>NC_000005.10:140703659-141328659 GCF_000001405.40 Homo sapiens | reverse complement strand
CCCCAGGCAATGGAGCTATAGGGGGCATTGCAGGTTCAGAGAGATGGCCAGAGTCACACTGAGGAGAAACAGCATGGAGATCAAGGCAACGGCCATCGCCAGCTGTTGGGTGCTGTCTGCTGCCTGCTGTTGGGTGCTGGGCGATTGCTGAGGTCTGGTAGCAACTCCTGCAAACTATGAGCAGCAACCAGGTGATGTTTCAGCGTGATGATTCACCATTGACCACGGTGACCAACAAACCTTGGCAGGTTGCATCTCTGTTACCCACAGTGACACGGCACGCATCTAGCTCGTGCACATCCCTAGTTTGAAGAGCCACATTAGCTGGCCTGAAGCACATGATAGGACAGTCAGCCTTTATGCCCCAGCTGGTGTCCACTTTGGTGATGGGATAGCTGGGTTGCATTGTGAGTGGTGCAGCATCAAAGAGGGCCCCACTTGGCTGCAACTCCTGGCATAGTGTCCTTGCATTTTTGCAATGGTCATCCACCATCACATGCAGGTTCAGGATGACACTGAGCAAGTTGAACCCTGGTCACTGGCCTGCAGAGTCAGCTCAAAGATAGTCTGCATGGTAACCATAGCACTCTGCACTCACTGACATGTAGAATGACAGTGCCCACAGTGGCAGGTCACTGGTCAAGAAGAAACAGGAGGCATATGGGACCCTAAGTTAGGGTGGGAAGCGCTAAAGCATGTGATGGAGGTGCTGGGCAGTGTTCCCAGTCACCCAAAAGAAATAGGAGGCTTGTTGAAGAATGAGCATTTTTGTGGATGCAGATGGTATGCAGGGTGATGCAGGAGAGGGACAGTTTGTCCTTGTTGGTGGTTCTGATGGTGACATTGTCCTTCAGGGTCTGCTACCAGTTTAGAATTCCATCTGTGAGTATCTGACAAAGAGTCACATCATAATTCTTGGAGGTGAATTGTTTGCCAGTATGATCATTTCTCTCTATAATAACTTTCATCTTTCATTTAAGGTCTCTTAGTCCTATTGTTTTGGTTAGGGCAACCACAGTTTTTACCTCTGATAGGACTAGATACCCAGCTGAAAGTCACCTGCACTGACTGCATTATACTTCTCAACCTTCATTTCAACCAGGACTCTGAAGTCGGCCCTCAAACTGCCTCCAGTCTTCTATTCCAAGCTATAACTGTTACTCTTCAAAATCAAGTATTTCTGTCATTATTGGACAGGAAATATATTCTGTATGCCCTGTAAAATTGTGTAGAAAAATCAGGAGAACTCTATATTAAAGATATTGTCTAGGTCAATGGGGATCACCTAAAGAATGAAGAGGAGGAGGTGGCGAGCAGGTTCTCCTGCAGGCTAACCCCACTTACACATTGCTCAATATCTGACGGCTGGCATTGGCATCCAAGGCCTGTGTCTTGCCCTGAGCTGTTCTGCCCCATCCCCACCACTAAGTGGTGGCAGCTCTGCTCCTCTGGTTCAGGGTTTCTTTTCTTTTCTTAAGAGATGGGGTCTGGCCATGTTACTCAGGCTGGAATGCAGTGGCTATTCACAGGTGTTCTCATAGTGCACTGCAGCCTCTAGCTGGCATCAAGCAATCCTCCTGCCTCAGCCTCCTGAGTAATGGGGACCACAGGAGTGCCACGCTGCACAGGCTCAGGGGTTCTTCAATAGCAGCAATTCAGAGTACATACTGCTGTAGTACTCTCCTTTACTTGTAGGGGAAGGGGAGATGGCTATTAAAACTAATCTGATATATTTGTACAGTTACTGCCGGTGTTCAAAATCTACTGCAGACTTAAGAGTAAACATTCCTCTTATTAAGACGTTTTTCAAAATTTCCAAAACAAAATTTGTGCTAAAAGCCATTTTGTTATTTATATCAAAGATGCATACGTTTATATGAAAACATTTATACGATTTTCAGTGCCTTCAAATTCAAAGGGCCGAGGGTCTTCCTTGGGCATAACTGCTAGATCTATCCCGTCATTCTCAAGCTCGGCTCTGGCTCGTTCTCTGGCTGTAAAGAGAGGCTTCTCAGCACTTACCCTTAGTTCTTTCCGTCACCGAGACGCAGATCTTCTGAGAGATTACCAACCTTAAACCCCTAGCCTTCTCTTCCAGAATTTTACAGCGTATCGGCTACGTAGAATAAAGACCTAGTAGAATAAAGATCTCAGGCAGGGAAACAGCGCTTCCTGCGCTCCTCACGCCTTCCTTATGGGGGACTTCTTCCTCTGTTTCTTCTTCCTGCTGATACTCAGATCCGAATACCTCTCGCTACCGTTGCTCCCTGCTTCCTGCTTCCAAAGATGCTCAGGAATAAAAGGCAGCACCTCACTCGGGGTCACTAGACATCCTGAGATTCCTGACCAAGATATTTCGAGCAGATTGTGAGACAGACAGCGGGCAGAGTCCTCTCCTAATGTGTGTCTCAAAAGCCTGCGGGGACTGCTGCGTCAGTGGATTGCTTTGTTTCCCTCCAGCCACGGATTGGCGGACAGCGGCACCCAGAGGCCTAGTATGATATCCCTAGCAGGTTAGTTTTCAAGGTCCTCAAAAGAGACTGTATTGGCTTTTTTCTCGAGACATATTTTAAAATACCAGCTGCTTTACTAAGAAGGGTACAAATCATTGTTTTTGATAAAATATTAGCAAAATGATCATTTCACAAAATTTAGTTCTAACGTTTTATTAAAATTCTTAATTTTTTTTTTTTTTTTTTTTGAGACAGAGTCTTGCTTTGTCACCCAGGCTGGAGTGCAGTGGCACGATCATGGCTCACTGCAACCTCCGTCTCAAGGGTTCAAACAATTCTCCTGCCTTAGGCTCCCTAGTAGTTAGGATTACATGTACACACCACGATGCTCAACTAATTTTTGTACTTTTAATAGAGATGGGGTTTCGCCATGCTGGCCAGGATGGTCTCGAACTCCTGATCTCAGGTAATCCGTCCGCCTTGGCCTCCCAAAGTGCTGGGATTACAGGTGTGAACCACCGCACCCAGCCTAAAATACATTAAAATTCGACTAAGAATTCTTACAAATTTTTCCCTCTTGACATTTCCTTTTCAAGATGACACACTATTGAAACTTATTTTCTGTAAAAATGGCTACTCAAGAAATTATCCACTGTAAAAAAATTATAAAAAATTCTCACTGTAAATTCAATATATTAAAGGAGAAAATTTCACTATAAAAGGTAGAAAATACTGATAAAAATGTAAAATTATGAATAATTGCATTATGTAACTACTGATATAAAGAATTTACATTCGATGCTTATCCATACTTTAAAAATAGATATATACTTTCACAATTACAAAAATAAGCAGCTCTTTTATGGATACTATTGGTTGCTCATGCCCCTTTTTCCTCTTGTAACACTTCCTTTTAGTTTAGGTGTTCGCCCTTAATGTACCTAGGGAAGCAGAACCTATTCAGAGCTGTAGTAGGTTCTGATAAATTTAATCTAATAATGATAATCTCATCCTCTTGACAGTGCTTAGTTAGGAATATAGACTTAAAATAATAAGCTTAAAGCAGGGCTTCTCAACCCTGGTACTATTTTGAGCCATATAATTCTTTGTGGTGGGGAGCTGTTCTGTGCCTTGTAAAATGTTTAGCAGTATCCCTGGTCTCTATATACTAGATACCAGTAGGACCCACCCCCCACAGTTGTGACAACCATAAATGTCTCCAGACATTACCAAATGTCACCTCACCTCTCCCCAACCATTTTCAGAAACACAGGCTTAGGGTATTTCCCTAGTATTACTGAGCTAAGAATGGGAACATGGCCTAAGTTGGTCCAGTTGGATTGAAAGATAGACTGTTTGGGGAGAGTAACTCTCTTGTCACGGACAATGAAGAAAGTTCTCCAGTTATTGCTGCTGGCTGGTATCTTGTGACTACAGCCTTTAGAATTCCACAAGGAGAGGAAAGCAGAGCTGAAACAACAGAAAAAGTATAAATAAGTGCTCATTCTTCAAAATTAGGAAGAAAAAACAATTTGTGCTACACCATGATTGTATCTGGCCTAGAGGCAGTGAAACTTCTAGACCTGCACTGTCCACTAGAGTAACAACCAGCCACACGTGGCCACTGAGCACTTGAAATGCAGCTAGTCTAAACTGAGATGTGCTGTAAGTGTAAAACACACACTAGGTGTTGAAGATTTAGTACAAAACAAGAATGTAAAACGTATTATTAATATCTTTACATTATTGTAAAAATATGTTGCAATTATATCTTAGATATATTGGATTAAAATTATTGAAATTTCACTTGTTTCTTTTTGCTATTTGAATGTGGCTACTAGATAATCTAAAATCACATCTGTGGCTGACCATCTGTGGCCCACATCATATTTCTATAGGACAAAGCTGTGCTAGACTACCTGTATTTTGGGATCATAGATTTTCTTACTGTTTAAACCAGCATAAATTAGATTTTAATGTTTTCCTATAGAAAACATCCTACTAGATAAAAGAACTGCTAAATATTTTTAGTTAACCTTTTTATCTTTAAAATATATGGTGATATAGCAATATGTAAGCTGGCTTTTCTGTGGTATTTGCTATTTCCTCACCCCTATAATTTTCTACCTCCTAAATATAAGCAGGATTTCTCCCATCACCCATAATTTAACCTCCAAAGTATAAGCAGCCCTTTAAGGAACTAAAAAGTGTATTAAAGGGCAGCTTATATTTTGGAGCCCTTTAAAGAACTAGAAAGTGTATTAAAGGGAATTTTCAAACATACACGATTATTAGTAACCTGATTGCCACACTCCTTAATCACAGACAGGAAGCCTTTGGAGGACTTGTTACCACACTGGGGAATTTATTGCTCTCCCCAAATCTTTTGTTCACTGGTATCACAGATATTCCATGGAACAACCACAGGAGTGTAATTCATCAATTCAGAGTTTTTCTGAATGTCTAATGGAACTTTTTTTTAAAAAAAAACTGGGGATTTATCAGTAGACATTAAGATAATGTGATGTGGCAGAGGCCTTAGGCCTTAGTGATAGGCAGAGGACTGCCACATCACATTATCTTTTTTTTTTTTTTTCTTTTTGAGATGGAATTTTGCTCCAGTGTTGCCCAGGCTGGAGTGCAATGGTGCAATCTTGGCTCACTGCAACCTTCGCTTCCCGGGTTCAAGCAATTCTCCTCCCTCAGTCTCCCGAGTAGCTGGGATTACAGGTGCCCGCCGCCAAGCCTGGCTAATTTGTTTTTGTTTTTGTTTTTGTTTTATTTTTGAGAAGGAGTCCCCTCTATTGCCCAGGCTGGAGTGCAGTGGCGCGATCTCGGCTCACTGCAAACTCTGCCTCCTGGGTTCACGCCATTCTCCTGCCTCAGCCTCCCGAGCAGCTGGGACTACAGGTGCCTGCCACCGCACTCGGCTAATTTTTTGTATTTTTAGTAGAGACGGGATTTCACCGTGTTAGCCAGGATGGTCTCAATCTCCTGACCTCGTGATCCACCCGCCTCGGCCTCCCAAAGTGCTGGGATTACAGGCGTAAGCTACGGCGCCTGGCCCTTTTTTTGTATTTTTAGTAGAAATGGGGTTTCACCATGTTGGCCAGGCTGGTCTCGAACTCCTGACCTCAGATGATCCATCCGCCTTGGCCTCCCAAAGTGCTGGTATTACAGGCATGAGCCACTGCACCCAGCAGATTATCTTAATGTCTACTGATAAATCCAATTTAAAAAAATATTTAGGGTCAATATAATTTCCTCCCCTAAAACAGCATATAGAAAATGTGTTAAACTCAAAAGCAGAAAATGTATTTCAGGACTGAAGGAGCTAGATACATTAAGAAAACCTCAGTTAATCCTTTTAACTATGTCTGGCAATATTCCATGTAAAGAAAGGTTTAGAAACTAAAATACACAGTAATTTTGGAAAATGAAAAATTGCATACAATTTATCTCAAGTTACCTTCTATGATAAGAATATTTGAGCATCATAAAACTCATAGGGAAGATGCTGAGTAATATTTGGATTATTTTCATGTATAATGACCTCACATTGTATATGGTTAAACAAAACACAGCCAGGCGAGGTGGCTCAAGCCTGTAACAGAAAAAACTTCATCTTTGAAAAAGAGGAAATAGATCATTCTGGAAATTACAAGTAAGTCAGCTAACATTCTTCAACACATTATAAGCAAAGAGAAATAATTTACCGTTATCTGGAAGGGCATACTTTCTCTTTTAAAATTAACATTAAAAACCAAACTAACGTCAGGTCATTTTAATTTCCTCCCACAACAGTATCTCATTCTAGCTAAACCACATTCACACACACTATTAGTAAACCTCCCCACCTCATAACAATTAGAATTGTCCTTGACTAGAAAGGAAATGTATGTAAAGTGGCTCTATCTCATTTTAAAATGACAAAGAATGTATTTTCTCTCAGAAATCACTACAGGATTTGAGACTATGATCTTTCTAGACAGATAAGTTTTTTCATTCAATTAGCAAATATTTTTTGTGTATCTCCCACATTCTGGTACTAGGCACTGGGACACAATGACCAGGATAGAAGAAGATCACTATCATGGAGCTTTCAATCATACAAGAATAAAGTGAATTTTGGAAATGTTAATTACATCTTAAGAGAATTCTCTTAAATTTAGGGGCAATTGTTAATATTTTAGAGGATAGAAATGAAATATTAATGGCCTTGATGCTCTCCCAGATATTTTAAAAATAAATGGAAATAAATAGAAATAAGTACCAACTGTTACCCAGTTATGTTAAAATACTAAAAATATGTGTTGATGAATACCTGACTATTGATAGAAAAGACAAGCAGAAAACAGCAAAATAGTAGAGGTGGAGTTAAAAAAAATGTCAAAGTAATTTAAAATTACTTGTACATGAGAGACAGGAAACAATACTTCAATTATATCTACTTTAACCAGATGCTCAGTCTATCAGACAATTCTGTCCAAAAGAACACTTCCTTCTCTGTTTACATTTACATCTAAATCAAGCACATAAAAAGGAATCACCCTTGTTTCCCCAGAAGTATTATAGAACACAAGTAAAACCAGAGGCACAATTCCCCTACAGGGAATTATATTTAAAAATACAGACTTTGGGCCATGCGCGCTGGCTCACACCTATAATCCTAGTACTTTGGGAGGCCAAGACAGGCAGATCACCTCAGGTCAGGAGTTCGAGACCAGCCTGGCCAACATGGTGAAACCCCTTCTCTACTAAAAATACAAAACTTAGGTGGGGTAGTGGAACGTGCCTGTAATCCCAACTACTTAAGAGGCTGAAGCAGGAGAATCGCTTGAACCCCAGAGGTGGAGGTTGCAGTCAGCCAATATTGTGCCACTGCACTCTAGCCTGGGTGACAGCCTGAGACTCCATCTCCAAAACAAACAAACAAACATATATATAGAGAGAGACTTATATAGTAAGCTGCATGTCCTCCTCACTCCATTGATTTGGGTACTTTGAAATCCATTGTATAGTAGCTACACATTCTTGTATTGGCACCAGATAGGCTAGACTCTAGGGAACATCCGAGATGTTTCCAGAAGCAAAGACGCTTACTGCAAGGCGTCCCCCATCTCCCGGAATCACCCGGAAGTCTAGAAGCCATCCGGCCCCACAGCGATCCCGTAAAAGTGCTGGCTTAGCGGGGGACGAATCTGTGTCTTTCTTGGAACTTCCAAGCTCTAAATAGTTTGAAACCAACAGCTCTTCCGAAACACTGTCATTTCCATCCCGGAAAAACAAGTTCTCGCGAAAAGATGAGTTTCACGCTGGGCAGCGTAATTGCGCTATTGCGCCTGCGCTAGCTGGGGCTCCGCCCTTCCGCCCGGAGGGGCTGTCACTCACAGCCGCCTCCCGCCCCGCGTCGCGACGTAGCACTTCCGTTTTTGCTGGGTAGGCGACCCGGACGGAGGGCCGGCGAGGTGCGGGGTCTGGTGATGCGAGCTGCGCCTCTCGGCAAGATTTCGCGCTGCCCATCCCGGGCCCTTTCATCAGTAATCGGTAGTGGATCACTCTGCCAAGCGGCAGGAAGAATTAAGGAAACGACAAGGAGACGCTCGGCTCTCTCCCGCTTGGCTCCTTGCGGCCTCCTCTTCCCTTCGCTCCGGCCCGGTGAAACTGAACTTATAATCGTCACTGGATTGTAAGTACCCGAGGCGAAGAGAGCTCGCTGAGCCCTGATTTTTTGAGTGTCTTTGTTCCGGGAGAGTTTGTGAGTTGAAAGTATCTCTGCTGGGCTTTCTGGGCCGAAAACCGTTCCGGGGGAGCCGCCATTTGCTTTCCTGTTCCCTAGCTAGCTAGCTAGCTCTCTCCGCGTTGTCCGGCAGCGGCACCTAGAGGTTGGGACTTGGCATTGCATCTGATTTAATGAACTTAAGTCTGTGAATAAGCCTTTGTGTTAACGACTGGTATTCGGTCACAGCATATTTAGAGAAAAGACTTGGAGCTTAAATAAAAACTAAGGCAAAATAGACGCTTAGCTGCTGATCTACAGAGAACTTCTTGTAATTAAAAGATTTCAATTCATAGCAAACTGGTGTTTTAAACTATTGCAGTAGCTGGAACTTTTTAGTGTAACCAGCATTTATTGGAGAAGTGAATCACAAGGAAATAAAGATGAGTAAAAGCAAAGATGATGCTCCTCACGAACTGGAGAGCCAGTTTATCTTACGTCTGCCTCCAGAATATGCCTCTACTGTGAGAAGGGCAGTACAGTCTGGTCATGTCAACCTCAAGGACAGACTGACAATTGAGTTACATCCTGATGGGCGTCATGGAATCGTCAGAGTGGACCGTGTTCCATTGGCCTCAAAATTAGTAGACCTGCCCTGTGTTATGGAAAGCTTGAAAACCATTGATAAAAAAACTTTTTACAAGACAGCTGATATCTGTCAGATGCTTGTATCCACAGTTGATGGTGATCTCTATCCTCCTGTGGAGGAGCCAGTTGCTAGCACTGATCCTAAAGCAAGCAAGAAAAAGGATAAGGACAAAGAGAAAAAGTTTATCTGGAACCACGGAATTACTCTGCCTCTAAAGAATGTCAGGAAGAGAAGGTTCCGGAAGACAGCAAAGAAGAAATATATTGAATCTCCAGATGTTGAAAAAGAAGTGAAACGATTGCTGAGTACAGATGCTGAAGCTGTTAGTACTCGGTGGGAAATAATTGCCGAAGATGAAACAAAGGAGGCAGAAAATCAAGGCCTGGATATCTCTTCTCCAGGAATGTCTGGTCACAGGCAGGGCCATGACTCATTAGAACATGATGAGCTTCGGGAGATATTCAATGACCTCAGCAGCAGCAGTGAGGATGAAGATGAGACCCAGCATCAAGATGAAGAAGATATAAACATCATTGACACGGAGGAAGATCTGGAGAGACAGCTACAGGACAAGCTAAATGAATCAGATGAACAGCACCAGGAAAATGAAGGAACCAATCAGCTGGTTATGGGAATTCAGAAGCAGATTGACAACATGAAAGGCAAGCTCCAAGAGACCCAGGACAGGGCAAAACGACAAGAGGATCTCATCATGAAAGTGGAAAATCTGGCTCTCAAGAACAGATTTCAGGCTGTACTGGATGAGCTCAAACAAAAGGAAGACCGAGAAAAGGAGCAACTCAGCTCTTTGCAAGAGGAGCTAGAATCACTCCTAGAGAAGTAAAAAGAACTGATATTTAATTTCAGTCTTCAGACTGGTCAGCATTAGAAAATTCTTGGCTTTATTGTACTGGGTATTAAGACCTTGCTCTTCCTAGTCCTTTTAATGCTGTGTGTTCTGTTAAGTTCTTTCATTTGTTTGTAATTTTGTTTTTCAGCAAATTTATATTGTTTTGCTAGGTGTTCATCCTATAAGAAGCAGGATTGTATAGGCAGAAAAATGATTGTAGGAAAGTTGCAGGATTAGCGGAATGTATGGTTCAACCTTAATTATAGCTTCATTGCAGGACTTTACTGTTTCTCCATTTTCTAGAAGCTGCTGTTGCTGCTTTGTGATGACGTGAGATCAATAAGAAGAACCTAGTCTAGAGACAATGATGCTAGTTTGCATATGTTTTCCTATGCAATAATTGTTTTCCCAGTTATTCAAAGCAGCTTTCTATATGTAGAGATGCAAATTATTAAGTTGTTTCCAATACAATAAATAAAAGCATCTGTTTTTCACTTTATAGTGTATCTTGTTCTTTCATGGTTGGTGGGAGTCAGGTCCTCTTGTGAGGTGGTTTTATGGTGGAGTTTAGTGACTAAGCAATTTGATCCCGTTCTGCAGGTAGAGGCAGTAGGGTTTATGAAAAAAAGGAACACAGCAGGGGTAAAGAAATTGGGAATGGTCATGTTTGCATCATATTAAGATTCCAATTCTATTTGATCTACTTGAAAGCTGGGAAACATTAGATACAGAGCTTTCTTAAAGTACCCTAATTTTTGTAGATGAAGGCCTTTGTGCCTTTTTTAAAAAGCGCTAAATCTACCTGCATAAAATGTTGGAAACAAAGCAGTGGTTATCAAGTGCAGTCCAATGAACCATTCCATTGGTTTGGATTAATATTTCTAATTTTCTTCAGTTGAGTTCCTATAATTAATATTCTGAGAACTGAGGTCATTTATCAATGTCATTTCATCAAAATTGCTCATAAAGGAAGTTGGTACCAAATTTCTCATGCTCTAAAGATAATCTAATGCCTCACAACATAAGCTATTTTTGAAAAATCAGTTACTGATAAAAGAGGCAGAGTTGTATGCAATTTGTTTGACAGGTTGGTTTATGAGAAGCTTGGGTTTGAAAATATTTAAAGTTTTTTTTTTTGAGACGGAGTCTCGCTGTGTCACCCAGGCTGGAGTGCAGTGGCACCATCTCGGCTCACTGCAAGCCCCGCCTCCTGGGTTCACACCATTCTCCTGCCTCAGCCTCCTGAGTAGCTGGGACTACTCAGGTGCCCGCCACCATGCCCAGCTAATTTTTTTGTGTATTTTTAGTAGAGACGGGGTTTCACTGTGTTAGCCAGGATGATCTTGATCTCCTGACCTCATGATCTGCCCGCCTTGGCCTCCCAGAGTGTTGGGATTACAGGCATGAGCCAGCGCGCCCGGCCTCTTTTTTTTTTTTTTTAAGACAAAGTTTTGCTATTGTTGCCCAGGCTGGAGTGCAGTGGTGTGATCTCGGCTCACTGCAGCCTCTGCCTCCTGGGTTCAAGCGATTTTCCTGCCTCAGCCTCCCGAGTAGCCGGGATTACAGGCATGTGCCACCACACCTGGCTAATTTTGTAGTTTTAGTAGAGACAGGGTTTCACCATGTTGGTCAGGCTGGTCTTGAACTCATGACCTCAGGTGATCTGCCCACCCTGGACTCCCAAAGTGGTGGGATTACAGGCCTGAGCTACCACACCCGGCCTAAAGTCCATTTTACTTCTATCTGACAAGAAACAGTATTGAAATGTTAAAAAAAAAAAAAAAGTTACCTAGTCCTCAGGTCTATAATTAAATATGCTGACATTTGCAGACTTCAGAAGGCTAATTTATCTTTTTAAGTGAAACGTTTTTATGAGTAAGTTTTTTTTTTTTTTTTAGATGGAGTCTTGCTGTGTTGCCAGGCTGGAGTGCAGTGGCGTTATCTTGGCTCATTGCAACCTCTGCCTCCTGGGTTCAAGCGATTCTCCTGCCTCAGCCTCTGGAGTAGCTGGGACTACAGGCATGTGCCACCAAGCCCAGCTAATTTTTGTAATTTTAGTAGAGACGGGGTTTCACCATGTTGGCCAGGATGGTCTTGATCTCTTGACCTTGTGATCCACCCGCCTCGGCCTCCCAAAGTGCTGGGATTACAGGCGTGGGCCACCGTGCCTGGCCGTGACTAGGATTTTAGCACAGAATATGTAAGCTTAAGCAAGGTTTCCCTCAATATCTAGGTTTTATATTATTTCTTGAGGTTTCCAAATAATATATATTAAACAACAACAAAAAAACAGTTTAGGATGCTAGGTGACAAAATTTACTGTTTTTGTAATCTAGGTATTTTGCTACACTTAGAAGATTGACACCTGAAAAGCTCCCACCATATCTGGCTTTACAGTGGATCATTTATCAAGTAGTTTATTCTTACCAAGGTCTCAACACCAATGGTGGCAGTTCCATCAATAACAGAAAGGAAAGATTCTGGATACAATAACAAAATAGTATATTGATCTCACTATTCCTGTTTCAGTTATGAGTTCTAAGTGGATTCTAAAATCCACGTTTCCAACCTTGATTCTTCTGTGCTTCAGGTTTAGTTTAGCCAGATGTGTACTAGAAACATACTTGAAAGTATCTCTCAGGCAACTCAAGTGTAAATGTTCAAAATGGCCGGGTGCAGTGGCTCATGCCTATATCTCAACACCTTGGGAGGCTGAGGCAGGTGGATCACCTGAGGTCAGGAGTTCAAGACCAGCCTGGCCAACATGGCAAAACCCATCTCTATTAAAAATACAAAACAAATTAGCTGGGCATGGTGGTGGGCACCTGTAATCCCAGCTACTTGG
The DNA here is from genome assembly GCF_000001405.40 of Homo sapiens. Classification (NCBI taxonomy): domain Eukaryota; kingdom Metazoa; phylum Chordata; class Mammalia; order Primates; family Hominidae; genus Homo; species Homo sapiens. Next base: position 141,316,143 of record NC_000005.10, on the reverse strand, counting down.
GAGGGTGAGGTGGGAGAATAGCTTGAACCTGGGAGGTGGATGTTGCAGTGAGCCGAGATCATGCTACTGTGCTCCAGCCTGGGCAACAGAACAAAACTCCATCTCAAAAAAAAAAATACAGGTTCAAAATGGAACTTTTCCTCTTCCTTGAAAATTTGCTTTTCCTTCTGGGTTCCAGTAAAAATAAATGGCACCACCACACATCCCAACTGTGGAAGCTGGACACTAGAGCCATAACTTTACATTTCTCCCTTTCCCTTGCTACTTTTGATTTTACTTAAGAAGTTCTTCACTCACTCTACTTCATCCTTACAGCCACTGTCCTATTTCAAGCCATTATTATTATCTATCAAATGGCAATAGCTTCTTTACCATCCAATTTAGTTTTCACTGCCACCAAACTCATTTTTCTGAGACATATTTGATTGTGTTACTACCATGCTGAAAACCCTTCAGTGACATCTCATTGCTCTCAGGGCTAGGTTTGTATTTCTCAAAAAGATGCACAAGATTATGAGTTCTCCATTTACCTTTTCAGCCTCAGCTCCGCATTCAGTATATGGTCAGTCCACTCTGAACTTACATTTTTTTCAAGGAGCTTACTCATTCTCCCACTCCTGGGCCATAGATCCTTTTAACAAGCAGTTCACTCCACCTAGATGACTTTACCCTTTGTCTGAGTCCTACTTAACCCTCAGGTCTCAACCTAAGTGACTTCAGCAAGGCTTTTCTGACCCTTTTCTCCCTCTAGGTTAAGCAACCCTATTACGGCTTTGCACTTTGTTCTTCCCTCTCTCATTTATTTGACAAACATTTTGTGTGTGTGTGTGCCAAACTACAAGGGGTGTGTGTGTGTGTGTGTGTGTGTGTGCGCGCGCACCAAACTACAAGCTACTGGATATGCAGTGATGAACAAAGCATTTAGTGTCTATAAACTCATGCACTGCACGGTCTACTGGGATGAGTATCTGTTATAACTAAAGTGTAAATTACCTTTGTTCGTATCTCCTGCTTGGCTTTAAATTTACTGAGATATTTTGCTACATTAGTGACTGTAAACTTACTGAAGAATAGTAGAAAGATCAAAATCTTAACATCAAGACATGTCATGCATGGTTCGTATCCTAGCTCAGTTACCTATTAGTTGTGTGACCTTGCACAGGTAGCAATCTGTTTACCTCAATTTTCTCATCTCCAAAGTGGAGGCAATAATACTACCTACCTCATAGGGTTATTGGGCTGTTGGCTGCTGGCTGCTGAATCATATAAATGACTTATTTAGAACAATGCCTGGAACATAGTAAGTAAACAACAGAAGTAAATTTACCACTATTACAACCCATTAAGGTATGGACCATAACAGATACTAAATAATTAAAGAGTGACTGAAATGTTAGAAAAAGTGTTTATAGGGAAACAACTATTCTAAATGTAATTGTTTTCAAATTTAAGAAATTTTAGAGATCAGTTTCAACCAAATTCAGATGGGAAAAAAAATTCTAAATGAAAGCTTATAAATTAGGTTACAGCAGAAACGGTTTGCTTCAAATTTATCTGCAGCATAAACAAATTTACTCAGCTCTTTCCTCCTACAGTTTAGCACTTACAGTTCTCTTTTCTTGGAATAGTCACCAGATATTCTCATGGATAGCTTTTTGTCACTGAAGGCCCAACTCAACCCTTATTTTCTCTGGTAACCCTATCTGGCCATTCAATCTAATTCTTAAGAAGCATGTGATTTAGATGTTTCATCATGTCAGGTGCTATGTCAAGTGCAGTGGTCTTCATTAAAAAGTTGGAAGGTTCTTTGCTACTATTTTCTAATATATGTGTTCTGGAGGATATGTGCTTAAAAACAGAAGCAGCATCATTCTGGTTAGTTGGAATCAGGGAAATGGTTTTAATTGCTTAAGATTGCCTATTATCTTGGGCAATGTTACTGTATATGCTTGGCTCTGTTTTCTCCAAGTCCAACTGTATGGTCAAATGTATTTCATAGAATTTGACCTCAGGGAATCTGCCTCTGTTACTTGTGTTATTATGCCTGACAATTCATTGAAGGTATTAATGTTCTTGTACTGATCCCTGGCCTTGGTGTTATGGAGTATGGTTTCCAATGTGATATTTTCCTCCAAATAACTTTGTTTAATGGAACTGGGGCATACTGGGACACTGTCATTTACATTTATCTTTAGTTATGGGTATGTGAGTTCCTCTCACTGTTTCACCTCTGGTGGTCATAATGAGATGATGAAAGACTTCCTCTTTCTTTTCTAAATCATTCTGTAAGATCAGCTACATGGTGGTGTCTTTTTTTGTTCTAATTTTAATATCTAGGGAAAAATAAGCATTGCTTTTCAAATTCTAGTTTGCAGACAACATATTCTCATGTTGAAGTTTCAGGTACCCCTTAACTGGAAACTCATGTCAGGCAATAGTCTTACACTAATTTTAATAGATGTCTTTCTACTTGTAAAAGAACACCCGGCTGGGCATGGTGGCTTACGCCTGTAATCCCAGCAATTTGGGAGGCCAAGACAGATGGATCGCCTGAGGTCAGGAGTTCAAGACCAGCCTGACCAACAAGGTGAAACCCCATCTCTACTAAAAATACAAAAATTAGCCGGCTGTGATGGCAAGCACCTGTAGTCTCAGCTACTTAGGAGGCTGAGACAGGAGAATTGCTTGAACCTGGGAGGTGGATATTGCAGTGAGCCGAGATTGTGCCACCACGCTCCAGCCTGGGTGACGGAGCGAGACTCCATCTCAATAAAAAACAACAACAAGAACAAAAAAATCAAAAAACAAAAGAATACCCATGAATTGTCACTCATAACTAGAATTTCACTATCTGGTTTTTCAACATCTGCAGGTATTTTCAATATCAGCATGGGTTTTGTACAGTTTTTCAAAATGTATAAGGCCTTGGCTTTTCTCATCATGTATCTCTTCCTAATTACTGTTGCTATTGAAACATATGACCCCATTCTGTAAGCTTCACATGAATTGTGTTCTACCTTAAGAGACAATGTCCTGAGAGAGCACTATTCTGAAGTCCTTGGTTGTTACTCATGAGAAAGACTTGTCTCATTTCAGGTACATTTTATGAAGAATGCTCAGCAGGGCTGGGCGCAGTGGCTCACTCCTGTAATCCCAGCACTTTGGGAGGTCGAGGCAGGCAGATCACTTGAGGCCAGGAGTTTAAGACCAGCCTGGCCAACATGGTGAAACCCTGTCTCTACTAAAAATACAAAAAATTAGCTGGGCATTGTGGTGGGTGCCTGTAATCTCAGCTACTCAGGAGGCTGAGGCGGAAGAATAGCTTAAACCTGGGAGGCAGAGGTTGCAATGAGCCAAGATCTGGCCATTGCACTCCAGCCTGGGCAACAGAGCGAGACCCTGTCTCGGGAAAAAAAAAAAATGCTCACCAGAATAAGCCCACTGCAGGGGCAGTGTCGCAGTTCAGCCATTTTCTAGTACTTCTAATTCCTCAAATTTCTCTAACATCTGTGCTTCAGTTTCTTTTTCTTATAGTAGCTAGTACATTGACTCCCATTAATAGCAGGCAAATGGTTAATGTAGCATATTCATTTTTAAAAATCCTGTTCTTTCTGTTGCCATATGCAGTTTCTATATTGTATCTCCTTATAGAAGAGCAAAAGGGGAAAGGTTAGATGTCTCTCTTTTCTCTCCTTCATAAATGAGCAGCTAAATTCAGAATACAAAGTAAGGTACTGTACTAACATGAGATAAAATTGAAAATAAAACAATTATAGTCCAGTATTGACTTTCCAAGTGCACGCATTCCAAGTCAGTACCAGACAATAAACGCATCAAGAGGAGAGCAAGAAATAAGCAAGAAAGGAGCACTTACCCAGTAAAACATTTCTCCTTTCTTGCTTATTTCCTGCTCTTCTCTTCATGAATTTATTCACTTGGCCCCATCAAAACTCTCATGCCCCCTATCAATATTTATGATATATTTTTATACAATCCTAACATTTCTTCTTATAAATAAAACATACTCCTAAGCAGAAAAAGTAATTTTTCATGGGTATCCTTATCACTGGGATATTCTTTTCTAGGCGAGAGCTACATTTCCTGGATTTACTTCCATTTCCTACATGTCCTGAACTCAATGCCCACCCTTCCTATTAACCTGAAGCCTGAGAGTGACCCTTCCATGGAAATTATCTCCCACATTCTCTCTACAATCTTTTCTTAGATTTTTTTTTTTCTCACAGGTACTGTGATAGCTAGCCTCCAAGATGGCTCCCATTGATTCTTACCTCCTGGTATTAATCTTGTATAGTCCCCTCCTACATTGAATGGGAATGTCCTGAGTAAATGATAAGCTATTGCAGAAATAATGATTTGTGACTTGCAAGGCAAGGTCATAAAAGACATGTGACTTTTGCTTCCTCTCTCTTGGATCGCTCACGCCAAGGGAAATCAGCCACAATATTGTGGGGACACTCTTTAGAGAGGTCCAAGTGGTGACAAACTGAGGCCTTCTTGTGAACAGCCAGCAGAACTTGCCAGTCATGTGAGTGATCCATCTTTGAATCAGATTTTCCAGCCCCTGGTCAAGGCTTCAGATGACTGAAACTGTAACTGACATCTTGACAGAAACCTCATGAGAGACCCCTAAGTGAGAAATACCCAGCTAAGCTGCTCCTAAATTCCTGATCCACAGAAACTATATGACATATAAATGTTTGTAGCTCATTTATTTCACTTCATTTTGGAGTAATTTCTGATGCAGCAGCAGATAACCAGTACAAATTTTTGCTACCTACCTAGAAGTGAGGTGCTGCCATAAAAATATAAAGTGTGAGAGTGGCTTTGAAATCAGGTCTGTACACATTTCTCAAAAGAAGACATTTATGCAGCCAACAGACACATGAAAAAATACTCATCATCACTGGCCATCAGAGAAATGCAAATCAAAACCATAATGAGATACCATCTCACACCAGTTAGAATGGCGATCATTAAAAAGTCAGGAAGCAACAGGTGCTGGAGAGGATTTGGAGAAATAGGAACACTTTTACACTGTTGGTGGGACTCTGAACTAGTTCAACCATTGTGGAAGACAGTGTGGCTATTCCTCAAGGATCTAGAACTAGAAATACCATTTGACCCAGCCATCCCATTACTGGGTATATACCCAAAGGATTATAAATCGTGCTGCTGTAAAGACACATGCACACATATGTTTATTGCAGCACTATTCACAATAGCAAAGACTTGGAACCAACCCATCAATGATAGACTGGATTAAGAAAATGTGGCACACATATACACCATGGAATACTATGCAGCCATAAGAAAGGATGAGTTCATGTCCTTTGTAGGGACATGAATGAAGCTGGAAACCATCATTCTCAGCAAACTATCACGAGGACAAAAAACCAAACACCACATATTCTCTCATAAGTGGGAATTGAACAATGAGAACACCTGGACACAGGAAGGGGAACATCACACACCAGGGCCTGTTGTGGGGTGGGGGGAGGAGGGAGGGATAGCATTAGGAGATATACCTAATGTAAATGATGAGTTAATGGGTGCAGCACACCAACATGGCACATCCATACATATGTAACAAACCTGCACGTTGTGCACATGTACCCTAGAACTTAAAGTATATAAAAAAAAAAAGAAATCAGGTCTGCACATGGAGAGAAACCGCTCTGGAATTTTGGACACACAGAAACTATGGGATATAACAAATGTTTATTGCTTTTTAATGCCACTAAGTTTTGGGAGTGATTTATTTTACATAAGTATATAAGTAATGCTTGTACATAAATGTCATTTGAAAAAATAAGCAGAGTTCATTAGAAGAGTAGATGGAATTAGTACATGGAGAGCCTTCAACTCTTAAATTCAAGATCTAATATTAGTCCCCTGGTACAAGTGTTTAGAAAAAAAAAGATATAATATTAGGTGTTGGTATCAGTTGGGAGCAATTGTTATTTCTGTGTGTTCTTGATCCGAGAGACAAAGTGAAGAAAAGTGTGATATTGTGAAATATGTATTTGGTCTTTGACTCATTTCCTGGTATACAGCTGCTAAAATCCTTAGAAACTCCAAAGTGATGTTTTTTTCTATGCTAATGATTGACTTGAAGGCTGGCAGTCCCTAGGTAGCCTTAGGATGGGGTCTGGTGGCCAGAAAGACCAAGGCAGGATTAGGATCAACCTCTAGAGAAGGGGAGAGGGGCTGAAGGTTAAGCTGATCACCACTGGCAAATGATTCAATCAACCAGTCCTATGTAATGAAGCTTCCATAAAAACCCTGGGTTCAGCGAGCTATCTGATAGCTAAACACATGGAGGTTCTTGGAGGATGGAGCCCTGGGGAAGGCATGGAATTTCTGTGCTTCTTTCCCTATGTCTCACCTTATGCATCGTTTCATCTGTATCCTTTTGTAATATTTTTTATAGTAAACCAGTAAACGTGTTTCCCTGAGTCCTGTGAGCAGCTCTAGTGAATTAAACCCAAAGAGGGGCCGTAGCAACCTCAACATGAAGCTGGTCTGTTAGAAGTTCTGGAGCCCCGGACTTAACGACTAGTGTCTGAGGTGGGAGTGGGGTGGGGTGCAGTCTTGGATACTGAGCACTTACCCTGTGGAATCTGATGCTTTCTCCAGGTAGATAGTGTTGGAATTGGATTGGAAAACACCCAGCTGGTGTCTGCTGTAGAACTGATTGCTTGCTTGGTGTGTGGGGAGAAACCCCGACCCATTTGGTCACAGAAGTCTGCTGTGTTTATTGTTGTGGTGTGAGCAGACGCAAAACATCTTGAGTGCATTTTTCCACTCACAGAAACAGTGCTTAAAGACTGGCAATATGTGTGCATCATGAACTGTAGCCCAGTGGGATCCATATATTTTGATTTCATTCTCAGAAAAGGGAAGGGGGGAAAAAGGTTTTGTTTTGTCTTGCTCTGTCACCCAGGCTGGAATGCAGTGAAATGCTTTTTATGGAGGCAAAAATAGCCTAGCATGGCTGTTCATACAGCAAAAGAAGATAAAATAGCAATGTAGAACTTAATCCATTTATTTGCAATGAAAGATAAAATATATAAAATATTTTTTAAATCTCACTCAGATAACACCTTTACAGTAAATAACCTTAATTATATGTTTTAGGCTCTCTCCATAATGAAATAGTAATGCAGACTATATGCCATGTCACTAGACTTGGAATGCCTTGGACTTGCTTATATTTATTACACATATAATGGGCTCCCTTTGTCTTAAGGTCTACATCTAATGGCTAAACCATTTCCAAATATCTGTTTCATTTGCCATTCAGTGTTTATTTTTAGACTACAGGATGCTTCGAAGGCAAATTTCTAATTTATATTAGGTGACCTTGCAAAATCTACATAATATGTTATTATTTAAATAATTTCTGGGCTGAGCACAGTGCCTTATTCCTGTAATCCCAGCACTTTGGGAGGCTGAGATGGGAGGATCACTTAAGCCCAGGAATTTGAGACCAGCCTGGGCAACATAGTGAGATTCTGTCTCTACAAAAAATTTAAAAATTAGCTGGGTGTGATGGTGCACACCTCTGGCCCAGCTACATGGGAGGCTAAAGTGGAAGGATTGCTTCAGCCTGAGAGGTTGAGGTTACAGTGAGCCATGATTGTGCCACTGCATTCTGGCCTGGGCAGCAGAGCAAGACAAACCAAAACAAAACCCTTTTCCCCCGTTCCCTTTCCTGAAAGTGAAATCAAAACATAGAAAAAAATTCCTCAAATATGACATGAAGGATTTAAAAATCCTAATGAAGTTTTCTATTTTCAAATTGCAGATTGTTCTCATCCTTTCTGCTTTACCTAAGAGGCTGCTAAATAAAACAACAGAAAGGATTTTTAAAAGATGTTAACTTCTAAGGACAAAGAGAATAGGAAATGAGACAACAGTGGATGAGAGATGTCAACCCATTATCTGAAGGCCAAAACAGAGAAATGATAAATGAATTCATAGATCAGAAAAAGTTACATGCTAAATGTCTGCAAGTAGTTATACCAAAGAGAGACAAACCCACTTGACAGAGCCTTGTAAGATGCAAAATTTTTGCAAGCAGAAGATTCCAGGGAAGGTGGGAAGGTGTAGGGTTAGAGATGTGAGATTCATTAAAGTCTGTGTTCAGAGTTGTTGGGTGTCCAGGATCTCTATCCCACTCTATGAAGCCAGATAACTCTTTCCATCCCACAGAAGATGGAAATTTTATTTTCTGGATAAATTGAACCAAAGAAGGCCCAAACTCAGAGAAAGTAGGCACAGTGTCAAATAAGGAAAAAATTATGTGAAAGTCTGTATATTTACTCCAGGTGTGTCATCCCTCTTCCCCTCTCTTGTTCTCTTTAAATCAGTATCTAGGTTTATAACCTACCTCTCCCCCACCACACCCTGCACACACACAGTCAAAGCTCATAGAGCATTCTCTGAGGAAACTATGTGGTACCAGAGAAAAGAACTGCAACTGCTGACATTTGGGCATTTCCCAAAGAAAAGCCCAGATTACTATTTACTACAGTGAAGACTACCTGGTGACAAATTATCCATGCACAATTTGCTTTTTAGTACCTCATTAAAAAATTTTTTTTTAAATTTTCTCAGAGACCTTTGTTCTGAAGTACCTCACTTTTAATTGACAGCCAAGGATAATTAGACAAGGAAAGTTTTCTAAATGAAAGAGAATGCTTTCAGCATACTTTCTTCCCCCCAGATTTTGTTTTTACTACCCATGGCCGACGACGGCTTGGAATGTAAGCCTGGAGAGAATTCATTCCAATGCTGGGATTATAAATATCTGGGAGGAAGAAGTGTGTCCTGACAGTGGTATCCTCACTAATGTCCAAAAAACATCTTGCTTTGAAAGCTAGACATGTCATTTGTATCCCGAACTTCTACTTCTTTTTAAATTGAATTTCATTTTAGATTCAAGGAGTACATGTGCAGGTGTGTTACATGGGTATGTTGTGTAACGCTGAGGTTTGGGCTTCTAGTGAACCCGTCACCCACATAGTGAATGTAGTACCCAACAGGTAGGTTTTCAACCCTCAATCCCTCCCACCCTCCCCACTTTTGGATTCCCCAGTGTCTGTTATTCCCATCTTTATGTCTTTGTGTACCCATTGTTTAGCTCCCACTTATATAAGTGAGAACATGCAGTATTTGATTTTCTGGTTCTAAGATATTTCACCTAGAATAACAGCCCCCAGCTCCATCCATGTTGTGAGGGACATAATTTCATTCTTTTTTATGGCTGCATAGTATTCCGTGGTATACATATACCACATTTTCTTTATCCAATCAACTATTGATGAACACTTACATTGATTCTGTGACTTTCCTGTTGTGAATAGTGCTTCCATAAACATATGAGTGTAGATGTTTTCTGGTTTTTTTTTTGGAGACAGGGTCTTGTTTTGCCACCCAGGCTGGATCATAACTCACTGCAGCCTCCAACTCAGCTCAGTCAATCCTCCCATCTCCGCCTCCTGTGTAGCTGCCACTACAGGGGCATGCCATCATGCATGGCTACTTTTTGTATTTTTTTGTAGAGATGGCATTTTGCCATGTTGTCCAGGCTGGTCTGGAGCTCCTGGGCTCAAGCGATCTACCTGGCTTGGGCTCCCAAAATTCTGGGATTACAGGTGTAAGTCACTGTCCCCAGCACAGGTGTCTTTTTGATAAAATGATTTCTTTTCCTTTGGGTAGATACCTAATAGTGGGATTGCTGGGTTGAATGGGTGTTCTATTTTTAGTTCTTTGAGAAATCTCCATACTGCTTTCCATAGGGGTTGAACTATTTTACATTCCCACCAACAGTGTACAAACGACAAATTTCTACTTCTGCATGAGGCTGTGTGGGTCCTCAAAGAGAATCTCAAAACTTAGAAAGCATAGTGCTGAGCCACCCAGCTCTTTTCTATCAAGTTTCTTAGCAATGCAGTATATAAATACTATCCATTTTCCAAGTTGATTTTATAGTGCCGTGTTCTATCTTCAGAAATGATAAGGACTCCACGTTCCACCAGTTCCCAGGGCTGCAACCCCAGATCCTTGGGGATGTTGCCATGTGATAGCATTTCTCCAGCTCTGCAGGAAAGCAGTAGCACATCTCCAGGGCTAAGGATTCCCACAGTGCCCTACTCCCCTCCTTGCCCCCCAGGAAAGTGAGGAGCGTGGGCAGATCGCTGAGGGTTTTCTGATCAAAAGCAGTCACTGTCTCTCATGTAGCAACCCTCAGATCGTTTCGTTACCGGACAGGGGTCCCGATCCAGACCCAAGAGATTGTTCTTGGATCTCATGCAAGAAATAATTTGGGGCAAGTTCATAGAGTCAAGTGAAAGCAAGTTTATTAGAGAAGTAAAGAAGCAAAAGAATGGCTACTCCATAGGCACAGCAGTGGCCTGGGCGGCTTGACTAAGGATACTTACAGTTTTTTATTGAATGTAAGCTAAACAAGGGGTGGATTATTCATGAGGTTTCTGGGAAAGGGGTCCAAAGTTACCGGAACTGAGGATTCCTCCCCCTTTTTAGACCACATAGGGTCACTTCTTATTGTTGCCATGGCATCTGTAAGTGGACACGGCGCTGGTGGGCGTGTCTTTTAGCATGCTAATGCATTATAATTGGCGTATAATGAGCAGTAAGGACGACCAGAGGTCACTTATTATGCCATCTTGATTCTGGTGGGATTTGGCTGGCTTCTTTACTGAAACCTGTTTTATCAGCAAGGTCTTTGTGACCCGTATCTTGTGCCGGCCTCCTATCTCATCCTGTGACTTAGAATGCCTGTCTTCCTGGGAATGCAGTCCAGTAGGTCTCGGCCTTATTTTACTCAGTCCCTAGTCAAGATGGAGTTGCTGTGGTTCCAGCGCCTCTGACAGTTTGTCTTCTCTACTTTATTTTTTGTAGGGGGTAAGGGGTGTCTCATTTTGCTGCCCAAGCTAGCCTTGAACTCCTAGGCTCAAATGAGCCTCCCTCCGCAGCCTCTCCAAGTGTTGGGATTACAGGCATGAGCCACCACACCTGGCCTGTCTTATCTACTTTAAAGCAGTTTTCTTGTAGATTGACCCTCTGAATTCAGGGTCTATTCAAGTGAGGGCATCTTCTTTTCGGGTTGTTTGTTTTTGTTTTTTGCATGGTAAGAAGCGTGGGATAGGCCGGGTGTGGTGGTTCATGCTTGTAAGCCCCAACACTTTGGGAGGCCAGTGGGTGGATTGCTTGAGTTCAGGAGTTCGAGACTAGCCTGGGCAACATGGCGAAACCCCGTCTGTACAATACAAAATTTAGCCAGATGTGGTGGCTTGCGCCTGTAGTCCCTCTAGTCTCAGCTACTCAGGAGGCTGAGGTGAGAGGATCGCCTGAGGCCAGGAGATTGGGGCTGCAGTGAGCCAGGATCGCGCCACTGAACTCCAGCTTAGGCGGCCGAGTGAGACCCTAAGTCAAAAAAAAAAAAAAGAGAGAAAAGAAAAGAAGCAGGGCTGACTGATTAGGACAGCATTTCTTTTGCCGCCAGCTGAACTGCGGCGTCTAGAGTTCCCGGCCATAATTGCAAGAATTTATCGAAAAGCTTTACATGTTTTCTTGGTTTTGGTTTTGTTTTGAGACAGAGCCTCACCCTTTCGCCCACCCTGGAGTGCAGTGTGCGATCATAGCTCACTGCAGCATCGACCTCCCGGGTTCAAGCGATCCTCGCTTCATTCTCCTGAATTGCTGGGACCACAGGCGCGCGCCATCGCGCCCGGGTATTTTTTCGTTTTTGTAGAAATGGAGTCTTGCCATATTGCCCAGGCTGGTCTCGATCTCCTGGGCTCAAGCGATCCTCCCGCCTCGGCCTCCCAAAGTGCTGGGATACAGGAGTGAGCCACCGCGCCCAGTCGCAGTACACTAAAAGTATTTATTCGGTCCGCGTCCCCCGCCTGCGGGTGCAGGGATGGCGGCTCCAGGCTGGAGGCGGCTGGGGGCCCGGCCAGTGCGCCAGGAGCCGCAGGAACGCTAGTGAGCCGCGCGCTGGGCCGGCAGCTGGGGGTTATTTTAGTGCGCGGGGAGGGGGCGGCCCGCGGCGGAGCGTAGGGTTGAGCGGCTTCCCCCGCACTGGGGTGAGAGCCCAGAACAGGCGGTAGAGCCACCCCACCACCCCCAACTCCATTCCCCGCGCTCGCTGCGGCTGGACGTGAAAAGCCGGTCTCACGCTCTGGGGAGTTAGTCGCCTTCCACTGGGACCCTCAGACGAGTGAGCGAACATGAAGTCCGGTCCTGGCATCCAAGCCGCCATCGACCTCACAGCGGGGGCCGCAGGGGGGACAGCGTGTGTACTGACTGGGCAGCCCTTCGACACAATAAAAGTGAAGATGCAGACGTTCCCTGACCTGTACAAGGGCCTCACCGACTGCTTCCTGAAGACATACGCTCAAGTGGGTCTCCGGGGCTTCTACAAGGGCACCGGCCCGGCACTTATGGCCTACGTCGCCGAAAACTCGGTCCTCTTCATGTGCTACGGGTTCTGCCAGCAGTTTGTCAGGAAAGTGGCTGGAATGGACAAGCAGGCAAAGCTGAGTGATCTCCAGACTGCAGCCGCGGGGTCCTTCGCCTCTGCATTTGCTGCACTGGCTCTCTGCCCCACTGAGCTTGTGAAGTGCCGGCTACAGACCATGTATGAAATGGAGATGTCAGGGAAGATAGCAAAAAGCCATAATACAATTTGGTCTGTCGTGAAGGGTATCCTTAAAAAGGATGGCCCCTTGGGCTTCTACCATGGACTCTCGAGTACTCTACTTCAAGAAGTACCGGGTTATTTCTTTTTCTTTGGTGGCTATGAACTGAGCCGATCGTTTTTTGCGTCAGGGAGATCAAAAGATGAACTAGGCCCTGTCCATTTGATGTTAAGTGGTGGAGTTGCTGGAATTTGCCTGTGGCTTGTCGTGTTCCCAGTGGATTGTATTAAATCCAGAATTCAAGTTCTTTCCATGTATGGGAAACAGGCAGGATTTATTGGTACCCTCTTAAGTGTTGTGAGAAATGAAGGAATAGTAGCCTTATATTCTGGACTGAAAGCTACTATGATTCGAGCAATCCCTGCCAATGGGGCACTGTTTGTGGCCTACGAATACAGCAGGAAGATGATGATGAAACAGTTGGAAGCATACTGAAGTGTCTTGGTGAACCTGGATCCGAGTCCATGAGTTTGAGGACTACAGTTCATCACAGGGTTCAGCAGAGTACAAGACCACTGTCTAATTTTGACTTCATGGGAATTTTGGTTTTATCTTCCCTTCTTCTACCCTAAATCTTAACTTTATGGAAGGGCCTCTATTTTACATCATATAATTTCTGCCCATAATTGTATTGAAATAGGAAAGTTGCTGCTCTTGCACTTGCTGGAATGTACAGGGTGGGCTGGTTGGCCCTATGTACCTAATCTGAAAAACTAAATATCGTTCTGTCAGGGCCTTTGCATAAAGCCATTTGTGTGTACATGCAGTTTGGATGATTCTATGTCGTGAGTGAAACAATTTAGTTCTATATATAATCTCAAATATCAGCCCCCCAAACCCAGAATTGACCATATTTTGTGAAGATAGGTATGAATGATTACTTAGGATCACTCTCTCTTTTTTTCTTTTTTTTTGGAGACAGAGTCTCACTCTGTCGCCCAGGCTGGAGTGCTGTGGCATGATCTTGGCTCACTGCAACCTCTGCCTGCCTGGTTCAAGCGATTCTCCTGCCTCAGCCTCCCGAGTTGCTGGGATTACAGGTGCCCGCCACCATGCCCAGCTAATTTTTGTATTTTTAGTAGGGATGGGGTTTCACCATGTTAGCCAGGCTGGTCTCGAACTCCTGACCTCAGGTGATCCACCCAGCTCAGCCTCCCAAAGTGATGGGATTATAGGCATGAGACACCGCACCCGGCCAGGATCTCTTTTAAAGTCTGCTTAACATGCGCACTACATTAGGCGGTTCAAGTTTTGAAACATCTTCATGTGGTGCTTGATACCAAAATACTCCTCTCTCTCTCTCTCTCTCATATATATATATATATGAGAAAAAGTATATATATATATATACTTTTTTTTTTTGAGATGCAGTCTCACTCTTGTTGCCCAGGCTGGAGTGCAGTGGCACGATCTTGGCTCACTGCAACCTCCGCCTCCTGGGTTCAAGTGATTCTTCTACCTCAGCCTCCCAAGTAGCTGGGACTACAGGTGCACGCCACCACACCCGGCTAACTTTTGTGTTTTTAGTAGAGATGGGGCTTTGCCATGTTGGCCAGGCTCGTCATGAACTCCTAACCTCAGGTGATCCACCCGCCTAGGCCTCCCAAAGTTCTGGGATCACAGGTGTGAGCCGCTGCGCCTGGCCTCATCTATATTTTTAAGAGGAGAAGGTACCTGCATACCAGTGTGGCTTTGACATTCTTGAGTTAAAAGTTTCAGAGTAAGCATTGTGGATTTTCCCAAGAAACAATACCCTTAATATAGTGTTATCCATTTTCAAAGTGGGATTATATTCTGCACTCTGCCTATATGGTTAGGGATGATCTAGAGTATCATCAGGCCTTGGGGAATCCACACAGCCTTCCTGCGCCAGCTTCCGTTCTCCCCCTCAAACGAGCTGGGCTTTAGTTCGAGGAAGGAGCTGTGCACCTCTGCTTTGATGAAGACCCATGTGGCTGATAACAGTTCTTAGCTTCCAGTCTCTGGGTCCTGGCCTGGGTAGGACTCAAGGGTGTTCTATCGGCCCATTTAGAGGTTGTTGATTCATTTTGGGTCACTCACTGTCCTTTCTGCCTCCATCAGCCAGAAACCTTCCTGGGGAACAGAAAGTGACAAAGCTAAGAGAAGCTTTTGTTCCCTATTTGCTAATAATACTTGTGGGTAAAAGTCATCTACTCTCAGATAGAACTAGACAGAACTTAGTGCTTTTGCTCCACAATGAGTCATGTTAGGGACAACCCTTTCTTGAAGTTTACCTTGGGGTCCATAATACCTTCCCATGCCTTTACAGTGCTAGAGTCTTCTAAATTTGGTACTGTTCATCAGTAAATTTTAATGATAACTACGTATGGGGTGTGACTAAGGAATGAAACAGAAGAAAAGTAATTTTATTGAACTATATACCATATGTATGTATATGTACACTGTCAAAACCCCTCCAAAACAAAGAAAAACCCCCAACCCCAAAACGTAGTTCATTTATCTGATCCCCACAGACTTGGAGATAAGCAACTGTTCTTTGGCCATGTCATTCTTGTCACCACTAAAGTAAGCCCCATCATTCTGTGTTGCTCCAAGACCACCAGCAGGGTCTCTTTCAGTATCAAGTTTTCTTAAGCAGCCTCTAAAGCTGAAAAGAAGCAGGCTACCAGTCTTAATAATAGTCTGTACCATGTGGGTTTATTATTTGACAGAATGTAATTCCTGTGGGAAACTTTGTTTCCTTAAGCTTTTTGCTATCTATGAAATCTCTGTGGTAACTCTAGCCTTAGTGTCAGAAGCAAGATGGTCAGGGAAATGAGATACTGACCAGTAAGGGTTGCTGCGGACATTTAGGGGAGGGGAGGCTCAGTGTCAGGCCTGGTGTGCCCCAGAGCTATGGCTGATCTTCCATTTATTTACTTTTACTTTAAAAGAAAATCATGTTTATACTTTAAAGTTATTTATAGATTTAAGTTATATATTCCATACTTAAATGGTCAGTAGCTATGGAGTGGTGCTTCATCGGAGCAGGCCTGTATTAAATATAAAACGGGACTGGCGTTTAACAGGAAGTGGATCATTTCAGAGTCCACCGTCCCGCTGCCTGGCACCCATGAGGTAGTCTAAGTTAGCTTTGTTGTCAGCATACCTTCTTACGTGTCATTCATTAAAGATTTAACTCAATACCTTCAAAAAAATAGTATGAGGCAAGTAAGGATAGTGGGAGTGAGGAATAGAAATCTAAGTCAGGAGAATTTTTTTCCTGTCCTATTTGCTTAATTCAGTGTTCAATATTTGGGTACAACTTGTATCATTTCAGATCTCTAAGCAAAAATATAGTAATTTGAAATACTGTGTTTAAAGACATTTGAGGGTTCTATCGCCAAATTATTTATCTACATAATACTTATTTAACTCACACCATTTACAATGTATTGTATTGAACTGTGGCTATTCAGACACTAATGGTATCTGGTTTCTGACTTCAAGGATCTGACAGTCTAGATGTTTGTTCTACAGTTAGAAGAGTGATATTTTAGAATAAAATTTAGAAGAAAAAGGTGGAATCCAAATTTTATATTGTGTGTGTGTAATCAGTGATGGAATCTCTGAATTTAATGAACAGTCCCCTTCTCTTTGTTTTTGTTTGTTTGTTTGTTTTTTGAGATGGAGTCTCGCTCTGTCGCCCAGAGTGCAGTGGCACGATCTCAGCTCACTGCAACCTCTACCTCCTGGGCTCAAGCAATTCTCCTGCCTTAGCCTCCCTAGTAGCTGGGATTACAGGCCTGTGCCACCGCACCTGGCTAATTTTTGTATTTTTAGTAGAGATGGCGGTTTCACCATGTTGGCCAGGCTGGTCTCGAACTCCTGACCTCAAGTGATTCACCCACCTCGGCCTCCCAAAGTGCTGGGATTGTCCCCTTCTCTTAATTGTGTTTTTGTATTGTGGCTTTTTGTATTCTTTAAATTAGTGCCATGGTATTTGTTTCTAAGATTTAAATTGATCAAATCATTTTTCTGATGCCTAGCCTTATTTTAAAATTTTCTTCACTTCCACATAACATAATTTGCCCCTTAATTTTGAAAAATCTTTTCTGTAGTTTATTATACCTTTTGGTCTATTGTCAAGGCCAAAGGGTCTGCATCTTGCATTGCTGAAAGACATCGTAGTTAGAAATTCTTTCTGTGTCCTAGCATTCACTGGATGCTAAGCTGTAGTAGTTAAGTATATGTGATATCTCAGAAGGATCATATCTGGCAATGGAGTATCAAAGCTGCTCATTTTCTTCATGATCTTCTTGCTGAACTCAGAAGAAATGTAGATTCTCTTTCTTCTGGCTCAGACCTCTAAGGAGGGTGATAATTATTTCCAGGAAGTTGTTGTGTGACTGAAACTACTGGAGATTTTTGCTCAAGACCAGAAAGTATCCCTCTGTCCAGGGCCTGCACTTCCAACTTGAGCAGCTCCTTAACTTTAAAATCCCTGTTTTCAAAGTCTATAATTCTCTACGCTCTCTGATCTCTCTAGATTCATGTGAAATAGGCCAGACATCTCTGAGATTCATTTATTCATGTGAAATAGGCCAGAAGTCTTCCCTGAGATTCATTTTAGAAAGCAAATTATTTCAGTGTTGAAACTGAAAGGAGTTAGTTAGCTTGCCTTAGGTAGAGAGCAAGGCAAGGGTCCCTGGAGAGCCCCCAGCCCATGGGTCAGTGTCTCATCCCCACATAACATAAAAAGGAGCCTGGGAAAAAAATTCAAGCTGCAGGCACTGATAAGGAACTAGCACAGGGTGTTGTGCCTGGAGACAGGCCCACAGCTGCACAGATAGAAAAACCTCCGGCCCATTTGGATAAAAACTTGCATAGACCTCCGGCCCACTCAGATAAGGGAACAAGGCCTGGCATAGAAATAAAAACGTACATAAACCTCCGGCCCACTCAGATAAGGGAACAAGGCCTGGCATAGAAATGCCTTTGTCCTTTGTATAGTCAGCAGGCTCCCAGGAAAAAGTTTCTTCTCCTTTTGTGGGCAGGGGCACAGTGGGCTCTAGTGGGTTCCGGTGGGCACTTTTCTTTCTTTTTTGGACTGTAAGTCTGGGCTCTATGAATCATCACTTCAGCCCCTGATTGTTCCCAACCCAAGGTCCCGGGCAAACCTTTCTGGTTGATGTCAGGTCAAGCTGAGTCACATGTTCTCCAGACAGCCCAGGGACTAAGCACATTCCTTCCTCTTCCCAGCCCCTGAAAACCCTGGACCCCAGCCTCACACGGGGCACCCTGTTTAGGCCCGCCTCTCTGCTGACAGAGAACTTTCTTGTTTCGCTTATTAAACTTTCGCTCCAACCTCACCTTTGTGTCTTCTTGGAGGTAGGACAAAGAACTCTGGGTGTTATCTCAGACAAGGAGAGACTGTTACATCTTGGTGCATTGCTGAGACTACAACAAAACTATCATCAGGGTCTGTGGCCTGCTTTCTGAGCTCCACTGTCTACACTGTTCTTGGCTTCCTCCTAATGCCAGCACTTACATACAGACTTCTTGTTAATGATGTTTAAAAGGTGGACTGCTATCTTCCTGTTTCCCCAACCTCTTCAAGGTTGGTAGCATCACCAGTAGTGATGCTCTATTCCTTACATGAGGCTTAGTAGATTTTTCAAAATCAGTTCAGGCTGGCTTTAGTCTGCATGTTGAGAAGAAAAAATATCACAAGTGGGTAAGTAGCTTTGTAGATAATTGATGTCTCTTAACAATCATGCACATTCTGCATGTGAAAATAATGTCCCCAGAAAGGGCATTATTATTTCTTCCACTGGGAAGCCAGATAATTATGTATATAGCGAGTATTTCTACTGCAGCCTGAAGAAGTTTCACTGGGTCCTTCTCAACAACCTGGTCTCTCAGCAGACGTGAACTAGGGCATCTCTCTACATATCTTCTTTAATCATTGATTTACAAACAGATCTTTTGTGCATTTAGAAGAAGTGTGCTTTTCTGACTTTGGAGAAATAGTGGACTCACCTCTAGCCGGTGCTCAGGGTTTCTCATCTAGGTTCTCCACGACGTTGCCCACAAAAAAGCCTTCTTCAACTCCTTGGTACTGGACTCAGATGCTCATTTAGACAGGCAGAGGCAGCTCAGGAGGTTAGTTAGTCTTCCCTTGTGTCTGCAGCCTGCTGCGGCACCATGACTGTCTTCTGGTGAATGCATTATGGGATTTATTTATTATTATTATTTTTTCAGACGGAGTCTCACTTTATTGCCAGGCTGGAGTGCATTGGCACGATCTTGGCTCACTGCAACCTACGTCTCCCAGGTTCAAGTGATTCTCCTGCCTCAGCCTCCCAAGTAGCTAGGACTACAGCCACGCACCACCACACCCAGCTAATTTTTGTATTTTTAGTAGAGACGGGGTTTCACCATGTTGGCCAGGATGGTCTCGATATCTTGACCGCGTGATCAGCCTGCCTTGGCCTCCCAAAGTGCTGGGATTACAGGCGTGAGCCACTGCGCCCAGCTGGGATTTATTTTTCTACTTTCTGCTTCTGTTTCTTTGTTTGCCTCCCCTCTTCTCTTTGCCATCTGGAGTCAAAGCTGATCCAAGTCGATAAGACCCTAGCTCTATGTCCAAGCACTAGTGATTCTCCAGGTTGATTCTGTTCTGTGCCTGCAGTAGAGCTGGGCAGGAAGGCTCCTAGGTTCTGTGTTTTCCATGCTGGAGAAAAGATCTAAAGGCCTGGGAGAAGTTAAACATGTTTGGCAAGAATACATCATTGGTGATTTTCTGTGCTTCATATTCTATCACATATAGGATTTTATTGTTATTTATTTTTATTTTTGAGATGGAGTCTCACTCTGTCACCCAGGCTGGAGTGCAATGGCACGATCTCAGCTCGCTGCAACCTCCGCCTCCTGGGTTCAAGCGATTCTCCTGCCTCAGCCTCCCAAGTAGCGCCCACCACTACGCCCGGCTAATTTTTGCATTTTTAGTAGAGATGGGGTTTCACCGTGTTGGTCAGGCTAGGCTCAAACTCCCGATCTCAGGTGATCTGCCTGCCTTGGCCTCCCAAAGTGCTGGGATTACAGGCGTGAGCCACCACACCCAGCCCACATATAGAATTTTTTAAAAACAAATCCTGTTGGACCTCAGATTCACAGAATTGGATTATGATAGACTCTCATCATTAGTCCATACATGGCCTGCTTTATTTATTTACTTACCTAGCCAGTGTCAGATTTAAAATCCTCAATACTTGGTGTCATATCTCTGGCTCTGTCCTGTACTAGGTGTGTGACCTTAGTCAAGTTTTCTAACTCTGTGTATTGGTTTCTTCAACAGTAAAATGAGGATTATTACCTCACAGAGCTGTGTGAGAATTAAATGAGTTAATATATGCAGACTAGTTAATGCGGTGCCTGGTGTCTGGTAAACTGTGTACGTGTTGGCTTTTATATTATCTCTGGGTTTCCATCTATGATCCTTTGCCTTATACCCAAAATAAATTCTTTAGAATTTCCTTTAATGTGGGTCTACTAGTGACAAAGACTCTTCATTTTTGTTTTAGATTGTCTTTATTTCACTTTCATTCTTTTAAATTAATTTTTTCTAGTTTTGCATTTTTTAACTACTATTGAGGATGAATATTTTTCAGGGTGTTGCTTAGCTGTTTATGGTTCTTTTTTAAAAAATGAGTTCACCCAGCCTGGGCAACACAGGGAGACCTCATCTCTAAAAAAAATTTTAAAATTTAGCTGAGTGTGGTGGTGCATGCCTGTGGCTCCAGCTACTTGGGAGGCTGAGGTGGGAAGATTGTTTGGGCTCAGGAGGTCGAGGCTGTAGTGAGCCAAGATCATGCCATTGGACTTCAGGCTAGGCGACAGAGTGAGACCCTGTCTCAAAAAAACAAGAGTTCACTTTTCCCTAACTTCTTTTGTTTTTGTGGTAAAATAGATATATAAAACATAAAATTTGTCATTTTAATCACTTTTAAATGTACAATTGAGTGACATTAATTACATTCGCAGTGTTGTGCTACCATCACCACTACCTATTCCCAACATTTTCACCACCCAACAGAAATTTGGTACCCATTAAGCAATAATTCCCCATTTCCCATTCATCCCATCCCTGGTAATCTCTAATCTGCTTTCTGTCCCTTTGAATTTGCCTCTTTTAGACATTTCATACAAATAGAATCATACAATATCTTTTTGTGTTTGGCTTATTTCGCTTGGCATAATGTGTTCGTTTTGATTAGATAATAAGTTACACAATTCAAACAACTATATAAAATTTACTCTGAGAAGTCCTATTCCTACCCCACCCACATTACCCCTTTACACTTCATTTCCTATAAATAATTTTTTCGTTTTTATCATGGTAGCGTTTGTTGTTGTTGTTGTTGTTTTTGTTGTTTGTTTTTGAGACAGAGTCTTGCTCTGTTGCCCATGCCAGAGCACAGTGGTGTGAACTTGGCTCACTGCAACCTCTGCCTCCTAGGTTCAAGCGATTCTCCTGCCTCAGCCTCCTAAGTAGCTGGGATTACAGGCCCATACCACCATGCTCAGATAATTTTTTGTATTTTTAGTAGAGATGGGGTCTTGTTATGTTGGCCAGGCTGGTCTCGAACTCCTGGCCTCAAGAGATTTGTCTGCCTCTGTCACCCAAAGTGCTGGGGTTGCAGGTGTGAGCCACTGTGCCCGGCTATCATGATAGTGTTTTTATGCACAAATATGCAAATATGAATATATGTTCTATGTCTCCTTTTATAACAGAAAATGTAGCTATTTTAGCCTGAGTCCTCCCAAAAGCAGAGTAGAAGACAAGGGGCTAGGCCAGGTGCAGTGGCTCTCAGCCGTAATCCTAGCACTTTGGGAGGCTGAGGCGGATGGATTGCTTGAGCCCAAGAGTTCAAGACCAGCCTGAGCAAGATGGCAAAACCCCGTCTCTACAAAATAGAAAAACAATTAGCCTATAGTCCTAGCTACTTGGGAGGCTGAGATAGGAGAATTGTTTCAGCCTGGGGAGATAGAGGCTACAGTGTGTCATGATTGTGCTACTGCACACCAGCCTGGGTGACAGAGTGAGACCCTGTCTCGAAAAAGAAAAAATATGTCAAAGGGCTTTTATACCACTAATATATTAGGAAGTGCAATCCTAGGAAACAAATGAGGGGCCAGGAGAGTGAAGCCAGAAAGGATGAAGAGCCAATTTGAGGGTGCATTATTGAATTGGCTGTTATTAATTGCAACTGATTTCTTAAATCCAGTTCTCCAAGAAGTCATATATATTGTGTCTGAGGGGAGCTAGTTGGAGGAGTGGTGATGGGGGAACATTTATTTTTTTATCCTCACCTCCCTCTGGTCAAAGTTTCAGCACACAGACGTGAACTACCCCACACTTCTGAATTGTGTCTATGTGGGTGCTGAGCAAGTTTCCATGGTGAGCAAGGTTCCAATCCTGTTAAATTGGTTTCAACAGGAAAGCCTTTGGGTGAGAGCCAAATGACATGTGACATAGTTATGAGGGAGAAAGTACTGTTAAGGTTGCACCTATATGAAGTCTGTGCCCACACGGAGCTGGCTTCCAGTAGCCATGTCTGGAACACAAGATAGGCAAGGCTGAGGCCATCTGAAATGGAGCATAAGAAGTATCTGATATAGTCCATCCACTGTATCACCATGGGCCTGCTCATATTCTCCGTTGTATCCAGCTTCCATGCTATTATTCAATATGGGGCCTCCATTTGTGTGTGTGTGCGTGTGTGCATGCATATGTGTGTGTGTGAAAGAGACAGAAAGAGAGAGAGAGAAAGAGAGAGAAAGAGAGAGTATGCCCTCACTTCTTATCTGACAGCAGAGGAGTAAGTCCAGTCCACAAAAGATTTTCCTCTAAGGTATAACCAAGTACGATTTCTGAAGAGACTTAAGAGTTAGTGAAACAAGCTACGGTTCCTTCTGGACCTGCTTGGAGATGAGACATTTACCTCTGAGGAGTTTAAGAGCTTAATGCCTTGTCTATGTCATGGTTGCTGCAGTTGCTCATTTACCATTGACACTGGCAATGGAGACACCAAGAGATACCCTAGTGAATGTCCTGAATTCCAGACATATGATATACTGAACGAATTATGTTGGAGCAACCCAAGCTTCTCATGGTAATCAAAGTCACTTACCACCATAATCACATTAGCTCTTTTTTGGCTTGTTTGTCCACTGGTATGAACAGCTCAACATGACCAGGCGGTAACCAGGTTCAAATTCAACTGAAATGCAGCAGAGCCTAGAGATTCCATGGATGGGAAGCAAAAATGCAATCAGATCACTGGAAGCATTGGTGGGAGGAGTTAATCCTATTTCACCACTTGGTTCATGGACTCATGTATTCTAGCTACTTGGGATGGAATTGTTGGTTCAGCTCCTATTCTACATTTTAGAGGACAGCATCCGAATCTTTTAGAGTGATCTCCAAAGCTAGTGCCTTAGTAAAGATTTTTAATAGATCTTGCCTTGATTTATTGGCTCATTGTTTGATGGTGGTGGGAGGTAAAGGCATACATTGTAAAATTCGTGAATCTCTTGGTCATGTATCCAATGTCCTATATCTATCTATTTAATTTGCCACAAATGGGTCCCTCAGTCTAAGACAGGGTTTATAGGATACCTTGTTGATACATCATTCTGTAAGCCTTTGAATAATATTGCTGTCGAAGAATTGTGAAGAGAGGAGAAAAGAAAAACACCACTTTCTTGAGTAGGTGTGATGAATTACTGCCCTATCCAGAGTGAGGGGAGTCTGATAAAATCAACTTGCCATTAAGTGGCAGGCTGGTTTCCTCAAGGAATGATACTGAAGGCTCAGCATTCTTCTGCTGGCATTCAGAAGTGGTAATATTCTGCAAAGGAAAAGCTCAAATAATTAAGATAAAAAGAAATGGAAAAAAAAAAAACCCAGAAGGGGTAATAGATCAGCCATAGTGAGAGGGAGCCCCTGCTGCTATCCCCATACAAAATCTCCATCTACCCCCATGGCCTCCCTGCTTACCAACTTATTGTCCCAGTAGTGGGATGGCTGAGGAACGAGGCTGACTGATATCTACAGAATAAGTCATCCAATTCACCTGGTTGTTGAAGACCTCTCCTATGGTAGAATTATCTTGTGAGCATTAACGTGAGATGCAAATATTTTTTATGCTGTTTTTTGGCCCAATTCCTAACCCTTCCATATACATTTTCCACAGTTTTCTTGTCTTTAATATAATAATTGTGTATCCTCCAGATGCTAGACCAGCCAGCCAATCCCTTTGCCACTGCTCAGCTATCTACATATAGCCACACATCAGACCACTTCTCTTTTCATTAAAAATGAATGGCCAAGTATATTTCTTACAGCTCTGCTTACACAGAAGGTTTTCCTTTACCACTGTCCTTTAGGGTTCCCCTTAAGTAACTTAGCAGTTAAGCATTTTTGGCTTGCACCAACATATGTACCAAGCACCTGTAAACTGGGACCAATATCTTTTCTCTTCTGTCAGTTGGTCATAGGGAATTTTCCAATGAAAATATAGGTATGAATTGTGAATTGCTTTGGCACAGTAGAGATTGGTGAAACAGGAGTCTAGGTCATGTGTTTATGGAATTCCTTCTGGACTTGGTTGGAGCTAATCCTGAATTTACTATTTCTCTTATACAAAGGGTTTCTCTTATACCTATCTAACCTTACAATTTAGTAAATCTGATGATACCAAGTTCTTGTTGGCAGCTCTGGTGGCATAATCATTTGGTGTCTGATATAGTTTGGACATTTGTCCCCACCAAAACCTCTTGTTGAATTGTAATTTCCAGTGTTGGAGATGGGGCCTGGTGGGAGGTGTTTGGATCATGGGGGTGGATCCTTCATGGCTTAGTGCTGTCCTCGCAGTAGTGAGTTCCTGTGAGATCTCGTTGTTTAAAGTGTGTGGCACTTCCTTCACTCTCTTTCTCCTGCTCTTGCTATATGATATGCAAGATCTGTCTTTACCTTCTGCCATGAGTTAAAGCTCCCTGAGGCCTCCCCAGAAACCAAGCAGATCCTGGCACCATGATTATATAGCCTGTAGAATCATGAGCCAATTAAACCTCTTTTCTTTATAAATTACCCAGTCTCAGGTATTTCTTTTATTTATACTTCTAGCAGTGCAAGAACAACCTAACACAGTGTCCCATTGTCATCTACTCAGTCTCTAATAGGGCTAAGGAGCATGATAGTATCTATTTATAAGCACTGAGAAATTTCCTACTGTAGAAGGCATGGATCTACCCCATTTAGATTTACTGTCTATACCATTGAAAGATTTGCACTTTAGCTTTCCTACTGTGCCATGCCAGAAATTCCACACAGCATTGTTATCCATCATGGGCATTACTAGCAACACTGGAGTGGCTGGTTTGTGTCAGATGGCTAGTATCATAGCCTGGACCTCTTACTCCAGAGTCTTCTCAAACCTGATAGCATTTTGAGTTCCAGATGTGGTATATGTTACCTCTAAAATCCAAAGAGACTGTGCCTCTTTCTTAATGGTAAGAAATGCAAGTGATAATGACTTATATTTTATCTCAGAGGGCATTTCTTTGCATGCCCAAGAACCCTAGAATCATTACTGATATGACAGTCACCTGAATATTCATAGGGTTAATATTTTACTCTTTGACATGCTAGACCATCTAGGGTCCTTGTTACTTACTACTCACTACTCACTGGGTCCAATTAGAATCATGTCATCTATGCAGTGATCTAGCATTATGTTCTATAGAATGTTCAATGTTGAAATATTTGTGGAGTACATTATGAAAGAAAGCAAGAGAGTTAACATAGCTTTGTAATAAGATAGTTGAATGTGTTCTGTTTTCTTATCATGAGAAGATGACTGCTTTTGATTTTATTCCCTGGTGGAATTTAAGACAAGTGCGTTCACCAGAAAAATAGCCACCTACCAAGTTGCCAAAGTTATACTGATCTACTCCAATAAAGATACCACATCTGGCATGACAGCTGCAATTGGAGCTACCATTTGGTTAAGTAAGTATATTGCAGTCCATTGTCATCACAACAATCTATCTAGTTTTTGCAGAGGGTGAACAAATGAATTAAATGAGAATTTGATGAGGACTATCACCTCTGTGCACTTTAAGCCTCAGGAGGTAGTGTTAATCTCTAAAAATCCTCCTAGGATGCAGCATTACTTATGATTTACTATCTTGGCTAGGGAAAGGGACATTTCAGGGTTTCCACTATAATGTGTCTTACTCTCTTATTTGTCAGAGAATAAATACAAAGGTTTGGCGTCAGAGGGTCCCAAGACCCCAGGTTTGGTAATTTTCTAAGACTCACAAAACTCAGCATGTAGTCATACTCGTGGCTATGATTTGTTACAGTAAAGGGATACAAGGCAAACTCAGCTAGGGGAAAAGGTATATCAGATAAAGTCTGGAGGAAACTAGGTATAAACTTCCAAGAATCCTCTCCCATTGGAGTCACACAGAATATGATTAAATCCTCCAGCATCAAATTGCACCAACAGGTGTAAAGTGTTATCTACCAGGCAAGCTTGCCTAAACCTAGGAATCCAGGGTTTTTATTGGGGACTGGTCATGTGGGCCTCTTCTGCCTAGTAGGTAGCAAAATCCCAGATTCCCCGAAGGAAAGCAGGTGTTCAGCATAAGCCACGTTGTTTGTATATACAGTTTAGGCACAGCAAACCACTTTTATCAGTTATGAAATGATGCAGACAATCTCAGAATCCAAGTCCCAAATGCAAGCCAAGGGCCTACCTTGTAAGCAGGGCCTTCGACGGCTTAGTAGTCTCAGGTCTGTTATATTAACTCTTTTCTTCTACCCACTTGGTCATTGTCCAAGGCATTTTTTACAAAAAGATTATTATCAATAGGATCCCACATGGCAGGGTGAGATCAGCCTACATTATTGGCCTCAGTTATGTCCTCCATGGCTTCTAGATTTGGCCAATTAAAACAAATCCTGGGAACAGGCACAGTGGTTCACGCCTGTAATCCCAGCACTTTGGGAGGCCAAGGTGAGTGGATCACCTGAGGTCAGGAGTTCAAGACTAGCCTGACCAACATGGTGAAACCCCGTCTCTACTAAATACAAAAAATTAGCCGGGTGTGGTGGCACATGCCTGTAATCCCGGCTACTCGGGAGGCTGAGGCAGGAGAATTGCTTGAACCCAGGAGGCAGAGGTTGCAGTGAGCCAAGATTGTGCCATTGCACTCCAGCCTGGGCAACAAGAGTGAAACTCTGTCTCAAAAAACAAAACAAAACAAAAAATCCCATTAACCATAAAGGTCTATCTTAGAAAGCCAGGTGTCTTTCTCCTTTAGTTTTTATATTAACCTTTTTTTTTCTTTTAATCTGGCCCAA
Source organism: Homo sapiens (assembly GCF_000001405.40). Taxonomy (NCBI): domain Eukaryota; kingdom Metazoa; phylum Chordata; class Mammalia; order Primates; family Hominidae; genus Homo; species Homo sapiens. The sequence goes on along the minus strand of NC_000005.10, from coordinate 141,288,996 downwards.
GGCATCAACTCAGGCACAGCACATCTCTGACCAGTAAGTTAAAGTTAATCCGAATGCCTTGTAGGGCTGAGACAGTGTCATGATAGTCAGGGTACCCACAAAAGAAATATAAGCCCAGAGGGCACACACAGTACCCCTGGAAACAATGAGTTTACAGTTGTTAGGACACCCCAAGCAGGACATACAGTAGTCAGGCAATAAGGTTAAGAAGACCTCTAATGTAACCTTCCACTGTGGGCCCTCCTGCTCCAGGATTCTCAGTGCAGTCCAAATAACACAGGTCAGTCCTTAGATTCATAACGACTGCCTGAGGCAGTCAGTTCCAAACAGTTTTGTTCATGCATAATATCACTTCATCCATCTCATAAGTGTGGGTGACATCTGGAAGTGTTCCTCTGCCGTCTCATAGTCACCTGTGACCATGGGCTCAGCAATCTGTTTGAATTCAGAGTGCTCGCAGCAGCTTGGAAAGCCAGCATGGGGACTTCTCCTTCAAGAAGGGGGTAAAGCTTCCAGGAGCAGTTCTGAAAAACAAAAATCATTAACACCCTAACCTCTCCCTGTGCCTCCCAGGGGCTGGGTGTGGTTTCTCCATTGTTACAAAATCAGTGTGTCCCATTCACAATTATAACTTTATATTTTCAATCATCTCCTACTCACTAGGGCCTTTCATCCAGAAGGGTTATAAGCAAGAGGGAAAAAAGCATTTTCACAGAAAAACATTTTTACACAACTTAAGCAGAAAGACACATCATGGTAAGGAATTGGTCACAATGACCTGAATTTTCTAAGATTTTTCAAATTAAGTTTACACAGACTCTTATCCCTTTAGTCACAATCATTTATCCAGTGGCCAGCCTACCATCCCAGAGAAGAGCAGTTCCTTTTTGGGGACAGCTGCATTTAACAATCAAATTGTCTTAATATTCCAGTAAAAAGGTGAAGGAAGTAGATTCAGGCTGTAAGTCAATTGTTGCAAGTTGCAACCAATCCAGAAATCTAAACACAAATCTACAGCAGTGGGACTTTCTCCAGAGGAGGTCCAGAGTCTGATCTGTCAGGAATGGGGAGAGGGGTTACAGTCACTGTGATGTGCCCAGTCCTAAAGTGCAATTAGGAATGCAACCAGTCTCTGTATATCTCTCTGTATCAGAAATATAGAGCCAATCAGCACCTCAATTTTAGATGGCTCCATCAGAGAATAACCCCTTTCCCATGGGCATCTGACCACCATAGATGGTCCAGCCAGTATTTATGACGTTTTCATTAAGGCCCCACAAAGAGGTATCTTAAATCTGCAACAGTTGCAGAATCTATGTTCTGTTTATTGAGACTATGCCTGCTTTCAGTTTAGCACAGCTCATTCTGAGACTGAAATGGTCCATCAGAAGATAGTCAGATTTTAGCTTAGAGTCAGGTCCAGGCAATTAAGATATGTGAATTCAGGATTCCAAAAAGTCAGTAAGAAGGGATGGTGAGAACACTCTCAAAGTCCCAGTTCCCAGATGCCAGCCAAAAGCCAACCTTACAAGAAGAGCTTTCTAAGGATCACAGTATTAGACCTACTGTGTTGGCTCTTTTCTGCACTAGTGTTTTTTTGTTTGTTTGTTTGTTTTTTGTTTTTGTTTTTTGAGATAGAGTTTCGCTCTTGTTGCCTAGCCTGGAGTGCAATGTTGTGATCTCGGCTCACTGCAACCTCCGCCTCCGGGGTTCAAGCGATTCTCCTGCCTCAGCTGGGATTACAGGCATGCACCACCATGCCTGGTTAATTTCGTATTTTTAGTAGAGACGGGGTTTCTCCATGTTGGTCAGGCTGGTCTCGAACTCCTGACCTTAGGTGATCCACCCTCCTCGGCCTCCCAAAGTGCTGGAATTACAGGTGTGAGCCACCGCGCCTGGCTGCACTAGCTTTTTCTAGCTAATATCTGCTCCAATTATACACTTACAGGCCTGAGAAATAACCACTTGGTAGGTCTGTTGATCCTTTGGACCCACTGAGAGATAAATTTGGGCCCAAATTCCATGCATCTCTTGATATCTATAAGCCTCCACTGTAACTGGAGGACCGTGATGGTGTTTTAGGACACCTTGGATTAGAGGCAGCTCAAGAACTATATGTAGCCTTCATTGAGAAGTCTGGATAATCCACTTTCCCAAGTGTGGTTACCCAGGCATATGGCTGCAGATATCTGATAGAAAGGACAGAAGGGACCATCAGGAGTCTATAGTTGCAGGGGCATTTTCCTTCCTCAAAAGGAGTCAGCTTCCTCTTCAAACAATGGGGTCTGGTGTGGTGATCTGACTTAGATCTAAAAACAGTGTGAGGAACTGTGGTATAGTTTGGATGTTTGTCCTCTGAAAATCTCATATTGAAATTTGATCCCCAGTGTTGGAGGGGGGACCTACTGGGAGGTGTTTGGAGCATGGGGTGGATCTCTCATAAACAGATTAGTGTCCTCCCTTGAGGGAGGGAGGGAGTTCTTACTCTACTCATTTTGGAGAGAGCTGGTTGTTAAAAGAAGTCCCTGGCCCTCTTGCCTCCTTTCTCATCGTGTGATCTCTGCACACAATGGCTCCCCTTCACCTTTCACCATGAGTGGAAGAAGCCTGAGGCCCTTACCAAAAGCAGGACTCAATAGTATAAGGCTATAATTTCTCTCCAAACTGATTTTTATATCTCTCAGTTGGATATATATAAATTTGAGGTGTAGTGTATAACATAATATATATGTTATATATAAATTTGAAAAGAATTCATATATATTCATATATAGACAATATATAGAATTCATATATATATTCAGTCTCATTCAAAGTCCTTATTTCTTTTTTAGAACTTGACAAGATGATTCTAAAATTAATATAGAAATGTAAAAATGCAGGAATAGCAAATACTCATGACAGCATTATTCATAACAGCTAAAAACTGGAAACAATCCTCATATCCTTTAATTTTAGAATATAAACTTAAATATAAATTTAAATTCAATTTAAAATAATTTGTTATTTTTATGCAGCAGAGAAAGAGAACAAAGTTGAGTTACACACAGCAACATGGATAAATCTCACAAATACAATGTTTAATGAAAGAAGCCAGGCACAAAAGAACACATAATTATTATTCCACTTATAGAAAGTTTTAAAAATATGCAAAACTAATACTTAGCTGGTAAAAGTTAATAAAGACAATGAAGTGATTATCATGAAGGGTGATTATCTGAGCAGGAGAGAGGAAGTAGCAATTCAGAAGAACCATGAGAGTGGCTAAAACATTGGCAATGTTTTATTTTTTTATTTTTTATTTTTTTGAGATGGAGTCTGACTTTGTTGCCCAGGCTGGAGTGCAGTGGTGCGATCTTGGCTCACTGCAACCTCTGTCTCCAGGGTTCAATCAGTTCTCCTGCCTCAGCCTCCTGCCACCACTCCCGGCTAATTTTTGTATTTTTAGTAGAGACGGGGTTTCACCATGTTGGCCAGGCTCATCTTGAACTCCTGACCTCAAGTGATCCTCCCACCTCAGCCTCCCAAAGTGCTGGGATTACAGGCATGAGCCACCAAGCCCAGCCCAGGGTTTTATTTTTTGATGTAGTGGTGGTTACATGACTGCTTGTTTTGTGAAAAATTATTGAGCTGGACATTTTTGGTTATTTTTCTATATGTCTGTCATATTTTACAATATAAAAAGGTAAAAAAACTGTTGTTTTGTAGTCTGTGTCTAATAATTCCAATTTTTGTTGGTCTGTTTCTTTTGCATATTCTTTTAGCTGCTTCTCACTAGTGTTTCCCTGACTCTTTTTGTGTTATAGTTGTATTTGCAAAATAATTTGAGACCTGTGGTGAAGGTGGTGAAGGTACCTTCTCTGGAGAGGATCTGCATTTGCAGCTTCCAAATATATGGGAGCACTGATTGAGGACTTTTGTAAACCAAATTCAAAACTTGAAGTTCTCTAGAAGATCCCGGTGTTTTGAACTCATGTGGAAATTCCATGCAAAAGTAGGTCCACCCTCGTTCTCTGGGTCACCCTTCCTTTGGGAACCCAGTTTACAGTGGGAGTGTCTTTTTGTATACCATTTTAGAAGATGGAGGAGCAGGGACTTCTGCAGAATATTTAGCCACATGCTTTATATGCTTATATGAGATCACCATAAGTTTTGAACACTCATAAAAATTATCACAGTTCTACCTTTTTTTGAACTCCTGGGCTCAAGTGATTATCCTGCCTCAGACACCGGAGTAGGTGGGACTACAGGCATGTGCCACCACACTCAGCTAATTTTTTTTTTTAAATTAATTAATTTTTTTTTTTTTTTTGAGACGGAGTCTCGCTCTGTCAGGTGCCCAGGCTGGAGTGCAGTGGCACAATCTCGGCTCACTGCAACCTCTGCCTCCTGGGTTCAAGCAATTCTCCTGCCTCAGCCTCCCGAGTAGCTGGGACTACAGGCACCCGCCACCACGCCCAGCTAATTTTTATACTTTTAGTAGAGACAGGGTTTCACTGTGTTAACCAGGATAGTCTCGATCTCCTGACCTTGTGATCTGCCCGCCTTGGCCTCTCAAAGTGCTGGGATTACAGGCGTGAGCCACCGTGCCCGGCCTGACACTCAGCTAATTTTTAAATTTTTTTGTAGAGATAAGGTCTCACTATGCTGCCCAGGTTGGTCTCTAACTCCTGGCCTCAAGGAATCCACCCACCTCAGTCTCCCAAAGTGTGGGATTACAAGTGTGAGCCATGACACCTGGCCCCACAGTTCTACTTTTTTATCTGACCTGTTTCTTTATTAAAAATCTATTTTGTTTTGAGGTTGAGAAACTTTTTTTTTTCAGACTTGTCCCAAGAATTATTGGAGTATTGTCCAATAGAAGGCCTCTACCATATCTAAATGAAGAGATAACTTAAGGACTGGTTCCTTTGTCAATTATTGTTTCTGTGACTTAAGATTGATTCTACTCCAGAAATTATAAGACAGACTTCCCACACTGATTTTCTTGAAATCAAACACCGAGGCAAGAGGCTTTTTGAAATCTCTTTTGGGGACTTCCATTGAAGAGCTGCCTATTTTTCCACCTCTGGGTTAGAATTATGCCACTCAGCCTTTTGCTAAGAGGTAAAATAAACTCACTCTTAGAAAAGAAAAGGAAGAAAAGAAATGGATAGAATGTCTGGACTTAAGAATAAATATTCTATCAACTTGTTTGTAGTGAAGTCTAGATAATTTCTGTGTAAAGCCTTTGAAGAAACAGTCTCAGATATGTGTATTGGTTTAGGCAGAAATTCTGAATTTCTATTCAAGGAGGCACCTGCAAGCCAGCAAGAGCACCTAGTTCTTAAGTATAAAGACTCAGTAAAGGGAAAGCACCGGCCAACTGAGCCCAAATTCACTCAGGGTGAACCCAGGCTGGAAAATATAAATAATTCTTGTTTGAATTAAAGTATGGAAGCTAGGCAATGCCTTGAATATTAGGGTATTTAATGTGCATATGAGGACTATAGACTCTTAATGAAAATGAATTCATTACCCATAATTTACATCTTAGATGTATCCTTGAGGCAGTAAATTCTCCAATCCTAATGAAATTCTTATTTTAATCAGTCTGAAGAAATAAGAACATGCTTGTAGAAATGTTGATTAATGAGTCCTAGGGACTTATTAAGTAATCTAAGATACTACAGGTCAAGATTCTTAAAGGAAAAAAGTGGCCAAATCTGTCTCCAAAGAACTTTTTTTTTATGTAATCATACTCCTCTGGAAAGAAATTAGGAGTCTGATCAATACATAGCAGAAGAAATAGAAATGAAAATTCAGACAATTAAAAAATTTGTTTGTTATTTATGTTGGGCCTTTGTTTGCCATTTTAAACTACAACATATTATAATATGTATAAATTTGTATTGAAAGGCAAGGATTTCAGGGAATAACAGATTCTGGCAAGGATGTGGAGAAAGGGGAAAATTCATACATTACTGGTTGGAATGTAAATTAGCACAGCCACTCTGGAAAACAGTATGGAGGTTCCTCAAAAAACTAAACATAGAACTACCATATTATCCAGCAATTTCACTACTGGGTATATATCCAAAAGAAAGAAAATAAATATAAAGAAGAGATACCTGCACTCCATGTTTACTGCAGCACTATTTACAATAGCCAAAATACAGAATCAACCTAAGTATCCATCAATGGATAAATGGATAAGGAAAATGTGGTGTATATATACACAATAGAATACCATTCAGCCATAAAAAAGAACAAAATTCTCTCATTCGCAGCAACATGGATGGAACTAATTTCATGGAGGTGGTGCTGGCAGAAGCACTGAGGGCAGGAAGGCATATCCATATCTAGAAAACGTGTCTATGCCAGTAAGGTCAAATCCCTGTCTTGTCCATAAGTTCAGTGGCTGGCTATCTCATGAGGGTCTAGACTTTGGCATTTTTCTTTGATGATAACAGATTGGCATGCAGCAGTGGTGGTAACCACATCAGCCTTGATAAAGAGATGATCATTTTGTTGAACCTATGCATAATGCTATGGCCACTTTGCTGATGGCCCATTGAACAAATACTGTTGTGGCTTAGGAAAGGGTTATCTGATATTTTATGGATTAAATGAGTTAATTTTTTTCGAGTACTAAGAACTATGCCTGGCACATAGTAAGCACTATGTAAGTGTTTTGCTAAATAAAAATCCATGTAGTGAACCTTCTTTTCTACCTCAGTATTAAAATCTACAACTGCAATGTGGAACATTTAGTAGGCATTCATATGAGGCACATATATCCACATACTCTGTGTTCCTTTTGATAGAGTTCCATAAACACATCCTGTATCCAGGCTTTCTTATAACCAATAGTCTAATCTTATTCCTTTTAATTCCGTGACCAGGAGGCCAAAGCATTAGCCACTGCTCATGAATACATGATGTTATTGGTTGAATTGTGTCTTCCCCAAAGAAGAAATCCTGGAGTCCTAACCCCCAGTACCTCAGAATATGATATTATTTGGGAATAGGATCTTAACAAAAGTAATCAAGTTAAGATTATTATTGAGATAATTAGGGTGGGCCCTAATTCATTAAAACTGGTGTCCTTATAAAAAGGGACAATTTGGACACAGAGACAGATATGTATACAGGAAAGATCATATAAAGAGACAAGAGGCTGGGCACAGTGGCTCACACCTGTAATCCCAGCACTTTGGGAAGCCGAGGCAGGTGGATCCCTTGAGCTCAGGAGTTCTAGACCAGCCAGGGAAACATGGTAAAACTTCAAAAAAAAAAAAATTAGCCTGGCATGGTGGTGCGCACCTGTGGTCCCAGCTATTCAGGAGGCTGAGGTGGGAGGATCACTTGATCTCAGCAGGTCAAGGCTGTAGTGAGCCAAGATTGTGCCACTACATTCCAGCTTGGGTGACAGAATGACACCCGGTCTCTAAATAAATAAATAAATATAAAGAAACACAGGGAGAAGACAGCTGTCTGCAAGCCAAGTTGAGAGGCCTAACACATTCTTCCTCACAGCCCTCAGAAGGAACCAACCATGCTGACACCTTGAGTTTGGATTTATAATCTCTGGGACAGTGAGACAATACATTTCTGTCTAAGTTACTCCTTTTGTGGTACTTTGTTAAGGCAACCCTAGCAAACTGATACAAATGCAAACCCATACTTCTTGCCAACTGTCCTTTTAGTAAAGTTGAACAGATATATTTCAGGAAAAATGAACAGATATATTTCCTTTCAGGAGGAACTCTTCCCTCTTCCTGAGCCAGTCTTGTGGGATGTTATACTCTAGAAGTCTCTTTCTGGCTTGTGCCAGATTTTTGCATGACAGTATTTCTAAATCGGGCTCAAATTTTTCTTTCTGTAGTATCTAACCACCAAAAAGTCCTAATGAGGCCATAGATGTAGGTTGAAAGAGACCTGTCTTTATACTAGTAATGCAGCAGCAGTAGGTGCTTTGCTAGTATAAACTACCTACTCATGAAATGTACTTGTGCATTCCAGACCTGCTCATATATGATCTAGCGTTACCACTTCCACTTGAATATAGAGTGCTGCCTGGCGTCATAGCACACACCTATATTCCCAGTTACTTGGGATGCTGAGATGGGAGAATGGCTTGCGTTCAAGGAGTTCAAGACCAGCCTGGGCAACATAGCAAGACCCCATCTCAAAAAAGAAAAAAGATAGAGTGCTGCTACTTATGCCCGGGTTTTGATAAATTAGGTAACATCTAGTACACTATAGGCAGCTTGGATCGGATGTTCACTTAGTGTCCCATAGTCAGATGTTCAATCTCTACCATAGTTCAATAGTAAGTCAGGAACATTGTTACAGGGTTGGGATCTCTGGGAAGCAGACTCTGAGATGGAATTAGTGTGTAGGGTGGTTTCTAGGGAGTTCTGTGGGGATTTAGCATCTGTAGGATGGAGGTGACAGAGGCAGGATTCAACAGAAAGAGCAGTGGGAGCTCTGGAGCTAAAATGGCCCATTAGAGTTGTGCTGCATTCAGCTAAAAAGGCCAGGTTATTTTGTGTGTGTGTGTTTTTTTGGGGGGTGGGGTGGTAGGGGAGAGGGGCTTGCTTTGTTGCCCAGGCTGGAATCCAGTAGCGTGATTACGGCTCACTGCAGCCTCAACCTCCTGGGCTCAAGTGATCCTCCCACCTTAGCCTCCTGAGTAGCTAGGACCACAGGCTCACACCACCATGCTCAGCCTATTTTTAAAAAGATGTTTTGTAGAAACAGGGTCTTGCCATGTTGCCCAGGCTGGTGTGAACTCCTGGGCTCAAGTGATCCTCCCACCTCATGCTCCCAAAGTGCTGGGATTACAGGTGTGAGCCATCACGCCTAGCCAAGGCCAGGTCTTTATAGTCCCATCTCTATTAGCCATTGGATGTGGCCCACCCTGGGAAAAGTGTGATCTGAGATGATCCCACAAAGGATTGACAGCTGAAGGGTGCCTACTGACAGCACTCCTGGCACTCCCAGCAGCACTCTTGAAAACAGGTCTTTCATGGAAGGGGAATCTGAGTGGTACATCTCCATGTTCTTACAGTCCACCCTCTGTGCTGTTCAGATCCTTTTCATATCTTCATATATGTTCAGAGAGCAGCTCCTTCTGATTCTAGTGGGCCTCCTCCTGGAGGAAACTTAGACAAGAAAGTTTAATGGGATGAACTGCAGTTCCCACCACTGAAGCTGGTCTCAGGTTACAACTGATAATCATAATCTGTCTTCTCTACTATCCATTTGAGTTTTCCCTCATCCTCCACTAGCTGGTCTGCTGGTCAGAGTGGCTTATTTGGTGGTGTAATCCACGCCTTCATCCCTGAGAGACCTGAGCCCTGGTCACCATTCCCTTCTTATCTGGGATTGTTGTATTTATTCACTTACCAAATAATTGGGCAGGGGTGTACCAGGAGGCACCCAAGTGGGTCACCTATGTGCCAAACATAATTTTCCTAGCTCCTACTGTGTAACAGCAGACCTATTTCTATCTGATGATCAGTGTCAGGTACCCCTGCTGCGATGGTGACTTCTTTTCTTGCCTGCTGAACCCTGAGCACATGGAACTCAAAGAATTGAGGTCACCGATTTGGCTTAAAATATATTGAGATTCTTGCTGTGTCCCCTGTTAGAAATGTTTCCCTTCAGGGACTGGGACTTCTAACCCTGCAGAGCAGAGTTGCAGAAATGGGAATCACAAATTCCCTAAGTAGGTCATTGGGAACAATGGTAACTGGGTCACTCGCTGATCTCTATTGCTGGCAGGTTGAAGATTTGGCTGTGCAAGTTTATTAAGTAAATTTTTAAGACTTCATGTTGTTCTGATGCCCAATATCCTCACAAACAGGCAGTGAACACCCTGCCCAGGTGACTAGGTGCAAAAGTATAACAAGGTTGGTCCCTGCCACAAGTTCCCCTTCTTGCCCTCCCCTGACTACTGTGATATAACTCCAGTCAAACACACCAATGAAATCCCCTCACACCTTTTGCCTGTGCACTCCACTCTGACTGCCAATAAAGGCATTTGCCCAGGGTTCACTCTCTTGGTTCCCCACCTGCTTGTTGAATGTGTTCCCTTGGCTTTCCTGTGGGCCCCCCGCGTGGCGTGCTGCATTTCCCTCTCTAGGACACCTGTGTGTATGATAAATATGTTAATTTCATGTGCCTTTCCCAGTATAATTTCCACAGTCACATTGGAGTGGTCCTTAAATACCCCACAATAGGGACTTACACTCCCGCTTACAACACAGGAAGCAGCTAGATCAGAATTGGTAAGTGAGGCACATGCATAGCCTTCATCTTTGCCTCTGTGGCCTCTGTTCAAGTGCTCATCACTGCAGCAGTGGTCTGGCTGATGAGAGAGGCTGTCTTATGTCAATGGGATAAGTCATCTTGTTTACTTCATTGTTTAGTGCCTCTTCCATGGTAGGATGCCCACTGATGACCATTGACTTGTCACACAATGTCATCACACTTTTGTATTCACTCCCCTATGCCCATCAACATGATTCTGACCCAGAACTCTTTATACCCAATCTTCTAAGCTTTCAGGACTCTTACCAGGCAACCAGATCATTTGCCACTAAACATAAATCTACTTATATTCCAGCCTTAGGCTGCTTTTCTAACTACACAAAGTGGATGTCCAAGTGCACCACTGGAAGCTCTGTCCAGCTTTAAGGAGGATTTTCCCTTATCACCAAATTTCCAGGCAACCCCTAAGTGAGGCAATAGTGCAGCTGACACTAATGTGCAGTTTGCACCCACATACCAAACTGACCTATTCATGAATTTCCCTGTCAGTCAGTTGTAAGGGTTCCTCCTTATGGCCACAGGTGGGAGCTGAGGGAGGGGTTCCTGTGCCACAGGGGTGGATGAGGTGGGTGTCCATGCTACCTACTCAATACAGCTATACAGCTTGCTTATGCTGTTTCTTCTTATATTCAATCCCATAGTTACCATTTCCATCTTTACATTAGATTGTTGCTGGATCCATTCAACCTTATGACTTGACAGGTCTGACAGAACCCCGATCATGATAGGTAGTTCCATTTACATAGTAACTTGGTATCCCCTGATCAGGTATTTAGTCTGTACTAGGCCAAATAGCATACTAGTTTTTTTGCTTGTGTGTTAGGCCTTTCTTACATTGCTATAAAGAAATATCTGAGACTGGGTAATTTATAAAGAAAAGAGGATTAATTGACTCATGGTTCTGCAGGCCATACAGGAAGCATGGTGCTGGGATCTGCTCACTTCTGAGGAGGCCTCAGGAAGCTTTTACTCATGGCAGAAGGTGAAGTGGGAGCAGGCACACCACATGGCCAGAGTGTGAGCAAGAGAAAGAGAGTAGGGGAGGTGCCACACACTTTTAAACAACCAGATCTCACAAGAACTCACTAATTATCACAAGGAAAGCACCAAGCCAAAAGGGATCTGCTTCCATGATCCAAACACCTCCCACCAGGCCCCATCTCCAATCCTGGGGATTACATTTCAACATGAGATTTGGGTAGGACAAATATCCAAACCTTATCAGTTTGTTTTTAAGGTGAGTAATTCTCTCTTGCCTGTGATATGGCCTTGCTCTAGTACATCAGGACCTGAATTGTAGGTCTTCTTCTCTGACTTGCCATAAATCCCATATAGCATTTTTTCTCACTACTTGTAGCTTTAATGCAATCCTCCTGGTCCTCGAAGGGTAAGGACACTTGGATTGCAACCTGGACCTGCTGCAGCGCCCCTTCCTTCATGGGATACACCCAAAGCAGGCAGCCTTTTGTATCATTTAGTCTACAGACAGAGGCAGTATTCCCAGGTGTGGCACAATTCTACCACGTGTTGTTTCTACTTTTTGTGGCTGAAGTGCAAAATGCAATAATTTATCTTTTACCTTGGACGGGATACTCTTGGCCACTAGACCCCTAAAAATGTTACTGACTTGAAATGCACCTGAAAATTCATAGGACATGTCTCCCAACCTCTAAAGTTCATGTGTGATATCAAGACCTCCACTATGCTAACCATTTTTGCTTACCCAGCCAAATTGGCATGATGTCATTGATAGATCATTGTGAAAATCTTTAGAATACTCAAATAATCCAGATCTCTTTGGACTGCACTTGATAGAGGGCAGAAGAAATAACATAGGCCTGGAGCAAGATTGTAATTGTGTACTATTGTCCTTTTCATGTGAATGTGAATTGATTTTGATCCTCTTATAGGAAAAGAATTCATTTGCCAAATCAATGGCTACATACCACATAGCAAGCAAAGATACATCTGATATGAAGGTTGCTATTGGAGATACTACTTAGTTAAGTTTGTGGTAGTTTATTGTCATCCTACAGGATTTATCTGGTTTTTGGAGGAAACAGACCAATGAATTAAGTGATGACACAATGGAGACTATATCCATTAGATACCTAAAGATGGCATTAATTTTTGCCATGCCTCAGGATATAATATCAGTTTTGATATACTATCTTTCCAGGATTGGGAGAATTCCCTGTTATGATAGTTCTTACAATACAGCAAGGACCAATGCGAGGTTGTGTCTTAAGAATGTTTACCCCAATTATATATTTGGAGATGAGGAAAATGACTACTGTGCGGGTCTGTAGACCCAGTAGGTCCACTATGAACTGCACTTTGATGAGGAATTCATTTATTACCTTATCCATAGATGGCTCCATTCTAAATGGGCCCATGACACTTTGGATCTCTATCTTATTGTCAGTTTGGCCCTGTGTCTAACAGTCCTTGAGGTGTTTGGATATACTACTTTTCCCTGTGAACAGTTTTTTTTTTTGTTTTTTTTTTTTTGTATTTTTAGTAGAGATGGGGTTTCACCGCATTAGCCAGGATGGTCTCGATCTCCTGACCTCATGATCCACCCACCTCGGCCTCCCAAAGGGCTGGGATTACAGGTGTGAGCCACTGCGCCCAGCCTGTGAACAGTTTTACAAGTAAATGGCTGTAGGTACATTTGGGGGAGGACAGGGGGAATCATTACAGTGTACCCTTGCCATATGTTGTACAGTCCTTTGTCCTAGCAGCCCAGTCTCCTCTTCAATCAAAGGGTTCTGAGATGGAGTTTTTTGCTCTTGTTGCCCAGGCTGACACCGCAACCTCTGCCTCCCAGGTTCAAACGATTCTCCTGCCTCAGCCTCCAGAGTAGCTGGGATTACAGGCATGCGCCACCATGCCTGGCTAATTTTTTTTGTATTTTTAGTAGAGACGGGGTTTCTCCATGTTGGTCAGGCTGGTCTCGAACTCCTGACCTCAGGTGATCCGCCCACCTTGGCCTCCCAAAGTGCTGGGATTACAGGCGTGAGCCACTGTGCCCGGCCAATCAAAGGGTTCTGTTCTGAAACTGGCTGAGATCAAGAAATTGGGCAAGAGATTGTGGCTTTTATTGGAACAGCTGCCCTTAACCAATGAATCATCCATCCTTTATCCCTTCTGACAGTTTAAGGTGAATAATAGCCTTATCAGCTGTCCATCTATCATGCCTGTAAGGGAAGCCATGTTCTACTATCTCCACAGCTCTCTATGGATCAAGAACCCTTGGCTACCACCTCACATTTGCCACTCAGTTGCATCCCACTAAATTTTGATAGTTAAATGCTGCTACCTGACCTTTATTTTTTTTTCATACTACTGTCATTCCCATGGCTATCAGTAAGCCTGGTTCTATAATGGTGTCTCCTATTGTCAGTCATGATCCACAGAGAGTAGCCATCACTGAATTAATTTCTTTCTTTCTTTCTTTCTTTCTTTCTTTCTTTCTTTCTTTCTTTCTTTCTTTCTTTTTCTTTCTTTCCTTCCTTCCTTTCCTTTCTTTCTTTCTCTTTCTTTCTTTCTTTCTTTCTTTCTTTCTTTCTTTCTTTCTTTCTTTCCTTCCTTCCTTCCTTCCTTCCTTCCTTCCCTTCCCTTCCCTTCCCTTCCTTCCTTCCTTCCTTCCTTCCTTTCTTTCTTTCTTTCTTTCCTTCTTTCTTTTCTTTCTTTCTTTCTTCTCTTTCTTTTTTTTTTTTTTGAGACGGAGTTCGCTCTGTCGCCCAGGCTGGAGTGCAGTGGTGCGATCTCGGCTTACTGCAAGCTCTGCCTCCTGGGTTCATGCCATTCTCCTGCCTCAGCCTCCCGAATAGCTGGGACTACAGGTGCCTGCCACCACACCCAGCTAATTTTTTGTATTTTTAGTAGAGACGGGGTTTCACCATGTTAGCCAGGATGGTCTCAATCTCCTGACCTCGTGATCCGCCCACCTCGGCCTCCCAAAGTGCTGGAATTACAGGCGTGAGCCACCACACCCGGCCTCACTGGATTTCTTAATGATGTTTGTGCCATTCTCCTTGGTGCCTTACTTATTGCTTTGGTAAATGGTGTAAACTCTAGGACTTCTCATGGGTCATAATTATCTAGTGGATTTTCTGGCCTTACATAGTTGTGATGGCTAATTTTATGTGTTAACTTGACTGGGCTAAGGGATTTCCAGATAGCTGGTAAAACATTATTTCTGAGTGTGTTTGAGGGCATTTGTAGAAGAGATCAGCATCTGAATCAGTAGACCGAGTAAACAAGATCCATCTTCACCAGTGCGGGCAGGCATCATCCAATCTCTTGAAGCCCTGCATAAGACAAACAGGCTAAGGGGGAGCGAATTCTCTCCTTCTCTTTTTTAGCTGGGACATCCATCTTCTCCCACCTTTGGATAATGGGGCTACTAGTTCTTGGGCCCTGGGACTCTGGGACTTATGTCACTGACTTCCCTGGCCCTGAAGTTTGCAGTCAGCAGGTAGTGAGACTTCTCAGTCTCCATAGTTGTGTGAGCTGATTTTCATAATAAATCGCACAGCCACCCCCTCTACACACTTCCCCCTATCGTAGGTTCTGTTTCTCTAAGACCCCAAACTTAAGAATGTAAATTTTCCTAGGCTTTCTAATCTCTTCCTCTACTGTCTGCCATGAGAATTCTGGTTATTTTGATTTAACTTAGTGTGTGCCATCACTTTTTGATGCTTCTAGAAGTCATACTAATAGTGTTTATTCCATATAAATGCTTGTCAGAGTGTTAATTCCTATGTCTCCCAAATCAATAAACTCTTATCTAATCTTATGCTCCAACTGCCTTAATTGAGCAACCTCAGAATCCAGTACCAGGAGCATTCCCCTGGCTCCTGCTGGTATATGCTATCTAGGACTTGTAGCTCTTTTAGGGTAGAGCTCTTTTACTCCCTCATTAGGCTTAGCATATCTACAGGGTTATGCTGTGAGCTAACTCTACGTGAGTTTAGTGGCCGAAAGGGGAGGTAGAGGCAGATTTTGAGGGTAATATATATTGTCTTATAGGGAAGAAGCCTCTGCATATCTTTGAGGAAAGGGCTATCTTTTAATAAGGAGGAGTGGACCACTTCTGCAGGCTCACAGGGTCAAGGAAAATCTTGAAATTAAAGATGCAGGGGATATTGATCCCTATATTCTCATCTTATGACTCAGGATACCATCTTTTCCCAAATGGAGCCCTCAGTCTGGCACAGTAGACTTGTCTAGGAGTTAACCTTATCAGGAACTTAGCTAATCTGACAGTTATATATCCTGGCCTTGTCCTCAGCTTTCTCTGCCCTCCTTCTGTAGGAAATAGAAGCCTCTTTTTACTCCACCTAGGAATCATGCTGGCTTTTATGTCTGGCTTTCAATTTCTGTTAATTACTCTCAAGTCAATTGAATTTGGCCATAGACACACATTCCCATTGTCCATATGGCTACTTTTTGCTGACTGTTTCTCAAATGCCCTGTAGATCGAAACAGTTAATGCATTCTCTTCCACTAGCGGAATTCACTATCCCAGTTCACCACCAGTGAAAATTTTAACAACTGGACTGCCACCTTGTGGCAGGAGCTGTGTTCCACCTACTACTAGTTATAGGGCCCTTATTTGCCAGCTGAGAAATGATTCAGCTTGAAACCCCCATCTTATTGCCTGCTTTCTAAGACAACTCCCATTACCAATAGTTACATAATTCCCTGGGAAGCAGGCTACGAGATGGAGTTTATTGAAAAAGATGTTTATTAGGGTGTACCCTTGGGATTACCACCAGTTGAAGAAAAGGGGAAGGAAGTAGGCAGAGGGAAAAGTCCAACTATGATGCAGTTCCTACTATAGCCTTGCTAACCCCACCAGGAGCTTAGAAGCCAAAATGAACCTTTAGAGTTGTTCCACATTGAGCCAACATGGCTGGAACTTCATACCTTTGTCTTGATCTGCCATTAAATGCAGGATGCCCCAGGAAGGGCATGACCTTAGATGAGGCAGATGTGTGTAACTGAGGACATCCCTGAGGATTCTGACAGCTGAACTCTGTCTACTGATAACACTCCTAGCACTTAGGCAAAAGGACCTCCTTGAAGATGGATGGGGTGGTACATCTCCATGTCCATTAAAAACATTTTTTAGGCTGAGTGCAGAGGCTTACACCTGCAATCCCAGCATTTTGGGAGGCCGAGGCAGGAGGATCACTTGAGCCCAGGAGTAGAAGGCCAGCCTGGGTAATATAGTGAGACCCCCATCTCTACAAAAAAAACCCAAAAAATTAGTCAGGCATGGTGGCACGCACCTGTGATTCTAGCTACTCAGGAGGCTGAGGTGGGAGGATCACTTGAGCCCTGGAGGTTGAGGCTGCAGTGAGCCATGGTCACACCACTGCACTCCAGCCTGGGTGTCTCTGTCTCAAAAAAACCAAACAAAATAAAATGGGGAAAAAAGCCTTTGTTTTTCCCCACAGAGCTCAGGGAAACATTTACTTATGTTTACTGGTTTGTTATAAAGGATGTTCCAAAGGATACAGAAGCGATGCATAGGGCAAGGTATAGGAGAGGAGGGGAGCAGAGCTTCAATACCCTACCAAGGCACACCACCTTCCAGGAACCTCCTAGTTTGCCAGGTTTGCAGCTATTCAAAAGCTCCCCAAACCCTGTCCTTTGGGAGTTTTAACAGAGGCTTCACTACATAGGCATGATTGATTAAACCATTGATCATTGGTGATCAACTTAACCTTCAGCACCTCTCCTCTTCCTGGAGGTTGCAGGGTGGGAAAGTCCTAACCCTTTAACCCTGTCTTAGTCTTTTCTGTGACCAGCCCCCAATTCTGAAGCTGCCCAGGGGCTTCCAGCCACCAGTCATCTCATTAGGATACAAAGACATCACTCTGGAGTTTCTAAGGATTTTAATAGTTGTATGCCAGGAAATGAGGTCAAGGGCCAAATACATAATTCATGATATCACAGTCTACCTCCGATGTGTAATTCCTTACTTAAAAAGACGTACAACTCAAAAGACACTGCCACATTACTAGAATCTTATTCAATTATTAATAATTAGTTCAGTCCATTATCATATTGTATGAATTTGTATCCCAGGGTGAGGCCACTCAAGTTTGCAGGATTTTCATTGATCTTATCAGGTTCTAAAAGCAGCAGTGGTCTTGGCTTCACCCTGTAAGACACCTGGTATAATTGAACTAAGAGACAATGTCATCTCTTGCTCTGAGCCTTTTTCAAGGTGTTAATGTAATGTGATACTAGATTTATCTGAATTCATAACCCATTTATTCCTTTATTCTCAGCTGCTCTTCTTTCTTCACTTCATTAATAAGCGTTGCAAAGGACATTAGAGTCAACACTGTGCTGGTCTAGATTGTAGGCATCACTACTGGTAATTACCTTCTCCTTAGTCCATTTCCATTCAGATAGGCTAAGTTTATGTAGGTGCCAAATTATTGCACCATTTTTACCACCAGGCAGTATAGCTGCATTCACTGTTAACCCCAATTTTGCACAACCCACTCCCATCAGGCCCTTAGCAATTCTGATATGAGGCTTAAAAACGTATTTACAGTTTCTTGTTTAGAAATCATCCCTGCTTCCAGTACTTGTAGTTACAGCTCTGGTCCTAGAACGACTTTTTTGATCAGAGGAGCAGCCTTCCAAACAGGAGGTTGCCCACTCACCTTGGAATCTTGGAGCTGTCATCCACAAACTCAGCAGTTGTTGGGTGGTTAGTTGAGAGCTGTTTATAGGGCACTGTGCAAGTGTTGACAGAACCCAGCAGCTCCTCAGTTTTATAGTCAGTACTTACAGTGGCTTTTATCTAGTTCACTAGGCTGACTGTTCCCTCAGGAACACTCCTATGTGCCTGGATCACATATAGCCATCTGCAATTGTTCAATAGTGAGTTGTGTGCCCTGCATCGACCCAAATATGCCCTTCCACTCTGAAGCATTTAAAGCCAAATAAATTTTACCAATGTGTTATGAAGAATATTACAAAGGATACAGATGAAGAGATGCATAGAGGTATGGGGAAAGGGGTGAGGAGCTTCCATGACCTTTGTGGGAGCACTACCCTCTAGAAGCCTCCACATGTGCAGCTATCTAGAAGCTCCAAAAACATTAAAAAAAGTTTTAAATTTTAAAATAATTTAAGACCCAAAACATTTTTAAAAATAGTATGAGTTTCCATTTGTCCTTCCCTCACAGCTTCCTCAAAAGTTAACATCTTATCCTCAATGTAAGAAATTATCATTGATACAATTAACTAACCTGTAGACTTTATTCAAATTTTGCCAATTGTTCCACTAATGTCCTTTTTCCGGTCTAGGAATCGGTCATTAACTTCTCCTTAACTTCTTCCAATCTAGGACAATTTTCCAGTCTTTCTTTAGCTTCTATGACCTTAACACTTTTTAAGAGTGCTGGCAAGCTATTGGTTAAATGTCTCTTAATTTGGGTTTGTCTGATATTTCCTTATGACTAAATTTTGGTAGTACATTTTTGGCAAGAATAATACAGAAATGATGTGCAGTCGTCATATCAGGAGATATGTCAGGTTAATGTTTCATACTGGAGATGTTAACTTTGGTTATTTGATAAAGAGTTTGTCTCCACTGTAAAGTTACTGTTTGCCGTCTGTAATTAATAAATATTATAACAATATCTTTGTAATTAACAAGTATCATATGAGGAACTGCTTGGAGAATGATCTATTTCTTAACAGGATAATAGTTATTTACTGAAAAGGTAGGACTATGTTCCAAATCCCAGAGGCCCACGCTGTAATTCTCTTGTTAGGGAATGTCTTGGGCTTCATATAACATTCTGCTATAGTAGACACTTTAAACATAATTTATTTTTTCAGACAGCGTCTTGCTCTGTCGCCCAGGTTGGAGTTCAGTGGTGTGATACCGGCTCACTGCAACCTCTGCCTCCTGGGTTCAAGCAATTCTCGTGCTTCAGCCTTCCGAGTTGCTGGGATTACAGGCCTGTGCCACCACACCTGTCTAATTTTTTTTATTTTTAGTAGAGATGGGGTTTCACTATGTTGGCCAGGCTATTCTCAAACTCCTGACCTCAAGTGATCCACCTGCCTCGGCCTCCGAAAGTGCTGGGATTACAGGCATGAGCCACTGCGCCCAGCGTTAAACATAATTTTATCTGCTGAGTCATAACTCCCAAGTGGTGTTCCTGTTCTTAATGCATTCTGGAGTACCTGTAGAGCCTTCTTTGATTTGGAGTTCAGTTTAAAGCTGGCAGCCTTAACAGTGACTCAGCAAAAAGATCAGAGAAGGATGCCAAAAGATAACATGTTGCCTCCAAAATCAAGAGGCTCACCAAGTTTGCCTTTTTCTTCATGGTAGGGAGTGTAGGAAGGGCAGCAGCAACTTGTTTTTCACTTTCTTGGAAATATCTTAACATGCCCTAGATTTCTGAATCCCCCAAAACTTCAGAGAGGACAGTTCCTTAAATTGTTGTGGGGCTTACTTATCTCCTCTTCTGCCATACATACGTCTTACGAAGGCATCTAGGGCACATGTTACTTGCTATTGAAGAGGTACAATCAGCATGATCCCATTAGCGTGCTGGAAAAATGTGATGTCCTATGGGATGGTGAGATAATTAGAACCTTGTATGACTCTCAGAGGAGCAGGAGCACCCCTAACATTTGTGATACCTAGGGCAAGAATAAAAATAGAGATTTATTTTCCCAGCTACTCGGGAGGCTGAGGCAGGAGAATGGCGTGAACCCGGGAGGCGGAGCTTGCAGTGAGCCGAGATAGCGCCATTGCAGTCCGGCCTGGGCGAAACGAAAGAGCCAGACTCCGTCTCAAAAAAAAAAAAGAAAAAAGAAAAAAAAATAGAGATTTATTTTCCTGAGTCTTTGTTTTTTTTTTTTGTTTTTGTTTTTTTTTCCTCTACACTATTGAAACTGTGCCCCAAAGAGTTAAAGAAACCAGTAACTAACAGAAATTCTTGAGTTTTCATAATGGCAGATAAGAAACAACTTGCTGAAACACTGAGACTCCCTCTGCTTAAAAGAAATGAACTGGCTGAAATCGGTTGTAACCTAGATAGATAAATGGAGTTTGCACAGAATGAGCTTGCTGAGATCGCAGCCTGAGTTTCCACCACAGGTTTCATACTAACTCCCCCGAATTCGCACAAAGACCCTTGCGGAGGCATGAAGAGGTAAGTGCACATGCCCAAGGACTTCCCATGCCTCCCCTTTCCTTCCGCTAATCACCGCTCTCAGAATCTGCCCCCTAAATCTTTTCTTTTTCTTTTCTTCCTTTGTTTCTTTTTTTTTTTTTTTTTTTGAGACGGAGTCTTACTCAATCGCCCAGGCTGGAGTGCCGTGGTGTGATCTCCGCCCATTGCAACCTCCACCTCCCGGGTTCAAGTGATTCTCCTGCCTCAGCCTCCTGAGTAGCTGGGATTACAGGCGCACGCCACCACGCCTGGCTAATTTTTGTATTTTTAGTAGAGGCAGGGTTTCACCATGTTGGCCAGGCTGGTCTCAAACTCCTAACCTTAGGTAATCCACCCGCCTCGGCCTCCCAAAGTGTTGGGATTACAGGCGTGAGCCACCACGCCCAGCCCCGTAAAGCATTTCTAACAAAATTACTGCCTGAAAGCCAGCATGGGAAGACACTTGACGTTTACTCCTGTCTCCTTGGGAATCCATTTTCTTTCCTTTGTGTGTTTGTTGCTATAACAAAGACTTTCAATATAAAGCTTTTCTTTTCTCAAAAATGCAGTGTCATATTATTGGCTTCTAGCATATCAGGTAGTGAGTCCCTTTTGCTGGATAACATTATCCTAAGGCATTATTAGCATCTTAATTTCCTTTGTTAAATTGTGGCTGTCATTGAATTGAGTCAGCTGACCAAAAGAACTATTAGAGATAATCATGTGAAAGCTTGAACACTGAATTCAGAATCTCTGGCAAACGAACCCACCTAAATTCAACTCAATCTAAAGGTTTTTTCTTTGTTTTCTGTTATAGCATACTCAGTTCTCAAACATATTCCTAAGGTTTCTGTGATGTAGTTAGCAAAATTATGCAATTCTTTCAGTATATATGCCTTCTAATATTGGGACTGGCTTTGTGCTTGTCCCCATTGAACATGCTAGGATATGAATCTAATTAGAGGTCTAGAGGCAATGAGAGTTGGCAAATGAAGGGCATGGAGAAAATTAGCAACCCTTTGCAATGTAACTGTCTCAGCTGAGGTCATTACAGACTATGCATGCAAAGAGGACAGTCTTATTAAAAAGGAAAATGAGTTTGCTTCTGCTGGGATAAAAAAGGGCTCAATTGGTTTGGGGATTCAAGATACAATCACATCTGAATTCACCTAGCTGTCCCCATTCCCATTCTAAGGATACTACTCTTTCTGGATCAATGCTCTAGCAATTTCATTAAAAAACATGCAGTGGTTGTGAATTCAACTTTGTAATTATTTATCAACCTGAAGAATCAGACTTTTTGTCTGATTTTTATCTATGTAGTCCTGTAGCCGTGGGATAAAAGAGATGTTTTTAAAGCAATCATTAAAATATTTGATTTTCATATCTTTCCTGACCCAAGAATTTTAAAACCCTAAGTTCGTTATTTTCTTTAATTGAATTCTCGATTGCAGTCAAAAGTAATCACCACATCCCCTGAACCTTTCTCTTCCCCACCATAATGCTTTGGTACACCAGCCACTTTGCTTACCAGAGAATTACCTTCAATAAGCAATTAATTCCAGACAAACACAAGTGATAACCTGAGTAAATGTTTTGCTGTTGCTTACCAGGGACTACCAATATCTTATTTTCTAGAGGATATGGGACTATCATTGCCTTTGATCTATCTAGGTCATATAATCTATCCTAAATTTCATTCTTCGGTGTTTGTTGCCTGCAAATTCTGGTACAAAATATATTTTTGGGGCTCAGGGCACATAACAAAAACAACTCTAATCAGTTTAAGCAGAAAAATATTTAACAGAGATAATTAGATTTTTATAGCATCATTGGAATGTGTGGATAAGTGGAACTCAGGAACTATTGAGTTCCAAGAACAACTTGCTACACCTGTGACCCAGGGTTAGTAGGCCACTTCTACTGTTGCTACCACCTCTCAATACCCACACAGTTGCTCCTAGATACAGGAACACTCAATCTGGCTGTTGCTCCTGGTGACACTGGAATGCTGAACCTTCCTTCCACAGCTACTTCTCAACCCTTTGCTTGTACAACCAAATGCAGCAGTATAGCAGATGCTATTGATGCCTGTCCTATATTCCCTTGGCCCACCTCAGAGTTTACCTGCAGTTCAATGAAAACTTTTTAGCAAGCTTACAGCAGCTTCTCTTGTGATATGGTTTGGCTGTGTCCCCACTCAAATCTCATCTTGAATTGTACTCCCATAATTCCCACGTGTTGTGGGAGGGACCTGGTGGGAGATAATTGAATCATGAGGGCAGTTTCCCTCCTACTGTTCTGGTCGTAGTGAATAAGTCTCATGAGATCTGATGGTTTTATCAGGGATTTCCACTTTTGCATCTCTCTCATTTTCTCTTGCCGCTGCCATGTAGGAAGTGCATTTCACCTACTGCCATGATTCTGAGGCCTCCCTAGCCATGTGGAACTGTAAGTCCAATTAAACCTCTTTTGCTCCCTAGTTTCAGGTATGTCTTTATCAACAGTGTGAAAATTGACTAATACATCATGTCAAGCACTTTTGTCTTTCTACTTCTCTTCCTGGGAGGGATTTCTCTGATGCCATAGGAGCTTGCTCTGCCCATTCACATTGCAATCTGGAATTTCCAGAAATTTAATGCCCTTAGGGTTAACACTCAATGAAAGATGGAAGGTGAGATCAGTCTACCACTAACTTTCTGGTTCTTTGATGGGACAATTCTACAGTATGTTCCACACAGTTCCTCATAGAGTTCCCTAGCAAGATTGAGGCCCATGTATTCACAATGGTAATCTGCTTATTAAAATAATAATTTTTAATTTATTGATGTTTCTCCCTTCTTTTTCTCAGTTTCCACACTTCCTCACTGGTGCTTCTCTAGATAACTTTTTAAATAAATTAATTGCACCTAAGTCCTTGTCTCTAGGTCTGCTTTTGGGAGAACTCAACAAAGATAGCAACTTAGAAAGCAAATTCTAAGGATGGGATTCTGAACTTGAATTACTTGCTGGTCACATGGCAGCAATCCAATTCTGGTAGAAAGTGGGGTTGTGATAATCCCTGTCATGCTGTAGCATCCCACTTACTAAGATTCTCACCTGTGGAGGATTGAAATGAGCAACAGGTATAACTACTGGCTTATGCAATAGCTTCTGCACATGACACAAATGGAAAAAATTGTAATTGAAAGGATTGTGAAGTTTGCTTCTTTTTTCTACTGACCATAAGCCCTGAATATATAGCATGATTAGCTCAAATTATCCACCTATCAATTTAGAGAACACTGTGAAAGCCAAAGGCTTTCCATGGAAAAATTTTAAAAGACATCTCTTTTCTACAGCTGGAGGGCTAGATGTACTGAAAATCAGGCTCAGTATTTGAATGTATTAGTGCCAGAGCTACAAAGCAGACTGAAAACACAACGATCTAAGTTTTCTTTGTTAAAGTTAGAATCCTGATAGGAAAGAAATATTCCACATACTCTGAGTCCTGGGATGAGGACATTTGGTTGGATGTACTTGAGATACTTATATTCTCAGATTCCCTTGAACTCTTTCTAGCCATGGATCCTCCTCCTTTCTAGGGAAATAAAGCCTTTCATTGCTTGGAGATAATGTAATGCCTTCATCTGATATTAATGCCTTACAAGATGAAACTTACCCTATTCAAGACCTGTCCCCACTGCTTTTATATCTATAACTAAGGTTAAATAATGACGTGAGCTGGAAAGTACAATTCCTGCTCATGAGAAAAATAAATCCTATTCATTAGAAAATAAAATTTAGGCCAGGCACAGTGGCTTATGCCTGTAATCCCATCACTTTGGGAAGCCGAGGCAGGCAGCTCACAAGGTCTGGAGATCGAGACCATCCTGGCCAACATGGTGAAACCCTGTCTCTACTAAAAATACAAAAAAATTAGCTGAGCATGGTGGCATGCACCTGCAGTCCCAGCTACTCAGGAGGCTGAGGCAGGAGAATTGCTTGAACCCGAGAGGTGGAGGTTGCAGTGAGCTCAGATCGTGCCACTGCACTCCAGCCTGGTGAGAGAGCGAGACTCCGTCAAAAAAAAGAAAAGAAAAGAAAATTTAAAAAAATTATATTCACTAAAGAAACTACAAGGCATGGCTAATATGTACCAGCAGAAACATGGGGATTATGCTTGGAAATTAATATTGAACATAAATGTGTGTGTGTGTGTGTGTAATATGCTGCTGGATAGAGGAGTGTTTAGGGTACAAAGGTACTCTCTCTTGACTTCAGATTTGTACTTCAGAATTGCCTCCTGGCAATGACACCTATGATAAGAACTAATACATTGCTGGGTTGGCCTCTTGAAGCTTGGGCATAATGATGGACTACAATAAACGAGTTGGAGTTACCAGAACTACCTTGGAGAGTACTGAAGGGGTCAGAAGCGTCAAACATATTAGAGTGGATTTATTAGATGACACTAGAAAAGTCATCTGCAGAGTCTTTTCTTTGGGAGAGTCCATAGATTTTCATACATTTGTATGTATTTATTTATTTTGAGATGGAGTCTCGCACTGTCGTCCAGGCTGGAATGCAATGGCACGATCTCAGCTCACTGCAACCTCCGCCTCCTGAATTCAACCAATTCTTCTGCCTCAGCCTCCTGAGTAACTGGGATTACAGGTGCCCGCCATCATGCCCAGCTAATTTTTGTATTTTTAGTAGAGATGGGGTTTCATCATGTTGGCCAGGCTGGTCTTGAACTCCTGACCTCAGGTGATCCGCCTGCCTCGGCCTCCCAAAGTGATGGGATTACAGGCATGAGTCACCGTGCTTGGTCCATACATTTACTTCATTCATGCAAATAAGGATATACTAATGAAGGGGCATTCGTATATTTTTATTTTTATTTTGTTTTATTTTGCATTTCGTATGTTATCCAGTTTCACATTCTCACAGGATCAGCAATGACAACAGCCATTTAGTCTCCCAAGTCTGAAATGGCAAGACATTCACAGCTGTGGCTGACTACGTAAAGCACTGATATGCTCACAAAACAAAAAACATTGCACAATATTTCCTTCATTTCATTTTTCTTAAACAAATACCTGACAGGCTTATGCTGAAGAATGGAAAACCTTTTCTTCTTCCTGCCTCAAACTTAACATTAAACTTATGTGACAGAATGAACAAGGTCACTTTAACAATTAATGGTACACACATGAAAAATCTTTTACGATGCATAAATATTTTGTTGCCATGTTGCCCAGGCTGGTCTTGAATTCCCAGCCTGGAGCAATCCTCCCACCTTGGTGTCTCAAAGTGCTGGGATTACAAGTGTGAGCCACTGTGCCTGGCCCATTCAGAATTGTTTTAAAGACTTTCTATATATCTATTATGTATCTAAATTCAAATTTGCTCTTTTGTTAATATGATGAATTACTTTACATTGATTGTTTTAATTTAACACATACTACATTTATTATTTAGGGGTTTTGTTTGGTCTTGAATAACAGAAAACTCCCAAGATATGCTCCACAAATCAACAAGGTGCTGATTTTTCTCCTAGGAGAGTCCAGAAATAGGTAGGGCAAGGATGGTGTAGCTACTGAACAATACAGTAGGGGAATAAGGTACTTATTTGTTCATTTTTCCTGAAATAGTGTATGACTTGGAGAAACAGGGCCTTGAGAAGTATTATGGGAACAACATGCTCACCATAAAAATTAGACTTTTGATAAATGTCAAGAAAATGGAGTCAGAATATTAAAGAAAGCCTTTAATCCTGAAATTCTGCAACAGTGGTATGAATAAGCAGGTTTAAGCTTGCAAGGAAATTCAGGCAGCTATGCCTGTCTGGTCACCAAAGTGAGGTCATGAAAGATGACAAGCTCATAGCGATGTTTGTGGAAGCTATCACTTGTTTTTTTGTTTTTGTTTTTTTTTTTTTTTTTGGAGACAGGGTCTCACTCTGTCACCCAGGCTGGAGTGCAGTAGCAGGATCTCGGCTCACTGCAACCTCCATCTCCCAGGTTCAAGCAATTCTCCTGCCTCAGTCTCCTGAGTAGCTGGGATTACAGGCATGCTGATTTTTGTATTTTTAGTAGAGATGGGGTTTCACCATGTTGGCCAGGCTGGTCTCGAACTCCTGGCTTCAAGTGATCCACCTGCCTCAGCCTCCCAAAGTGCTGGGACTACAGGTGTGAGCCACTGTGCCCAGCCTGGAAGCTACCACTTCTGAGGGAATTGAAGTTAAGTGCTTAGGTGATTGGCTCAATGCTAATGTTGTTCAACAGAGCCAGTAATCAAAAAGACATGCTTAAAGTTTGGAACTGATGGGTACTTCTAGATCTGTTTGTCAATCTGCTACTGCCACATCCTTTTGAGATTTATGGCTTCCATTTTATTTCTTCATTCCAAATCTCACTCAGTTTCCTCTTTTGTTCAACTCTAACCTATAAACCATAGACAAAGAGGATTCTGGAAAATGTATTTCTAAGCCATATAACACAGTCCAGCACAATCATCATTACCTGTAACTTTCATCGACATGGCTGCAAGGTCCCTCTTTTCAACTTGAAGGGCTGTGTTCAACTTGAAGCAGTAGCAAAATACAGAAGGTTAAATAATCAGGTCAGAGGTCAGATGAAACTGTCCTTTTTCAATAACTGCATATTTTTAAGTTTCTATCAACTATATTGACCAAGACAATTAGTTGTAGAGTACACTCTCTGCAAAACTCTGCTGAAGATACCTCTTTCACCAGTGAAGTTGAAAAATTCTAAGTTTTCTTAGTAAGGAAGAAGGGCAGGGTAGATATCAGCTAAGGAAATCCTAGGATCTGCTATGGTAAGCCAGAAAAAAGAAACCTCCAAAGTACCAAACTCAATAGCACAATGACCACTTGCATTAACTATAATGAAATTGAATTAGAAACAATAAGAAAATAAATTTTAAATTATTTTATTTCAGCCTTATAGGTCCAAGGAGACTTCACAATGGAAATTAGACACTTAATAAACGATAATAAAAATAATATATATCAAAGTTATGTGAGATAGCTGAAAGGGTACTGGGAGCAATAGTTATCATCATAAAAGTTTTTATTAGAAAATAAAAACTAAATTATGAGCTGGGTTCCACTTCAAGGATGAGATACTAATAAAACATTTTCATATTTACAAGATTTTAAAGATTTGTCTTCTGGTGTCAATTTTATGTATAAGAAGAGATATATCTGAACACCTTCCCACATGAATTACATTCATTGGGTT
Organism: Homo sapiens; assembly: GCF_000001405.40. Taxonomy (NCBI): domain Eukaryota; kingdom Metazoa; phylum Chordata; class Mammalia; order Primates; family Hominidae; genus Homo; species Homo sapiens. Next base: position 141,261,221 of record NC_000005.10, on the reverse strand, counting down.
TCTTTCCAATGTGAGTTTTCACATGTCTTTGAAAATACGAGGAAAGAAACTAAGGGATTTTCCACATTCTTTACAGTCGTATCTCCCAGTATGAGTTCTCACTTGCTGACTAAGGCATGAAAAAGACTTGAAAGTTTTCTCACATTCTAGGCATTTATTTTTTTTCAGTATGTGTTCTCACATGTTTTCTAAAGTGTGAGGGATTACACTTTCCTACGTTTCTTCCACTTGCATGGTTCCTCTTTAATGTGAATTTTACCTCAATTTGAAAAAATTAGACCCAAGATAAGATTTTCCTACACTCCTTATACTAATAGAGTTTCTCTCCAGTGTGAGTTCTCACACTGTTTTGTAAGGGATGAGGAATAGCTGAAGATATTTCTGCATTTCATACATTCAGTGTGTTTACTAGTCAGGGTTCTCCAGAGAAACAGAACCATTAGAAGATAGATAGATGGATAGATAGAGAGAATTTATTATGAGAATCAGCTCACATGATTATGGAGGCTGAGAAGTCCCATAATATGCCATCTGCTAACTGGAGAACCAGGGAAGCTGGTGGCATAGCTCAGTCCAAGTCTGAAGGCCCAAGAACCTGGAGGGCCACTAGTATAAGTCCCAAAGACCAGAGAACCTGGACTTCTTATATCCAAGGGCAAGAAAAGGTGGGTGTATCAGGACCAGAAGGGAGAGCAAATTCACCTTTCCTATCCCCTTTTGTTCTATCTAGGCCCTCGATTGATTAAATGGTGCCCAGCCACGCTGGATGAGGCCTGATCTTCCTTACTCAACCTACGGATTCCAATGTCAATCTGTTCTGGACTACCCTCACAGATATATCCAAAATTAATGCTTTACCAGGTACCTGAGTATCCTTAACCCAGTCAAATTGACCCATAAAGTTAACCATCACACAGTGTTTCTCCAATGTGTATTATCACATGAGTGGTAAAATATGAAGAATAAATGAAGGATTTTTCATATTGTTTACAATTATAGAGGCTGTCTTCGGTGTTTGTTCTCACATTTCTATTGAAAGAAGAGGGCAAACTGTATACTTGCCCATCTTTCTTACATGCATAAAGTTCCTTTTTGGTTTATTTTCATTTGAACAGGAAGTTTTGAGGAATAAATGAAGGCTTTTCTTCATTCTCTATATTGATAAATCCTCTCTCCAACGTTAGTTCTTACATGTACAGCAAGAGATCTGGAAGAAATCAAGCCTATCTCACATTCTTTTATATCCATAGGGTAAATTACAATATGAGTTATCACATATGCCCTAAAGGATTAGGGGCAACTCAAGGTTTTTCTACATTTTTATGTTAATAAGATTTCTCTTCAGTGAGAGTTTTCACATGTTTTCTAAAAGATTAAAGAAAATTGAAAGCTTTTTCACATTTCTTATACTCATAAGGCTTATCTCCACTGTCTACTGTGAGTTCATTTTTTTTTTTTTTTTTTTTTGTGAGACGGAGTCTCGCTCTGTCACCCAGGCTGGAGTGCAGTGGCATGATCCTGGCTCACTACAACCTCTACCTCCTGGGTTCAAGCAATTCTCCTGTCTCAGCCTCCTGAGTAGCTGGGATTACAGGTGCACGTCACCACACCTGGCTAATTTTTGTATTTTTAGTAGAGATGGGGTTTCACCATATTGGTAAGGCTGGTCTTGAACTCCTAACCTCAGGTGATCTACCCGCCTTGGCCTCCCAAAGTGCTGGAATTACAGGCATGAGCCACCGTGCCCAGCCCACTGTGAGTTCTTACATGTACATCAATAAATGAAGAATGAACAAAGGCTTGCTTACATGTCTATTCATAGAATTCTTCTCCAGTGTGAAATTTTTCATGATTCCTAAAATACAAGGAACACATAAAGGATTCCCTCTATTCCTTACTTTGATAGGGTATGTGTTCAGTGTGTGATGCCATGTGTGTTTTTAACAAGTGAAAGATCAGTGAAGACTTTCTTGCATTCACTGAATTCACATAATTTCCCTGCAGCATGAGTTCTCTAGTGCACATTTAGATTTGAAATCTGGCTGAGATCTTTTCATGTTTATTACTCTCATTATATTTGTATCCAATTTGGAGTATTTTCTACAGAGTAGACATCAAGATCTTTTTGAGAGATTTTCAAATTTGATTATATTCATAGAGGTTTTCCACCATATGAATTCTCAAATATATGTCCTGTGTCTTGTGCTGATCCATCTATGTCATGGCAAAAGAATGAGGATTGCATAATTGGAGGTTTTTTATATTGTAACTTAAGTAGTATAATACTAATTGAAGGTAGACCATGATAAGAAAAGGCAGTATATTGTCATCCTTAGAAGAAATACTCCTGAAACTGTTGTAGCTAAAAATTCAAATAAGGATATAAAATGGAATATGAAAAATATTTAATCAAGTCAAAAGAAAACAGAAAATGAGGAACAAAGGATTTCAAAGGAAAACAGAAAATGGGGAACATAGGAATGAAAATGGAGGGTATGAATAAAATTGCAATAGAGACAATCATGTTATAAATAATTACATTACATATAAATGGAATAAACTCTCCAATTAAAAAGCAAACATATTAACACTGGATAAAATGCAAGATTTAATGCTATGTTGTTTTAAAAAGATGCTTTTTAAATATAAATACAGGTTGAAAGTAAAGAATGAAAAAATATATCATGCAAACCTTAAGCATAAGACATGTAGACTGACTATATTAATATCAGACAGAGTAACTAGAGACTAAATGAGACATTTTATAATAATGAGCGTCAGTTCATCAAGCAGCTATCCATTGTGCATGTAATAACAGAGCTTTAAAGTACATGAGATTAACAAATGATAGAACTGAAAATAAATAAAAAATTCACAACAAACATGCTGGAGAGGATGTGGAGAAAAAGGAACACTTTTACACTGTTAGTGGGAGTATAAACTAGTTCAACCATTGTGGAAGACAGTGTGGCTACTCCTCAAGGATCTAGAACTAGAAATACCATTTGACCCAGCGATCCCATTACTGGGCATATACCCAAAGGATTATAAATCATGCTACTATAAAGACACATGTATGTTTATTGCAGCACTATTTACAATAGCAAAAACTTGGAACCAACCCAAATGTCCATCAGTGATAGACTGGATTAAGAAAATGTGGCACATATACCCCATGGAAGACTATGCAGCCATAAAAAAGGATGAGTTCATGTCCTTTGCAGGGACATGGATGCAGCTGGAAACCATCAATCTGAGCAAACTATCACCAGGACAGAAAACCAAACACCGCATATTGTCACTCATAGGTGGGAATTGAACAATGAGAACACTTGGACACAGGGTGGGGAACATCACACACAGGGGCCTGTCATGGGGTGGGGGGCAGGGTGGGCATTGGGAGAAATATCTAATGTAAATGACGAGCTAATGGGTGTAGCAAACCAACATGGCACATGTATACCTATGTAACAAACTTGCATGTTGTGCACATGTACCCTATAACTTAAAGTATAATTAAAAAATAAAAACTCACAATCACAGGTGAAGAATTTAACACTCTTCTCCTAATAACTGGCAGAACATGTAGAAACAATGTTAAGAATAAAGAAGATCTAAAAACATTATCAAGTGACTTGATTTAATTGATATTTACAGAATACTCAACCAACAACTGTAGGTTACACATTTCTTTCAAGTACACATGGGGAACTCACCATGGTAACTTACATGCTGAATAATTTTTAATGACTTCATAAATCTCAAAGGGTTGAAATTTTACAGAGTATGCTCCAAGACCAAAAAATAATTATTTTGGAAATCAAAAATGTTACCTTTGGATAGTTGGAAATTAAGCAACACGATTATAGTCAAGCAATGGATCAAAGAAGAATAGTACAAACTGAATGGCAATAAAAACACAAACTAGTCAAGTTCATGAAATGCAACTTAAGTAATATACAGGAAGAAATTTATAACTTCATATTTTTATATATTTTCAAGTGTGTTAGAAAAGAAAGGCTTAGAATCAATGATCTGAGCTTTCAGAGAAGCTAGAAAAAGAGAAAACTAAACTCAAAATACATAGAATAAAAGAAATAAAAACAGAATAGCAGAAATCAATAAAATAGGAAACAAAAAGGAGTCTAGAAAAGGTAGCTCACACGTGTAATCCCAGCATTTTTGAAGGTTGAGGTGGGAGGATTGCTTAAGCTCAGAAGTTTGAGGCCAACTTAGGCAACATAGTGAGGCACTGTCTCTACAAAAATAAAAATAAAAATAATTAGCTGGATTTGATGGCATGCACCTGTAGTCCTAGCTGTTCACGAGGTTGAGGCAGGAGGATCTCTCTTTCTCTCTTTTGTGTGTGTGTGTGTGTGAGTGATGGAATTTTGCTGTTTCGCACAGGCTGGAGTGAAGTGGCGCGATCTTGGCTTACTGCAACCTCTGACCCCCGGGGTTCAAGCGATTCTCCTGCCTCAGCCTCCCTAGTAGCTGGGATTACAGGTGCCCGCCACCATGCCTGGCTAATTTTTGTAGAGATGGAGTTTCACCATGTTTGCCAGGCTGGTCTCAAACTCCTGACCTCAGGTAATCCATCTGCCTGGGCCTCCCAAAGTGCTAGGATTACAGGTGTGAGCCACCATGCCTAGCCTTAGGAGGGTCTCTTGAGGCTAGCAGTTTGATGTCACAGTGAGCTATATCGCATCACTGCACTCCAGCCTTTTTTTCTCTGAGAAAAGGAAGAAAACAGAAAGTAATAGGAAAAGTAGTGAAACCAATGATTGTCTTGTTTTTCAAAATTAACAAAATTGGTACATTGACAGAAATACCAATAAAGACAAAAAGAGGGAAAACATAAATTACCAATATCCATAGTGAAAGGGGGAGGGCCTCACTGCAGATTCTAAATATATTGAAAGATGAGAAAGAAATAGTATCAATAGCTTCATGAAAATAACTTCAACATCTTTGATAAAATAGACAAATTTGCTTAAAAAACACAAGCTGCCAGCTGCCGACAGAAGAGGAAACAGAAAATTAGAATTGCAGCATATTTATTTAAGAAATTGAGTGTGCAATTCAAAATCTTCCCACAAAGAAAATGTCATTCATGGTTGGGTTCTGCAGTAAATTCTATCAAATACATAAAGTAGAAATAATAACTATCTTACATAAACTCTTTCATAAAAGAAGAAGTGGAGGAAACAATTGGCAAGTCATTTGATGAGACCAGGAGAACCCTGAAACTAAATCCTGACAAGGGTATTACAAGAAAAAAAATTGTAGATCAACATCTCTCATGAATATAGATGCACAAATTCTCAACAAAATTAGCACACTGACTTGGCTGCATGTCACCTGGAAGAAAAACTTACAAACAATTTTCCTAGACAATCATGATCACACAGGTGCTGTTCCATTCCCACTCTGCATGACTCCAGCTCATGAGATCTGCTTGGATGTCTTTGGATTCTTCCATCATTGCCCCTGCCACTCCATATTTGGAATAGGACTTGCTTCAGATTTCTTTGCTTGAATTCCAATTGTAGCCATCACTGTTACCATAGTAACATTTGAACTTGCAAGTTGGAAACAACGAACAACTGGGACAAGGGCAAAGCAAGTAACTCAGATGCAAATTTTAAGTCATTATCCCAAAACTTGGAGATAAATACTATTTGTTACAATATTGTAAAAATTAAAATTTAATGTAAACACCCATGAGAAACAAAATATGAAATTTTAAGTGAGGACAGGAACCACCCTGCCCTTGCACACATTTGCCACACTGACCTCACCCTCATCCTGTCAGATCCTATTGTCAACTTTATTGTTTCCTGATCTCACTGGGGGAAAATTTACCATGTCTACTTCACAGCTCCTTCTCCTAGGCTACTCCTTCAAGGCCAAAAAGGTCACGAAAATTCTAAATTCAATAATGTTGGGATTGTTCCATTTGCAAGAAATAACTTCCTTTCATTTGAAAATATAAACTCTTCTACAATACATTGCTAACACCAACTTTATTAAATACATTCATAGATTAAAGAAAAAATCTTAATGTGGAAAAGTTTTGGAAAAGCAATGTTATTCTGGTATTTATCTCTGCATTTTATTGCCACTGTCTACTAAAGCCACCCACCAGAGACACACACATATACAGGCACAAATGCACACACACAAATACACAAACCACTATGGGGTTTTGTGTATTTGTAGCTATAGATTTCTAAAATTGTTTGAGGCATCATCATTTATGTATCATGATAGATTTTTCTCGACTTTTTGGTGACTATGCTGATAAATGGAAGTAATGCTCTTCTCAAGGTATTCCAGATCAGTCTAAGAAAGACAAAATTATTAATCCTTTAGAGATGCCTTTAAATTCTAGACTTTACCCATAAAACATTTGTAAATTAAGATACAAAGGAAGTAGTACACATTCGGATCTCTGGGCCTGTTTCAAAACATGCATTTCTATATGTAAGAAGTTTGTCAGGAATTAATCAAATATGTTTTTTGGAAAAGGTAAGAGAAAGACCAAATCTAAAAGTAGTAGTAATGAGCTTTCTTCTCTCATTTGGTATACAACTTAATATTATCTTGAAAATGACCATCATTGCCACAAGTGACAGGGACTACTAATGATTGGGTACTAATGGTAATAACCTAGAGGAAATGGCATTTGCTGTTCTCCAGCCATTAATATTCATAATGGGGGCTGTAAATATGGTGCCAACTTCTGAAAGTCCTAGAATTCACGAGAATTTTTAATTTTTTTATGACTATGCTGATAACCAGAAGTAATGCAGTTATCAAAAGCCCCAGTCAGTTAGATAATGATTACTGCAGTCAGAAACATAGAAAGGTCAAGAACAAATTCATGTATTTAAGTCATTTTGCTATTACATCTCTTCCTTTGACATATCATTAAGGGGGCATCTAGGTGTGTAAGAAAAAATCCACTTAAAAAGATGCTAATAGCTACTGTGCTAGCTAAAATGAATGTTCTGCAGAAAATTTTGATGAAGAAATAGATGTCACAGGCCTCACTGATTTTAATTCCCATTTTAAGAGGAACCACCCTCAATTGCCACCACTCCAGATAGTCTACTTTGCCCTTCCTACTGGGCATCAGTTTTCTTTAGTGAGCTGAGCAGTATACTGAAATTCAGCATCAATGTTGAGTTGCCATTGTCACCTATGACCATTCCACAGACAAATGCCTGGATGTTCAAAGTAATTGAGCTGCCATCTATCTGTTGCCCTGATTGTGAAGTAAAATTTCTTTAATATTTGCAGACACATAAAATACAAGAATTATGAAGAAAATGTTCACTGTGATTCCCTTAATTTCTAATCATTGGTGTTGGTGAATACTGACACATGCAGATATGTGTTTGCCTCCCCTTTTCCAGGGAGTGCATATATCTCCACCCCATTGGACTCTTGTAAAACAAATGGGAGCAGTCATATTATTAAACCAAAAAACACAAATCTCCTGCTTCCTAGCCCTAGTTTGGAATTGATATCAGCCCACCAGTATTTCCAAACTTGGTACCAGAAAAGGCATGAGTCAACTTATAATAGTTATAAAATAACTTTTAGGCTCTTGAAATATAAGCGCATTTTTCTCCATGTAAAGGAAGCTGGTCTGCAGTAAAAGGGAATGAAACCAGCAGGATAGAAAAAATGGTCAAGTCCTTGTTTCTAATTGTTATGGCCCTACCTTTCAATCAGTTTTATTTCCAAACATATCCTAAATTACTTTATATACCCTAATATCTTCTCAATAAATTCTGTATTTTATCTTGAGAGCTAATTTGAATTGGGTTTCTGTTGATTAATACTAAAAGAATTTAGACTAACAGAAGTATTAATTTGGCAAAAGATCTTCCTGGTTAGTACATTTTCTGTTACTATGAATTATGAATTTCTAAAAGTCATTTTCAATGCAGAATATAAGAGATATGTAGAAGAGCATACACTTTTCAAACATGATTCTGAATGTTGATGGCAGTAGTGACAATTTGAGGAGTAACATGTAGGGACAGGCTAGTTGAGTGACACAAGATTCCTTCAAGGAGCATGCTCAGGAATATCTTTAACCTCCATTCTTTGGATCTGGAAAATGTGGAATGCCTGACTTCCCTGGCATGGATCAGACTTTTAACAATGATCAGATGAAAATTTCTGGTCAGAAAGAGAACTTGGAACAGAATTTGGTCAAAGTATTTCATATGCCTTTTTATTTCATGTCAAATGTAATATCCAAACAATGTTGAGGTATTTCCAGAACTGCCTATTTGGACATTTAAAATCTTTTGAATATTCTTAGTTCTTGGCCCGCTCATTCACATTTGAGAGCACATGACACAAGAGGGTTCCCATAGCCTCCCACAGGTAAAACTTCTGCAGTGACTTCCAGGCTACTGATTCAGCAATAGAGACAATATTCTGATTTTTTTTTATTACATTTCCCAGGATAAAGCCTGCAGGGTTTTGCCCAGATTACATTTCTGTTCATGGAGTATTCCAGTGAGGCCTCTATCTGAGTTAGATTTTCATTAAACATCACCAAAGTGAACTCTCATTGAATGCTATTTGGCTTTGCTTGGGAAAAAAGACACAAGCCTCTCCCTTAATAGATTGGAAATACGTATGAAATGAGCTTGCTATATTAGAGCCTATATTCTATCGATTTTACAGGAAAGGAATCCATTTTTACAGGAATAGGCATTGGATTAACAAAAAATATTCATTATGTTTATGTTTCCTTTGTTCTTTTGTGAAGAAAATACATCATCACAGTGTTTATCTAAGATTATAAAACCCTTAGGGGATTATCCCAAAGATAACTCATAACACTCCATTACGACTTCAAAATATCCAGAGAGACCTCTGCTAGTACCACCAAGCTTTCAACTTTTAAGGAAATCTTTTCTAAAAATTCAGCCATCAGCCAAAAGGGATAATTTTATATACATTTAAATAGTCATATTAACTAAATTGTCTAAAATTATACATAATTTCCATGTTTACAGTAATCAAACTAGAAATAGAAGTTCCATGTTGCTCTTTTAAGTAGTGGTTTGGAGGATAGTGAAGAGACACTGCAGCTTATTTTTATTATACCAAAAATATAGCTAATGGGTTTCTCAGAAAACTGTTGCTCCCATTTAAATTCATTTGTGGAAGAAATTAAAATTCTTCTCCACTTTCCAATTGTTGGAATAAGGTAGCTCCCACCTTGTGAATGCTGTCATATGACCACAACTACCTATGTATTCCAATTGCCATTTAGGAAGAAAATAAAAGCAAGGAAGGGAAATAAAGCAAGACGGTCAATGGCCTTAGATTAACATCATAAAAGGCAAGGTGAGACTTACAGAAATCTCAAAAGAAGTCTACAAAATCTGAAAGAGAAAATAGGTAAAATGAATGGCTCTGTTTATGTTGATGAGAGTCTCTATTCTGCTAGTTTCCAAAAAACTTATTTCACTGTCCTTAATTTTTTTATTCACTAAGAAACAATGAATTGTCACTCATGTTCAAAATTGTTCTAGGTGCTATGCATGACATAGAGGAGAATTGGAACTTATCCTTCAAATAGCCATAATCCACAAAAACACATGGACTGCTGATCTGCTTATGAATATTTTCAGGATCCATATTTAGTCAATTTTACTAAGTAAAATTTTTAGCCTTGCTACTTATTGCCTGTGATGGGGGCAGGGTATTCTGGATTGCTGCATAAACATCTTAGTCATCTTGCTCAGGATACCGTTAAGTCCAGATGTAAAAGCGTGCCTCGCATTTATCCGTTCACTTTCTGATTCTGTTCTCCAAAGTCAGCTTTTGAAGATGCTACTAGCCAGGAATATTTCTTGAAAATTCAGTTATTTGCATATGTTTGCCAGTTGTGAGATGATTGAATGATGGCATAAATTTAATTGCAGTAGTTCAGAGTACTGTCCCTTGATAACACCCCAGGGAAAACAATATGACTGATTCAAGACAGGCAAGGCCCCAAATTAGGGCTTATCCCAGGAGGCCTTTTGGCTTTACACATAAAAGAATTCAAGGGCAATCAGGTGTTATTAGACAGCAATCTTTTATTAAAAGGGACTGCTCCTTGCTGAGCAGGACTAACTATTTTGCAGTGCACCCAGAGTTGGCAGTAGCAGCTTATGGGTTGTTGGCAACTGTATTTATACTCACTTATACCTATTTTCACTTACATGCAAATTAAGAGGTGAGTTAATGCAAATTGAGGAGCTGGTTATTCAGAACTTTCTAGAAAAAGGGACAGTAACTTCCAGGTTGTTGCCATGGAAAAGGGCAGTAACTTCTGGGTTGCCATGACATTTGTAAATTGTCATGGGGCTGGTGGGAATCTCTTATGCTAATGAGCAGTAAGGGCAATTAGAGGTTGCCTTCAACACCAGCTGCTACTTCCTGCAGGGTTTTTCACTTCAGTTGTGCACCACCTGCTGGTTCCTGTCAATTTCTTCATTTTGTCCTGTTCTGATAGGGGAATAAGTCCTGCTGATCTCCTACCTCATTACTTCTCTGACAAATGCCTCATACATTTTAAGTAGACAACTTGGAACCTAGTCTGGCAACTGTGTAAAAAAGTAAAAGTAAAAAAAAAAAAATCACCTGCACCAATGAATGTGGCAATACATCCAGGGAAACTCCTGCTTTCAAGGCTTGGGACTAATCCTCTGTGTTTTGAGAGCTGTACTCTCTGGACTTCAGGCTCCATCCTCTGATGCATCCTTCCTTTTTCATTGGAATTGGCACATGTTTTTAGCTAAGCAGTTTTATCAGTCTATTTCTAGCTTACAGAGTTTGGGGAGGGGGGTACCACATCCTCCTTTAATTAGTTCTCTCTATCCCTTTCAATTCAAGCTGGCAGTGTTTCTGCTGATTAAACATTCTCAATAACCTTATTTCCTGTGCATTTCACAGGGATTCAATTTATTAAACAAGAGACTCCTTCGAAGTTATTTCCTGAGTAATTATGTCTATATTCCTGGCTTCTGCTGATGTGGCTGAAGATATCCATGTCATGTACCTAGTCTCTTCAAAGAGCCTTCTGTATGATTGACTACCTGATTCTTTCAACGCACTAGTAAAAGGTTGTCCTGATATGTCTGTGGCTTTCTCTCCAAAACATGCATCCTTAGCAGTGAATCTCCTGATCTTAACATCTGTTGCAGTCTGAATAGGGTGAGAATTTCCCCAACCATCAAGTCTGGGTTCCTTTTTGCTTCACAGTTCTTCTCTCAATCTAATTCCTCTCATTCTTTTCCCTCTCACATTTTACTATAAGCAGCAAGAAAAAAACAGGCTGTACATTTAACCCTTTGCCTGAAAATCTCAGTGAAATCTCCCAAGTTCATTGCTTAAAAATTCTTTCTACATAACTACAGGACACAATTCAGCTAATTTTTCTTCCACCATATAAAAGGATTCCCTTTTCTTCAGTTTCCAATAATATTTTCCTCATTTCTGCACCCTCACCAGCAGAGACTTTAACATCCATATTTCTACTCACAATCTATTTAAAGTGATGTGGTATTCTCTAAGGCAACATGTTTCTCCAACATGCTCCTCACTTCATTCTGAGTCCTTACTAGCAGATTTGTTAACACCATATTTCTGCTAACACTCTGTCCAAAGCAAGCGAGGCTTTTTCTGTCATGCCTGTCAAAGTTCTTCCAGCCTCTGCCCACTGTCCAATTCAGAAGCCATCTGCACATTTTAAGTGTTTATTACAGTAGCACCCCACTTCCAGGTATCAAAATCTGTGTTAGTTGGAGTTCAGCCAGAGAAACAGGCAGCAGATGTGTAGTAATCAATTTATTGCAAGGAAGTGACTTACTCAGTTTTGAAACGTGGCTGGACAAGTCCAAAATCTGTACAGCAGGCAGTTAGGAGGGGCAGGCTGGAATTCTGGGGCATAAGCTGAAGCTGCTGTCCTTAAACAAAATTTATTTTCATCTCACGGAAGACTCAACTCTGCTTTTATGGCCTTTCCACTGATTGAAATAGACCCACCCAGATTATCTAGGAGAGTCTCCCTATTTTAAGTTTAGCTGATTGGCAACCTTAATTCTGTTTGAACCTTAATTTCTTTGCAATATAACATATTCATAGGTTCTGGGGATTAGGGCAGGAACATCTTGGCGGTCATTATTTTGCATGCAATACCATTCTAGAGTATCTGCAAAGTTGAGAAGCTCCTGGAGACAGAAAAGTCCTGACAAGAGAGCAGATGTTTTTTCCTCAAATAATTCAACTCCTTCACCAACATATCCTTTAATAAATTTTGTTTGGTTAACTAATATTAATTCTACAATGTATTTTCTTTCAAATTCCTTATGAATCAGAACAATGTTGCCATCCAAAACAAGTAGATGTTGGCATACTGTACCATCAGAAGCTCCTCTAAGCCCAGAATTTGGAACTCGTTAAGATTTTCCTGCTGTGAAAAGAGGAAATTGCAGGAGATGCATTACTTGGTCCTAGTGTCTATTGGCCTTATACGAACACCTTAAACACAGTAAATCTGGGTATTAGAAAGCCTGTCCAGTCCCCCCAATAGGATCATAACATTAGATAGAGATAAGGAAGAACCCATTAGTCTTTTCTATGTTAATTTACATGAGACAGAATACATTACGCAGATATATTTTTATGAGATGACATATGTGTTTTAGAATGAAAATCTAATGCTTACAAGTGTGACCTTGAAAAGAGTAGCTTAAACTTATCCATGTTGCTCCTTATTGGAAAAAACAAAACTCCAAATATGAAGCTTGGAAGAAATTACACATGGATAAATATGAAATGATTACACCCCAAACTTTTGTCAAAAAGTCAAGCTGTGTGAATAAGAAAAACTATAAAAAAAACTTAAAATATGACTTCAAAAATCATACATTCTTATGTAGTGTCATATAGTGTGAAAGGTAATTTCAGAATTAGAGTTATGTTTATTAGGTGGGGTTAACTTTCATATCACCCTTCAGGAATGAATACTATTAATTTATTCAGAAATATGAACTTTCCTGATATAAAATATTTATAATAATACAATAATTTGAAAACTAACAATCAGACAAAGGAAATGAGTAACATTACTAAAGACAACAGTAGAAATTTAAAAAAAAGTAGAATTCAAGATTACTAAAGGGTTAAAAAAAACTAAGGTGAAAAGTGAGGAAGACAAAATTAACAGACGGTCGGAAAGCTACAGATACCTACATTATTCTAGAAATTCTGATTTCCTCCTAGAGTCCTGGCTTACAATATTTGGGAATATAGGCTTCAAGAACTTGAAATCATTACTTTCAGAGCCTCCCGTCAGACACACCTCGTACTGGTAGCTCTGGGAAAGGGTCCCGGTGCCGCTCACGTCCACCAGATGCCCTGGAAAGGGGCCCTCGGGCACCGAGCAGCGACCCACTGAGGCCGCCCTGCTCCTCCTGCACAGCCGCACTGCCACGAACAGGAACACCGAGAAGAGGAAGAGCGAAGACACCGAGGCCAATGCCACCACCAGGTAGACGGTAAGCGAGTCGGCCTGGGCTTGGGCCGGGGCCGCCTCTGGGAGCGGCAGGTAGGGCTGAGAGAAGCCGTCCACCAGGAGCACTTGCAGCGTGGCGGTGGCCGAGCGCGGAGGCTCGCCATTGTCCTTGACCAGCACCACTAGCCTGTGCTTGGCCACGTCGCGCTCGCTCAGCAGCCTGGCGGTGCGCACCTCGCCATTGTGCGCCCACACGCCGAACAGCCCGGGCTCCGTGGCCTTGAGCAGCTGGTACGACAGCCAGGCGTTCTGGCCCGAGTCGCCGTCCACCGCCACCACCTTGGTCACCAGGTAGCCCGGCTCGGCCGCCCGGGGCACCAGCTCGGTGCAGGGCGCGGAGCCGTTCTGCAGCGGGTACAGCACGAAGGGCGAGTTGTCGTTGGCGTCCAGCACCAGCACTCGCACCAGCGCCTCGCTGCTCAGCGCCGGGAAGCCGCGGTCTGTGGCGCCCACGCGGAACTCGAAAGCCTGCAGGGCCTCGTAGTCCAGCGACTGGAGAGCGAACAGGTGGCCGTTGTCCGTGTTAATGGAGACCAGGGAGGTGAGGGGCAGGTGCGGGTCCCGGGGCGGCAGCAGCGAGTAGGTGACCTGGGCGTTGGTGCCCGAGTCTCTGTCTGTGGCGCTGACACTGCCGATGTGCAGGGCGGGGCTGTTGTTCTCGCGGACGAACAGGGTGTAGGAGGTTTGGGTGAAGGCGGGGGCGTTGTCATTGACGTCCGACACCAGCACGGTTATGCTCTGCTCGGTTTTCAGCCTTGGAGTCCCCAAGTCTGTGATGGTGATGGTGATGTTGTACTCGGCTCTGGTCTCTCTGTCCAGCGCCCCTTCTGTTACCAGCCTGTAGAAATTCTCAACAGAAGGTTTTAGCTTAAAAGGAACATCATCCTGAATTGAGCAAATCATTTTTCCATTTTCCCCAGAGTCTCGGTCTCTAATCCTAAACAGGGCCACTTCTGTCTCTGGAGAATTCTCGGGAATAGGGCTGGTAAGTGATGAAATACTTAGTTCCGGGAAGTTATCGTTAACATCCAGCACCTTAACAGAGACAGAGCATTTTCCAGAAAGTCCCCCGCCATCAGATGCCTCTATATCTAGATCATACGAAGACATTGTCTCAAAATCTAGTTTTTTAATTAGTCGAATTTCTCCTGAAAGGCTGCTTAGCTCAAAAGGTTTGTCTATCTCCTGAGAGCTGTAATAAAGGGAGTATGATATCTCTCCATTTGTCCCAGTGTCTAAATCCCTAGCAGAGACCTTGACAACTAGGGAGCCTACTGGGCTGTTCTCTGGGACCTGCACCTCGTAGAGCGCCTGCACAAACTCCGGGGCATTGTCATTGGCGTCCAAGACCAAGATGAGGATCTGGACGGTGCCAGATCGGGGTGGAGAGCCACCGTCCACCGCTGTCAAGGTTAATCTGAGCTCGGCCTGCTCCTCGCGATCCAGTTCTGTGTCCAGCACCAGCTCTGGGTATTTCCTGCCATCCCCTCGGGTGCGAGTGGAAACATGGAAATGAGAATTGGGAGAAATATTGTAGTTTTGAACATTATTGCTGCCCACGTCCAAGTCCCGAGCTTTTTTCAGAGGAAACACAGTCCCAAGGGAGCTAGTTTCTGGGATTTTCAGGGTCATTTCTCTTTCAGGAAACTCAGGAGAATGATCGTTTATGTCTGTCACTAGTAGTTCAGCTCGAAATACTTCCAAAGGTTTTTTCAGTAACACTTGGAAATGCATTATACAGGGCTCAGTAGGGCCACACAGCTTCTCCCGGTCCAGCTTCTCATTTAATATCAACTGCCCGGTCTGCAGATCAAGCTGCAAGCCTTGTTCGTTATCCTCAGAAACTACCCGGGCTCCCCGCTCGGCTAGCTCCCCCACTCCCAGCCCTAGGTCATTGGCCAGGTTGGCTACAAAAGAACCTCTCTCTGTTTCCTCCATCACAGAATAGCGACGGGGTTCCCAGCCTGCCAGAGTCACTTCCAGTAAAAGAAGGAGAATCAGGACTTGCCTTTGTTCGGGAAAGCGCTCCCCTGCAGGCTCCATCTTTACTTCTGTACACGCCCCTTTCAAGGAACCGGAGTCAGAGCTACTTCAGGGAGCGATGGGACAGAGGCAGTGATCGATCTGTGCGTTGATAACCTGTTCGGAAATGTAGGAGAATAGCATTCTCCGGAGACACTGGTCCGTGCTCTGCTAACAGGCTTTCCTCTTAGGCTGAAAGAGGTCTGAAGTAGCTAGTAGCATTTCATGGGCTTTTTCCTTTTCCTTTTTTTGAAGCCTTAGCCTGCAGCGCCACCATGCGTTGTCTTTGCTTCGAAACGAATTGCTACAATTGATCTATTCTCTATTCTATTAGGAGTTTGGAAATTGGGAGGAAATGATGTAATCACAATATCACGCAATGGTAATTATTAATTTCTTCATTTAAAGGAGTATTATTGGTCTCTATGTGCCAAATTATGAAATACATCAGTAAACAACCCAGACATGGTCCCCACCCTCCAGAGCCTGTAGTCTGGGTGTAGTGTTCTGAGGGAAATTGAGAAGTGAAAGAAGACATAATAGTGATCAGTCATCTTGTAATAATAATAACATAAAGCCACGTGATTTCTTAAAAATTTATCAGCAAAACAAAATGAATTCTTTAATTTCTTTCAAATTCTAGACAGCCTATGTACCAGAATTGTGCTCCCATTGGTTGGATTACATCAAGAAAAAGCTACACGTTAATTCCAGTGTGGTATCCTTTCTACATAAAGTCAGAGAGTTATGATTTTATGAAAATTTTAAACTGTGGAAAAATACATATGAAGGCACTTCCTATATCTCTTACTTTGCTTTTTCTTTTTTTTCTTTTCATTTTTCCTTTTTTTTTTTTTGAGATGGGGTCTTGCTCTGTTGTCCAGGAGGGAGTGCAGTGGCACAATCACTGCTCATTGCAGCCTTGACTACCCAGGCTCAAGCAATCCCCCCACCTCAGCAACTGTAGCTGGGACCACAGTTGCGCATCACCATGCCTGGCTAATGTTTTAATTATTTGTAAAGATGAGGTCTTGCTATGTTGCCCGGGCTGGTCTCAAATTTCCGAGCTCAAGCAATCCTCCTGCCTCAGCCTCCCAAAGTGCTGGGGTTATAGGCATGAGCTGCTGTACCCAGCCCTGCCTTGTCTCTCTCGTATTTATTATCTGACGTAGTATAGATGTACTTATTTAGTTGTTTCCTTTCTGTTTCAACCTCACATGTTAGAACTTCATTTTGTTCACTGCTGCATCCCCAATATCTAAAATAATCCCTGGCACATGGTACGTGCTCAATAAATATTTGTTAAATGGATCCATTAATAAATCACAATTAATTTAAACATTCTGACAGATAGGTTCTCCTCCTACTGTAGAAATTCCCTCTTCTTCTGGGATTCAAGTTCATTATATAAGATGGATAAACAAAGACAACATGTTCATAAGGTAGCTATTTCCTATGCCCTTTAAATAGTAATGTGAAATAACTCAGAATGACCTAAAATGTCATTTCATTAAGTGGCAAAACAACTTAGCTACCCATAAGCAAGGGATATATTATATGACAGAAAGAAAGAACATAACAAGATTATGATGACCCTAAAGATAAGGATTATGTCTCTTTTAGACACACATTTTTCATTGTCAAGGTTTTTTTTTTACAGTAATGTTATTATGACACTTACGATATTCAAAACTCTTATATAATAAAATGTTCTAAGAATTTCTATTAAACACTTCAAAGACTGTACCATTGGAAAGATCCTTCAGTTTTTCTCAAAATTGTATATTCTGACAAAAGCTAGTGCATGTCCCTTATAGACTACTAATATTTTACAACCTCCTTGATCCCAAATGTTGTCATACTAATATGAAAAGCCACAATAAAAACCCAATAGGAAGAAAGGTCTAACTTACCAACAATGCAGGAATATCTAAACATGCTTTTGACAACAAAAACCTCACTTAGATCTCTTAATTAGAGGGAAATTTATTAAAGAGCACAAATTTGTCTCCAGCAACCTAAGGGAAAAAGACTTGGGAGGGACTGGAAAATCTAAAACAGGAAAATCTATGACAAGGTCATTCTTTTGGTACCTTATTTTTTCTTGTCTCTCAATAGATTGATGTTCTGTATTTCTTTGCAAGTGTTTAGCCAAATATGACACCACTTTCTGCTTATGTTCCTAACAAAGAGACTATGTTGTATCTGGTTCTTAAAGCCATTTTTTTTTAAACAGAGAGAATCAGATTAGGCCAGCTAGGATCATCTTATTTTTGTGTTTGAAATCACAGAGGGAGGTGGGTCATATAAAATAAATGTGGCTGCAACATTACACTTCAGCCAAAGACAGGGAGAATTTTCCAGAAAAAGATCAGGTGGGCTAGATAGACGCTACAAAAGGGAGCTATGATTTTAAAATCTTGAGATAATCTAATAATCACTAAAGATGCTCGTATGGCCGGGCAAGGTGGCTCACACCTGTAATGCCACACTTTGGGAGGCAGAGGCGAGTGTATCACCTGAGGTCAGGAGTTTGAGACCAGCCAAACTCCTGACCTCAGGAGCCAGTTTGAGTTTGGCCAACATGGTGAAACCCTATCTCTACTAAAACAAGGAGCCTGTAATCCCAGCTACTCGGGAGGCTGAGGCAGGAGAATCGCTTGAACCGGGGAGGCGAGGTTGCAGTGAGCCCAGATCGCGCCATTGCACTCCAGCCTGGGCGACAAGAGTGAAACTCTGACTCAATAATAGTAATAATAATGCTCATATATGTTATGGAGTGAAGGTTATAAAAAGAGCAGAAAAGTCTTTAAGTTTGGGGAAAAATGTAGTCTTTCCCACTTCAAGCTATTGTGAAATAAAACGATGCAATTTTTGCAGACGCTTCTCCATTTAAAAATTCAAGACAGGTAAGCATAAGACAGAATCAATAGAATATGTACTAATAATCACTATATCATCGTTCCTGTCTTCTAAGCATCAAAAGTTTAGAAAAGCTTTCTTTAATGAAACGGAATGGAGCTGGAGTCTTCAAGTCAACAGCCTGTGATTTTGAAAAGTTGATAAATTGAACAAATATTACTTTTCATTAATGAGTAAACCTGAAAGTTGTATTCATCAAAATGGACATGATAAAAGGAGACCAAGTATGAACAAATAATCAAAGAAAATGTCTAATCTTAAGTAGGAAAATGAAATCAGCAAAAATCTTAGAAAATCCATATAGCACAAAAAACATAACAGAGACTTAATATATTGATAAAGGACTAACCTTTATCCTAAATGCTCTGAAAAATCTACAGATTCTTAATTGAATCCAAAACCATTTACAAAGTTGGACTTTTCCTCCCATCATTCACAGCGCCCGGATGCTTAGGGATAACAGACTTCAGGAATTTGAATTCATTTGTCCCGGAGCCTCGCGTCAGAAACACTTCATACTTGTACCTCTGGGATAGGGTCCTGGTGTCGCTCACGTCCACCAGATGCCTGGAAAGGGGTCCTCGGGCACCGAGCAGCGACCCAATGAGGCCTCCCTGCTCCTCCTGCACAGCCGCACCGCCACGAACAGGAGCACCGAGAAGAGGAAGAACGACGACACCAAGGCCAACGCCACCACCAGGTAGACGGTGAGCAAGTCGGCCTGGGCCTGGGCCGGGGCCGCTTCAGGGAACGGCAAGTAGGGCAGGGAGAAGCCATCCACCAGGAGCACGTGCAGCGTGGCGGTGGCCGAGCGCGGAGGCTCGCCATTGTCCTTGACCAGGACCATCAGCCTGTGCTTGGCTGTGTCACGCTCGCTCAGCAGCCTGTCAGTGCATTGTGCGCCCACACGCCGAACAGCCCTGGCTCCGTGGCCTTGAGCAACTGCTACGACAGCCAGGCGTTCTGGCCCGAGTCACCGTCCACCGCCACCACCTTGGTCACCAGGTAGCCCGGCTCGGCGGCCCGCCCGGGGCATCAGCTCGGTGCAGGGCGCGGAGCCGTTCTGCAGCGGGAACAGCACGAAGAGTGAGCTGTCGTTGGCGTCCAGCACCAGCACGCGCACCAGCGCCTCGCTGCTCAGCGCCGTGGAGCCGCGGTCTGAAGCGCCCACGCGGAACTCGAACTCCTGCAGGGCCTCGTAGTCCAGCGACCTGAGGGCGAACAGGTGGCCGTTGTCTGTGTTGATGGAGACCAGGGAGGCGAGGGGCAGGTGCGGGTTCCGGGGCGGCAGCAGCGAGTAGGTGACCTGGATGTTGGTGCCCGAGTCTCTGCGGTGCTGACGCTGCCAATATGCAGGGCGGGGCTGTTGTTCTCGCGGACGAACAGGGTGTAGGAGGTTTAGGTGAAGGTGGGGGCTTTGTCATTGACGTAGGAGACCAGCACCGTTATGTTGTACTCGGTTTTCAGCCTAGGAGTCCCCAAGTCCGTGGCTGTGTTGGTGATGTTGTACTCGGCTCTAATCTCTTTGTCCAGTGGTCCTTCTGTTAACAGCCAGTATAAATTCTCAACGGAAGGTTTCGGCATGAACGGAACATCATTTTGAATTGATCAAACTATTCTTCCATTTTTCCCAGAATCGCGGTCTTGAATGCTGAAAAGAGCTGCAACGGTCTCAGGAGAATTTTCGCGGATGGGGCTTGTGAATGAAGCCATGGTCAGTTCCGGAGCGTTATCGTTGATATCTACCACCTGTATTATGACAGTGCATTTTCCAGAAAGACCTGCCCCATCAGAGGCTTTAATATCCACCTGATATGACACAATTTTTTCAAAATCTAGTTTTCTGATTATTTTAATTTCTCCCCTTCGTTCATTAAGTGCAAATGTCTTAGAAATCTCTTCATCACCATAAAAAATGAGTAGAATATCTCACCATTAATTCCCATGTCTGAATCTCTAGCGGAAACAGTGGCAACAAGGGAATCCAGGGGGCTGTTTTCTGATATCTGCACCTGATAGAGTGGCTACACAAACTCAGGTGCATTGTCATTGATGTCCAAGATTTCAATGAGGACCAGAGCAGTCCCAGTTCTGGGAGGAGTCCCGCCATCTACTGCCATGAGAGTTAACCTGATCTCAGCCTGCTCCTCCCGATCCAGGGCTTTGTCCAGAACCAGCTCTGGGTATTTTCTGCCTTCACTGCCATTTTGGGTGAGAGCGTGGACATGGGAGTAGGGGTAGATGGTGTAGTTTTGGATGTTATTGATGGCCACATCCAAATCTTGTGTATTTTTCAGAGGAAACACAGTTCCTGGAGGAGTATTTTCCATGATTTCAAAATAATTTCTGCTTCTGGGAATACAGGGGAATTGTGTTTATGTCACTGACCAAAAGTTTAAACCTCCAAAGGTTCTTCCAGTAACACTTGGAATTGCAGCACACAAGGCTCAGTGATTCTACACAATTCTTCCCGGTCCAATGTCTCATTTACTTGCAGGTCTCCGGTCTGAAGTTTCAGCTGAAAATATTTTTTGTTATTGTTAAAAATGACCCGAGGCCTCCACTGGTATATTACTCTTACTTCTAGCCCTGGGTCCTTTGTTAGATTGGCCACAAAAGAACCACTTTCTGTTTCTTCTGCTACAGTATATTCCACTCCGCACAGTATATTCCACTCCGCACAAGTCTGAGACAGCATAACAAAGAGAAGCAGCACTTGCCTTATTCTAGGAAAGTGCTCCTTTTCAGCCTCCATTTCTCCAACACCAACAGCATTCAGGGTCCGGATGCCTATGTTGCGTTGGTAGGCAATCTGCTCTGGGAATCAATCCTTGCAGCAACGCAATTTTCGGTTAAGAAAGCCTCTTCTCTTTGATGGATCGAATGAGTGCTAGCACAGTAGTTGAAGAGATTCATTCTAACATTTCAGGAGTGTAAACTTAAGTGATATACTAGCTAAATCTGGTTTATTATGCAAACTCAATAGGTAGCCTAAGAGTTGTGGATAACTTATTTGTGAATATTGCCTAAGGACTGTGAGCTTGTTATGTTGACTTGTTACAGTATCTAAAATAATTTATAAAGAGCATCACCATCTATTGTTAATACTGAGATACACACATGTTGAAGCTGAGAGTCACTGAGACCTTGAAGAGGGAGCCAGCCAAGATCATGGATATAAAGGCTGAAGTTAAAGTAAAAAGTAAAATGCAGAAGAAAATATGTTAAGTTCACCTGAAATAGCAGGTTAAGCATATTCCCAACTGGAGAAGATCTCAACTCATTTTTAGTAAGCAATTATGTATCTCTTGTGGATTCATTGGAATACTGAAACCCTAGCATGGAACTGAAATTTTTACTTCTGAGGAAAGAGAAAACATTTTGGGGGAGGAGACTTGGGGGTCTTCCCAACTGTGCCAACTTTAGCCAATGTTTTACTCACAATGTTTAAATAATAGACACTATTATGTGTTGTGGCATTCTAATTATCTAGCTAACTGAGAAAACTAAGGATGAGCCAAGTGTAAGAACTGTGGTTCATATTGGTTTCTCTTAAGGCATAAATAACTCAAATCAACATTCTACTTTAGAATGTTTTCTTCTATACAAACAAGTTCGATTAATTAAACTTTCAAAATATGCCAGTCATGGGCAAAATCTGATGGACAAATTTCCTTATAGAAATATTTTGGTCATGGGTCCAAATTCACTATTATGGATTTACATGTCCAAGAAAATGTGTCCTGAATGTCTATGCATTTTTTAATATTAATGGGATAGAAGCTTGTACCTATGTCAGTAACCCAATGAATCAAAGTTAGTTTTTCATTCCCATCTTTCATCTCTTGGAAAAAGTTTCCTCTTTCTAAGATCTTAGCTCCTAGGCTTGGAAGAAACTTAAATTTCTTTCGTGAGGCTTTCTAGCAATAGAGGATATTAATTAAATATTTATTACTATAACTGAAATCATGAATCAATCCATATGATCGATAAATTGGGATTATTTATGGAGCAAGAATATTTTACATTACATGACAAAAATAATTTTGTTCACACTGAGCTTAGCAAGTAATTTTTAAAAGAACGAGTCTGCTAAGGAGGGTATGATGATCCTGAGAAAAGGTACAGACACCCAAAACTTACAATTTCAGTGTTATTATTATTTTTTAAACAAAAAGTATTATTTAAAAAGTAATCATGGGACATATAAAATAATGGAGGTAAAGTTAATGAGACATTTCATAAAGCCCTTTGTAGCATTTATCTGTTGAAAGACCTCATAAATTATTTACAAATTTAAATTTTGTTACATAAGCCTCTAGTATAGATTTGTTATCTCTAGGCTTGTACATCCTGTA
The DNA here is from genome assembly GCF_000001405.40 of Homo sapiens. Classification (NCBI taxonomy): domain Eukaryota; kingdom Metazoa; phylum Chordata; class Mammalia; order Primates; family Hominidae; genus Homo; species Homo sapiens. Next base: position 141,238,319 of record NC_000005.10, on the reverse strand, counting down.
TTTCATTCATTAAGTTAATATTAGAAGCATGCAATAAAAGACCAGGGTTTCATGGTAGATAGTCTAATTGAGTACTCAAGGTTGTACATACCTTTCAAGTCTCTTTTGATTTCAAGACATCCCCCTTCAAGATAGGTTAAACAAAGGAATTTTACTATTACCAATGGAGTCTTACTGTAGAACCCAAGGGCAATTAGACATTGGAGACTTAGGAGGAACTGTACTTAGGTGGACAGGTCTAGAACTAAGTAGCTGTTTTAGTCTCTACTGTTTTCTAGGCTTCTGCCTCCTCCACTCTTATTCCTTTTCACTTTTACTCTTTCCTTCCATTTTCTCTCCCTCTTTTTCTCTCTATCTAGAAACTTATAAACATGGCTACCTCAGCCCACGTTCAACACTTATTCAAGAGGAAAAAGTAGATGAACTATATCTCAATCACAAATTTAGGGGTTTGGAGAATGTAGCTATTCCAGCTTAAATCAGGAATCTATCACAGGACCAATAAAAAATGATCAGGGCTCATGCCTGTAATCCCAACAACTTGGGAAGCTGATGCGGTACGATCACTGGAGGCCAGGAGTTCAAGACTAGCCCGTGTGACATGGCAAGACCTCATCTCTTAAAAAACGAAAAAAACAAACGGTGTGTGTGTGTGTGTGTGTGTGTGTGTGTGTGTGTGTGTATGTAAGAAAAGAAGGCCTGCAATGGAATAAGCATCACACTAGTGATCACCTCTCTTAGGTAGTATAGAGAAGTTCTCAGACAAGAAATGAGCATGAGCTGGATATATACATCTTAATCCAAACAAGGTTTTGAATTTATTTAAATAAAACAACTTCTACTAGCATATATATGGTTCACAAATAATTATGGAAAAAAAACCCTAAGTACAGGAAAAATTCTCTGCAATGTTTGCCAGAAAAGTAGAATGAAAAGATTATAGGTTTTTAAGAAAGAAACCTAAATTAGATAACATCTCAGAAACCAACCTAACCAGATAACAAGCAATTATGTTTTTATTCATATCATGCATTTACCTCTATAATAATATTCTCAATTATATAAAAACTGCTTTGGATAGAGGATCCACAGTCAGAACACTCAGAAAATATGAATGAGCCCAGTGTGCGATTAAACTTGAAGGGAAAATAATGTGTTTGTGAATATATTATTTGAGGTTGTATTTCAAAACAATGACTAAGCAAATTCCGGCTCTCAATTTTTTCACGGTTAAAACAACAAAAAATAGACTTAAATTCTTGTAACTTCTGAAAACTCTTGAGTAAAATGCAGTTACCCAAAATGAAAAACTCTGCATAACAATGAATAAGATTTCAAAGAAATAGACTCATTCTAAAAGTTCTGCATCATAATCAGATCCCTAATTGCATTCCACGCCATTCAGAAAGGTGGGGCTTTCTCCATTTCGCTGTCGCGGGACAGGAGATTGGGAATCACCGGCTTCAGGAACTTGAACTCATTTGCCCCTGAGCCTCCCGTCAGACACACCTCGTACTGGTAGCTCTGGGATAGGGTCCCGGTGCCGCTCACGTCTACCAGATGCCCTGGAAAGGGACACTCGGGCACCGAGCAGCGACCCATCGAGGCCGCCCTGCTCCTCCTGCACAGCCGCACCGCCACGAACAGGAACACCGAGAAGAGGAAGAGCGACGACACCGAGGCCAACGCCACCACCAGGTAGACGGTGAGGGAGTCGGCCTGGGCCTGGGAGGGGGCAGCCTCCGTGAGAGGCAGGTAGGGCTGAGAGAAGCCCTCCACCAGGAGCACGTGCAGCGTGGCGGTGGCCGAGCGCGGAGGCTCGCCATTGTCCTTGACCAGCACCACCAGCCTGTGCTTGGCCGCGTCGCGCTCGCTCAGCAGCCTGGCGGTGCGCCCCTCGCCATTGTGCGCCCACACGCCGAACAGCCCGGGCTCCGTGGCCTTGAGCAGCTGGTACGACAGCCAGGCGTTCTGGCCCGAGTCGCCGTCCACCGCCACCACCTTGGTCACCAGGTAGCCCGGCTCGGCCGCCCGAGGTACCAGCTCGGTGCAGGGCGCCGAGCCGTTCTGCAGCGGGTACAGCACGAAGGGCGAGTTGTCGTTGGCGTCCAGCACCAGCACGCGCACCAGCACCTCGCTGCTCAGCGCCGGGGAGCCGTGGTCTGCGGCGCCCACGCGAAACCCGAACTCCTGCAGGGCCTCGTAGTCCAAAGACCTGAGGGCGAATAGGTGGCCGTTGTCCGCGTTGATGGAGACCAGGGAGGTGAGGGGCAGGTGCGGGTCCTGGGGCGGCAGCAGCGAGTAGGTGACCTGGGCGTTGGTGCCTGAGTCTCTGTCTGTAGCGCTGACGCTGCCGATGTGCAGGGCGGGGCTGTTGTTCTCGCGGACGAACAGGGTGTAGGAGGTTTGGGTGAAGATGGGGGCGTTGTCATTGACGTCGGAGACCAGCACGGTTATGTTGTGCTCGGTTTTCAGCCTGGGTGTCCCCAAGTCGGTCACGGTGATGGTGATGTTATATTCATTTCTGACCTCTCTGTCCAGTGGGTGCTCTGTTACCAGAGCGTAAAAATTCTTGAAGGTAGGCTTCAAGACAAAGGGGAGGTTGTCCTGAATTGAGCAAACTGTTCTCCCATTGTCTCCAGCGTCTTGGTCTCGTATGCTGAAAACAGCGACCACCATCTCAGGTGAAGAGTTTTCCGGTATGGGGCTGGTAAGAGATGTCATGGCTATTTCTGGCGGGTTGTCATTCACATCTACAACCCGAACTAAAATGCTTGATTTTCCAGAAAGGCTCCCACCTTCAATGGCCTGAATATTTATGATATAAGATTGAATAATCTCGAAATCTAGAGGGGCTTTTAAATAGACTTCGCCAGAAATTGGATGGATTTCAAATGTTTTCCGTACATCTCTGGAGACGTGGGAAAATGAATAAGACAGTTCTCCATTTATTCCTGCATCTAAATCTGTAGCAGACGCTTTGATGATCAAGGAGTCCAGAGGGCTGCTCTCAGGTACAAGAACTTCATAGACTGGCTTCTCAAATTCAGGGGCATTGTCACTGATGTCCAGGACCACAACGTTAATCAGTGTAGTCCCAGACCTGGGCGGAGACCCGCCATCCACGGCTGTTAGCGTTAAACTAAACTCAGACACCTTTTCTCGATCCAGGGATTGGTCCAGTACCAACTCTGGATATTTTCTGCCCTCATCGCTATCCCGTAATTTAAGGTGGAAATGGGGATTGGGACTTATTGTATAGTTTTGAACACCATTCTTTCCCACATCCAAGTCCTGCGCACTATCTATTTGGAATAAGGTTCCTAGAGTAGCACCTTCGGAGATTTTTAGAAGCATATGATTGTTTAGGAACGTGGGAGTGTGATCATTTATGTCTTTGACCAAAAGCTCAGCACGAAAAAATTGCAACGGATTTTCAAATAACACCTGGAAATGCAATATACATGGCTCTGTGAGATCACAAAGTGCCTCCCGGTCCAGCTGCTCGTTTAAGAGCAAGTCGCCATTCTGTGGATCCAATCGCAAATAAGGTTTATAGTCGTCAAAGATGACTCTGGCCCCCCCTTGCAGCCAGGTCTTCCACATCCAAACCCATGTCTTTCACCACGTTGGCTATAAAGGTACCGACCTCCATTTCCTCTGCTATGGAATAGCTCCCGGTCTCAGAACACACCAAAGACCCTCCCAGGAAAACAAAGAAAAGCAGCACTTGCCTTGTCCGCTGAGCTCTTCCCTTTCCCGGCTCCATAGCTCCTTAGCCAAACGTCTTTCTGGCGTAAACGTTTCAACTCAGTCTCTAGCAGCTCTTAAAGTTGCTCCTCTCACCTATCAGCCTGGACCTTTGGGAATCTAGAAACTCTTAATCCTGTCGCGAAGGTGTTGATGGTGCCCTACCTTTTGAAAGACTATTTTCTCCTGGTATTCCAGCGCTTTCAGTTCCCATGGTTAAGGAAAACCAGAGCATCTGCGGTTACAAAAATTTCACCGTCTTATCCTGCAGCGCCACCATGCGACTCTGCAGATATTCAGGTTTTAGATAAATTCCAATACGTTTCAGACAAAATATTAATTTTTCTTGTGTGTTTGTCTATAAATTTAAATTATATGCTCCTTCTATATGCCTATTTTCCGAGTTGCATTTTTGTGATATGTGATGCCATTACCTTTCCATCATCAGCCACAATCTGCTATAGCTGTAGTAGATATAAGAAGCATATTTAAGATGTAGCCCCTGCCTCAAACGAGTTATGATCTCTCTGTGAAGACAATATATTAAACAACTAAAGATAGTGAAGAATACTCTTACATGTAATTGACTTAGTAGGCAACAGATTTTTAGTAAAATTGGAAATGAGAATTAGAGGTCTTAGCTCTCTCCACAACTACTCTTCGAAAAGAGGAATGACATCATGTACTTGAAAATGAACCTGGTATATGAAAACAGTTGCTTTGGAAAGGTTGGACATTTTGAGCTGCATAAATGGTACGATTTATTTAGGGATACTCAGTAGGAGACTTAGCTGGCAGGAGTAGAAAATAAATGCTCAGAAGTAGTGAGTAAAATAAAACATTTCTGGTTTTCAATCTAAAAGCAAGTCCAGTTAAACATTTTTTAAAATGTGAACAAATTAGACCTCAGTTTAGTTGTGAAACTGAATTTCATCATTTGCAGACCCAGGCTTTCCAGAGGCACAATTTTAAATATGTTTATATATCTATTAATTAATTAGCTTAGCAGATAGTTATTGAGAATATACTTTGTGCAAGGAATGGTCATAAGTGTTAGGGATAGAATGGTAAACAGACATAGTTCCTGCCATGCAAGAGGGAGACAGAAAAATGACCATGTATTTTAAATAGAGCACAATGAATGTCATGATAAAGGAAGTTCATGCTACTACAAGGGCATAGATGATGGTCATCTAACCAGAATTTGGAAATACAAGACAGATTTTTCTGGAGAAAGTATTCTCTAAGTTGATACATTAAAAATTAATAGGAGTACTTTAAACAAAAATTGGGTATGGGGTAAAATTGTTCAGGAAAACTAAAAACAAGATTGTGCAAATGCAAATAAAGAGAAGTATTTGGAGGAAATAAAATCAATATGGCTAAGACATAGAGCAAGAGGAGAGAAGTGGTAAGAGTTGAAATTGGAAAGATAAGCATATATTTTTTAACTATGTCAAAGTATTTGGACTTTATGCCAGTAGAAATGCAGGGTTATTAAAGGGATTATAATTAAAACAGGAAAGTGGCATGATTATGTTTCTACTTTTTAAAAAGATTATCCTGTTTCAGAGTTGAGAATAAATTAGAGAGGAATAAGATTAAAGGTGAGAGATTGATTACAAATGGTTGCAATAATACAAGTAAGAGGAAACATTGGCCTCAACTAGAAATGCAGTGAAGGGGTTGTATTAGAATGATAAAACAATAGGGGTGTGGTGATCAACATAGAAGGAGTGGGGTAGAAAGGCATGAAGGTAAATGTACTTTGTCTTCAGGCTTAGGGAACTGAGTGACTGTTGGTTCTATTAACTGATAAACACAGGAAGAGCAGAAGAAAGAGGAATAGATATGGAGCTGGTTGGTGAAGGTATATTTAGTTTTGAGGAAGGGAACAGTTTTAATTTTAAACGGATGAGTTTGAGCATCCATATAGACAGTTATATAAATTAGCTTCTATTACATAAATGCAGTTGAGGAAAGACGTTTGGGCTATAGAGTCACATTTGGCATAAATGGTGATTAAAGCTCTTCAGGAAAGATAATAAGTTGCAGATTAAAAGAAGTATATTTGAATTTGTGACTTCAGACTTGATGTAGTTTTCAGAGATTACCATCTCCAGAGAGAGGCCATGGTTATAGGTGACTAAGCTAGAGTAGAAGTGAATGTCATTAGAGATGAAGAAGGCTAGAAACAGAGATAGGTCAAACTCTTGGACCCAGAATTGTTGCAAGGGATGGGCAAAGAGGAAAACTATAAGAAGTCACATTTAAGAGATAAAATGTCTTTATGCTACTTCTTTCTTGTCATCTGGAATAATTTAAAATTAAACTGATATCAAGTTGAGTTCATGCTCTCATTTGATGACTCTTACATGCAAAGACCATTTAGGTAGAAATGTTTGCCAACTTCCTTCAGTACATTAAAGATATCTTACTTTCTATTTTTTTCTATTGCTACTGTTGAGAAACATGGAGCATAGCTGTCAGTCTGTCATGTGCTTCAGGGTTCAATGTCCTTTTCCCATGGCTTTTGAAAAAAAAGATTTCTCTTTTTCTTTGGTTTTCTGAGCTTTCAATATGTTTCTAGATATGGATATCTTTTTAAATTTATCCTGTTAGGTTTATTTAGGTCTCTTAAATCTGCTTGTTGAAGTTTTCATCAATTCTGAAGAATTCAAATTATTATTTCTTTAACTATTGCTTCTGATACAATTTTTCTCTGATCTCCTTGTTCTGGTTAAACATATGTTAAACTTTTTTACTTTGTCCTCTGTTTCTAATATTCTCTTCTGTATTTTTCATCTTATCAACTTTCTGACCTACATATTGGATAAATTATATCCTCATCTATCTTTCTTTTCAGTAATTATTTGTTTAGTTATATCTAATCTTCTATTAAATTTTCTAGTTGGTTTAAAATTTTGATTATTATAGTTTTTCATTTCTAGGAGTTCTATTTTGTTTTCTAATCTGTCAAATTTTATAGTATTTTTCCCTGTACACCTTCAGGTTTAACTTTTATTTCAATTAAAGTGCCTAGCATATTGTAGACTGTGTCTGATAATTACAATATTTGAAATGCTTGCAAGTTTATTTTTATGTTCCTTTTTTCTGCTGGCTCTCACTCATAGTGTCACGTTCTCTTGTGTATGCACTTATCTTTGACTGTTTATGTTAAGAACATAAAAAATTAGTTGTATGAATGATTTGAGGCTTAGAGTGAATAAACGTTCAAACATTCAGAAACTGGGCGACAGAGCGAGACTCCGTCTCAAAAAAAAAAAGCTGTAAGGTCACATTCACATTCACTATAAGAAGTCAGATTTTGACTGGGTGCGGTGGCTCACGCCTGTAATCCCAGCACTTTGGGAGGCTGAGGCAGGCGGATCACCTGAGGTAGGGAGTTCAAGACCAGCCTGACCAACATGGAGAAACCCCATGTCTACTTAAAAAAAAAAAAAAAAAAGCCGGGCGTGGTGGTGCATGCCTGTAATCCCAGCTACTAGGGAGGCTGAGGCAGGAGAATCTCTTAAATCCAGGAGGTGGAGGTTGTAGTGGGCAGAGATCGTGCCATTGCACTCCAGCCTGGGCAACAAGAGCGAAACTCTGTCTCGAAAAAAAAAGAAGTTAGATTTCATAAAACATCTGCATTTGATTCTATCAGTTCCTGGGAGAACTGTCAATGATCACTTTAAATCAAGTTTAAGGCTAAATATCAAGTTCAAGGCTGAAATTCCCCACAAGGGTTCATCCATTTCCAGTTTACTCTCACTCCAAGGGTGTGGCTCTTAGGGATCCATGCTTATTAATAGAGGTTCAAGTTTTCCAGGATTCCCAAGGAAAAAGTAGATTTTGGTCTTGCTTATCTCTCTGGGTTTCCTTTTACCATTAACTTTAACCTGACAATATATTAATATCTTAATAGCTAATTGTTTTCAGTGAAATCATTGTGCTACATAATTTTTACCAACCTTATTAAAAATGTAAAGTCTCAGGGATATTGTTGCAACTCAAAATTACAAGTAAACTCTTAGCTTTCATATTCTATGGGCAACTGATTATTTTGGAAGGCTAAGAAATAATAGTATTTTTAAACAACTTCAACTGTTCAATGCTAAATCAATTCTATAATGACATAATGAATTGAAACAATCTCTTGGAAGAGACAACTGCCATTTAATTGGTATTCATTCTCACTTCTTTCTATACCCCTTATTCCCCTATATGTGCACAAATAGCTTTCCTATATTCTCTCTTCTCTCCCTTCATAAAGTGTATTTATATATTTGCATATTTCTATAAATAAGGAGAAAATTTTCGCAACCTATTCATCTGACAAAGGGCTAATATCCAGAATCTACAATGAACTCAAACAAATTTACAAGAAAAAAACAAACAACCCCATCAAAAAGTGGGCGAAGGACATGAACAGACACTTCTCAAAAGAAGACATTTATGCAGCCAAAAAACAGATGAAAAAATGCTCATCATCACTGGCCATCAGAGAAATGCAAATCAAAACCACTATGAGATACCATCTCACACCAGTTAGAATGGCAATCATTAAAAAGTCAGGAAACAACAGGTGCTGGAGAGGATGTGGAGAAATAGGAACACTTTTACACTGTTGGTGGGACTGTATACTGGTTCAACCATTGTGGAAGTCAGTGTGGCGATTCCTCAGGGTTCTAGAACTAGAATACCATTTGACCCAGCCATCCCATTACTGGGTATATACCCAAATGACTATAAATCATGCTGCTATAAAGACACATGCACACGTATGTTTATTGAGGCATTATTCACAATAGCAAAGACTTGGAACCAACCCAAATGTCCAACAATGATAGACTGGATTAAGAAAATGTGGCACATATACACCATGGAATACTATGCAGCCATAAAAAATGATGAGTTCATGTCCTTTGTAGGGACATGGATGAAATTGGAAATCATCATTCTCAGTAAACTATCGCAAAAACAAAAAACCAAACACCGCATATTCTCACTCATAGGTGGGAATTGAACATTGAGATCACATGGACACAGGAAGGGGAATATCATACTCTGGGGACTGTGGTGGGGTGGGGGGAGGGGGGAGGGATAGCATTGGGAGATATACCTAATGCTAGTTGACGAGTTAGTGGGTGCAGCGCACCAGCATGGCACATGTATACATATGTAACTAACCTGCACAAGGTGCACATGTACCCTAAAACTTAAAGTATAATAAAAAAAAAAGATATTGTGTATATCACCATACTATAAATCTTTGTCTTTTTTCTTTTAAAACATTTGAGATTTATTTATGTGATTGCATGTCTAGCTAACTCCTTTTGATCACTGCATAATAATCCTTCACTAACATGTTACACATTTTATCAATTGCTTTACTGATGGATATGTAAGTGGAGTCCTATTCTTCACTTTCCCAGGATGAATATTCTTATATACATCATTTTGTAAAGCTCTTTAAGAGTTTTCTGGCTTACACACTCCAATAGAATTGCTGAATTATAGAGTACATATATATTAAATTTTACTAAATACTATCAGAAAGCTCTCTAAATAGGCTGTACATGTCATTTCCTATTATTCCACTTGATATTACCCAAATCTCTCATCTTTACTAATTTTAGTGTATGTTTCACCAACTAAAAGGGTTGAACTTCATTTAAAGCTATTTTCAGGCTGTTTTCCCTTTTTTTGAATTTCCATTTCCTTTGTCTTAAAAAATCCTATTGTCTCTCCTGGCTTTGTTGTTGTTGATTTGCAAGAGTTATTTGAATAATGTAAATATTAATCTTGTCAGTTAAAATACTGCAGGTGGCTTCTCACTGTCATCTGTTAGTTTGTCTGTGCTATCCTTTAATTTTGAGGCAGTAATATTCATCAGTTTGTATTTTTCTTTTTTGTGCTTTAAAGCCTTGTTAAGAAATCCAAACCCAAACTAAGATGATATGAATATTTTTACCTAGATTTATTTCATCTCTTCCAATTCAAATATTTCAAATTCACCTATTACATACATATGAAGGTTGTTTTTATATGACATGAGATAGGGATTTTGTTTTTGTATATAGTGAGCCAATCTCCCCAATAACGTTTGCTAAATAATCTCTCTTCTCCACCAACCCCAGTTTTTACGATACCTCCTGTGACCAAGTTGTCTTATATAAGAGGATCTGATCCTGGGTTCTATTCTATCTGGTAGTCTATGAGTCTGTTCCTGAATCATTCAGATAGATTTACTTACTTCATATTTGTAATATGTACTAATATCTATAATGTAAGGCATTCCCTCATTTTTCTTTTTAAAAATTATCCTAGCTCTTCATGCAACTTGTTCTTCTATATTAATATTAGAAACCATTTTTAGATCCTTAACTACTTATGATGGATTTCACTGGAATTGCATTGAATTTATAAATTATTTTGGGAAGCATAGATCTTTATTAAGTTGTTCTATCAAGGAACTAGCATCTGTCTCAATTAACTCAGACATTTAATTATTTCATTTAATGTTTTATTGACATCATTCACTTTTCCACAAAGGTTTTCTGACTTGTTAGCCTAATTTCTAGAAACATTATAGTTTCAATACTATTTTAAATTTTCATTTATAATTGATAATACTGAGGTTAAAAATACACTTTTATTTCTCTTTCCATTTCACTTTTTTCTACCTTATTCTAGTCTTTCTTCTCTCTTTCTTTAGTTTTTAGTTACTTCAGTTTTTACATTAGCAGTGACTTAAGAGCACAGTTTTGCCTCTTATGACTCTGAGGGAAAAAGGGGACCCAAATATTCTTTTCAGGATTTTATTGTTTAAATGTCAATTTTAAGAAATCCACACAACAAATAACTACTTGTTACAACGAAAAATAAAATCAGTGATAATTGCATAAAGTAGAGGGAAGAAATCTAAGGAAACTGGAATTTGTTTCACCTATTTCACAATGGCAAGTGAAATTCCATTTTACTACATCATCTGGTCTATAATAGTATTTAATCTTGTAAGAGCAATTTCAAAATGTATATGTACACCAGCCCTATATCCATACTACATTCCAGTTATCAAAATCTCTATCTATAATCTTCTATAGAACTTTCTTTTAGAGCTGAGATATAATATGTTACATGATGAGGCAACTATAAACCATAAATGCCTACCCATTCCTTCTTTGTAGGCATCTGAGAGAGGCCACAAAGTGTTAATGATGTTTTATATTTACTCAATAATTAATAGGAAAGTGAAACTAAATCATTTCTTTAACAGTTTGAATCTTCATTTCAATTTCTTATGAAGTTCTTGCTTTGTACTCATCTGATGGAAGGCTATTTTACCCAGGATAAGACCCTAAATTATTTTCTGCTTTAGTAATAAACAACACAAAATTTAAGCTAGTAAACACGGTGTATTTAAAGAAAACTAGGCCAGACGTAATGGCTCATGCCTGTAATCCTAGCACGTTGGGAGGCCAAAGCAGGTGGATCACTTGAGTTCAGGAGTTCGAGACTAGCCTGGGCCACATGGCAAAACTCCATCTCTACCACATATACAAAAATTTAGCTAGGCATCGTGGCGGGTGCCTGTAGTTTGAGCTATTTAATAGGCCGAAGCAGGAGGATTGCCTGAGCCCAGGATGTCGAGGCTGCAGTGAGCCAAGATCCTGCCACTACTCTCTAGCCTGGACAACAAAGTGAGACTTTGTCTCAAAAAACAAAAACAAAAAACTAGCTAAGGCGGGCAGATCGCTTGAGCCAAGGAGTTCCAGACCAGACTGGGAAACATGGCAAGATTCCATCTGTACAAAAAAAATACAAAAGAATTAGCCAGGCCGTAGTGGCCTGTGCTGGTGATCCAGCTACTCAGGAGGCTGAGGCAGGAGAATCACCTGAACCCAGGAAGTCAAGGCGGCAGTGAGCCATGATGGTGCCACTGCATTCCAGCCAGGTCAATGGAATGAGACCCTGTCTCAAAAAACATAAATAAATAGAATTAAATTAAGAAAACCAAAGAGTGACAGCAAAGCCCAGAGCATTATAAGACTCTTCCTCCACAACAGGATTATCAACAAAAGCAGTTACAGAAAAAATTACTTAAGAAATTAATAATTTCCAATGTGACCACTTAAGTTTCATCATAAAGTAAATATTTGAAAAACTAATAAGGTTCTCCAGAACTGAAAATGGAGGGATAGCATCTTTGTTACCCTTTCTAAAGAACATTTTCAGAGAGAATAGTGGGATAAACGCACTACATTTTCGACCCAGATTCAGCAACGCTTTTTATTTTTATTTTATGCTTTGATGGTGTCTAGATTTAAGTTACATATATAATGACATTAGCTCTTAATACTTTAGTTTGCATATCCAAATAATTGAGAATATGGTCTTGCATAATACCATTATCACAGCAAAAATAGCAATAACTCCATTAATATAACATTTTGGCCAAATAAATGAAAAACCAGAAAACACAGATTACATTTCCACGTCATTATAGCCACTAATAAAGATTTTTAAAGAAACTGTGAGAAAAACAAGAGCTATAATCATGCATGCAACTACAGTACAACCAAGAATCCACAAAAGATTATGCAAAAAGTACCATCAGCTTGCCAAGAATAACCAAAAATTAGACATTTAAAATAAATTGTTTTATTGAATGTTAAGTCCAAAGCTATTTCGAAAGTTCTCGATTTCCCCCATATTCCTACCAGTGTCATGAACTTGAAAATTGGGGATAATCGGCTTCAGAAATTTGAACTCATTTGTCCCGGAACCTCCTGTCAGACACACCTCGTATTGGTAGCTCTGGGACAGGGTCCCGGTGCCGCTCACGTCCACCAGATGCCCTGGAAAGGGACCCTCGGGCACCGAGCAGCGACCCACCGAGGCCGCCCTGCTCCTCCTGCACAGCCGCACCGCCACGAACAGGAGCACCGAGAAGAGGAAGAGCGACGACACCGAGGCCAATGCCACCACCAGGTAGACGGTGAGGGAGTCGGCCTGGGCCTGGGCCGGGGCCGCCTCAGGGAGCGGCAGGTAGGGCTGGGAGAAGCCGTCCACCAGGAGCACGTGCAGCGTGGCGGTGGCCGAGCGAGGAGGCTCGCCATTGTCCTTGACCAGCACCACCAGCCTGTGCTTGGCCGCGTCGCGCTCGCTCAGCAGCCTGGCGGTGCGCACCTCGCCATTGTGCGCCCACACGCCGAACAGCCCGGGCTCCGTGGCCTTGAGCAGCTGGTACGACAGCCAGGCGTTCTGGCCCGAGTCGCCGTCCACCGCCACCACCTTGGTCACCAGGTAGCCCGGCTCGGCCGCCCGGGGCACCAGCTCGGTGCAGGGCGCGGAGCCGTTCTGCAGCGGGTACAGCACGAAGGGCGAGTTGTCGTTGGCGTCCAGCACCAGCACGCGCACCAGCGCCTCGCTGCTCAACGCCGGGGACCCGCGGTCTGTGGCGCCCACGCGAAACTCGAACTCCTGTAGGGCCTCGTAGTCCAGCGACCTGAGGGCAAACAGGTGGCCATTGTCCGCGTTGATGGAGACCAAGGAGGCGAGGGGCAGGTGCCGGTCCTGGGGCGGCAGCAGCGAGTAGTTGACCTGGGCGTTGGTGCCTGAGTCTCTGTCTGTGGCGCTGACGCTGCCGATGTGCAGGGCGGGGCTGTTGTTCTCGCGGACGAACAGGGTGTAGGAGGTTTGGGTGAAGGTGGGGGCGTTGTCATTGACGTCAGAGAGCAGCACGGTTATGTTGTACTCGGTTTTCAGCCTGGGTGTCCCCAAGTCTGTGACGGTGATCGTGATGTTGTACTCGGCTTGGCTCTCTCTGTCCAGTGCTTTTTCAGAAACTAGAGTGAAAAAGTTCTTGAAGGTCGGTTTCAGGAAAAAAGGGAGGTTATCTTGAATAGAGCAAATCATCCTCCCATTGTCTCCAGAGTCTTGGTCTAGGATACTAAAAAGAGCTACTAGGGTCTCTGAGGCATTCTCTGGAATTCTCTTTGTAATCGACGATATGGTCACTTCTGGTGGGTTGTCGTTTATATCCATAACTTTAACTAGAAGGGTGCATTTTCCTGAAAGACCCCCACCATCTGTTGCCTGAATATTTATAGTGTAGGACTGTATTACTTCAAAATCCAGGGGTGATCTCAAATTAACTTCCCCAGATATTGGATTAATTTCAAATGTTTTACGAATATCTTCTGATGCATGGAAAAATGTGTAAGATATTTTTCCATAGTTTCCTGCATCCAGATCCTTAGCTGAGATGGTGGCAATCCAGGAGCCAAGGGGTCTGTCCTCGGGGACTTGCACCTCATAGAGACTCTGAGGAAACTCAGGGGCATTATCATTGATGTCCAACACCTTGATGAGAACCAAAGTTGTCCCAGACTTGGGCGGGGATCCACCATCCACTGCTGTGAGTGTTAATCTGAGTTCAGCTTCCTGTTCATAATCTAAAGCTCTATCTAGGACCAGCTCTGGGTATATCTTTCTGTCACTACTGTCGGGAATTTTAATGTAGAAGTGAGAATTGGGGCTAATTGTGTAGTTTTGGAGACTGTTGCTTCCGACATCCAAATCTTGAGCACTCTCCATTAGAAAGGTAGCTCCAACAGTGGTACCTTCTGATATTTTAATAAGTATTTCCTTGTCTAGAAATGTAGGGGAGTGATCATTTATGTCTTTGACACACAGCTCAAACCGAAAAAACTGTAAAGGGTTTTCCAAAACCACCTGAAAATGCAGCACACAGGGCTCGGTGGAGCCACACAGCTCGTCTCGGTCTAGTTTCTCATTTAGGAGCAAATTCCCAGTCAGCAAATCAAGGTGCAAATACTTTTTATTATCATCAGACACTACCCGGGCTTCACGTGAAGACAGCTCCTCCACCCCCAGCCCTAGGTCCCTCGCTAGATTAGCCACAAAAGAGCCAATTTCTGTTTCCTCTGCCACAGAATAGTGTGCAGATTCAGTACCTGCCCGAGACAATCCCAGCAAAACAAGGAATATTAGAACTTGCCTTTTTCGCAGATCGAGTGCCCCTCTGATCTCCATGGTTCCTTTAGGCAATCTCTTGTGGAAAAACTGAAGCTCAGCCGTAATTTTGGAAGCTGAAGCTCTGGTTTTTAACAGGAACCCCCTGGAGAGTGTATCCTCCAGCAGCTCTGTAGGCGAAGCTCCTTTAATGCCTGTCTTTTCAGTGGGTTGGATGCTTTCTGTTCTCCTGAATAGCGAAGCTCACCGTGCCAGCCTATGTACTGTTTTCGTCTTATCCTGTAGCGCCACCATGTGTCTCCATGTTTTTTTTTTCATTAAAAAAGTTTTCCTCTTTGAAAAAGTAATTCATAAATACATCCGGAACATTCGAAACAAATCCCAGACATCATTTTTTTTCCTTTAAATACTTCACTAAGTATTTTTAATAGGTAAGGCCTTCTAAAAGATAATTGTAATAAAACGTTCACAATCAACAACTTGAGCAATAATTCCTTGGTGTAATTTATACTGCATTTGGTTTTCCCCAGTTCTCTCCAAAATGTCCTTTGCTGTTGGTTTGTTTGAATTTGAATCCAGAAAAGTCCATACACTGCATTATCACTGTTTTGAATGCTCGGCACTAAAGGATCTGTTAAAATATTCTGAACTGAAGAAATAATTTTTTATTTAAGTCATTTCTCGAGTAATTACAAATATATTATCTCCTTCACTCTTGTAAATACTTGTTGTCAGCTATAGTTGGTAATATCATTACTTTTTTCACTTTTATATTTTAAAAATATAAAGAAGGACATGGCACAAATAAGTTAGAGATAATTCTTGCTCTTACAGAGCTCACAAGCTAGAAAAATTGGCAGACAAGTAAACGAAGTATGTCATAATGTATGCATTTATAAAAAGTAATATAGAAATACCTAGAAAAGACTTCTTGTACCTAGGAGGCTGCATACCTTAGTGCTTGGGAATATGGGATCTGGAACCAAATTATCAATATTAGAATCCTGGTTATGTGACTTACTATCTATAAGCTTGGGCAAGTTATAGATACCTTTGTTTCCTCACCTGTAAAATGGGGTAATAATATTTGTCTCCTATGATTATTATCGTAGGCATCTAATGAATTAATATTTACAAAGTGGTTTGTAAGTGCTGGTTAAGTGTCTGTCAAAAATAAAATAATTAAGATCAAAGTCGGACTTGGGACATCAGTGAAAGCTTTCCTGAGGTAATGAAAAATACATTGTGATCTGAAGGAACTAGCCAGGAGAAGGAGGAATATTTCAGATGGGCATTTTGAGGAACACAGAGAAATGAAGTATGCCTTGGACTTTAAAAACTATGGAAGGGGAGGGTCTAACAATGAAATTAGGGTTAAAAGCATGGTGAGAACATGAATCATTATACAGGTCATATCATGCATTCTTGAATTTATCCTAAAGGTAATTCAAGTACAAAGATGGGTTTTAAATATCTGATTAACATGATTACATCTGCATTTTAAAAAATCAGTTTGGCTGCAGTATGGAGAATTAATTTCAGGGGGAGTGACTGGAGAATCAAGGAGATCAGATAAGAGATGATGATCTGGATGAGGATAATGCCAGTGTGGATGGAGAGAAGAGGGATGAATAGAAAGGTATGAGGAGATGAAATGTTTTCAACTGTTGGTTGATAGGTTGCATGGGGAGAAAAATGGGAAAGACTCAGAGATGATATCACACCTCTGGACTGGGCATCTGGATGACTAGTGGTGTCATTCACTAGGACAGGGAATGCTAAAAAAAAACATGATTGGGGTGGAAAAAGATGAAGTGTTCAGTTTTGAACATGCTGATATTGAGGTAAGTGCCTGTAGGATGTGTGTTTGCGTGGTGGTGGGGTGTGTGTGTGTGTGTTTGCATATAACCAAAGCATAGGAAATAAATCTGAGCTGGCAATATGAACTGTGGTGTGTATATATGTATATATATAGAGAGAGACAGAGAGAGACAGAGAGAGAGAGCATATATATAGCATATATATAGAGAGAGAGCATATATATAGCATATATACAGAGAGCATATATATAGCATATATATATATATAGCATTCATGGTTTCAATCACCATATATATATATATATATATATATATACACACCATGAATGCTCTAGGATAACCAAGCAAAAGTGTGTCAAATAAGTATAAAAGAGGCTTGGCACAGAACTCTGAGAAACATCTTCATTTAGAGGAGACAGGGCAAGAAGTATATTTGAAAAGATAAAGAAGGCTCAGAGTTCAAAATCATGAAATCAAAAGCAAATAGCATTTTAAGGAGATAAGGAAGATCAATGGCTGCAAATGCTTCAGAAAAATCAAGAAAAATAAGTATGACAATTATCCAGTGGGCTTAAAAAGATGGTCATTGTGGAGGATTCTGATAGATGTCTGACAAAATCTGTTTTCCTTTGCTTCTATAGTAATAGAACTGTGCCCAGGTATGTGGCCATGAAGGTAGATTGCCCATCCCAGCCTCCCTTGTATTTGAGTGTGGCCAAGTGAATTAAGTTCTCACAGATGGATTGTGAGCAGAATTTCTGTCTTCCCCTTCCAGTTATAGAACAGAAATCATCTGGATATGCCTCTTTCTTCCAAGCGAGCTAGAACCCAGATGTGACAGTGACCCAGCTACAGCCATGCAGATTATATTGCCATAGGGAATGTTGAAGAAATTACTTGAAAGAAAATTTGGTTTCAGAAGGACTGTGAGGATGAAAGCTGCCCTACCTACCTAATAATTTTTACATTGGTACTGTCATGTGAAAAAGAGAGACATGTTTACAAGCCACTGTGTCATTGCATCACATTGGTTCCACAGTATAATCTTAACTTATATGGAAATCTTTGATAACATTTGCAATAGCAGTTTCAGTAGAATGGTTGTGATGAAAATTAGATTGTACTTCGGTGCAAAGTGAGGCGGATGAGGAAGCAAAAATGAGGTAAACCGCTCTTTCAACAATTTTTTTTTTGAGACAGGGTCTCAGTCTGTCACCCAGGCTCACTGGCTCACTGCATCCAGGCTCTCAAGAAATTTGTAAAGAATGAAAAGGCTGTAAAAGGAATAAGAAATACATTGGTATCTGGAGAAGAATTCAGACTCAGAGAGTATTTTAAAGACTAGAGAAACTTGAATATATTTAAAATGCCAATGTGTAATGTTCAGTAGGGAAGGAGAAAATTAAGATACAGAAGGGATAATGCAAGTCCCCTAGAAAGGTTGTTAAAGATGGGATCCAGGCAATGTATGAAGTGTTTGGATTTAGACCAGTGGGACGGACCTCAGCAGGTGAAAAGTATAGATACAGATGCTGTTAAAGCTGTGGAGTAGGGGACAGGAAAATGAATTTCTAGCTGATGGATTCTATTTTCTCAATAAGGTATCAGGCAAGTTCATCGGATAAAAGGGGGTATCTAAGTGGTAGGGTAAGAAGTTTAAAGTAAGATACGTAGGTTTAAAATAGTTGTTGTGGAGCGTAGAAGAGAAAGCTCGTTAGAAAAATTATAAAAGGAGTTCTTGGTCTCAGAAGCCCAATTAGGTTTGAATATTATACATTTATAGTGGCAGTGGTATTGCTAATTTTGTAAGTTTGGTCTTATAGAGTGCAGCACCCCATGTGTAAGAGAGGAGGAGGACTATATTCATCTGGGCTGGAGTTTCATCAGGTGGTTTTAGTGAAGGAAAATTGAACAAGGGAATTGAGAATATGGGCATGAGAGCAACTGGGAGTGGTAAACCAGGAAATCAGCTGAATAGGAAGGAAATTAAAACAGGAGCGTTTGATAGGTAGTAACAGCACCATGGAATGGAGCTCTGATAAGGTCAAAGACAAGATGTGATAGAAACAGCAGAATGAGAAGGTTATAGGCATAGACAATTGTGCACTCAGAGGGAGATAGCTGAAATTATTATATCATAGAACAGTTTCTTGGTGGGGAAAAAGTACAATATGTAGCCAGGGCATTAATGACTGAAAAACAGGAGTAGAGGTAAAGACTTAGGGACTGAGAGGCCATGTTGTTAGATTAATCAGTGGACCCAGGAGTGGTGGTAGAACTTGAAACAGAAAGATAAAGAGAACAATGTGTTTGTAAGATAAAATGTCCTATGTCCCTTTTCCCTCCCATACTATTGCCTAAATAAAAAAAAAATACTGTTATTTGGTTTTTATTGTAAGCGTTTTCAGGAGAATCCATTCTGTAAGGCTGGGCCATCTCTTGTGTCTCTATTTTCTAAGTGTCCTTTAACCCCCGCTAGATAAAAAATTATATTCTAAGTTACTTACAACCTATAGTTCTTTCATATAAAATTGGCTGATACAGCTTGATTCCTATGCACTGTTTTAAGTATAACTATAAATGAGGTCTTTGAAGCATATAAGCAAAATTCGTTTTTAGCAATGCATTCTAGGAGAATTGGTTGGTTATATGTATCTGGGCATTTGAGCTCCTGAATGCCTGGTCACTCTTCATTAGAGCCAGGAAACTCATAGTTCTTTTTATAAAGAGAGGAGTCCTGCTGCTCATATATCTAGAAAAACTGGAAGTAACAGGACAAGTACTTGGCCCTTCTCTCCACTGTTGCACCAGCGAGATTTTCTGTCTGAGTTGTTTGAACTACTCTTTCCCACTCCACCAGTAGATATGAGAAGATCACAGGGAAGCTGCTAGAATAACTCCCACCTTTGGAGGCCAGAAGTTCAACAGCCTGGGCGACATGATGAGAACCCATCTCTACAAAAATTTTTTTTAAAATAGCTGGGGGTGCTACTCGGGAGACTGAGGCAGGAGAATGGCGGGAACCCAGGAGGCGGAGCTTGCAGTGAGCCGAGATCGCGCCACTGCACTCCAGCCTGGGTGACAGAGTGAGACTCTGCCTCAAAAACAAAACAAAACAAAAAACAAACAAACAAACAAAAATAGCTGTGGGGGGTGGCATGTGCCTGTGGTCCCGGCTACTTGGGATGCTGCGTCAGGAGGATTGCTTGAGCCCAGGAGGTCAAGGCTTCAGTGAGCTATGATTGCACCACTGCACTCCAGCCTAGGTGACTAAGACCCTGTCTCTAAAACATAAACAAAGAAAGAAAAAAGAAAAGAATAATTACTCAGTTGACAAAGCTCAACAGAACCAGTAGTGAAATCTGAGTCAGAAGTATAAACATTAGGTTGTCTTAGATATGCTATTAAAAGAGATTGCACTTCTTGGCATTATCAACTGACTAATACCCAGTCCCTCTACAATGTTAAGATAAAGTTTTAAAATATCTTCAAGAAGTAGTTGAGGCCAGGTGCTCATACCTGTAATCATAGCACTTTGGGAGGCTGAGGCAGGCAGACTGCTTGAGCTCAGGAATTCGAGACCAGTCTGGGCAATATGATGAAACCTCGTCTCTACTAAATATGCAAAAATTAGTGGGTGTGGTGGCCTGGGCCTGTAGTCCTGGGTACTAGGGAGGCTGAGGTGGGAGGATCACTTGAGCCCAGGAGGTGGAGGTTGCAGTGAGTGGAGATCACAGTGAGTGGAGATCACACCACTGCACTCCAGCCTGGGTGACAGAACAGGACCTTGTCTCAAAAAATAACATAAGAGAAGCAACTGAGTCTAGTCTGTGGCACTGGAAGTAGTCATTTTGCTCATCCCCATGAATTTCCTCTTTTCCATGCTTTCTCTCTCTCTCTCATACACATGCTTGTTTTGCCTCTATACTTTTACTCATTTTGTTATTCTACATTTTTCTCCCACAACATAGACTGTAGACTTTGATAAAAGTCATGGAAAATCTCCTCCTCCAACCTTGAAGTCTTTTTCTTACATAGTGTGTCAGATCCTTAAAGGTAAGAGTGATTTAACATGAGACAAAGCTACTCCCCTACAATGCTTTGAAAATTTTTTTAAAATTAGAACCCTAAGGGACTATCTTTTGATACTATCAATGTTCAACATCTGGTATGCTTTTATATGTCTGAGAAAAGTGGTTTTCAAACTTTGGGTTACTACCCACTAGTATACCATGAAATAAATTTAGTGGATCATGACCACATTTGAAAATTGAATAGAATGAAATATATAGGTAATTTCAAATTATGTCATAAAAAGACTAAGCATTGTTCACAAGCATTTATTTCTATTAAGCTTGTGTGTTTCAAAATATGTAAAATATAATCTTAACTATTGGTTGCAGTAAAAAAAGTTTGAAAAATAGTTTCTGGTGTATATACATTAAATTATATGATAGTACAGGCAAAAATTTTTACACATTAACACACAACTCCAATTTATGCTATATGAATTATTATTTGGGCACAGGCATCTGCATTCAACTAGATTGCACTAGAGCTTTGTGACATTAATTAAAAAATTATAGCTTCATATTCCCAGATTCTGTGATTGGTCACAATATTAATGTGCCTGCACAATCCTCTCCAGGATGAATGAGGAAAGGATACTAAAAAACTGGTCTTCTGACCCTTTCGAATCAAGTGATAACACTTAGAGTTGTATCATAGGATATAGGTTTTCTGGTTTATTTTTGAAAGCAAAAAGCATATTTAAAGGTTAACTAAAAACGCACTGGATTTACAAAAAAGAAAAATGATATGTCTGAATAGGAGTCATTATTTTAAGACTAAAAAAAGAGAATCAAATGAAGAAATGCTGGAAAATTGGAATCACTTCCAAATTGCTCTATTTAATTTTACCATAAGCATAATAGTGGGTGAAGTTCAGCTAAAGATAGGGGCATGAAAAAAATGTGATTTGGTATTGCTCTTTAGGGAGGCAAATTAATTACAAATTAAGACCATCTGGGTTAAAGAATGAATTGTCACCTTTTAAGAACCAGGAATAAAGGTAAATGTTCACTTTAAAACAAAGGGAGAAAGAACATGAGAAAAATCAAGAGTAAATCCGTACAATATTACATACACACAAATTGGGGGAAATAAACATTGGCATGGAAATGCCACAAAATAAAATACCTATGGAATGTAAAAGTCAACTATGGTCACTGAATATTGAACCCAAAGTTATTGGGGAAGGTAGAATTTCCTTGTATTTCTTTCCCAGGGCACTGGGGAGGGAAGTTGGGGATAATCGGCTTCAGGAACTTGAACTCATTGGTCCCTGAGCCTCCTGCCAGACACACCTCATACTGGTAGCTCTGGGATAGGGTCCTGGTGCCGCTCATGTCCACAAGATGCCCTGGAAGGGGGCCCTCGGGCACCAAGCAGCGACCCACCGAGGCCGCCCTGCTCCTCCTACACAGCCGCACCGCCACGAACAGGAGCACCGAAAAGAGGAAGAGCGAAGACACCGAGGCCAACGCCACCACCAGGTAGACGGTGAGCAAGTCGGCCTGGGCCTGGGTCGGGGCCGCCTCCGGGAGAGGCAGGTAGGGCTGGGAGAAGCCGTCCACCAGGAGCACGTGCAGCGTGGCGGTGGCCGAGCGCGGAGGCTCGCCATTGTCCTTGACCAGCACCACCAGCCTGTGCTTGGCCGCGTCGCGCTCGCTCAGCAGCCTGGCGGTGCGCACCTCGCCATTGTGCGCCCACACGCCGAACAGACCGAGCTCCGTGGCCTTGAGCAGCTGGTACGACAGCCAGGCGTTCTGGCCCGAGTCGCCGTCCACCGCCACCACCTTGGTCACCAGGTAGCCCGGCTCGGCCGCCCGGGGCACCAGCTCGGTGCAGGGCGCGGAGCCGTTCTGCAGCGGGTACAGCACGAAGGGCGAGTTGTCGTTGGCGTCCAGCACCACCACGCGCACCAGCGCCTCGCTGCTCAGCGCCGGGGAGCCGTGGTCTGAAGCGCCCACGCGGAACTGGAACCCCTGCAGGGCCTCGTAGTCCAGAGACCTGAGGGCGAACAGGTGGCCGTTGTCCGCGTTGATGGAGACCAGGGATGTGAGGGGCAGGTGCGGGTCCTGGGGCGGCAGCAGCGAGTAGGTGACCTGGGCGTTGGTGCCTGAGTCTCTGTCTGTAGCGCTGACGCTGCGGATGTGCAGGGCGGGGCTGTTGTTCTCGCGGACGAACAGGGTGTAGGAGGTTTGGGTGAAGGCGGGAGCGTTGTCATTGACATCGGCGATCAGCACGGTCATATTGAGCTGTGTTATCAGCATAGGGGTCCCCAAGTCAGTGACAGTGATAGTGATGTTGTATTCCGCTCTGCTTTCTCTGTCTAGTGGTCTCTCCGTTAGTAGGGTGTAAAAGTTTTCCGCGGATTTCAGGAGGAAGGGTAGATCCTCCTGAATGGAGCAACTAATTTTCCCATTTTCTCCTGAATCAAGATCTGAAACACTGAAAAGTGCAACCACAGTTTCAGGCGCGTTCTCAGGTATTGGGCTGGTAAATGCAGACATGGTAACTTCTGGGGCATGGTCGTTCACATCTATCACTTGAATCAGAACGGTGCATTTTCCAGAAAAGGTTCCAGCATCTCTTGCCTCAATATTGACTTCATAGGACTGAAGTTTTTCGAAATCGAGTTGTTTTTTTAGTTCAATTTCTCCTGTCAAGGGATTGATCTTAAAGGTTTTGCCAATCTCTTCTGAAGCTTGGAAAAGTGAATAGGAAATCTCTCCGTTGACTCCTGTGTCTACATCCGTGGCAGAGACCTTCACAACCAGGAAGCCTACCGGACTGTCCTCAGAGATCTGCACTCTATAGAAAGGCTGCTCAAATTCAGGGGCATTATCGTTGACATCCAGGACTTCGATGTAGACCTGAGCAGTGCCAGATCTGGGCGGAGAGCCACCATCCAGTGCTGTGAGTGTTAACCTGAGCTCAGCTTCTTCCTCTCGGTCCAGCGCTTTGTCCAGCACCAGCTCTGGGTATTTCCTGCCATCACTGCGTTTGCGGGTGAGGACCCGAAAATAGGAGTTGGGGCTGATTATATAGTTCTCAATATTGTTTTGGCCTACATCTAAGTCTTCGGCATTCTTCAGAGGAAACGTAGTCCCAGGAGGACTGCTCTCTGATACTTTCACCAACATTTGTTTGTCCAGAAATACTGGAGAGTGGTCGTTTATGTCTATTACTTGCAGCTCAGCTTGAAAAAACTCGAAGGGACTCTCTAGCAACACTTGGAAACGTAGCACACAGGGCTCTGTGTGACCGCACAGATCCTCACGGTCCAATTTCTCATTTAGCAACAAATCCGCGGTCTCCTGATTGAGCTGCAAATGTAGTTTGTTCCCTCTGGAAACAACCCTAACCCCCCGCCTGGAGAATTCCCTCTGCTCCAGACCCAGGTCCTTTGCTAAATTGGTGACAAAGGAGCTGCCCTCAGTTTCCTCCACCACAGAATAGCTTCTAGGTTCCGCCGCGCCCGCCAGAGATAAGCCCAAAAGGAGAAAGGAAAAAAGGACTTGCCTTTGTCTGCAAATGAGCTTCCCGCTGGCCTCCATTGTTCTTGCTGGATTCAGCTTCCTGGGAGGACGGTTCTGTGGGACTGTAAAGTCCCCAGTATCTGAGGCTGTGGTTATTCTACAGATACCTCAGAAATATGCCAGTGAGTAGTCCTCTCCAGAGGACCCAGCCGTCCTCCCTTTGGCATCCAAGCTCCCCGTGGACTTCCAGGTTCTGCTGCTTTTTGCCGGTTAATGGAGCTGCAGCTGCGGTTCTGGTTTGTGCCTTCTTATCCTGCAGCGCCACCACGCGTCCTCACAGGATCTTACATTTTGTGGAATGATAATGGATGTAATATTCCCAACTCTGCCTGTATGCACCCCGAGACTATGTAAGGTTACAACACCACCGTTAATATCGCCGGACTTTAGTGAGCAGACAACTGCCCAAAGGAGAAATCACATTAGTCTTTCAACAATGATAACTGAGTTTTGGGCAGAAAGGAAATATTTAGGTAATAGTCTAGCTTGGCAAAAAGAATTTCAAATATAATTGTAGTTATCATGGACAACATTTAGATCTTTATAGTTTTATTTCCATGAACCATAGGAATAATTAGTAGCTGTGAACCTCGAACAAATTATTTAATCTCTCTGCTTTAGTTTGCTCCTCTGTAAAGTGAGGATAAGAACAGTACCTACCACATAGGGCTGTTGTGAATTCCCCACCTTAAACATGAGGAATCTAATGCAAATAGATATTAACCTTAAAAATAAGGTATATACCAAGTATAAAGCAATTTGATGCCATCAAGTAACTGAGTCTTGATGGCATAAATCCATCATAAGTCTAGCATAAATCCATTACTATAACTAGATAAACACCTCGAAATTCAAATGGTAGAAGAATACAGGAGCATGACTATCTCAGGTAGAGAGGTTATGTCCAATAATGAAAGGAAATGAACAAGGAAAGGCTGGAGAGTTTGTCTAAATAGAGACAATATCTGTAACAGCAGTGGTGATTTTGTTTCTGGGAAGGATGTCCTTTTTTATTACCTCCACTTCTAACAGCATCAATTAAAAGACATTATTTTGAAATTTTTCAAATCTCATAAAAGAGAGGAGTATAATGATCCTCCAAGGACTCAGTACTAGCTTCAACTATTATCAATGTTTTGCCATAATTCTTGACTCTATCCCTTCAACATTTTCACATCCCAGACAAACTGAATTTTCTCCCACAAATACGTCATTATACATTTCTTTAAAAGCATCATGACTTTAAATGACTCTAAAAATATGCTTAAGTACAATGCCATTATCATACCTAAAAATCAAGTTAACATTATTTAATACCCATCTATATTCAAATTCTTCCAAGTTTTTCAAAGTCATTGCTGTTGTTTCAATCAAGATCCAAAAAAGATCCACACATTGTATTTGAGTGGTAGACCTCTTAAGATTTTTCCTTGTGTAAACTTCACTCCTCTTATTTTTTGAGCCATTTATTTGTCAGAGAAATTGGATAATTTTACCCTGAGACCATGAAAGCAATTTTAGATTTTACTACTGTGAGTTTTTGTCCTTAGATTCTATCCCACCAGTGATATGCAGTAATACTAGCTTTATTAGAGTTACTGGCACTAGTTTATAATATATTTAGAACACAACTATGCAAAAATTACCTATTTTAAATATAAGAATCGGTTATATATTTTTAACAAACAATGCTTCTCCTTAACTCCCCAAAATTTCTAAAAATTTAATGATCATCTATATTTCTCTTTGATATTACACATTTAAATCTATTCTTTTTCTTAAATTTTCCTGATTCAGCAGTGCAGTATAGGTAAGAAAAACTGCTAAAAACAAACTCTCAAATCAGGAAAATATATTACAAATGTAAGCATGGGTGACTCTGGAAATATACTACAATGTAAAGAAAATAATTAACTAATAATGCCATCAAAATTATGTACTATTCCTAATCAGGACCATTAATCTTTTCTGTGAAATGATAGTTATATGTTCAGGAGACAATGAGAAGGCATAGGTTGCTCTTTCAATTTTGTTTTTTACTTAAGATTTGGGCAGATCAGAGCATTAGTAATAATAGCTGAAAATTTACCCAGAAAAGCAAGATTACTGGTTTATAAGAAAATGAAATCATAGATAAAGTTTATTTCTAAATAAAGATTGAACAGTAGTATGAATACGATAAAAACTTTTCTTCTCTTTAGTTAGGCAGAAACTTGCCAGGTGATATCCAATGACAAAAACAGTATGGAATGGGAGCAAAGTCACTGACTTAGAGTCAGGCAGATCTAGGATGGATGCTCAGTTTTGTCACTTATTAGTTAGTGGACCTTAGTGAACTTACTGAATCTCTAAGACCGTCTATTTGGTCATTACTAAAATACCATGTCACATATGTTTCTTCTGAGATTAAAAGTGTGAAAATAGTGTATGATTCATAAAACAACTTTTTTTAAAAAAATAAAGTTTAAAAAGGTACACTACAATCTATGCTTCTGAAACTAGGGTAGGTATACTCGAACAGCATTCTAATCAACTCAGAAAACAAAAGTCACAGTAAATATTGAAAACAATGGAAAGCAATTTAAAATATCTCAAACAAGACTTACCACTTAATAGACTTTATATTAAGCATAATTGTTTGACATAAACCATTACACATGCACATTTCCTGCTTTGTGAAGTGTTCTTGGTACTAAATCTGTATCCTTTTCTATGTAAAGAAATTTATTTCTTGACTTGAAGAGTATGTATTTGAAGTGATCAAAAATACTACTTTACAGGCACCTCACGATAAGTTCCTAATTATAAATGTATTCATAAACACAGGTTTTATTTTTCATTCTTTATCAGAAACCCAAATTATTCTGAAATGGGGGATTTTCTTCGACTTCACTACCTGTGCTCTGGGGTAGGAAGTTGGGGATAATTGGTTTCAGAAATTTGAACTTATTTGACCTGGAGCCTCCAGTCACACACACCTCATAGTGGTAGCTCTGGGACAGGGTCCCGGTGCCACTCACGTCCACCAGATGTCCTGGAAAGGGGCCCTCAGGCACCGAGCAGCGACCGACCGGGGCCGCCCTGCTCCTCCTGCACAGCCGCACCGCCACGAACAGGAGCACCGAGAAGAGGAAGAGCGACGACACTGAGGCCAACGCCACCACCAGGTAGACAGTGAGCGAGTCGGCCTGGGCCTGGGCCGGGGCCGCCTCCGGGAGAGGCAGGTAGGGCTGGGAGAAGCCGTCCACCAGGAGCACGTGCAGCGTGGCGGTGGCCGAGCGCGGAGGCTCGCCATTGTCCTTGACCAGCACCACCAGCCTGTGCTTGGCCGCGTCGCGCTCGCTCAGCAGCCTGGCGGTGCGCACCTCGCCATTGTGCGCCCACACGCCGAATAGCCCGGGCTCCGTGGCCTTGAGCAGCTGGTACGACAGCCAGGCGTTCTGGCCCGAGTCACCGTCCACCGCCACCACCTTGGTCACCAGGTAGCCCGGCTCGGCCGCCCAGGGCACCAGCTCGGTGCAGGGCGCGGAGCCGTTCTGCAGCGGGTACAGCACGAAGGGCGAGTTGTCGTTGGCGTCCAGCACCAGCACGCGCACCAGCGCCTCGCTGCTCAAAGCCGGGGAGCCGTGGTCTGTGGCGCCCACGCGGAACTGGAACCCCTGCAGGGCCTCGTAGTCCAGCGACCTGAGGGCAAACAGGTGGCCGTTGTCCGCGTTGATGGAGACCAGGGAGGCGAGGGGCAGGTGCGGGTCCTGGGACGGCAGCAGCGAGTAGTTGACCTGGGCGTTGGTGCCCGAGTCTCTGTCTGTGGCGCTGATGCTGCCGATGTGCAGGGCGGGGCTGTTGTTCTCGCGGACGAACAGGGCGTAGGAAGTTTGGGTGAAGGCGGGGGCGTTGTCATTGACGTCGGAGACCAGCACGGTTATGTTGTGCTCGGTTTTTAGCCTGGGGGTCCCCAAGTCGGTGACGGTGATGGTGATGTTGTACTCGGCTCTGCTCTCTCTGTCCAGCGGTCTCTCTGTTTCCAAAGTGTAGTAATTATTTACCGAAGATTTTAGCACGAATGGGATGTCCTCCGGGATAGAACAAACCATCTTTCCGTTGTCCCCAGAGTCTCTGTCTCGTATCCTGAAAACCATAACCACAGTCTCTGGAGTGTTTTCTGGGATTGGACTGGTAATTGATGACACAGTGATTTCAGGAGCGTTGTCGTTTACATCCATCACCTGAATTCTGACTGTAGATTTTCCAAAAAGTCCTCCCCCATCTGTGGCTTGAATGATTATTGAGTATGACTCAATTGCTTCAAAATCCAAAGGTGCTGTTAAAGTAATGTCACCAGACTTTTGATTAATTTCAAATGTCTTGCGAATATCTTCTGAGGCATGGGAAAAGGTATAGGATAGTTCACTGTTTGTTCCAGAGTCTAAATCCCAGGCTGAGACGGTCACAACCAGGGAGCCAAGGATGCTATTCTCCAGAATCTTCACCTCATAAAAAGCCTGCTCAAACTCAGGGGAGTTGTCATTAATATCTACAACCACCACCCTGACCAAGGCAGTTCCAGACCTGGGAGGGGACCCGCCATCCAGAGCAGTGAGGATGAAACTGAGCTCCGGGCGCTCTTCATAATCCAGCGCCTTGTCCAGAACTAACTCAGGGTATTTCCTATTGTCTGGATTGACTCTTATTTTAACGTGGAAATGAGAGTTCGGATTTATTGTGTAGCTTTTTACAGCATTGATTCCTACATCTAAATCCTTTGCACTTTCAAGCAAGAACACAGCACCAACAGGACTGTTCTCTGGGATTTCTAAGAGCATTTCTTTTTCCAAGAAGACGGGAGAGTGATCATTTATATCCCTGACCTGGAGCTCAATTTGTAAAAACTGCGTGGGGTTTTTCATTAACACTTGGAAATACAGCACACAAGGCTCATTGGAGCCACAGAGCTCCTCCCTGTCTAGCATTTCTCTCAGGAGCAAATCCCCAGTGTTTGTGTCCAGCTGCAAACACTCTTTGTTATCATTAGAAACCACCCGAGCCCCCCGCGAAGACAGCTCACTCACCTCGAGTCCCAGGGTCTTTGCCAAATTTCCTACAAAGCTCCCGCTCTGCAATTCCTCCATCACCAAAAAGTTCCCAGTTTCAGAGCCCGCCTGAGACATTCCCAGCAAAACAAAGAAAAGCAGGACTTGCCTTATCTGCAGAGTGCCTGCCCCTCCGTTTTCCATAGCTTCTTTTCCAAAACCCCAAAATCTTCTTGCAGAATTGCCTCAGCGCCTCTTCGCAGTTGTGGGAAACGTGCCTCTGATCTGTCTACCAAATCCTCGGAAGCCTGAAGATTTTAACCTTGTTGAATGGCTTCTAGGTTCTCCCTTAAAGGATTGTTCTTTCTGTCTTCCCAGTTCTCCGCGTGTACTGGATAACAGGGTCTACAACATCCTCCAGGGTAATTTTTTTCTTGATATTATCCTGCAGCGCCACCACGCGTCTCCACAGATTTTCACAGTTTGATGAACACTACCTAAATTTTATTTACATAAATGTCCTCCAGAAGCAAATAAATATTGCGTTTAAATAATTCCTTCTGTTGAAGTAATTAAAAATATATTTTATCTTCCATAATAATCGTTTTATATTCTTTATAGTTTGTGATGATGATTTTGTTTTAAAGCATTTATTCAGTGTCTTTCCCCACTCTTCTCACAACCAAATGTGTTCAGTTGTGGTAAACACAGATACAAGATGTGATCCCTGGCTCCCAGGAATTCATAGTGTTTCTGAGACAATTGTAAGCCTGAAACAAGCAGGGTATAAGTGATTGTTAAGCTGAATGAAATTCTATTACTACTTGGCTTTCCTTACGTGATAAGGTAAAGGAAAGGTCATCTCAGAAATCCTTTCTGAAGTTATGAAACTGGATTAACCATGAGATGAGGCATATATAGGTCAACACAACAGCATAAAAAGGCACTTCTGTAGATTTCCTTAATAGCAATGAATTGTGAACAGGCAGAAAATGAAGCAAGAGATTGGGGTGGAACATGTTATGTAAACCCATCATTTAGTTCCAGTTTTTCATAATTTACAAAAAAATTCATAAGTACACAAGCATGAGCAAGTTAGTTTAATTTAAAGCAGACTCTTATTCCTAAAGCTGACTTGCCTTAGGTTCCCAAAATTTATTGTAGCCACAACTGTAGCTATCTGTTTTCTCTTTCAGCCCAGGAAGAGAAAGTAAGAGTCTATCCCTAAACATAGAACAAAAACCTAACTTTCACTCTAATTAGACCAAGTAAGATCATGTGTCTGCCACTGAAGCAATCATTGTTTCAAGAGGTATAGAATTATAGTTGGAGATTTTAGTCCTAGAATCTAAAGACCTGTCTCTGGCCATTACTGTGTTTTAATCCTGTCTGGGACCACCTCTTAAGCTTGGGAAGGTTTCAGTCCTAGCCAAAGTACCTCATTGGTACAAAATGAGGGAGACTGTTTGCAACAGATGCTAAGGGCTCATCAGTGATATTCACTATAGAAAGTCTTAAAGTGCACTAAGAATGGATGGGAGAAGAATCCAACAAGTCTGCATTTTAAAATGTTAAATTCAATTAATATTCTTAAAAATGTAAGCTGGATACATGGTTGAAATAGTAATTGGTACAGAAGGGTAAAACTTGAAAAGTAGATGAATTGAGCACACACAATTAACCTCTCTTTTTAAAAAAAAATATGCACTAAAATGGCAGAAAAGTAATTAAAATGGTAGGAACTAACAAAGATTAAGAATACACAAGTGAACACATACATTTTTCTATGACAGAAAGCAGGTGGAAGAGCAATTAACTTAGCAGTTCCAAAAAGTGCCCCTAAAGTAAAGTTCCTGCATTGAAGATACTCACAAGAAACATAATCTCTTTTAAGCGCAAGATCTGGAGGAACCAGATGTTTAAGAAGACTGAAGTCAGTTAAGGATGGAAAAAAGTTATTAGTTGGAAGTATGTGTAGAGGATAATTGAATTCTCTGTTCTTCTCATCACCCTACATAGATGGAAACATAACTCACAGCCAGAAAATAGAAAGTTTATTCTCTGGAGAAATTTAATGGGACTTTCTCTAGTCTTGGGGATCTAGGCACAGCTGAGCACAAGTGTGAGGTGTCAAACTGAAAATAGGGAGAGTAAGCAAACCTTTGCATTTTGCATGGTGAGACTTCTAATCCCTTTTCATGCAATACTCTTAGACTGTAGGACACAAAGTGTATGCCTGACCCCTAGTCTATCCCCATAGTGTATATTGTAGAATTCTAACCTGGAGAATATGAAAGCCCAAATGAAGACACATATTAATATTTGGCATCTCATAAGGTAATAGACTTATCCTAGCATGGTTATATTAGAATGAAGCCCTGCCATCAACAGGTACTGTTCGCTCACAGAGTTGATTGTCAGCATTTTGATATATCATCCTTCTAAAATACGAGAAGATAGCCAAGGCATTTGAGGAAATGCCTGCAACATAACATAGAAAGACCAAAACTACCACCATCGCTACCATCAAGAAAAAAAAAAGGAACAATAATATAGAAAGCAGAAGAAAGCCTTTGAAAATGTCTGGTTAATATTCCCAGAGAAAGAAAATCTAATAAAAGCTAATACTTATTTAGTATTTACTCTATGCTACTCATTGTTCTAAGTGCCTCATAATGCATTTATCCATTTAATCTAAATAGTAGCTGTATGAAGTATGTATTTATCCACTTAATCTAAATAGTAACTATATGAAGTACATATTCCTATTGTAAGATGAAGACTAGATTAGGACTTCAGTGCTTTTTACTAGCTATATTACCTTGGACAAGTTCTTAACTCCCCTTAGACTCACTTTCACTTTTAAAATGGATATATAATAATGATACTGCCTAATGCATTTTTAAAGAAAAGATTAATTATAAATGAGAGAAAATATTACATTTATAAATCTATGACAGGATGCCATGAAAAACATTCAGAGAACCAAAAACAACTCTTAAAAGTAAATATTTTTCAGTCATAAAGAAAAACTTATACATAAAACATTGAGTGATTAAATAAATTGTCCAAAAAATGGAATGAGAGGCAAAGAGAAAATAAGAAAGGAAAAATGGCTTATAGTCTTATAGAGTCAATCTAGGAGGTCTAATATTTAACTGAGATTTTCATTGAAGTGAGAATCCAGAAAACTCAGAGGAGAAATTATGAGTAAAACATACCAAGGAAATTCCTTTTAACAAATTGTTTTTGTGTAGAGATAGGTTCCCACTATGTTGCCCAGGGTGGTCTCAAACTCGGGGCCTCAAATAATCCTGCCTCAGCTTCCCAAAGTACTGGGATTGCAGGTGTGAGTCACCATGCCCAACCAAAATTTCTCAGAAATAAAATTGATAGTCTGAACATTAGCCAAGGGGTCTAGCACATGCCTGTAGTCCCAGCAACTTGGAAGGCTGAGGCAGAAGTAGCTCTCGAGTTAGAGCTTGCAGGGTGCTGTGATTGTGCCTGTGAATAGCCACTGCACTCCAGCCTGGGTAACACAGTGAGACATCATCTTAAAAAAAAAAGAAAAGTTAAACATGAACAGGGCATAGCGATATAACCAGATTAATCAATAAAGAGCCAGTACTAAGGTATTTTCAGAAGACCAGGGGAATTTTTTTCAATGCTCACAGAAAGAAAGAAAAAAAGGGGGGGAATCACATAAAAAGACATAGGAATCAGAATGGAATCAGTCTTCTGAACAGCAATTCTATATGCAGTCAATAAAAGGAGCAGTGCTTTTGAAATCTGAGGGAAAATTATTTTCAACCTAGAATGTTATGCCCAAACTATCAATCAAATAAAAAAAAAGAAAATAACAAAGCAAGCTCTCAAAAAGTTTTATTTCCTCTGTATCCATTTTTATGAAGGTACTGAGAGATGTGCATCAACAAAATAAGTGAGTAAACTAAGAAAGAAGAATGTACTGGATCTTATAAAAAAGGACCAACAAAGAAAAATATTTTTTAAAGTCCTAGGGTGACAGCCTATAGAGCAACCAGTATGAATGAAGTAGAGATCTGGGTGCAAGATCACCAAGAAATAAACATAATTGACAGGTATCTGATATATTTGAATATTTTGAGAAGAAAGAGATTCAAATTAGAGAATGTAAAGAAACTAATATTAGTAAATGGAAAATTATGTAAGTACAAAACAATTTTCAGTTCTAGGAAAAATGTTTCTCAAGAAAGGAAATTTAATCACACTACACTAATGTGTATTTTGAAGAAAGCTTAGCAATATGGACACTATTAGTTTAACTTAAAAAAAACTGTAGGCTGGGCACTGTGGCTCACGCCTGTAATCTCAACACTTTGGGAGGCTGAGGCAGGAGGATCAGCTGGGGTCAGGAGTTCAAGACAAGCCTGGCCAACATGGTGAAACCCCATCTCTACTAAAGCTACAAAACTAGCCAGGTGTGGTGGTGGGTGCCTGTAATCCCAGCTATTCAGGAGGCTGAGGCAGGAGAATCACTTGAACCTGGGAAGCAGAGGTTACAGTGAGCTGAGATCACACCACTGTACTCCAACCTGGGCGACAGAGTAAGACTCTGTCAAAAAGAAAAAAAAAACTGTAACAATTTTATTGGGAGAATAGGAGAAAGGGAATGTGCAGTGCTTATATTGGTTTACATTAGTTGAAAAGAAAGTTAAATCTTTTTTAAAAAATACATAGCAAGAAGTGATTAAAATGTAAAATGGAGTAGCAAGATTTAACAGCAAAAACATATCATTTAGAAGTATTGAGGTAATTCTAGAAGAAGCCACTCAATAGAAGGAGACTGGAAATTAAAGAAAATATTGTTCTGTTCTTTTCTTTTCTTTCTTTCTTTTTTTTTTTTTTTTTTTTTTTTTTGAGACGGAGTATCGCTCTGTCACCCAGGCTGGAGTGCAGTGGCAAGATCTTGGCTCACTGCAACCTCTGCCTCCTGGGTTCAAGTGATTCTCCTGTCTCAGCCTCCTGAGTAGCTGGGATTATAGGCACGCACCACCACACCCAGCTACTTCTTGTATTTTTTAGTGTAGATGGGGTTTCACTGTGTTGGCCAGGCTGGTCTTGAACTCCCAACCTCAGGTGACCCGCCCGCCTCAGCCTTCCAAAGTGCTGAGATTACAGGTGTGATCTAACCCACCCAGCCAAGCCACTGAGGCAGGCCTTGTTTTTCTTTCAACCTTTAGTTCATCTTGATTTTTACATTTGAAAATAATGAAATAAATTTACAAAATAAAAGGAAAAGTGAATATCTTTCCAACAGTCCACCAATATCCTCATCCCAAAATTATCAAAATGTTTTAATATTCCTATTTATTTTCATGCAGTTTATTACATTTTGTTTGGATTATAAGCCATGATCTCTCTCTCTCTCTATATATATATATACACACACAAAAGCATTAAAAATATTAGCCAAGTAAGTGTAGTATATTTAAGAAAATAATACAAGCACAAAGTTAGTATTGAAGTATAATATTGATCACAAAATAATATTTAATTTACCATGAGCACATTAATAATGAAATGTTTCTCTTTAAATGCTGTGATTTAGAACTAGATGATGTGGCTTTTTAAATGAATAAATAGAATGTTAGAATAAGGTTGGAAGGGCAGATATGACTTCTCCCATGAAGAAACTACAATACACAGGTGGTTAGGATCATAGGATGCAGACAGTGAAAAATACTAGGGGAGCCTGGGCACGGTGGCTCACGCCTGTAATCCCAGCTTTTTGGGAGGCTGAGGCGGGCGGATCACTGATATCAAGAGTTAGAGACCAGCCTGACCAACATGGTGAAACCCCGTCTCTACTAAAAATGCAAAATTAGCTGGGTGTGGTGGTGCACCTGTAATCCCAGCTACTCGGGAGGCTGAGGCAGGAGAACCCGGGAGGCAGAGACTGCAGTGAGCCGAGATCACGCCATTGCACACCAGCCTGGGCGACAAGAGTGAAACATCGTCTCAAAAAACAAAACAAAACAAAACAACCTAAGAGAAAAATCAAAGTCAGTTTTCTAGAATAAGAAATAATAATCAGTAAATTATTGTACACTTGGAAAGGATTAAAACCTTAAAATTATTCATTAGAAATGGATTAACTACCTGTTACTTAATATAAAAAGGATTTACAATGTTATTCACAATGATATGCAATACTTGAAAATTGAAAATAGGCCTGGCCGCCTGTAATCCCAGCACTTTGGGAGGCTGAGGGGAGTGCATCTCTTGAGCTCAGAAGTTAAAGGCCAGCCTAAGAAATATGGTGACGATCCGTCTCTACAAAAAATACAAGAAGTAGCCGGGCATGGTGGCGCACGCCTGTAGTCCCAGCTACTTGGAGGCGGAGGTGGGCTGGTCTCTTGAGCCCAGGAGGCAGAGGTTGCAGTGAGCTGAGATCCTGCCACTGACCTCTAGTCTGGGTGACTAAGACTCTGTATCAAAAAAAAGAAAAGAAAAGAAAAAAAAAAGGCCGGGCGCAGTGGCTCACACCGGTAATCACAGCACTTTGGGAGGCCGTGGCGGGTGGAACATGAGGTCAAGAGTTTAAAACCTGCCCGGCCAACGTGGTGAAACCCCGTCTCTACTAAAGATAAAAAAAAAAAAAATTTAGCCGAGCGTGGTGGTGGGCGCCTGTAATGCCAGCTACTCGGGAGGCTGATGCAGGAGAATTGCTTGAACCCGAGAGGCGGAGGGTGCAGTGAGCTGAGATCACACCATTGCACTCCAGCCAGGGCGACAGAATGAGACTCGGTCTCAAAAAAAAAAAAAAAATTGGGGGAGAAAAGAAAAAATTAAAAATACAATTAGTCGTATTGCATAATAACGTAACTAGTTTAAGACTAAATAATATTGATATGGTTACATAAAACTAAAAAAGTACATGCAAATGTAAATAGCATTCTTACTAAAAATTAAATCCAAAGCTATTTCGAAAGGTGGAGTTTTCTTCACTATTCTTCCCAAGACCTTTTGCCTGGATATTAGGGATAACCGGTTTTAGGAACTTGAATTCATTTGTCTCGGAACCTCCCGTCAGACACACCTCGTACTGGTAGCTCTGGGAAAGGGTCCCGGTGCCGCTCACGTCCACCAGATGCCCTGGAAAGGGGCCCTTAGGCACCGAGCAGCTTCCCACCGAGGCCGCCCTGCTCCTCCTGCACAGCCGCACCGCCACGAACAGGAGCACCGAGAAGAGGAAGAGCGAAGACACCGAGGCCAACGCCACCACCAAGTAGACGGTGAGCGAGTCGGCCTGGGCCTGGGCCGGTGCCGCCTCAGGGAGCGGCAGGTAGGGCTGGGAGAAGCCGTCCACCAGGAGCACTTGCAGCGTGGCGGTGGCCGAGCGCGGAGGCTCGCCATTGTCCTTGACCAGCACCACCAGCCTGTGCTTGGCCGCGTCGCGCTCGCTCAGCAGCCTGGCGGTGCGCACCTCGCCATTGTGCGCCCACACGCCGAATAGCCCGGGCTCCGTGGCCTTGAGCAGCTGGTACGACAGCCAGGCGTTCTGGCCCGAGTCGCCGTCCACCGCCACCACCTTGGTCACCAGGTAGCCCGGCTCGGCCGCCCGGGGCACCAGCTCGGTGCAGGGCGCGGAGCCGTTCTGCAGCGGGTACAGCACGAAGGGCGAGTTGTCGTTGGCGTCCAGCACCAGCACGCGCACCAGCGCCTCGCTGCTCAAAGCCGGGGAGCCGCGGTCTGTGGCGCCCACGCGGAAGTCGAAAGCCTGCAGGGCCTCGTAGTCCAGCGACCTGAGGGCGAACAGGTGGCCGTTGTCTGTGTTGATGGAGACCAGGGAGGCGAGGGGCAGGTGCAGGTCCTGGGGCGGGAGTAGCGAGTAGTTGACCTGGGCGTTGGTGCCTGAGTCTCTGTCTGTAGCGCTGACACTGCCGATGTGCAGGGCGGGGCTGTTGTTCTCGCGGACGAACAGGGTGTAGGAGGTTTGGGTGAAGGTGGGGGCGTTGTCATTGACGTCAGAGACCAACACAGTTGTGTTGTGCTCGGTTTTCAGCCTGGGTATCCCCAAGTCGGTGACGGTGATGGTGATATTGTACTCGGCTGTGCTCTCTCTGTCCAGTGGTCTCTCTGTTTCCAACGTGTAGTAATTCTCAACTGAAGATTTTAGCACGAATGGGAGGTCTTCCGGAATGGAACAAACAATTCTTCCGTTGTCCCCAGAGTCTATATCTTGGATACTAAAAACCATAACCACGGTCTCTGGCGTATTTTCTGGGATTGGACTGGTAATTGATGACACAGTGATTTCAGGAGCATTGTCATTTACATCTATCACGTGAATTATGACTGTAGATTTTCCAAAAAGTCCTCCCCCATCTGTGGCTTGAATGATTATTGAGTATGACTCAATCGTTTCAAAATCCAGAGGTGCTCTTAAAGTAATTTCTCCAGACTTTTGATTAATTTCAAATGTCTTGCGAATATCTTCTGAGGCATGGGAAAAGGTATAGCATATTTCACCATTTGTTCCAGAGTCTAAATCCCAAGCTGAGACAATCAAAATCAGCGAGCCAAGGATGCTATTCTCCCGAATCTTCACCTCATAAAAAGCCTGCTCAAATTCAGGGGAGTTGTCATTAATGTCCACAACCACCACCCTGACCAAGGCAGTTCCAGACCTGGGAGGGGACCCACCATCCAGAGCAGAGAGGATGAAACTGAGCTCCGGGAGCTCTTCATAATCCAGCGCCTTGTCCAGAACTAACTCGGGGTATTTCCTATTGTCTGGAATGACTCTCATTTTAATGTGAAAATGAGAGTTGGGGCTTATTGTGTAGCTTTTTACAGCATTGATTCCTACATCTAAATCCTTCGCACTTTCTAGTAAGAACACAGCACCAACGGGACTGTTCTCTGGGATTTCTAGGAGCATTTGTTTTTCCGAGAAGATGGGAGAGTGATCATTTATATCCCTGACCTGAAGCTCAATTTGTAAAAACTGCGTGGGGTTTTGCATTAACACCTGCAAATGTAGCACGCAAGGCTCGATGGAACCGCAGAGCTCCTCCCTGTCTAGTGTTTCACTTAAGAGCAAATCCCCAGTGTTTATGTCCAGCTGCAAACGCTGTTTCTTATCATTAGAGACCACCCGAGCCCCCCGTGAGGACAGTTCTCTCACCTTCAGCCCCAGGTCCTTTGCCAGATTGCCTACAAAACTCCCGCTCTGCATTTCTTCTGCCACAGAAAAGCTCCAGGTTTCAGAGCCCGCCTGAGACATTCCGAGCAAAACAAAGAGAAGCAGGACTTGCCTTATCTGCTGAGTGCGTGTCCCTTGGTTCTCCATAGTTCCTTTCTTGTAGGCTTCTTGAAGAAAGGCTTCAGCTCTGCGGAACGCGTCTCTGACTTGTCCACCAAATCCTCTGTGGTCTAAGGATTTTAACCCTGTTGAATGGTTTCCAGGTCACCCTCTTGAAGGCTTGTTGTTTCTGTCTTCTGATTCTCTGTGTGCACTGGATATCAGTGTTCACAACGCCATCCAGTGAATATATTTTTCACGATGTTATCCTGCAGCGCCACCAAGTGTCTCCATAGATTTTCACAGTTTGGTGAAAGCTACCTAAATTCCATTCACTTATATGTCCTCCGGAAACAAATATTGTTTTATTCATTGTGTTCAAGTGATTACAAATATATTGCACGTTCTGTAATAATTATTTCATATTCTCTTTAGTTTGATATGCTGTTAATATTCATCTTAAAGCATTTATCTTTCCCCCTTCTCCATACAACCAAACGTGCTTAGTTGTGGTGAATACAGAAATACAAGATGTGATTCCTGGCTCCCAGTGGTTTGTAATCTTTCTGAGAAGACTGGAAACATAAAACAACCATAATATTTTTAAGCTGTACAAAATTCTATCACTACTTGACTTTCCTTAGGTGGTAATGAAAAGGCAAACTATACATGGGTCATTTTAGAAGTCCTCTCAGAGGATATGAAACTGGATTAACCATGAGATGGGACATACTTTGATAGTTATGATAGCACAAGAAGGCATTTATATAGATTTCCTTGGTAGCAAGGAATTGTGAACTGCTAGAAAGTAAAGTAAGATATTGGGAGTAGAACACATTATGAGAATCCTTGATTTAGTTCCAGCTTCTCAAAAAATAATAAATACACAAGCACAAGCATGTTAGTTTCATTTAAAGCAGGCTTATTTCTAAGACTGCCCTCCCTCAGTTTCCCAAGATTTATTCCAGCAACATCTATGGCTATCTGCTTTGTTTTTCAGCTCAAGAAGACAGAATGAGAGATATTTTCTTCCTCAATAATAGAACAAAATCTTAGCCTTCATTCTGATTAGACCAACTGAGAGCACTTCAGCCTGTTACTGAAGAAATCAGTGTCTCAAGATGTATAGGATTAAAGGTAGAGATTATAGTCCCAGAATCTAAAGACTCCATCTTTGACCCTTTGTTTTAATCCAGGCAGAGATTGCCCCTTAAACTTGAGGTGGTTTCAGTCCTAGCCAAAGTGCATGGCATAATGAGGGAGATAGTTGGAATAGGTGCTTGGAAACTACCAATGGTATCCACTGTTAGACATCTCAAAGTACTCTCAATAATGGAGGACATCTAAGAAGTCTGCTTTTAAAAATTCTAATTTCAAATTACATTCACAAAAATGTGAACTAGATACATGGTTGAAAAATTATCAGTGCAGAAGAGTAGAAATTGAATAGTATGTGGATTGACTATACAATTATCCTTCCTTCTTCTTAACCCCTCTCTAAAATGACAGAAAAGTAATAAAAGGTATGAATTCACAAAGACTAAGAATACATAAGTAAATACACAAATTATTTGATGATAGAAAGCAGATGAAAGAGCAATTGACAATAGTTCCAAGAAATGTCTAAAATAAAGTTCCTTCATTGGAGATACTAAAAATAAACTACTGGGTTTTCCCTACACAATCCTAGTAGGTACCAGACTTGGAGGAACCAGGTGTATAAGAAGGCTGAAGTCAAGTAAGGGCTTAAAAAAGAAGTTATTAGTTGAAAGTATGTATGTAGGATAGTTGAATTCTCTGGTCTTTTCACCATCATACAGAGACAAGAAAATAACTGAGAGCCAGAGAATGGAAAGCTTATACTCTGGAGAAATTAGATTATATTCTGGAGAAATTATACTATCTCCAGTCTTGGAAACCCCAGGCAGAGCTGAGTGAAAGTAGGAGGTATGAAACTAAAGATAGGGAGATTAGGCAAAACACTGCCTTCTGTATTGTGAGACTCCTAGCCATGATACTCTCAGATTGTAGGACACAAGATATATGCCTGACATCTTCCCCATCGCACCCAAAACATTGAATATTGTAGAATTCTATCCTGGGGAATATGAAAGGCGCAGATAAAGACTTACATGTACTGATATGTGGGGGTTTCCCAAGGTAGTAGCTCTATCCTAGCATGGTTACATTAGAGTGAAGCCCTGTCATCAATACTCATGAAGTGTTGACTGTCAGCATTTGCTGTGTCACCATTCATATATATAATAAGACAGTCAAAGATAACAAGACATTTGAGAAAATGCCTACAACATGAAATAGAAAAGCCAAAACTGTAATACTACCGCCAAGCACAAAAAGCAACAGGAGGGAATAGATATAATTCAGAAAACAAAAGAAAGCCTTTTAAAATGTCTGATTAGTATCCCCAGAGAAACAAAATGTAATAAGAGCTAACACTTATTGACTTATTCTAAGTTCATTATTCTAGTGCCTCATATGGATTT
Organism: Homo sapiens; assembly: GCF_000001405.40. Taxonomy (NCBI): domain Eukaryota; kingdom Metazoa; phylum Chordata; class Mammalia; order Primates; family Hominidae; genus Homo; species Homo sapiens. The sequence continues at coordinate 141,197,318 of NC_000005.10, read as the reverse complement.
ACCTAGTTGATGTTAACAGTAACCCTATCAAGTACGTATTTATACCTGGAAGACAAAGAATAGCTTAGGGCTTAAGTGCCCCTTACTAGCTATATAGCCTTAGGCAAATTCTTAACTTCCCTTTGATTCACTTGCAAGTTTAAAATAGGTATAATAATAACTCTTACTATATAATGCATTTTTAAAGAATAAATAGATTAATTATAGATGAAAGAAGATTTACATTTGCAAATTTGTAATAGGATGTTATGAAAAACCAAGAGCTCTTAAAAATAAATATTTGCTATCCAAAAAGAAAAACTTAAATATGGAGATTGGATGATTAAATAAATTGTCTAATAAGTAGAACAAGAGATGGAAAAGAAGAAAAAAATTATAATTTAGAGTCTCAGAAAATCAACACAGGAGGTGCAATATTTAATGAGATTCTGGTTAAAGTGAGACTGTAGAAAACTCAATGGATAAATTATTACTAAAACATAACAAGAAAATTTCTCAGAACTTACAGTAAGAGTCTATATGTTAACAGGGTATGCCTGCATGGCCAGATTAATAAATAAAATGCCTGTATTAAGGTCTTTTCAGATTACCAGGAAAAAGTTTTTCAATGCTTCCAGGAAAGGAGGTAAGAGAGAAGGACACAAAGAGAGATGGAATCAAAATCAAGTCAGTCTTCTGAAGAAACTCGACATGCAATGAGTAAAAGAGACAGCTTCAGCTTTCAAAATTTGAGGGAAAATTATTTTCAAACTAGAATTTTATACCCAGTCAAACTATCAAGCAAATGAAAACAAACAAAAAAGATGTCTTCACAATGTAAGGAGACAATTTTTTAAAAATCTCTTCTGCATTCGTTTATATGAAGGTCTTGAGAGATGCGTGCCAGCTGAATAAGAGAGTAAACTAGAAAAAAGAGTATACTGGACCTTGGAAAAGTAGACTCATACAGGAAAGTATTGAAGGGAAAAAGTCCCAGGGTAACAGTCTATAGATTAACCAGTCTAAATGAAACAGGAAACTCACGATGAAAGAGCTCCTGAAAATAAATGTCATTGACAGAGTATCTTAAAAATTGGAATATTTTTAAGGAGAAAATACATTCAAATGAAAGATATGGAAAAAAACAATAGAGGTACATAGAAAATAATGCAAGTATGAAATAACAATTACGAACTCTAGGAACCATACTTTTCAAGTATGGAAATGTAATTCTAGTACAGTATACAAATGCATATTCTGAAGCATGTAACAATATAGATAATAACCACTAATTTAACTAAGAAACTGTGACATCTATATTGGAGAATAGGAGAAAAAGAATTTGCAATGTTTGCATATGTTTGTTAGTTTGGAAATAAAGCTAAAATGCTTTTCTATTATAGAAAGAAATGGTTCAAATACAAAACAATATCAAGATATAGTATTATAAACATATTATTTATAAATATTGAGATCAATTCAAGAAGAAACCACACTGTGGTAAGGGACTGGCAGAACAGCTAACTTAAAAAACTATAAAATGTTAGTTATATATAGTATATATTTTATATATAGTAATATAAAAAAACTGATGAAACTTGTTTTTCATTCTAACCTTTAGTTCCTCTTGCTTATTAAAAATTTGGTATTTAAAATAAATTTGCAACATATAAATGAATATCTCCAGCAATCTCAACCACACATTTCAAAATGTTTTATTTTTATTCATTTTCAGGCAGATTATAATTTTATTTCAATTATAAGGCATAGTCTGTTTTATACATCAGCAAAAGTTAACATAAGAAAATATTGGCCAAGTAAAAGTAGCATGCTTAAAGATAAAATAATAAGTATATAAACTAAGGGTATTATTGATGTTCAGTATTGCTCACAATATGCTTTGTTTCATTTTGTCATGAGCATAGTAGTAGAGAAATATTTCTTTTTAAATACATGATGTAGAAATAAATGACATGGTTTTCAAACACGAATATATAGAATGTTAGAATGAGTTTGGAAATGTAGATATGCCTTCTTAAATAGAGCAAGTACACTATAGACAGAAGTGATTAGAATCATGAGATGCAAGCTCTGAAATGAATCAAAACCTCAGATTTCTGTAATGAGATATAATAGTAATTAATTCCTTGGGCAGTTGGAAAGAATTAAAACCTTAACACTATCATTTAGAAAAAAATACTCATTAAATTAAACCCAGTTGTTATTAATGCAAAAAAATGATGAAACATTGTAAAACCACAGGGGTATACTACTTGAAAATAATGCTTGAAGTTGCATAATAACTTAAATTTGAGATTTAAAAGTAAACTAATAGAAACATGGCTATGTAACACACCAAAAGTATATGAAACTAAAAACAGACTTTACTGAATATTAAATCCAAAGCTATTTCGGAAGGTGGAATTTTCTTCACCCTTCCTCCCAGGGCCCTGTGCCTGAATATCCGAAATAACTGGTTTCAAGAACTTGAACTCACTGGTCCCGGGGCCTCCCGTCAGACACACCTCATACTGGTAGCTCTGGGACAGGGTCTCAGCGCCCCTCACGTCCACCAGATGCCCTGGAAAAGGACCCTCGGGCACCGAGCAGCGACCCACCGAGGCCGCCCTGCTCCTCCTGCACAGCCGCACCGCCACGAACAGGAGCACCGAGAGGAGGAAGAGCGAAGACACCGAGGCCAACGCCACCACCAGGTAGACGGTGAGCAAGTCGGCCTCGGCCTGGGCCTGGGCCGGGGCCGCCTCCGGGAGAGGCAGGTAGGGCTGGGAGAAGCCGTCCACCAGGAGCAAGTGCAGCGTGGCGGTGGCCGAGCGAGGAGGCTCGCCATTGTCCTTGACAAGCACCACGAGCCTGTGCTTGGCTGCGTCGCGCTCGCTCAGCAGCCTGGCGGTGCGCACCTCCCCATTGTGCGCCCACACACCGAACAGCCCGGGCTCCGTGGCCTTGAGCAGCTGGTACGACAGCCAGGCGTTCTGGCCCGAGTCGCCGTCCACCGCCACCACCTTGGTCACCAGGTAGCCCGGCTCGGCCGCCCGGGGCACCAGCTCGGTGCAGGGCGCGGAGCCGTTCTGCAGCGGGTACAGCACGAAGGGCGAGTTGTCGTTGGCGTCCAGCACCAGCACGCGCACCAGCGCCTCTCTGCTCAGCGCGGGGGAGCCGCGGTCTGTGGCGCCCACGCGGAACTCGAAAGCCTGCAGGGCCTCGTAGTCCAGCGACCTGAGGGCGAACAGGTGGCCGTTGTCCGCGTTGATGGAGACCAGGGAGGCGAGGGGCAGGTGCGGGTCTTGGGGCGGCAGCAGCGAGTAGGTGACCTGGGCGTTGGTGCCCGAGTCTCTGTCTGTGGCGCTGACGCTGCCGATGTGCAGGGCGGGGCTGTTGTTCTCGCGGACGAACAGGGTGTAGGAGGTTTGGGTGAAGGCGGGGGCGTTGTCATTGACGTCGGAGACCAGGACCGTTATGTTGTGCTCGGTTTTCAGCCTGGGTGTCCCCAAGTCAGTGACGGTGATAGTGATGTTGTACTCGGCTCTGATCTCTCTGTCCAGCGCGCCTTCTGTAATTAGGATGTAAAAATTCTCCACAGAAGGTTTTAGTAGGAATGGCAGATTCTCTTGAATGTAGCAAACCATCTTTCCATTTTCTCCAGAGTCTCTGTCATTAATCTTAAAAACAGCCAGCGGCGTCTCAGGAGAATTCTCAGCAACAGAGTTGGAAAATGATGATACGATCAGTTCAGGGGGATTGTCATTGGTGTCCAATACTTCCACTAAAACCCTACATCTTGCAGAAAGGCCTCCACCGTCCATTGCCTGTATATTTATTTTGTAAGAATTTACTAACTCATAATCAAGCAATTCTCTGAGAAAGATTTCCCCAGAAAAAGGATTGATTTGAAAGGTTGTTCGAATATTTTCTGAGGCATCAAAAAATGAATAGGATACTTCCGCGTTGACTCCAGAGTCTACATCTTCTGCCCATACCTTAACAATAAGGAACCCAATGGGGCTGTTTTCTGGAGCCTGGGTCTCATACAGAGCCTGGGCAAACTGTGGGGCATTGTCATTGACGTCCAAGACAACGATGCGTACAGTAGAGGTCCCAGACCTGGATGGAGACCCACCATCCAGCGCTGTGAGGGTTAAGCTGAGCTCTCCCTGCTCCTCCCGATCCAGTGCTTTGTCCAACACTAGCTCTGGATATATCATGCCTTCATCACCGCCACTAATGTTAATATGGAAAAAAGAGTTGGGGCTGATCGTGTAGTTTTGGATACCGTTAAGTCCTCCATCTGGATCCTGTGCTCTTTCTAGTCTAAATGCTGTCCCTTCAGCTGTATTTTCTGATATTTTTAAGACTGTTTCTTTGTCCTGAAATACTGGCGCGTGATCATTTATATCCCTGACTCTCAGCTCAGCCCGGTAAATCTGAAAGGGATCATCCATTAAAATTTGGAAATACAGCATACAGGGCTCTTTAGGGCCACACAGCTTCTCTCGGTCCAGTTTCTCATTTGTGAGCAAATTCCCGGTATGTGAATCCAGGAGCAGGTATTGTTTGTTATCATCGGAAACCACCCTGGTTCCCCTTGCAGCCAGCTCCCCCTCTGCTAGTCCCAGATCCTTTGCCAGATTGACCACAAAGGATCCTTTCTCTGTTTCCTCAGTCACCGAATAACGTCCAAACCCAGAACCTGCCAAGGACACTCCCCAAAAAAGAAAAAGAAACAGGACTTGCCTTTGTCTTGGGAAGCACAACTCTCTGACAGCCATAGCTGCTGCATACGTTATTTCCTAGTTGGTTACAGCCACAGCTCCCAGCATAAAAGAACAGCAGTAGGAAACCCTGCACCTACGCCGTGTAGCCCAGGGGTCTTTTTTGTCCTTTCCCTTTCCCAATCTTTGGCAGCTAAAGCTTCTCTTTTAAGTTCATCTGTCCGTGTCTTCCTTTATTAGTGACTTGCATAGCATCCTCAGAGCAATTCCCAAACCGTCTCTTTAGCCTGCAGCGCCACCGTGTGGCCTCCACCAGATTTCAGTAGTTGTACCCATTTGGGTGTGTGTATTCAGACAATTTCCTTTAGTGCCTCATTTAAATTTTTCATGTTTATTTTCGTTTGTCTTGTAAAAATTAATGTTGAGACAGAGAAATAGTCACATTGTTGAGATTCTTCAATTCTTTTTGGGAAAAGTTAAAAATTCAACACTTGAAAATATGTTTCTAGCAATAACTCTGTCCACCTCACTGTGCTAAATTTAGCTCTCTACTAGTCCTTTCATCTCAGACACAACTCTCACACAATGTCAAGAATCAAAGGGAAAATGTTGCTGACATCTGGGATCACCAAAGTAACAGGAGATTTTACTTTTCCAGAAACATCGGGATAAGAACACCAAAACAGACAAAGAAAATATGTTTCACACCTTCCTCAACAAACTTCAAAATCTCATCACACTGATTAAGGAGAATCATCACTCTGTAATCTTGTATAATGCATTTAAGCTGTCCCTCCTCTATTCTCTCATAAAAACTTGTGTATACAACTATGATTGCCCTGCAAATATTATTGCTTCTTAATTCATGCAAATCTATTTCTTCTTCAATGTGTGGGCTACTTAAGGATAGGAACTATGTCCTAATCATCTGTGAGTGACAAATCAGACAAGCAATAAATACTGCCTGTATTAGGACATGCATAAATAAACTCAGATGGGTAGAACCTGAAACGTTTTCCAGTGCCTTTCAATTCCGACCACTTGAAAGTTTTTTTCTTTCATTTACTCTTTGCAATTTCTGTTTCCTTACTTTCACTTGTCTTTGTTTTTCTTGTATTAGCTTTAAAGTAACTTACAGGGTTAAATAAGAGATTGATCCTTATTTTAAGGTCCCCTCTTAATTGAAATTTAGCAGGATCTAACTTCTCTGCACCAAATAAAGGGAGGTAAAGAACAGACCACACTAACACCTATCTTAACACTATTAAAATTAAGAACAGCATTCTAGTGTCTTTTTTCATAGAATTTTATTCAAAGTTCTTTTTAAGTTATTTTATATTTTATTTTATTTTATTTTGATGGAGTTTTGCTCTTATTGCCCAGGCTGGAGTACAATGGTGCAATCTCGGCTCAAAGCAACTTCCACCTCCTGGGTTCAAGCGATTCTCCTGCCTCAGCCTCCCGAGTAGCTGGGATTACAAGCATGTGCCACCATGCCTGGCTAATTTTGTATTTTTAGTAAAGACGGGGTTACTTAACGTTGGTCAGGCTGGTCTCAAACTCGTGACCTAAGGTGATCTGCCCGCCTTGGCCTCCCAAAGTGCTGGGATTACAGGAATGAGCCACTGAGCCCTGCCTCAAAGACCTTATATCTAGAAAGAAGCTCTATTTTGTCTATAATAGGCCCAAATGGATTAAGTCAAGGAATGTCGTGGAGGAAAAGGCTAGACACTACCAATAACACTCTAATAGCTGAATATAAAAGCCGCACAATATAAACCTCTACTTTGTGATTGCTGTTGTTTTTTCAACTGGATGGCACTGGGCTATTAGCCATTAAAAATTTAACAGGAACCTCAGGAACCTCTGATTTGTTTATACAGAATTAAAAGGAGCAAATTAAATATTTTCACATGATCCTATAGAATGACTAAATTTTTTTTTTTTTTTTGGTTTCCAGACTAAAGCCCATTTACACACGCTTAATATCTTGCAGTGGTTTTTCTTCTAAGGCTAATTAGGGGTTTATTTATCATATCACTTACAAGAGAAACATTATATTTCAAATAGGGAACTATCAATGCCGGGAAACTAGAACTTTAAAATAAAAGGTAAAGTTTAAGAAAATTATTGTAGGCTGGGTGCGGTGGCTCATGCCTGTAAATCCCAGCAATTTGGGAGGCTGAGTGGGGTGGATCACGAGGTCAAGAGATAGACCATCCTGGCCACCATGATGAAACCCGTCTCTACTGAAAATACAAAAATTAGCCGAACGTGGTGACATGCAACTGTAGTCCCAGATACTCTGGAGGCTGAGGCAGGAGAATCGCTTGAACCTGGGAGGCGGAGGTTGCAGTGAGCTGAGATCGCGCCACTGCACTCCAGCCTGGGCGACAGAGCGAGACTCCGTCTCAAAAAAAAAAAAAACAAACAAACCAAAAAACAAACAAACAAACAAAAAACAGTTGTAATGAACAAGGATGGCAAACCAATAAGAACACCGGTTTCAAAAGAAAAATAGAAGAAATATCAAATAGTAAAAGCACATATTACATGCAGCAGACTATTTTAACAAGTAAAAAGTTTTAGGAAAAGAAGAACTAATGAATAATGTAGAGGCAATGAATTTAAAGTCAATAAAGACATTTAAAACGACCAAAAATTTTTAAATGATATCAACTTTGAAAAATATTATATTTCACTTATGGGATTCTAGTAAGAAATGCCTCATCAGGATACAAAATAAGAAAAAGTTAACTTGTGAAGTTAAGCATAATACGCAAAGTTGAAGATGAATCAAACAAAAAATAGTACCTTCTTTGTGGTGGGCATACACAATTTAGTTAGCCAACAAGAATATATTAAAGAAGTAAATGTCTTTATTAAGTGGGTTCCTTTCAATAATTAAATCCAAAGCTATTGGGGAGAGTAGAATTTTCCTCTATTTCTTTCCCACCCCTATGGGGCGGGAGGTGGGGGGTAATCGGCTTCAAGAACTTGAACTCGCCGGTCTCTGAACCTCCAGTCAGACACACCTCGTACTGGTAGCTCTGGAACAGGGTCCCGGTGCCGCTCACGTCCACCAGATGCCCTGGAAAAGGACCCTCGGGCACCGAGCAGCGACCCACCGAGGCCGCCCTGCTCCTCCTGCACAGCCGCACCGCCACGAACAGGAGCACCGAGAGGAGGAAGAGCGAAGACACCGAGGCCAACGCCACCACCAGGTAGACGGTGAGCAAGTCGGCCTGGGCCTGGGCCGGGGCCGCCTCCGGGAGAGGCAGGTAGGGCTGGGAGAAGCCGTCCACCAGGAGCACGTGCAGCGTGGCGGTGGCCGAGCGAGGAGGCTCGCCATTGTCCTTGACAAGCACCACCAGCCTGTGCTTGGCCGCGTCGCGCTCGCTCAGCAGCCTGGCGGTGCGCACCTCCCCATTGTGCGCCCACACACCGAACAGCCCGGGCTCCGTGGCCTTGAGCAGCTGGTACGACAGCCAGGCGTTCTGGCCCGAGTCGCCGTCCACCGCCACCACCTTGGTCACCAGGTAGCCCGGCTCGGCCGCCCGGGGCACCAGCTCGGTGCAGGGCGCGGAGCCGTTCTGCAGCGGGTACAGCACGAAGGGCGAGTTGTCGTTGGCGTCCAGCACCAGTACGCGCACCAGCGCCTCGCTGCTCAAAGCCGGGGAGCCGCGGTCTGAGGCGCCCACGCGGAAGTCGAAAGCCTGCAGGGCCTCGTAGTCCAGCGACCTGAGGGCAAACAGGTGGCCATTGTCCGCGTTGATGGAGACCAGGGAGGCGAGGGGCAGGTGTGGGTCCTGGGGCGGCAGCAGCGAGTAGGTGACCTGGGCGTTGGTGCCTGAGTCTCTGTCTGTGGCGCTGACACTGCCGATGTGCAGGGCGGGGCTGTTGTTCTCCCGGACGAACAGGGTGTAGGAGGTTTGGGTGAAGGCGGGGGCGTTGTCATTGACGTCGGAGACCTGCAGGGTTATGCTGTGCTCGGTTTTCAGCCTGGGTGTCCCCAAGTCAGTGACGGTGATGGTGATGTTGTACTCAGCTTTGCTCTCTCTGTCCAGTGCACCTTCAGTCATTAGGATGTAAAAATTGTCAACAGACGGTTTCAGAAAAAAAGGCAGATTATCTTGAACATAGCAAATTGTCTTTCCATTTTCTCCGGAGTCTCTGTCTTTAATCTTAAAAACAGCCAATACTATCCCAGGAGAGTTTTCAGCAACAGAGTTGGAAAGTGATGATATGATCAGTTCAGGAGGATTGTCATTGGAATCTAATACTTTTATCAAAACTGTACATCTTGCAGAAAGGCCTCCGCCGTCCATTGCCTGTATATTTATTTTGTAAGAATTTACTAACTCATAATCAAGCAATTCTCTGAGAAAGATTTCCCCAGAAAAAGGATTGATTTGAAACGTTGTTAAAATATCTTCAGAAGCATCAAAAAATGAATAGGATACTTCTGCATTGACTCCTGAGTCTGCATCTCCTGCAGACACTTTAACAATAAGGGACCCTACTGGACTGTTTTCTGGAGCCTGGGTCTCATACAGAGCCTGGGCAAACTGTGGGACATTGTCATTGACATCCAAGACCACAATGCGTATAGTGGAGGTCCCAGACCTGGATGGAGACCCACCATCCAGCGCTGTGAGGGTTAAGCTGAGCTCTTCCTGCTCCTCCCGATCCAGTGCTTTGTCCAACACTAGCTCTGGATATATCATGCCTTCATCACTGCCACTAATTTTAATATGGAAAAAAGAGTTGGAGCTGATCGTGTAGTTTTGGATACTGTTATGACCTTCATCTGGATCCTGTGCTCTTTCTAGTCTAAATGCTGTCCCTTCAGCTGTATTTTCTGATATTTTTAAGACCATCTCTTTGTGCCGAAACACTGGCGAGTGATCATTTATATCCCTGACTCTCAGCTCAGCCCGGTAAATCTGAAAGGGATCATCCATTAAAATTTGGAAATACAGCATACAGGGCTCTTTAGGGCCACACAGCTTCTCTCGGTCCAGTTTCTCATTTGTGAGCAAATTCCCGGTATGTGAATCCAGGAGCAGGTATTGTTTGTTATCATCGGAAACCACCCTGGTTCCCCTTGCAGCCAGCTCCCCCTCTGCTAGTCCCAGATCCTTTGCCAGATTGACCACAAAGGATCCTTTCTCTGTTTCCTCAGTCACCGAATAACGTCCAAACCCAGAACCTGCCAAGGACACTCCCCAGAAAAGAAAAAGAAACAGGACTTGCCTTTGTCTTGGAAAGCTGAACCCCCTGGTCTTCATAGCTGCTTCTTTCCTCAATGTCAGTCTCAATCACACTGCCCCAGCACAAATAGCAATCGCAAACCCAGACTTATGTGTACCAGAGATCTAGGGTTTTTAATTTTTCCTTTCCCAATCAGGGACTCGACAGCTCTTCTTCTCAGCCCATCTGTCTCAGTGTTTCCTTTTTGTCAAGGACTTCCGTAGCATTCTGGTCAATTTTGTTCCTCCGTCTCTTCAGTCTGCAGCGCCACCTTGTGGCTTCCAACACAGTCAAATGGCTGTGCCCAATTTTTGTGTTTATTTAAAAATTCTTCATTGCTTCATGAGAAAAGATAAAAATTGAACAGTTGAAAAAATGTTTCTAGCAGTAACCCTGTTCAACTCTGTGTTAGATTTAGCTGTGTTAGGCCTTTCGCCTCTGACACAACTCTTACGCAAACAAAGGGAAAATTGTGGGTGCCTTCTGGAACCACCAAAATAATCAATTTCACTGTCTCAAAAGCTTTGGGCATAGGAACACCAAAAATTAACAACAATAAAAAAAACTTGTTTCACATCTTCTTCAACAAATGTCTTCAAGATCTCAGATTGCCTAACTAGAATCACCGCTCTGTAGTCCAGAACCAAGCATTAGGCTGTCTTTCCATTGTGCTTCTCTAAAACTTACGCATACAACTATGTTTACTCTATAAATATTATTGCTTCTTGTTTCAGGCCAGTTTGCCCCTTCATCAATGTGTGAACTACTTGAGAACAACTATGTCTTAGTCATCTTTGGTTGGCAAATTAGCCACTCACTAAATGCTGGCTATATTAAGGCATGCATAAATAAACTAGTGAGTAGGACATGAAACAAAATTCAGTGCCTTTCGATCTCTGCCATTTGAAAATTGTTTTCTTTAATTTACTCATACTTTGCAATTTGTTTTTTTTTTTTCTTAGATTAGCTTTAAAGTAACTTGCAGAATTAAAGAAGGGACTGACCTTTATTTTCAAGTCCCTTTTAGTGGAAATCTAGTAGGCCCTAATTTCTCTGAACCAAATAAGCGGAGGTAAAGAACAGATCAAACTAACACCTATCCTAACACTATTGAAAGTGAAAACAAATTATTAAATCTGACTCACATAGAATTTTATTCAAAGGCCTAATATCTAGAAAGAAGCTCAACTTTACATATAATAAGCAAGAAATACAGATTAAACATAGGGATATTTTACAGAGAAAGGGCTAGATACCGCCAATGTATACTATGATGAATATAAAAGCCAAACCATGTAAATGTCTCTTTGATAAGTTTTTTTTCCAACTTAATGAGATTGAGTTGTTAGCCATTAAAAATATAACAGGGACCTCTGATTTTTTAATTCAGTAATAGAAAGAATAAATTATTAAATATTTTTACATAATACCTTTGCCTTTTGTCTACAAACACAAACACATTTACACATACTGAATGTCTTACAATGGCTTCTCTTTTTATTTTTAGATAAGGCTGGTTAAAGATTTCTCATATCACTTACAATAGGAATATTTTATTTTATTTAAGGAGATACCAATACAGGGAAAATAGAACTTTTTTTTTAAAGGTAACTTTACGAGACTCCATCTCAAAAAAATAAATAAATAAAACTTTGGATGGGCACATTGGCTTATGCCTGTAATCCCAGAATTTTGGGAGGCTGAGGAGGGAGGATGGCTTGAGCCCAGGAGTTCAAGATCAGCCTGGGCAACTTGGCAAAATCCCATCGCTGCAAAAGATTAGCCAGGCATGGTGGCATGCACCTATAGTCCAAGCTACTTGGGAGGCTGAGGTGGAAGGATCCGTTGGGCCCAGGAGGCAGAGGTTGCAGTGAGCCAAGATTGTACCACTGCACTCCAGCCTGGGTGACAAGAGTAAGACCCTGTCTCAAAAAGGAAAAAAAAAAAAAGAAAGAAAAGAAAAGAAAGAAAGAAACTTTAAGAAAAGTATTATAATGAAAATTGAGCCCAACAAAAATACCAATTTTGAAAGGAAAATAGACAAAAGAAATGTAACATAGGAAATATGCCTAATACATGCAACAGGTTATTTTAATACTTGAAGTTCTAGGAAACTGAGAAGTAACATGAAAAATGGAGCAAAAAATGAATAGGAAGTAAATAAAATATAAAGACGGAAAAATTTTAAATGACATCAACTTTGAAGATAAAGTATATTTTGTTAATTGGGATTCTATATGCAACACCTCTTCGGGGTAAATATGAGGAAAAGGGAAACTGGAATTAACAATATAATTTGAACTAACAATCAGAGAAAAATACCTTATTGGTGGTGGTGAGCATGAACAATTTAATCAACAAGACAATCATAAGAAGTTAAGGAATTTATCAAATGGGTTCCTATCAATAATTAAATCCAAAGCTATTGTGAAGGGTGGAATTTTAATCTATTTCTTTCCTAGTGCCCTAAGGAGAGAAGTTGGGGATAATCGGCTTCAGGAACTTGAACTCACTTGTTTCTGAGCCTCCTGTCAGACACACCTCGTATTGGTAGCTCTGGGACAGGGTCCCGGTGCCGCTTACGTCCACCAGACGCCCTGGAAAGGGGCCCTCAGGCATCGAGCAGCGGCCCACCGAGGCCGCCCTGCTCCTCCTGCACAGCCGCACCGCCACGAACAGGAGCACCGAAAAGAGGAAGAGCGACGACACCGAGGCCAACGCCACCACCAGGTAGACAGTGAGCGAGTTGGCCTGGGTCTGGCCGGGGGCCGCCTCTGGGAGCGGCAGGAAGGGCTGGGAGAAGCCGTCCACCAGGAGCACGTGCAGCGTGGCGGTGGCCGAGCGCGGAGGCTCGCCATTGTCCTTGACCAGCACCACCAGCCTCTGCTTGGCTGCGTCGCGCTCGCTCAGCAGCCTGGCGGTGCGCACCTCGCCATTGTGCGCCCACACACCGAACAGCCCGGGCTCCGTGGCCTTGAGCAGCTGGTACGACAGCCAGGCATTCTGGCCCGAGTCGCCGTCCACCGCCACCACCTTGGTCACCAGGTAGCCCGGCTCGGCCGCCCGGGGCACCAGCTCAGTGCAGGGCGCGGAGCCGTTCTGCAGCGGGTACAGCACGAAGGGCGAGTTGTCGTTGGCGTCCAGCACCAGCACGCGCACCAGCGCCTCTCTGCTCAGCGCGGGGGAGCCGCGGTCTGTGGCGCCCACGCGGAACTCGAAAGCCTGCAGGGCCTCGTAGTCCAGCGACCTGAGGGCGAACAGGTGGCCGTTGTCCGCGTTGATGGAGACCAGGGAGGCGAGGGGCAGGTGCGGGTCTTGGGGCGGCAGCAGCGAGTAGGTGACCTGGGCGTTGGTGCCCGAGTCTCTGTCTGTGGCGCTGACGCTGCCGATGTGCAGGGCGGGGCTGTTGTTCTCGCGGACGAACAGGGTGTAGGAGGTTTGGGTGAAAGTGGGGGCGTTATCATTGACATCTGATATCTGCACTGTTATGTTGTGCTCCGTTTTCAGCCTTGGAGTCCCCATATCTGTGACGGTGAGGGTGATATTATATTCAGCTCTTGCTTCTCTGTCGAGTGCTCTCTCCGTTACCAAGGTGTAAAAGTTCTTGACTGAAGGTTTTAGAAGAAAGGGAAGGTCTTCCTGGATGGAGGAAATCGTCTTCCCATTGTTTCCGGAGTCAGGATCTGAAACGCTGAAAACAGCAACTACTATCTCAGGCGAGTTCTCTGGGATGGGGCTGGTGAGTGCAGACATGGTCACCTGTGGGGGATTGTCATTCACGTCCACCACCTGCAGGAGAAGAGTGCACTTTCCTGAAAGACCTCCCCCATCTGTGGCTTTGATGCGCACTTCATAAGACGTAACCATTTCGAAATCTACTTGCTTTCTCAGTCGAACTTCCCCTGTCATAGGATTTACCTCCAAAGTTTTACTAATATCCTCCGAAGGCTGAAAGAGTGTGTATGATATTTTTCCATTGGCTCCGCCGTCTAAATCCCTGGCGGAGACGGTGGCAACCAGGGAGCCAAGAGGACTGTTCTCTGGAATCTGCACTTTGTAGATGGGCTGCTCAAACTCAGGAGCGTTATCATTGATGTCCACCACTTCAATACGGACCTGAGCAGTTCCAGATCGCGGTGGAGAGCCACCATCCAGCGCTGTCAGGGTTAATCTTAGTTGAGGCTCCTCCTCCCGATCCAGCTCTTTATCCAACACTAGCTCAGGGTATTTCCTGCCATCTCTGAATTCATGGATTAGAACCCGGAAATGAGAGCTTGGGCTGATTTTATAGTTTTGAACATTATTGCTTCCTACGTCCAAGTCCAAAGCATGATTCAGAGGGAACTCAGTTCCTAGAGGACTGTTTTCCGGTATTTTTAGAATCATTTCCTTTTCAGTGAACATGGGAGAATGGTCATTTATATCTATCACCCTCAGTTCAGCCTGAAATATTTCTAAAGGGTTTTCCATTAACACTTGGAAATGTAGTATGCAAGGCTCAGTGGGACCGCATAGCTCCTCTCGATCTAGCTTCTCATTTATGAGCAAATCCCCAGTTTGAGCCTTGAGCTGCAAATGCTGTTTGTTCCCCTGGGAAATGATCCTGGCCTTGCGGGTGGACATCTCTGTCAACCCCAACCCCAGGTCTTTTCCTAGATTTGCCACAAAAGAGCCTCTCTCCGTTTCTTCCACTACGGAATAGGACCCCAACTCGGCGCCCGCCCCAGACAAGCTCAGCAAAACAAAGAAAACAAGGACTTGCCTTTGTCTCCGATTGTGCATCCATCCAATCTCCATTGCTTTTTCTTGAAAAGTTGGTTCACAGAAGCTTCATGTATCCCCAGGATCCTAGTAGAACTGTTTTGCAGTCCAGAATGTCAGAACCAAGCAGCCCAACGGTGTCTTAAAGAGGTTTCACACTCACGTTCGCTCTGGCTCAGCTATTCTTCTGCTTCCAGGCTTTGGGAAACGGTTTGCTGGATCCTGGAGCTGCGTAGGCAGTTGTATTTTCCGTCATCTTAACCTGCAGCGCCACCACGCGTTCTCACTGAGTCTTTTACTGTGGTTGAATATTGGAGGCAAAATACTTCTAAATGTACTGAATAGACTATGTAATACAAAACACTGAGTTCTATTTTCATGTGACTTTCGTGTATACAGATGGAGCTCTGTGATGTTGTACAGGGAGGAGTACAAAGAGAAGACTGTCATTTATGTTATTGACTGTTTAATGCTGTTGAGATTAATGATTAAATAAAATTCAATGAACATTTAACCAGACATAGAATACACACTTAGAAGCAAAATTTTTCTGAAGTAACATGAGAACAGTTTCACAAGTACATCTTTTTCATGGTACCTATATAGACACTATGAGTAGACACTGCAAAATTGCAATCAGTGGTAGTTCTAAAGAGTATTTAACAATTGCTTTATTAAAGAATAAATTACTTCCTTTTCTTTCTGACACCTAACCCTGAGAAGTGTGAGTTTTTACAACTTTCAAGTTATTGGAAAATTCATTCCCAAACAAGCAAATCTCAAGGTTGGGTCTGCTACACTTTTGGATTCCCCCCACCCTTTTTTCATTTCAATGGCTTTTAATATATTCAGAGGTGTGCATCCGCCATCACAATTTTAGAACATTTTCATCTCAAGAGAAACCTTACCTCTTTTAATTATCACCGTACCCGTTCTCCCATCCCACTTATAAACATATGTGTGTGTGTGTGTGTGTGTGTGTGTGTGTGTGTGTGTGTGTAGGTTAACTGAAAAAGACTGAAGAAAGAGAATAAGAAATTCAAGAAATGAAACTATAGGTTAACTCTACTTCCTACTTAGACTCATTTCTTTAATAATGGATATGGCACGTAGAGAAAGTACAGGACTATAAATCAGGTTAATTCGCTCATCATAAAGTTCATTTGTAGTATCTGTCCCAGCATACTTAGAGCTTTGATAAGAACATGGGTATATTTGTGCAGAGTAGTATAAACAAACTATAAACTAAAACTTATATTTTCACATGAGAGTTTAGTTCATGGAGTAGGAGTAGGAATAACATAAATTTCACTTCCTTAGTTAGAAAAACAATGCTATCAGTTAATGCCTGACCATATAGCATATTGGCTAGACTTAGATTATATTTTAAATTTTTACCTTTATTATTTCAGAATTATAAGAAAGTTAATCGTTTTTTGTGGGGGGGAATGAGGTCTCACTCTGTCACCCAGCCTGGAGTGC
The DNA here is from genome assembly GCF_000001405.40 of Homo sapiens. Classification (NCBI taxonomy): domain Eukaryota; kingdom Metazoa; phylum Chordata; class Mammalia; order Primates; family Hominidae; genus Homo; species Homo sapiens. Next base: position 141,181,113 of record NC_000005.10, on the reverse strand, counting down.
AATGGCACAATCTTGGCTCACTGTAGTCTCTGTCTCCTGGGCTCAGGGGATCCTCTTACCTCAGCCTCCTGAGTAGCTGGGACTACAGGTTCGCAATCACACCTGGCTAATTTTTGTATTTTTGTTAGTGTCAGTGTTTTGCCCCATTGCCCAGGCTGGTCTCGAACTACTGAGCTCAAAGGGTTCAGCTTGCCTCAGCCTCTCAAAGTGTTATGATTACAGGTGTGAGCCACAGCTCACAGCCAAGTTACCTTTCTAAGCCTCAGTTTTCTCATATTTAAAAAAGGGGATAATATGTCAACTCCCTTAGGACTTGGGGAAACATTTAAAAGGCAATAAATGTAAAACATTCTCTACACCACTTTTAACTAAATTTTACCTAGATTAGAAATCAAAAAATAAAGGCTTAAAAAGATCAGTTACATTAATTTCTTCACTTCAGATCTGTGCATTTTACTATGTACATTTTAACAAAAATTGCACTGTTAAAGAATTATGATTAGAGTCCACTGGATATACTAATGAAGAGAAGATGAGATATCATTTTTTAAAACAGTGAAAACAAGACAAATACTATGGGCAAATGTAGTGTAATTTAAAATTTATGCTAAGTTGACAGAAAACCATTCCTTTGAATTGATCATAAAAATTAAAATATATAATATGAAATCAATTACTTTAACTGAAGGCTGAAACCAAAGCCATTCCTAAAGTTAGAGTTTTGTTCCATTTCTGGCCCAAAAGAATGGCCCTGAATATTAGGTAATACTGGTTTCAGGAGCTGGAACTCATTCGTCCCTGAGCCTCCTGCCAGGCACACCTCGTACTGATAGTTCTGAGACAGGCTCCCGGTGCCCCTCACGTCCACCAGATGCCCTGGAAAGGGGCCCTCAGGCACTGAGCAGCGACCCACCGAGGCCGCCCTGCTCCTCCTACACAGCAGCACCGCCACGAACAGGAGCACCGAGAAGAGGAAGAGCGAAGACACCGAGGCCAACGCCACCACCAGGTAGACGGTGAGAGAGTCGGCCTGGCCCTGGGCTGGGGCAGCCTCCGGAAGCGGCAGGTAGGGCTGGGAGAAGCCGTCCACCAGGAGCACGTGCAGCGTGGCGGTGGCCGAGCACGGAGGCTCGCCATTGTCCTTGACCAGCACCACCAGCCTCTGCTTGGCCGCGTCGCGCTCGCTCAGCAGCCTGGCGGTGCGCACCTCGCCATTGTGCGCCCACACACCGAACAGCCCGGGCTCCGTGGCCTTGAGCAGCTGGTACGACAGCCAGGCGTTCTGGCCCGAGTCGCCGTCCACCGCCACCACCTTGGTCACCAGGTAGCCCGGCTCGGCCGCCCGGGGCACCAGCTCGGTGCAGGGCGCGGAGCCATTCTGCAGCGGGTACAGCACGAAGGGCGAGTTGTCGTTGGCGTCCAGCACCAGCACGCGCACCAGCGCCTCGCTGCTCAAAGCCGGGGAGCCGCGGTCTGAAGCGCCCACCCGGAACTCGAACGCCTGCAGGGCCTCGTAGTCCAGCGACCTGAGGGCGAACAGGTGGCCGTTGTCTGTGTTGATGGAGACCAGGGAGGCGAGGGGCAGGTGCGGATCCTGGGGCGGCAGCAGCGAGTAGGTGACCTGGGCGTTGGTGCCCGAGTCTCTGTCTGTGGCGCTGACGCTGCCGATGTGCAGGGCGGGGCTGTTGTTCTCGCGGACGAACAGGGTGTAGGAGGTTTGGGTGAAGGCGGGGGCGTTGTCATTGACGTCCGACACCAGCACGGTCATATTGAGATGTGTTGTCAGCCTGGGTGTCCCTAAGTCAGTGACGGTGATAGTGACGTTGTACTCGGCTCTGCTTTCTCTGTCTAGTGGTGTCTCTGTTAGTAGGGTGTAAAAGTTCCCCACAGAAGATTTCAGGAGGAAGGGTAGATCCTCCTGAATGGAGCAACTTATTTTCCCATTTTCTCCTGAATCAAGGTCTGAAACACTGAAAAGTGCAACCACAGTTTCAGGCGCATTCTCAGGTATTGGGCTGGTAAATGCAGACATGGTAACTTCTGGGGCATGGTCGTTCACATCTATCACTTGAATCAGAACGGTGCATTTTCCAGAAAAGCCTCCAGCATCTCTCGCCTCGATATTGACTTCATAGGACTGAAATTTTTCGAAATCAAGTTGTTTCTTTAGTCGAATTTCTCCTGTCAAGAAATCGACCTTAAAAGTTTTGCTTATCTCATCTGAAGCTTGGAAAAGTGAATAGGAAATCTCTCCGTTGACTCCTGTGTCTACATCCGTGGCAGAGACCTTCACAACCAGGAAGCTTATTGGACTGTCCTCAGAGATCTGCACCCTATAGAAAGGCTGCTCAAATTCAGGGGCATTATCATTGACATCGACAACTTCAATGTAGACCTGAGCAGTGCCAGATCTGGGCGGAGAGCCACCATCCAGTGCTGTGAGTGTTAACCTGAGCTCAGCTTCTTCCTCTCGGTCCAGCGCTTTGTCCAGCACCAGCTCTGGGTATTTCCTGCCATCACTGCGTTTGCGGGTGAGGACCCGAAAATAGGAGTTGGGGCTGATTATATAGTTCTCAATATTGTTTTGGCCTATATCTAAGTCTTCAGCATTCTTCAGAGGAAACGCAGTCCCAGGAGGACTGCTCTCTGATACTTTCACCAACATTTGTTTGTCCAGAAATACTGGAGAGTGGTCGTTTATGTCTATTACTTGCAGCTCAGCTTGAAAAAACTCGAAGGGACTCTCTAGCAACACTTGGAAACGTAGCACACAGGGCTCTGTGTGACCGCACAGATCCTCACGGTCCAATTTCTCATTTAGCAACAAATCCGCGGTCTCCTGATTGAGCTGCAAATGTAGTTTGTTCCCTCTGGAAACAACCCTAACCCCCCGCCTGGAGAATTCCCTCTGCTCCAGACCCAGGTCCTTTGCTAAATTGGTGACAAAGGAGCTGCCCTCAGTTTCCTCCACCACAGAATAGCTTCTAGGTTCCGCCGCGCCCGCCAGAGATAAGCCCAAAAGGAGAAAGGAAAAAAGGACTTGCCTTTGTCTGCAAATGAGCTTCCCGCTGGCCTCCATTGTTCTTGCTGAATTCAGCTTCCTGGGAGGACGGTTCTGTGGGACTGTAAAGTCCCCAGTATCTGAGGCTGTGGTTTTCTACAGATACCTCAGAAATATGCCAGTGAGTAGTCCTCTCCAGAGGACCCAGCCGTCCTCCCTTTGGCATCCAAGCTCCCCGTGGACTTCCAGGTTCTGCTGCTTTTTGCCGGTTAATGGAGCTGCAGCTGCGGTTCTGGTTTGTGCCTTCTTATCCTGCAGCGCCACCACGGGTCCTCACAGGATCTTACATTTTGTGGGATGATAATAGATGTAATATTCCCAACTCTGCCTGTATGTACCCTGGGACTATGTAAAGTTACAACACCACGGTTAATATCGCCGGACGTTACTGAGCAGACAACTGCCCGAAGGAGAAATTGCGTTAGTCTTTCAACAATGCTAACTGAGTTTTGGGCAAAAAGGAAATATTTAGGTAACAGTCTAGCTTGGCAAAAAGAATTTCAAATATAATAGTAGTTAACATGGGCAACATTTAGATCTTTATAGTTTTATTTCCATGAACCATAGGAATAATTAGTAGCTGTGAACCTCGAACAAATTATTTAATCTCTCTGCTTTAATTTCCTCATCTGTAAAATGAGGATAATAATAGCACCTACCACATAGGGCTGTTGTGATTTCCCCACCTTACACATGAGGAAACTGATTCAAAGAGAGATTAAGCTTAAAAATAAACTATGTACCCGGTATATGGCAATTTGATACCACCAGGTAGGTGACTCTGCATAAATCCATTGCTATAACTAGAAAAACACCTCAAAATTACATGGTAGAATAGTACAGGAACATGACTATCTCAGGTAGAGAAGTTATGTCAAACAGTGAAGGTAAACAGGGAAAGGCTGGAGAGCTTGTCTAAATAGAGACAAAATGTGTAACAGCAGTGGTGATTTTATTTCTGGGGAAGCGTGTCCTTTTTTGTTACCTCTATTTCTCTTCTAATAGCATCAATTTTAAAAAGCTTTTATTTTGATATTTTTCATATCTCATAAAAGGAGAGGAGTAAAATTAACCTGCAATTACTCAGTACTAGCATCAACTATTATCAATGTCTTGCCATAATTCTTGACGCTATCCCTCCAACATCTTTACGTTCCAGACAAACTGAATTTTCACCCACAAATACTTCATTGTACATTTCTTTAAATGCATAATAACTTTAAGTGACTCTAAAAATACCCTTAAGTACAATGCCATTATTATACCTAAAAAATTCAGTTAATATTACTTAATACCCATCTATATTCAAACTCTTCCAAGTGTTTCAAAGTCATTGCTGATGTTTGAATGAAGATCCAGACAAGATCCACACATTACGTTTGATTGGTAGATCTCGTAAGATCTTTCCTACTGTAGACTTCTCTCCTCCTGTTTTTCATGCTATTTATTTGTTGGAGAAATTAGATAATTTTACCCTAAGACCATGAAAGCATTTTAAGATTTTACTGCTGTGAGGTTTTTTTGCCTCTAGATTCTATCCCACCAGTGATATATAGTAATACTACCTTTATTAGAGTTACCAGCACTAGTTTATAATATTTTCAGAATGCAACCATGCAAAAATTATCTAGATATTTTAAAAATAAAAATCAGTTGTAAATTTTTATAAAAAACAGTGCTTCTCCTTAACTTCCGAGAATTTCTAAAAATTTAATGATCATCTATGATTCTCTTTGATATTATGCATTTAAAACTAACTATTCTTTTTCTTAAATTTTCCTGATTCAATAGTGCACTATAATTAATAGAAAACTTTTAAAAACAAACTTTCAAATCAGGAAAATGTATTACAAATGTTAAGTATGGGTGACTGCAGAAAATCTACAATATGAAGAAAATAATTAACTAATGATGCAATCAAAATTATGTAATATTCCTACTCAGGACCATTAATCTTTTTTCTGGGAAATGAAAGTCATATGTTCTGAAGAAAGGAGAAGGCACAGGTTGCCCTTTCAATTTTGTTTTCCGCTTGAGTTTGGACAGATCAGAGCATTAGTAATAATAGTTGAAAATTGACCCAGAAAAGCAGGACTTTTGGTGTATAAGAAAATAAAACCATAGATAAATATGTACATTATTATTTCTAAATATAGAAAAGATTGGACAGCAGTATAAATATGATAAAAGACTTCTCCTTAATTAGGCAGAAACTTGCCAGGTGATATCTAATGACAGAAAACAGTATGGAATCGGAGCAGGGTCACTGACCCAGAGTCAGACAGATCTGGGATGGATGCTCAGTTTTGTCACTTATTAGTTAGTGGAACTTAGTGAACTTACTGAATCTCTAAGACCATCTATTTGTTCATTCCTAAAATACCATGCCTCATATGCTTCTTCTCAGATTAAAAGTGTTAAAATAGTGTATGATGCATTAAAAGCATTTTTTAAAAATGCTTAAAAAGATACTCTACAGTCTATGCTTCTGAGACTAGGGTAGGTACACTCATACAGCTTTCTAATCAACTCAGGAAGTCTCAGTAGAGATTGAAAACAATGGAAAGCAATTTAAAATATCTCAAACAAGACTTACATTTAATAGACTGTATATTAAGCATAATTGTTTGACATAAAACATTACACATATACATTTCATGCTTTGTGAAGGGTTCTTGATACTAAATCAGGATCCTATTTTATGTATAGAAATTTATTGCTTGACTTCAAGAGTACATATTTGAAATGATGTAAAGACACTCCCTTAAGGGAACCTCGCAATAAGTTCCTAATCAGAAACGTATTCACAGACGCGGATTTAGTTTACATTCTTTATCAGAAACCCAAATTATTCTGAAATGGGCGATTTTCTTCCACTTCCCTGCCTGTGCTCTGGGGTAGCAGGTTGGGGATAATTGGTTTCAGAAACTTGAACTCATTTGTCCCGGAGCCTCCAGTCAGGCACACCTCATACTGGTAGCTCTGGGATAGGGTCCCGGTGCCGCTCAAGTCCACCAGATGTCGTGGAAAGGGGCCCTCAGGCACCGAGCAGCGACCCACCGGGGCCGCCCTGCTCCTCCTGCACAGCCGCACCGCCACGAACAGGAGCACCGAGAGGAGGAAGAGCGAAGACACCGAGGCCAACGCCACCACCAGGTAGACGGTGAGCGAGTTGGCCTGGTCCGGGGCCGCCTCCGGGAGCCGCAGGTAGGGCTGGGAGAAGCCGTCCACCAGGAGCACGTGCAGCGTGGCGGTGGCCGAGCGCGGAGGCTCGCCATTGTCCTTGACCAGCACCACCAGCCTCTGCTTGGCTGCGTCGCGCTCGCTCAGCAGCCTGGCGGTACGCACCTCGCCATTGTGCGCCCACACGCCGAATAGCCCGGGCTCCGTGGCCTTGAGCAGCTGGTACGACAGCCAGGCGTTCTGGCCCGAGTCGCCGTCCACCGCCACCACCTTGGTCACCAGGTAGCCCGGCTCGGCCGCCCGGGGCAACGGCTCGGTGCAGGGCGCGGAGCTGTTCTGCAGCGGGTACAGCACGAAGGGCGAGTTGTCGTTGGCGTCCAGCACCAGCACGCGCACCAGCGCCTCGCTGCTCAGCGCGGGGGAGCCGCGGTCTGTGGCGCCCACGCGGAACTCGAACGCCTGCAGGGCCTCGTAGTCCAGGGACCTGAGGGCAAACAGGTGGCCGTTGTCCGCGTTGATGGAGACCAGGGAGGCGAGGGGCAGGTGCGGGTCCTGGGACGGCAGCAGGGAGTAGATGACCTGGGCGTTGGTGCCCGAGTCTCTGTCTGTGGCGCTGACACTGCCGATGGGCAGGGCGGGGCTGTTGTTCTCACGGACAAACAGGGTGTAGGAGGTTTGGGTGAAGGCGGGAGCGTTGTCATTGACGTCGGAGACCAGCACGGTTATGTTGTGCTCGGTTTTCAGCCTGGGTGTCCCCAAGTCGGTGACGGTGATGGTGATGTTGTACTCAGTGTTCCTCTCTCGATCCAAAGGTTTCTCTGTTACCAGAGTATAGAAGTTTTCGACAGATGGCTTCAGGATGAAGGGGACATCGTCCTGGATGGAGCACACTGTCTTTCCATTGTTCCCGGAATCTCTGTCTCTAATCCTAAAAACAGCCACGACTGTCTCGGGTGAGTTTTCTGCAATTGGGCTAGTAAGTGAAGACAGGAGCAGCTCGGGTCGATTATCGTTTATATCTGTTACATCAACCACTACAGTGCATTTTCCAGAAAGCCCGCCGCCGTCTTTGGCCTGAATAGTTAATGTGTAAGTTTGAATTGCCTCATAGTCCAATTGCGCTTTAAGATGAAGACTGCCAGATGTTGGATTGATTTGAAACGTTTTGAGAATTCTTTCAGTGGCGTAAGAAAATGCATAGGCTATTTCCCCATTACTTCCGGTATCTAAATCTCTGGCTGACACGGAGACAACCATGGAACCAACGGGGCTATTTTCGGGCACCTGCACCTTGTAGAGCGACCGCACAAAATCAGGGGCGTTGTCATTTACGTCTAGAACCAGAATGCGCACGAGGGCGGTCCCTGATCTTGGAGGAGAGCCGCCGTCTAAAGCGGTGAGGGTTAAACTGAACTCTGGTATCTCTTCCCGATCCAGCACTTGATTCAGCACCAATTCGGGATAGATATTCCCCTCCCCGCTATCATGGACATTAATATGGAAATAGGCATTGGGGCTGATGGTGTAGTTACTCAGGCTGTTGGTTCCAACATCTGAATCCTGTGCACTCTCTAGGAGAAATGCCGCCCCTGGAGTGGTACTTTCTAATATTTTCAAGGAAATCTCTCTGTCTAGAAATACTGGAGCGTGATCATTGATGTCTCTGACCCATAGTTCAGCACGGAAAATCTGAAAAGGTTTTTCCAATAACAACTGGAAAGGCAGCACACAGGGCTCTCTGGGGCCACACAGTTCCTCTCGGTCCAATTTCTCATTTAGAAGTAGATCACCAGTAAGCGAACTGAGCAGTAAAATTTGCATGTTCTGGTCTGAAACAATTCTAGTTCCCCGGGCTCTCAGTTCCCCTACCCCTAACCCTAGGTCTTTTGCCAAGTTGGTAAGAAAGGTGCCTCTCTCGGTTTCCTCCGCCACAAAATACCGAAGCGGTTCGGCGCCAGCCCAAGACATTCCCAGAAATACACAAAGAAATAAGACTTGCCTTTTCTGCACAGCACGCTCCACTCTGGCCTCCATTCTTCTTTGGATCAGTCTTTCAAAATGACTTTCACTCAGCCTCCAGCGGCTCTCACAAATGGCAGCAGCGGAATCCTTTGAAATGAGCTGAATAATAGCAATGTTTGTGGGGAAGGATCCTCATTTTACCCCAATTCCTATTACCACTGTTTCCTTTCCTATGCTTTTCTCTTCAGATTGCCTCTTTGCTCTGGAATCTGTAACATCCTTTCTTTGTGAAATTATTTTTCTCTCTCTCTTTTTAGCCAGCAGCGCCACCTTGCGTTTTGTGGATGTTATTCCCGTTATCAAGACTAGAACAAAAAGATGGCGGATTGAAGGAATTCTGCAACAAGAATGATTTGTCCCCGGTATCTTTGCTGTTTCATTCCATCTTTATCCTCAAATGGTCACAGTAATGCTAGTAAGTAATAGCTGATGTCGTTTTCCCCTGTGATAATCTGGATTCGTAGAAGAATTAATTTATAGTCTTCTTAAATCTAGGAGCATGAAACTAAACTCTGACTCCCCACCGAAATCCTAAGAAAATCTCCTATTTTAAAAATGGATAGTAAAAATATATATGAGAAAATGAAACCTCCTCCTTGAAGTCAACAAATATTGGTTGGGGACATTTTATTTATTTGTAAAGTATTTAACAATAATAATGTGAATATGGCAGAATAATTGACCCTTTTCCCAATTTCTTGTGAATTAAACAATTATTCCACTTTCCAGGTCTTAACTCTTTACCTGTGATATTTCTTGGAACACTTTATGCCTCCCCCAAACCCAACCTTCATCCTTCACCTGATTTAAGTATTACATAAGAAATTATTGTTCCTCTATAATTTCAGTGACTAGAATCTCCAATGTCCAATGAATACTCTTAAAATTAGTAGTAGCAAGTTGGTCAATCTTGCATTTGTGGAAGTGCTTCTAGCATTTCATCTTCAACTATGATGGTTGATCTCAATTTGGGGTAAATATTCCTTTTTTGAATCAATAAAGTTTTCTTTTTATTCTTTCATATTTTGAAGTGATTTTTGATAGCTGTTGAAATAATACATTTATTCTTTAGTTTCTAAATTACTGAGTTATTGATATAAATGACATTTAACCATAATGTATTATTGTTTTAGTGCACAGATAGATATGATGTGTCAACATGGTTTTAGGATTTTTCTAGTTAATGTTGTTTACCTAGTGCGTGTTTGCCTTTTATGGCCTTGGTATTAAACTATTATACTGGCATCATAGAATGTGTTAGGGAGCTTTTTATCTATTTTATACAATAGTTTTAATAATTATATTATTATATGTTTCTACATGCTTAATTCCAGCTTGTCTTTTAAACTGGTTGGGTTTGGTGACTTCACTTGCAGTAGATCAGTGACTACCATTTACATTTTACCTTTGGTTATTAATCTGTTCAGGTTTTGTATTTTTAAGTAACTTGCATTTTATTTTGAAAATCATTTTATCTAGTTTGCAAATTTCTTGGAATTGTTTTCATTGCGTTATTTACCTTTAATTGTATCCCTATTTTTATTAGTGATGTTTAGCATTTTAACTCCTTTTTATTCTTGGTGAGACTTGCAAGAGCTCTACTTTACTGATATTTTGAAATGCATTTTTTTCAAAATAATATATGACCTTGGTCCAAAATTAAATAGCACTAAGAGGCTTGTTCTGCCCTTTTCCTCCTCACTTTTCTTAGTTCCCCTTCTAAGAGGTAGCCATTTTAAAACTCTTTTAGTTATCTCTTCAGTCACTAATCTGTTTTCTGATATATTTTGATTAATTAATTTTAGAAATTATCAATTGACTGTTTATTATGTTAGATTACATTTTAGGTATTTTAGATTTTCTTTTACTTACCATATATTGGGAACATTATTGTGTATTAATTATGTTTTCTTTTTCAATTTTTTTGTGATTTTAATAATTATCTTGCCTTTTCATTTACTTGATTTTTTTTATCCCTATCACTTATTCATCCCACAGATACAATTGCCTGTCAGTGCAATTTTCCCCATAGTCATTTCCATTCCTCCTGAGACTTCAATTTTTCTTTAAATTGGGTGGTTGCTTTCTGTGCCTACTGCACAGCTATCATTCTGGATTTTTTTCTTTGCTGTCATTCTTGGAATTCTTTGCCTTTTATTCTGGATGTGTTTGCTATTTCTGGGATTTTATAACTTGCCCTTTTTCAGTTTACTCTATGGCATTACTAGAACACATCCTCCAATAGGTTCATATGATTGAAAAGATGATACAATGTTAAGAGGATTGCTAATGATATCCTTCAAAATCTCTGTCTCTTGAGTCAAACAGCTCCTTACTGGACTAGTTGTTCATTATGCTCAGTTGTCATCCTTGGATCATCCTTCAGCATCACCTGGAGATTCATTTCACTTCTGTCCTGTTTTGGATCTTCTAGTTTCTGTTTCTTCTGTCTTCTCCTGTCTTGAATTAGGTTCTCATTTTGATAGATACCTTCCAGTAGTTTTCGGAGAAGGGTGTTTCAGAGTTAAATGTTTTTGTGATCTTAAATGTACTAAGATGTCTTTATTCTACCCTCAAACTTGATTAGTAGTTTGACTAAATATAGAGTTTTAGGTTGAAAATAATTTTTCTTCTGAATTTTTGTTTTGTCAATGAGCTTTCCAAACCAATCTGTTTGCAAAGAAGTCTAAAGCTAATCTTATTTCTTATCTTCCATATGTGACCTATATTTTTATTTTTTGTTATAGTGTTTTTTCATTGTCCCAAGCACTTTAAAATTAAACAATTGTATGTTTTGGTTTGGGGTTATTTTCCATCCATTGCACAGTATAATTGATGAGACATTTCATCTAGAAAACTAATTTTCTCCTGCTCTTAGAAATCTCTTTAAACTATTTCATTTATAATCCAACTCCCATTTCATTTTTAGAATTTCTGTAATTCAGATGTTAGACTTCTGGTATGGTTCTCTAATTTCTTTATTTTTTTTCTCTCCTACTTGCCATTGTAAAATATTTTTGCAGTATTTTCTAGAACATTTTCTGAACTTTATCTTCGAGCCCTTATATTGAGATTTTTATTTCTTTATTAGGTTAGTATTTTCCTAGACTTGTCTCTTCTATTTAAAGAGCTCTCTTTTGGGCTTATTTCTTAGATGCAATAACTTCTTTTTTCATCTGATGATATTAATAATCGCTTTTCCACCAAGTTTTCTTCTTGCTGCAGACTTTCCATTTTCTCCAAGTTACCTTTTTACTCTTTGCTTTTCTTTAACTTCTGTATGCCTTTTCAGAAACTTTCTTCACGTGTTTGTTCTTAATTTAGTTTGGGAGACTACAGAGCTGAGTGATGGCTCTGAGTAGTTTGATAATTCTTGTCCACCTTGATTTTTCATTCTAAAGTGAACTGGGAGCACTGATGGATGGGGAAACCTCAGTGTCAGTGTGATTAGGTCTTTCCGGTTGGACTGGCCAGATTACCACACTCTTTGAAATCCCCTATCCAAAAGGAAAAGATATAGATTGAAAAAGGTGAAGGATTAAGTGGGTGAAGAGGAGTACAGTTTTGCATCAGGATAGGCTAAATTATGTTTCAATACCAAACAACTTGCCCAAATCTCAACAGCTTAACACAATGAAAGTTGATTTCTTCCATCCTGGCTAACACAGTGAAATCCCGTCTCTACTAAAAATACAAAAAACTAGCCAGGTGTGGTGGCGGGCGCCTGTAGTCCCAGCTACTTGGGAGGCTGAGGCCGGAGAATGGTGTGAACCGGGGAGGTGGAGCTTGCAGTGAGCCGAGATCGTGCCACTGCACTCCAGCCTGGACGGAGCGAGACTCCGTCTCAAAAAAAAAAAAAAAAAAAAGAAAGAAAGTTGATTTCTTTCTTATACTATATATCCTATATAGTTCAGCCTGGGGCCCTCCTCACAGCAGTCAGTCAAGGATCTAAACTTGTGGAGATTCCATCTTCACATATACTTCCGTGATCACTGTAGTGGGAAAAGAAAATGTGTTAAACCGTGCCTCCAAAAACTTCAGCCCAGAATGGATATATGTCACTTCTCACATTTTATTAGCCAAAGGAAATTACATGGCTACACATAATTTTAAACAGAAATAGAATTGAAATTCTACCATATGTCCAAGAAGGGGAGAACCAAAATATTTGTGATTGGTTCAAATGACTATCACAGCATTTTAACAATCAACCAGAATTCAATATTTAGATGGTTACTTACTTTTGCTACCCATATTACCCATGACCTCCATTTTGTTGGCAGAACCTCTCATATAATAACCCTCCTTTTTGCGCTCTTCAGAAAATAAAACTCCAGACTTATGTTAGGGTCAAGGGGGTAGGTAGGTTACTCAGTGACTGGAATGGGGAAATGTGATCTAACTGCTAGAGATTTAACTGCTTTACAGGAATCTTTAACACAATCCTTCTTATTTGGCATGAGGAACTAGGATTGACATTTCAGATGCCTCTATATGTCCCACCATCTAAACAGAATTTATTCTAGTCCCACAGTCTGAACAGGATCGATTCTCAGCTCTTCCCACTTCATGACTGGTAGTTGATTTGTCAGGTCTACTAAATCATTCATCTGTTTTCCAGCTTCTAAGAGTTTTCCCTGTTGTCTTCTACATTATTCTCTTCATCCTTATTAAGTTTATGTTTCTGAAAATATATGTTCATGTTTTCTTAGTGCATTTTTAGAGGGAGCCAAATGAAAGGTGCATGTCTCCTACATCAATTATATATAGAACCTAAAATATCCTTGGCTTTTTCAAAGAAATCACTTTTTGTTTAATTGGTCAAATATTATGTGGTTTTATTCTATTTAATCAATTTTTGCTTTTATATTTTTAATTCATTCCTCTTATTTTCCTTATTTTTAAAAATTCTTGTTTTGATTCTTGAGTCATTTACTTTGTCCCTTTTTTCTCAATAAACCTTGATTTCTAAAATATGCATGTAAGTCTTACATTTTTCTCTATTTACCCTTATACTCTTACCTTAAATATCACTTTATTAAAGAAACTTCTTATATCAGCTAGAATTATATTCTATATAACTTATAGATCTATGTTCTATATCAATTTAGCTTGAAGTTACAGATAAAGCCATAATAACAGTGACTTAAACAAAATATAAAAGAAGGCTAGTGGCTGAAAATGCACTCCATGATATCTGGGACCCAGTCTCATTCCATCATTGATTTGCTATCTTCAGGACATGGCCTTTACTTCATTGTCCAATGTAGCTGCCTAATAAGCAGTCATTACATCCGCATTCATGCCAACAAAAAGAGGAAGGAAAGGGTGTGCTTTCATTTTTTAAAAAGATTATCTCCATAAGGTACTCCATGGCACTTGTGCTTTTATCTCACGGTCTACAATTTAGTTACAAGATGACACCTGGCTGCAAGAGAGGTTGAAGAATATAATCCATAGCTCACATACGTACATAAGCAGCTAAAATCAGATGTATAAATAAGGGGAGAATGTATATTTGGGTTAAAGTAGCCATCTATATCACACCCACTTAGACCTGACCTATTGCCCCAACTGCCCACTAGGAACAGATAGGGTCAAAAAAGTTATCCAATTCAGAGCAGTTATTAAAGGAACATACGACTGTCTCTCTCCATATTGGCAGTGTGGCTTGTAGCCAAAAGAATTATTGTTCCACTGAAAGCTAAGCCCAGGAAGCAGTAGAGAAATTAATTCAAGTGCTAGGACAAGGCCTTTTGAACAATGTTTCCCCAGTGTGCTATTGTAATATGCCATCCATTCCTACTTCATTTTATAAATTTTTTAAAAATTCAGGGTCTAGAAAGCTTAAAACTCCATTTTCCAGACTTCTTAGAATTATTATTCTGGATGTAAATTAGGTTTTGCCAATGAGATTCCTTCACGTGAGCCTTAGAATACAGGCAAAGGTGGTCTTCCACTGTTCACCAATAAGGTCAGAAAGATATGAATGCTTGCAGCCAAGTCAGCATTCCTCTGTCTAGCCATCACCTTCTTAGGGAACTGGAGACCACTGTGGCATCCAGACACTCTGTGCCAGTGTGCAGCCATCAGTTTTGGAGGTGGGAGAGGGCACTGTGGGAGCAACAGTTTTGGTAGTAGTAGTAGCATCAGCTTCCTGATTCCTGTGCTGCAGCTGTGGTCACATGCCTTCAAAACCATTTCAGTGCTGACTCTCTTACTTCTGCTTGTCCATTTCTTCCAGTGATTTTATATAAGCATCTAAGTCCTTGTAGCTGATATCTTTTTTGGTTTTGGTTAGAGACACACAGAGTGGTTGTTGGTTTTTTGTCCTGAACTCTGAATAATTCATCCAAATTCAAAATTTTATTCCTTCACTCAAATTATAAGTAATAGGGGCCTCTCGATTAGAGTTTGTAAAAGAAAAAAACTGTAAAACATAAAATCATCAAGGCTTTAAGGCACTAGTCCCTTAATCTAACACAACTTAGTTTAAGAATAGGGGAGAATAAAAAATTTCAGATGTACTCGTGAGAGACTAAGGATAAAAGTGTTTGATAAATTTGATGTATATCTTTTTTAAAAAGCAGAACATGGTCTGAAGGCGAATAAAAATCTTTCATCCTCCCTTCATGTGTAACACAATAAGTCAAAATTTGTTTTAAAAATGTGTTATTTGTAAAGAAATAAGAAAGGGCTCAACATCATGTTATAAATTTTAAAAAATGAAAGCTGGGTCACATATTTTAAATGACATATTGTTAGGTGAACAAAGCAAGTATCAAATACTGTAAATAATAAATGGGCATTTTATAAAAAAGAAATAAAATATTTTGTTATCATGTTTAGGCTTACTAAGCCAGATAAAATAACAGACTGAAATTTATTTATTGCTTTATTCAACACTCATTCACCTATATTTATTTCAATACAGCCACGTGCTGCATAACGACATTTGGTCAACCATGGATGGCATATACAATGGTGGTCCTGTAAGATCATAATGGAGCTGAAAAATTTTTATTGCCTAGTGATGCCATACCTATAGTAATGTCATAGTGCAATGCATTATCTGTTCTATGTTTAGATACACAAACACTAACCATTGTGTTATAATTGTCTACAGTAGTCAGTAGAGTAACATGATATACAGGTTTGCAGCCTAGGAACAATAGGCTATACTGGGTATCCCAGGTGTGTATAGTAGGCTACGTTATCTGGATTTGTGTAAGTACACTCTATGATGTTGGAGCAATAATGAAATTGCCTAATGACACAGCTTTCAGAATGTATTTCTGCTATTAAGCAATGAATGGCTGTGTATATATTTGTCTAAGCCCATAAGATAAAGAGCCCTCTTTGTGAAGAGAGTACTGTCTAGTGGAGAGGGGAGATTATTGATTTGTCTGAGTACTCCGTACTCAGTTGATGAAACACTGGATTCAATGGATTCAAAGGAAAAATAGCCTAATTAATATATAATTGAAATGGTGGAAAAACTGAATCTTCAGGTTGAATAAACAATAGACAGAGCTTGTCATTTCTGAAAACGATAGTATCAATAATTCATATGACCCTCCTAAGGAAAACAAAATATAATGGACAAAACTTAAGAAAAACTTCAAAACTAATGAAGAGTCAAAAACATAGTAGAAAATGGCAGAAAAAGCCCAATTTTTATGGAAGCCTGTAAGAGAGGGGTAAACAGAGTATCAGAACAACAAAACTTCTTATGCTCTCAGGGCATTTAAAAATATTTGTACTCAGGCTTTGATCTGAAGCTGTGGGATTAAAGAAATATAAATCAAGGCTCAGGTGTAACCACAGTTGCAGCATATTATAGAAAGATCCTCTTCATATTAAGGGACCACTCAGGGATACATCCATAATGTAAATACAGTGTAAACACCAGCAAATCTAAACCTGCCCTCAGCCTCTAACTCCAGGGAATTATATAGAAGTCTCCCTGATTTTAAGCAGAGAAGAAGAAAAAGAAAAAAAAAACATGCCTGGGAAGTTGTACCTACATATTGTGTGTGTGTGTGTGTGTGTGTTTGTGTGTGTGTATTGAGATGGGGTCTTACCCTACTGCCTAGGTGGGTATAGAACTCCTGAGCTCAAGTGATCTTCCCACCTCAACCTCCTGAGTAGCTGGGACTACAGGCCCACACCACTGCACGTGGCCCTCTTGTGTATTTGTATTTTGAATATACATAGGTTGAGATGCAAGGAACCTCAAGCCATTTAATTAATTTGTGATAGTCCACTATTGATAGTGTTTCCAATATCCTGGCTGAAACAAATGAAAATCCATTTTGATAGTTGGAACATGTGCAACCTAGGCTTTGTAGATACCCTACAAATAAATTTTCAAGGGCAATCAACCATGCACATCCTACAAAGAAACAAAGACATCATGAATGAGAAGGAGCAGAAACAAAATAGAGTAGGCATAGGCCCACACAAACTTCAGATATTAGAACTATAAGGCAGATTTTAAAACAAAATATACTTACCATATATAAATAAATAAATGATATACTTGAAAATATCTGCATGAACAGATTGAAAAGGCACGCTGAGTTCCAGGGAAAAGTAATGTGTAATTACCATAATCAAGACATAATCTGATAAAGATAATGAATTTCAAGGATAGAAAACAAGTTACCTACAGGTGAAGCAAACAGGCTTCAGTATTTCCCTGAGCAACATTTAATACCAAAACAGAATGGAAATGTCTACAAGATTCTGAGGGAAATAAATTATGGCTCAATTATTTTACACATAGCCAAGCTGTTGCTCAAGTACAAAGACAACAATGCAGCAAACAGGAAAGAATTCATTAACCCTTGTGCTAGTACTGATGAATTCTTTTTGAAAAAAATACTACTTAAGGATAAAAATCAAGTGACTTATAGATGACTGTAGAAACTATGATAGAAGAACTAATGTTATATTTAATGTCAACAAATCTTTGATGAAAAGAAAGTCCATTGAAAAATTTTATACCCAGCTAAATTGTATTTCTCAAGCATGTGAAAAAATACAGCACCTATGAACTCTTATCTAAAGACTGACATCTGATGAAATCAAGCAAATCGAGATAAAACAACATAAATGATTCAGGTACAGGAAAACTAGCACAATATGACTGACAGTAAGGACTGTATTTTACTCTAGTTTGAGCACACTAGTGTTTCTCAATTTTTTCCTGAAACTTTATGTAAATGATAGAGGGCAAGGGTTTAAAATAAACAAAGCTATAAAGACAAAAATAATGGAGAAGAATAAATCGCAGGGGAGAGAAGTCACAAAAATTTTGGAAGATGCAAAGCACACAGACAATTGGTAACTGACAGTTTTCTTTTTTTTTCTTTTTTCTTGTTGCTCTCAAATGAAAAGGAGGAAAATTAATAAGAAAATCAAATGTAGCCATAGTAATAATCCAGACTGAGGACCCAGGGAGAGGCTAAAAATAACATTGGCTGAAGATCTATATAAGGAGTACTTATATCTGAGAATTCCTTTCCTACTCAGCGAAGCAAGGCACTTTCCCTTTTCTCATCATGGCAGAAAATAGGAGGTGTAATATCCATAGTGGTTTAATAGGAAGGGCTCTGGACTGAAGGACATGAGCACAACTTAGGGCAGGACTGAGATCTTAGTGAGAAAGTGGGTTAAAAAAAATTAAGACACTTTCTCTCAAACCAAGGAGCTTACAAAGTGCTAGGTGTCAAGTTTATAATAACTTCCATCCTACCCATCCTTACTGAATTTCTCTCTGAAGAACAATGTGAGCCCAAGAGAGAAGACTTACAGATATTGACCTTTTGTCTCCAAATGTTTCCTGTTTCATTACCCTAAGGTGAGGTCCACCACTCAACTAGTCCCACCCAAACATACAATGTTTATCAGCTTTTAAGTGCCTTATTTTATAAAAGGAAAAAATACACCGGGCACGGTGGCTCACGCCTGTAATCCCAGCACTTTGGAAGGCTGAGACGGGTGGATCACCTGAGGTCAGGAGTTTGAGACCAGCCTGGCCAACATGGTGAAACCTCATCTCTACTAAAAATACAAAAAATCAGCCAGGCGTGGTGGCAGGCGCCTGTAATCCCAGCTACTTGGGAGGCTGAGGCAGGAGAATCACTTGAACCCAAGAGGCAGAGGTTGCAGTGAGCTGAGATTGCACCACTGCACTCCAGTCTGGGCGACAGAGCGAGATTCTGTCTCAAAAAAAAGAAAACGATACATAATTGGGCTTCATCAAAATTTTAAAAAATCTTTTTTACTTCAGAGGACACTACCAATAAAGTGAAAACACAACTCACAGAATGGCAGAAAGTATTTGTAAATCATGTATCTGATAAGAGTCTAGTATCCAGAACATATAAAGAACTACTAACATTCAACAATTAAAATATTAAAAAATTAGATAACTGGCAAAGAATTTGAGTATACATTTCTTTAAAGAAGATACTCAAATGAACAATAAGCATATGAAAAGAAATATAACATGATTAGTCATTTGGGAAATGCAATTCAAACCATAATAGGATACTACTTCACACCTTCTAAGATGGCTATAATAACAAAAAATAAGTGTTGGTGAGGATGTAGACAAATTGGAACCCTCATACACTGTTGAGAGGAATGTAAAATGGTATAGTCACTTTGGAAAACAGTTTGACAGTTCCTCAAAAAGTTATATAGAGTCAGTATGTGACCCAGTAATTCCATTCCTAGGTATACACCCAAGAGAAATGAAAACATGTTCACACAAAAACTCATACATGAATGTTCCTAGCAGCATTATTCATAATAGCAAATAGTGGAAACAAACCCGAATGCCCACCAATTGATGAACAAACAAAATGTGGTACATTCATACAATGGGATATTATTTAGCCATAGAAAAGAATGAAGTGCTGATGCATGCTGTAACATGAATGAACCTTGAAAACATTATGTTAAGTGTAAGAAGCCAGACATATTCTATGATTCAATTTACACGAAATGTCTAGAACAGGCAAATCCAAAGAAACATAAAGTTGATTAGTGGTTTCCAGGGGCTGGAAGGAGGAGGGAATGGGGAGTGACTGCTTAAGGGTACCAGGTTTCTTCTTTGTGCTGATGAAAATGTGAAAAATGTTCTAGAATTAGATAGTGGTAATAATTGTACAGCCCTTGGAATATACTAAAAACCACCAAACTCAATTTTTAAAAAAGTGAATATTATGGTATGTGAATTATAGCTCACCAAAGAATTTTAAAACTGCAAGGCTACTATAGAAAGAAATATGCAGAGACCAAGAAAAAGCTTTCTGAAAGTAAAACTATGATAGCAAAAGCTTAAAATTTAGCCATAGAGGAAATTTACTGGAATCCAGGAAAATAAAGACAGAAGATAGAACAAGAATAAGAAAAATTAAATATCAAACCAGGTCAGTATACAATTAACAGAAATTGCAGAATAAAAAACCAAAAACCATTTAGTAGGGGAAATAATTTTTTAATTAAAAAAAACCCTAACAATCCTGTTCTAGTCTGAAGAACATGTCTCAAGATTGTCAAGTCTCATTGAGTAACTAGTGCAATAAATGACCAAAATTCTTATAGTATGACACAGTGACGAAATTCTAGAACACTGGAGGTACATACAAGAACCTCAATTTATCTGGATTAAGGTTTCTCAGCCTCAGCACTGTTGGCAGCTGTGACCATCAAAAATGTTTCCAGACATTGCCAAATGTTTGATAATTGCCAGACATTTACCAAAGGTGGCAAAATTGCCATTGGTTGAGAATCAGGGATCTAGAAGGAAAACAAAGTTTCTCAGAAAAGAATGGGTAATATCTCAACTTTGGTGATTAGAAGACAACAGAGGAATGTCTTCAAAATACTAGCAGCAAATAATTCCTAACCTATAATTCCACACCCAACAAAATCTTCAAATAGACATTTGCGTTTCTGACATCTGAAATTTTTATATTCATATGATCAAAAGATTTATTACCAAATATTCTTCTGACAGTTAAGGGAGAAAACCAAACAAGAGGAAGATGTAAAATCCAGAAGAGGAAATCAAATGGAAGAGGAAGATAAACTCCCAAGTTAGTGGGAAAAGCAAACTGCCAGCTGTGCAGTAGGTCTAGAGAGCAAACAATGTACAATGGAACAAGACTCTGAATAGCTCCAGGATGGCTCCAGGAGAAAAGAATGGAACCGATAAATTTCTTTATGAGTTTAACCTAAGTTAGGAGCTTCAGGCTTTACAAAATTTGTGGGTAATTTTAAAAGATGTACATAGAAAAGTAGTTGAAAAAGAAGGCAATTATGACCTTAAAGGTAAAAAAAGAGGCTTTTTGTTTTTACTCTTCAGGCTTAGGTGTAAGTAACATTTTTATGGTGACAATTATATAAACATTATCTAAACAGAATTTTGATATTGCTAGGTAGAGGAAATGTCCGAGTTGTGTGTGCGTCTGTGTGTGTACCCCTTAAAAACTGGATATCTAAAACTGGGATTTGAGAAAAAGCACTTTATAAGCATATGTGATTTTTAAAAATAGGGAAGTAAATATGGGAAAACACATAAGAGCATCAAAAGTGGTTACCCTGGGCAGTCAGACTTGAATAAAATTGGAAAAAACTTTTAAATTAAAATTTAAAAAATATGAAATGCTGGCCAGGTGCAGTGGCTCACACCTGTAATCCCAGCACTTTGGGAGCCCGAGGCAGGTGGATCACCTGAGGTCAGGAGTTCGAGACCAGCCTGACCAACATGGTGAAACCCCATCTCTACTAAAAATACAGCATTAGCCAGGCATGGTGGCGCACGCCTGTCATCCCAGGTACTTGTGAGGCTGAGGCAGGAGAATCGCTTGAACCCGGGAGGTGGAGGCTGCAATGAGCCGAGATCACGCCACTGCACTCCAGCCTGGGCAACAAGAGTGAAACTCCGTCTAAAAAAAATATGAAATGCATAAACAATTATGGCAAGTATTCTTTCAAAATACATTGTAAATGTTATAAATATTGATAAGGTAATATATATTTAATACAAAAAGGATAAGTAAGTTTAAGAAAGAACGGGTATAAAATGTTTATTTGCTCATTTTTAAGCAGGCAGTTAAGTAATGCTAATGTCTTAATATGCATCTAATCTTGCTTTTTAACCTTTATAGGGACTACTTATCAAAGCTTAAGCAAGTTCTATAGTTTCACACTTCGTTTTATTGTATTCAATCTAATCATTTTTATCAGAAGCTATCAATTTATTATAGATCCATTTTATAAAATTATTTTCATCTATTACTTTATTCTTATATACATTCATTGAAATATTTTAGAATGATGTTGACTTAATGAAATTAGTTCTGATGGTGGAATAATGATGTTAATTTGCTTTCTCTTTTGTACTTACTGTATGTTTGAATCATATGATTATATTTTATTTTTATTTATTTATTTATTTTTGAGATGGAGTCTCTCTCTGTCACCCAGGCTGGATTGCAGTGGCATGATCTCAGCTCACTGCAACCTCCGCCTCCGAGGCACAAGGGATTCTCCTGCCTCAGCCTCCCAAGTAACTGGGATTACAGGCACTTGTCACCACGCCCAGCTGATTTTTGTATTTTTTAGTAGAGATGGGGTTTCAACATGTTGGCCAGGCTGGTCTCGAACTCCTGACCTCAGGTGATCCGCCCACCTTGGCCTCCCAAAGTGCTAGGATTACAGGTGTGAGCCACTGCTATATATTATTTTAAAAGAAGGAGAATCATTATTTACATACCAAAGCCATTTATTATTAAAAAAAAAGCAATCACAAGTCAACCAACCTTTTTTCTATTATTCTTTCATGTAACAGGAGTTGAATCCTTTAGAATAACAGCCGATGGTCTATAAATATCAATTTTGAAAAAAGAAATTCAGGAGAGAAAACATCACCTAGGTAAAATATTGGTTCATTTGAGGGAAGAGTAGTGTTTTTGAAACAACACAACAGAAGTGCAACAATTTACAAGATTACTAAAATTTTTGCATAAATGAAAATTATTTTTTAGGCTAAAAGCTGTGATTTACGATAGACTTAGAGTCATGCTGATGATAACCAGAAAGTTTGAAACACTATTCTCTTAATCATAACATATCAATGAACAAGTTCAAATACTGGGAACCTGAAAACACCTGTGAGTTCCAAAATCTGACCAAACAAAAACAACAACCATAGGAAACACCATTTCTCTGCTATTGTGTGCACATGCTGTAACTAACATAGCTGACAACCACCACAACAAAAATTAAAGGGAATGGAAAATAGTCCAGCAGGTTGAAATAGCTATAAATATGACAGCCATTACTAATGTGTGAATATGTGACTCTACGCGAATGAGAGAATTGGGAACTTACAGATGAATAGTGAATTCTATGATTTATCACGACCTGTTGTCAGATTCCTAATTGAACCCAAAATGATTCCTAGAGTTGGAGTTTGCCTCGCTGTCCCCACCAGTCCCTTCACCCAAGAAGTTGGGAAGTACCGGTTTAAGAAACTTTAACTGGCTCTCAGAGCTTTCTGCCAGGTAAACTTCATACTGATAATTCTGGGACAGGGTCCTGGTGCCACTCACGTCCACCAGATGCCCTGGAAAGGGGCCCTCGGGCACCGAGTAGCGACCCACCGAGGCCGCCCTGCTCCTTCTGCACAGCCGCACCGCCACGAACAGGAGCACCGAGAAGAGGAAGAGCGAAGACACCGAAGCCAACGCCACCACCAGGTAGACGGTGAGCGAGTCGGCCTGGGCCTGGGCCGGGGCCGCCTCAGGGAGAGGCAGGTAGGGCTGGGAGAAGCCGTCCACCAGGAGCACGTGCAGCGTGGCGGTGGCCGAGCGCGGAGGCTCGCCATTGTCCTTGACCAGCACCACCAGCCTGTGCTTGGCCGCGTCGCGCTCGCTCAGCAGCCTGGCGGTGCGCACCTCGCCATTGTGCGCCCACACGCCGAATAGCCCGGGCTCCGTGGCCTTGAGCAGCTGGTACGACAGCCAGGCGTTCTGGCCCGAGTCACCGTCCACCGCCACCACCTTGGTCACCAGGTAGCCCGGCTCGGCCGCCCGGGGCACCAGCTCGGTGCAGGGCGCGGAGCCGTTCTGCAGCGGGTACAGCACGAAGGGCGAGTTGTCGTTGGCGTCCAGCACACCAGCACGCGCACCAGCGCCTCGCTGCTCAAAGCCGGAGAACCGCGGTCTGAGGCGCCCACGCGGAACTCGAACTCCTGCAGGGCCTCGTAGTCCAGCGACCTGAGGGCAAACAGGTGGCCGTTGTCTGTGTTGATGGAGACCAGGGAGGCGAGGGGCAGGTGCGGGTTCTGGGGCGGCAGCAGCGAGTAGGTGACCTGAGCGTTGGTGCCTGAGTCTCTGTCTGTGGCGCTGACACTGCCGATGTGCAGGGCGGGGCTGTTGTTCTCGCGGACGAACAGGGTGTAGGAGGTTTGGGTGAAGGCGGGGGCGTTGTCATTGACGTCGGAGACCCGCAGGGTTATGTTGTACTCGGTTTTCAGCCTGGGTGTCCCCAAGTCTGTGACAGTAATGGTGATGTTGTACTCGGCCCTGCTCTCTCTGTCTAGCGCTCCTTCTGTTAACAAAGTGTAGAAATTTTCTAAGGTAGGTTTTAGAAGGAAAGGGAGATGGTCTTGGATGGAACACATCATTTTTCCATTGTTCCCGGAGTCCGGATCCGAAATTCCGAAAACAGCGACCACTGTTTCTGGGGAGTTTTCTAGGATATCACTGATAAGTAAGGACATAGTAAGTTCCGGTGCGTTGTCGTTTATATCCATTACCTCTATGGCTACGGTGCATTTTCCTGAAAGACCCCCACCGTCTGAGGCCTCAACTTCCATGTGATAAGATTGAATTTCCTCAAAATCCAACGCCTTTTTAAATCTAATTTCTCCCGTGATTGAGTTTATTTCAAAGGCCTGAATGATTTGATTGGAGTATTGAAAAAATGAATAGGAGAGCTCCCCGTGGGTCCCAGCATCTAAATCCCTGGCAGAGACGGTGATGACAAGGGAACCTATAGGGGTGTTCTCTGGGACCTGCACCTCGTAGCGCCGCTGAGCAAATTCAGGGACGTTGTCATTGATATCTACAATCACTATGAGAACCTGGGAAGTCCCAGTTCTGGGCGGTGACCCACCATCCAGCGCTGTGAGGGTTAACCTGAGCTGGGGCTGCTCCTCGCGGTCCAGCGCTTGATCCAGCACGAGCTCTGGGTATTTCTTGCCGTCGCTGTGATTGCGAGTGAAAAGGTGGAAATAGGAGTTGGTGCTAATTGAGTAGTTCTGAACTGTGTTGCTACCTACGTCCAAATCTTGAGCTATTTTCAAAGGAAATGAAGTCCCTGGATGGCTGCCTTCGGAGATTTTCAGGAGGATTTCATTTTCCAAGAATTCTGGGGCATGGTCATTTACATCTTGGAGCTGTAGTTCACCTTGAATAAACTGCACCGGATTTTTCAGTAACATCTGGAAATGTAGTATACATGGATCTATGTCACCGCACAACTCTTCCCGGTCCAATTTTTCTTTTAGGAGCAAATTCCCACTCTTCCGTTCGAGCTGCAAATACTGTTTGTTCCCTTTGGAAAGAATCCGGGCGCCTCTCGCGGCCAGTTCCCCTACACCCAGCCCCAGATCTTTTGCTAAGTTGGCCACAAAAGAGCCGCTGTCCCTCTCTTCTAGAACTGAATACTTAATCGTAGCGCTGCCCGCCTCCCACAGTAGTAATAAGAAAATAATGGCGGTCACTTGCCTTTTCTCTGGTGCTTTGGGGAGCGGCGTCTCCATCATTCCTCAGGGTCCAAAAGATGCAGTATTTAATCACAAAATAATTGCTTTACAGCCAACTCAGCTATCTTGATTTAAATATCTTGAGTTAGTTCTTTTTAACATTGACCGACATGGGATGGCTGCCTCTCTGAAACCTATCCCCAGTAGTGAAAAAGTGTTTCCTTTTGGAGCTGCCAGAAAACCCGCACAGCTTTTAAGGAGACACTGATTCTGCAGTTTTTCACTCAGCCTGCAGCGCCACCAAGCGTTCTGCTTTACAACTTCAGATAATTTTCATTTCAAAGCACACTGTATACTGTAATAGCTAAAACATATAGCAGGCCTTTTAGGTCATAGCCTGTTATATACTCCCTTTTCCCCCGGCTATTATGAGGCCTTGTTCAGGTAGCTAAGAATGGTTGTTACAGCAAAAGTAATGTCTGTATCTATATTCATCTTCCTTATAAAGGTGCAGGTTCAGTACACAAAACTCTGCTCCAGGCAAATTCATTTATTAACAAGTATTTACCTGTAGGGACATTCATGTAGCTTCCTGGGATAATACAGTAAATGAAACATAAAAATTCTTGCTCTTGGGGAATTTACATTCTATTACAAAAATGCTAATTTGTTCTATTGTACTGGAAGAAATCATGAACTTTCAAAATCTAGTTTCATTCTCATATTGTAATGTGCCTGTAACTCCCGAAAGAAAATAAAAATATTGTTTCTTGTTAGTCTCTGGTCTACATAACCATTGGGAATTTTTTGTTTTTTTTTTTTGAGACGTGGTCTCACTCTGTTGCCCAGGCTGGAGTGCAGTGGCCTCAATCTTGGCCCACTGCAACCTCTACCTCCCAGGTTCAAGCGATTCTCCTGACTCAGCCTCCTGAGAAGCTAGGACTACAGGTGCGTGCTACCACACCAGGCTAATTTTTGTAGTTTTAGTAGACATGACATTTCACCATATTGGCCAGGATGGTCTTGAACTCCTGGCCTCAAGTGATCTGCCTGCCTCGGCCTCCCAAAGTGCTGGGATTACAGGCTTGAGCTACCATACCTGGCCACCATTTAGGACTTTTTTTCCTTCATAAATTTATTATGTGCAATGCCCAGTGAAATTTAGAGAAAATGGTGGTTTGTCTTATTAAAAATCAATATAGGCCAGGTGTGGTGGCTCACGCCTGTAATCCCAGCACTTTGGGAGGCTGAGGTGGGTGGATCACTGGAGGCCAAGAGTTTGAGACCAGCCTGGCCAATATGGTGAAACCTCGTTTCTACTAAAAATATAAAAATTAATTGGGTGTGGTGGTGCACACCTGTAGTCCCAGCTACTCAGGAGGCTGAGGCAGAAGAATCACTTGAACCTGGGAGGTGGATGTTGCAGTGAGCTGAGATTGTGCCACTGCATTTCAGCCCGGGTGACAGAGCAAGACTCTGTCTCAAAAAAAAAAAAAAAAAATCAATATAAGCTCAGAATCTAGGCAATGTCTTTTCTACAGATGTAAAGAAGACAACAAAGTTGACAAAGTCAAAAATACACTGTCTGGGGAAGGGTATTGACCTGTCTGCATTGGACAGTATACTACCCCAGTGTACATTCTCTAGGATTAGGGGGATGGGGATATTGAAAAACACTACTGCTCCAACTAAAGCCAAGTGACTGGAGTGAGAACAATGGAAGAAGGAATCTCACCAAGGAAGAATGCTGTTCTAAGGAGAATAGGGTATATATCTGAGAACACAAAATAGTAAATGTTCCCCACACTCATTTAATCAGTTGGTAATCATCCATGACAGTCAGTTCACTTATCTGGACACAAAACACAGTCAAATGTAATTTAGTTCAGCCCAGTTCCACTTCAATTAAGGATAAAAATAAAATAGTCAGCCAGGTGTGGTGGCTCACACCTGTAATCCCAGCGCTTTGGGAGGCTGAGGCGGGTGGATCATGAGGTCAGGAATTCGAGACCAGCCTGGTCAAGATGGTGAAACCCTGTCTCTCCTAAAAATACAAAAATTAGCTGGGTTTGGTGGCATGCGCCTGTAATCTTAGTTACTAAGGAGGCTGAGGCAGGAGAATCACTTGAACCAGGGAGGCGGAGGTTGCAGTGAGCGAAGATCGCACCATTACAGTCCAACCTGGGCAACAAGAGCAAAACTCCGTCTCAAAATAAAATAAAATAGTCACTGAATTGTTATTTTAATATACATTGCTTGCCTTTGATAGAAAGTTGAAAGAGGGATTTTTAAATGAAATATCACAAATACAGCTGACACAAATAAGACTAGATATGGGCTAAACTGTGAAGGTAAATGGTGTAATGGTTAATACAAGCAAATGATGCTTACACAACACTAGAAGGGAAAATCTGATGTTACCGAATAACCTGCCACTAATACCTTACTTAGATCTTGGTAGATATCAAACATCTTGAGAAAGTGAGAGGAGGAGTTTGGCAAATATAATTTGAAATCTTTCAACTTTCAAATTGTGAGACAAAGAAAAAAAGATAAAATATGCTGTTAAGCATTTTATTTTCTGTAGCGGTGTGTAGGGTGAGTAGAAGAGTCAAAGCTGTTTTCTGTTTTGAAGGAAAGCAACAGTGATTTGACTAAGAAGTGATATTTCATACTTTCACTCATTGGTAAGGATATTTTATTGTAGAGAGGATATTAGCATTTCGCTGTAGATACAATAGTTTTTTTAAAAAATCAATACTAGAATGTTAGTAACATTCAGCAAATATTTATTAAGCACTTATAATTGGCACGACTTTTTTTTTAAAAAAAGACCATCATGTTCTTACATGAGGCTCACAAACTAATGTGTTGACACTTCAGTAAAGTCTATAGTCACAAAAATTTTGGATTGACTATTATGGGATACTAAAATATGCATAAGTATGAATGGCTACTTTAGTGTTTAGCCATCATTAGTTCTTATTTTTAGTGTTACACACTGTAGGAGTTACTGCAAAATGAGACATTGGAGGATTAAATAATATCAGATACTCACATTTTAAACAGTCCTACATAGCAATAGTGAAACAACTCTTACCAATAGCTAGAAATACAATTTTACTTAAGGATTTACAATACTTTTTTTTGGGGGGGGGAAGAATAGATAATTTAATTTCAAAAGCTTAAAATTATGCAAATAAAAATTTACTTTTTGTTCATATTGTCAAGTACCCTCAAGTGAAGTAATAAACTACTAAGCATGAACAGGAAATACTAAGATACCAGTATCTTACTTTATATAAAATTTCAACCTAAAGAATAGAGGTAAAATAAACAAGAAACAGACCATGTAACTTTAAGTTAAAAGAGATCTCCAAACATAAGTAAGATTTAGTAAAATAATCCCACACTTAACTGAACGGGAAGCTATTCCGAGAGGTGGGGGTTTCTTCCATTTCTCTCTCAGTGCCCTGAGGAGGGAAGTTGGGCATAATCGGCTTCAGGAACTTGAACTCATTTGTTTCTGAGCCTCCCGTCAGACACACCTTGTACTGGTAGCTCTGGGATAGGGTCCCGGTGCCGCTCACATCCACCAGATGCCCTGGAAAGGGACCCTCGGGCACCGAGTAGCGACCCACCGAGGCCGCCCTGCTCCTCCTGCACAGCCGCACCGCCACGAACAGGAGCACCGAAAAGAGGAAGAGCGACGACACCGAGGCCAACGCCACCACCAGGTAGACGGTGAGAGAGTCGGCCTGGGCTTGGGCCGGGGCCGCCTCAGGGAGAGGCAGGTAGGGCTGGGAGAAGCCGTCCACCAGGAGCACGTGCAGCGTGGCGGTGGCCGAGCGCGGAGGCTCGCCATTGTCCTTGACAAGCACCACCAGCCTGTGCTTGGCTGCGTCTCGCTCGCTCAGCAGCCTGGCGGTGCGCACCTCGCCATTGTGCGCCCACACGCCGAACAGACCGAGCTCCGTGGCCTTGAGCAGCTGGTACGACAGCCAGGCGTTCTGGCCCGAGTCGCCGTCCACCGCCACCACCTTGGTCACCAGGTAGCCCGGCTCGGCCGCCCGGGGCACCAGCTCGGTGCAGGGCGCGGAGCCGTTCTGCAGCGGGTACAACACGAAGGGCGAGTTGTCGTTGGCGTCCAGCACCAGCAAGCGCACCAGCGCCTCGCTGCTCAACGCCGGGGAGCCGCGGTCTGTGGCGCCCACGCGGAACTCGAAAGACTGCAGGGCCTCGTAGTCCAGCGACCTGAGGGCAAACAGGTGGCCGTTGTCCGCGTTGATGGAGACCAGGGAAGAGAGGGGCAGGTGCGGGTCCTGGGGCGGCAGCAGCGAGTAGGTGACCTGGGCGTTGATGCCTGAGTCTCTGTCTGTGGCGCTGACGCTGCCGATGTGCAGGGCGGGGCTGTTGTTCTCGCGGACGAACAGGGTGTAGGAGGTTTGGGTGAAGGCGGGGGCGTTGTCATTGACGTCGGAGACCTGCACAGTTATGCTCTGCTGGGTTTTCAGCCTTGGTGTCCCCAAATCAGTGACCGTGATAGTGATGTTGTACTCGGCTCTGCTCTCTCTGTCCAGCGCGCCTTCTGTTACCAGGGTGTAGAAATTCTCCACGGAAGGTCTTAGTAGAAAGGGGAGATTGTTCTCTATTGAACAAATAACCTGTTGGTTATGTCCAGAGTCTGCATCTGAAACACTGAAAACTGCCACTGTGATCTCTGGTAAGTTTTCTGGGATGAGGCTGATGAAGAACGACATGGTGAGTTCAGGGGCATTGTCATTCACGTCCAGGACCCTGACGACTAAAGAGCATTTTCCTGATAGGCCTCCACCATCTGTAGCCTCAACATCCACGTCATAAGACTGAATTTCCTCAAAATCCAAAGCCTTTCTCAGCCGAATTTCTCCTGTGATTGCGTTTATTTCGAAGGGTTGGTTGACGTCATCGACTTGAAACAGGGCGTAAGATACCTTCCCAAACGATCCTGCATCTAAATCTCTGGCTGAGACGGTAATAACCAGAGAGCCGAGGGGGTTGTTCTCAGGGACTTGTGCTTCATAGAGCTCCTGAGCAAACTCGGGGACGTTGTCATTGATGTCCAAAACCTGGATCTGAATCTCGGAGGTCCCTGACCGGGGCGGAGACCCGCCATCCAGCGCGATCAGCGTTAGCCTGAGTTGGGGCTGCTCCTCGCGGTCCAACGGTTTGTCTAGCACCAGCTCCGGGAACTTCCTGCCTTCGCTGCGATTGCGGGTGAGAACGTGGAAGTGAGGGTTGGAGCTGATTGTGTACCTCTGAAGGCCGTTGCTGCCGGTGTCTAAATCGTGTGCCATTTTCAAAGGAAATATCTTTCCTGGCATAGTAATTTCTGATATTTTCAGGAGCATTTCTCTGGCAGGGAATTCCGGGGCGTGGTCATTTATATCTCTGACTCGCAAGGAAGCCTGAAAAAACTGCAAGGGGTTTTCCAGTAACACTTGGAAAGGTAGCACACACGGCTCAGTGGAGCCACACAGCTCCTCCCGGTCCAGTTTTTCATTTAGCAGTAAATCATGGGTCTGTGGATCAAACTGCAAATGTTGTCTGTTCCCTTTGAAAACAACCCGAGCGCCCCGCGAAGCCAGCTCCCCCACCCTCAGTCCCAGGTCCTTTGTCAAGTTGGCCACAAACGTGCCACTTTCTGTCTCCTCCAATACGGAATACTGAATCGATTCAGAACCCACCTCTCCCCAAAGCATCAATAAAATGAAGAAAGCCACTTGCCTTTTCTTGTTCTGTACTTTAGTTTGCATCATGTCTATTATGTCTGAATACGGAAGAAAAATCCTTTTCAGCTCCCAATCACCACATCTACCGTCGACCCTCTCGGATGTCTTTGCAGAGATTTTTAAATTCGTTCTTACAACTTGTCTGGCGACGACTGCCTTCCCGGACACATCTATCTCAGCTTTAGCTGTAAACGTGGTCTGTATTTTTACTTGGCTTCTGGATGAAACGGAGTCCACCGAGTCTGCAGAGCTTTCATTCACTCTCTTAGCTTGTACCGCCACCACGCGTTCAAACTAATAACTTCATGAGATGTTTTCAGGTCAATAGCATTTCAGAAATCTGAGCATTATAAAGACTTTTAAGTCGAGTCAGTGTTTCTCAAACTGAGTGCGTGGACCGCATGCATAAATAATTGCTTGCGAGCGTTGGTTTTTTTGTGTGTATGTTTTTGTTTTTAAGCCAATTCCTGGGTTCACTCCCCTCTAGAACTTGAATCAAATTCCCTGGTGGTGCTAATTAAGGAGAAAGATTGAAGTGCAGATTCTACACTTCAGTCTTTCTCCTTTGATGCTTCAGCAGTGCAATTTATCTCTGATGAACTATTTAATCTATTAGTCCAAGAGGTACACTATTTAATTGTCCCAACAAACAATGCAAAACAACGAAGTTTGTTAGCAACAATAATGGTAAAATAAACAATAAATTATCTAAATTATATGACTCATAAATGGCATGAAAAAAAAAACCTACTTTGTTATATAGTTATGCCTGCACAGTAAAAAGAACAATTAGGCTATTAGGAGGAAAACTGAGGCCAAGAAGTACGTATGATACATGTATCTAAGTAAATTAAAGTATTTAAAAGAGGGACTAGAAGCAATCAAGTAGTTGTCATAAGCATTTTAGGATTCTACTCCATTTTTGCATGGATAGAATTAGACATTGTTTTAACAGTCTTGTGCATTTTATTTTTTGATCAAATTCCCCTCTTACATTATTTAATCAAGGTCCAAATATATTACCGTGTTGTACAAACATGATGCAACACAGAAAACAAACATTCAAGAATCACCTTCACCGTCTTCTCACAGCAAAAAGAACACCAAGTCCAATAAATACAGGCCAAATTAAGGTACTGTTAAAACAGGTGAGTTACATTTGAGTGAATGCCATGGAATTCAATGATG
This sequence comes from Homo sapiens, assembly GCF_000001405.40. Taxonomy (NCBI): domain Eukaryota; kingdom Metazoa; phylum Chordata; class Mammalia; order Primates; family Hominidae; genus Homo; species Homo sapiens. The sequence continues at coordinate 141,149,096 of NC_000005.10, read as the reverse complement.
GAATATTATGGCTATATCCATTCCCATCTCACTAGTTTCTACTCAGATACATTGGAACATGTATCTCTAAACAAACTGAAAATGTGTGAAATAGATTAGTGCACATAGAAGAGGTAAAATATGCCAAACAATTCAATTCATTTCAGATTAATTTCATATTTATTGAGAGGTGAAATCAATTGAGTTCAAACAAAGTTCACTTCAGGTAAGGGCCAAGGTGATAGAAGATTAAAAATCAAGATATTTTCAAATACATAAATGCTAGGCAAAACAAATAAGGCTAAATAAAATCTAAACTCTGAATAGCTGAGATGATCTTGTAGTTCAAAATCACCTCTATGTAGCCAGAAAAACAAAAGATTATGAATGTGACCAGCCTCCAGGGTTCACTTGATAGATGCTACTGGGAACACACTGTTCCTTGAGAATGTAACAAAATGAAATTATGAAATAAACCAACAATAATAAACATATTGGACTGGTGTCATCTCTTTGCTGAAACAAGGCCATTATTTCCTGCTCAATCTTAAATGCTTCCTTCTTTCGGTGAGCATTCTGAGTTCTGATTCCAGCTTAACGGCATCCACAAAGTCTTTTATTCACTCTGTTTCTCTGAAGCACCACCAGGCATCCTCGAATATAGGTTGTTGAATTATTTTTTTACGTCAGAGCAAATTTATCAGCAGTACAGTATTTGTCAAACTCCATTTAGATCCTTGAAATGTCTTTGATAACATTGGTAGTTATATAGAAAGAGGATAATAGCTCAAAGTACCCCAAAAAGATATCAGTTGGGTCTATCAAGAAACTGCCTTTTTATAGAAAATGGATTACGTTAGATTGTTTCAGGAGAATGTTTCTCTGTGTTGCCCTCTTTTGCTTTGATTTGATTGACTAGAGTAGAGTTGAATTAAGTTTGCATTCGTAAACATGTTCTCACAAGGACTCATTAACTTAAAATTTTTATTATGGAAAAATTCTAACATATACAAAGTAAACAGAATAAGCCTCTGTACACAATCAGTTTCACAACATTCTGTTGTCTTGTTTTGTCTATACCTTTCTCTCCATTCTCTGCTTCCCGCTTAATGATTACTTTTGTATAGTTCTTTTCTTAAGGCAATGTTTACAGAAATTGAAATGCACCAATCTTAACTGTACCATTTTAACAAATGGATTCATGTGTGTAACTCACACTTTTTTCAAGATACGGAACATTTTCATCATTCACTGGAAATCATCTTAATCATATTTTGAAGCTCAGTTTTGTTAACTGGGGAGCAAAACCTTGGTCTCATCTGGACACATGATGGAAAAGTAGACAATGTGAAAAAGCACCATGCCCCATATTCTTTATGCTCATGTATGCTAAAGTGAAGTGATAGATTAATTTAGCTGGACTGTTACCAGCAAGCTGAAATAGTATTTCAACTGACTGAACATTGTAAAGTATGTTAAAATTAATTTTATTTAGTTAGCCTGTAATGACAGGTTGAACAGCCCTTGTCCAAAATGCTTGAGACCAGAAGTGTTTCAGATTTCAGATTTTTTAGATATTAGAATATTTGCATGTACATACCGGGATATCTTGGTAATGAAAACCAAGTCTAAACATGAAATTCATTTAAGTTTCATATACATCTTATACAAATAGGCTGAAGGTAATTTTGCTTAATATTTTTAAACAATTTTGTGCATGAAACAAAGTTTGCATTACGTACTTATGTGTGGAATTTTCTACTTGTGGCATCAGGTTGGCTCAAAAAGTTTTGGGTTTTGGAGCAGTTCCTATTTTTGGATTTTTGGATTAGGGATGCCCAACCTGTACCTGTACTACATAGCTGATCAAGCTGATTTCCATTTTATGTTTCAGTTAATCCCATTATAATTTTAAAAAATTATTCAAGTTTATCAAAAGAGAAAGGAAAAGACCTTCAAGGACAAATTGAATCTCTTAAAACTCTTCTTTAGTTATATAGAAAGAAAAACATAGTAATACAGGGAAAAGTTAGAGATGATATATAAGCAATCACTTAAAGAAACTCAATTAACAGGAGATATGTTGCAAGGAAGTTGAAAATATAAAGGATTTGATACTAAATCACATTTGAAATCTGAAATGATTGGGTAAGACTTTTTGTCAGTATTGCTAGAGGTTTGTCATTTTTTAAAATGTTTTTCAAAGAACCAGTTCTTTGTTTCTTTATTGCTTTCTCTATTTGCTTTGAATTTTCTTGATTTCTTCTATTATCTTTGTTATTTCCTTATTTCTGAATGCTTTGGGTTTATTTTCCTCATCTTTTTCTAGATTCTCGAGGTAGAAGCTTGAAACTGATAAACTGGTGGGTGACCAGTTTGAGAATTTTCCTCTTTTCTAATGTACATATTTAGTGCTATAAAATTTTCCTCTCTGCACTGTGTTAGCTATGTCTCACAAAATTTGATGTGTTGTATTTTCACTTTCAATTCAGGTCAATGTATTTTTAAATTTCCCTTGAGATATTCTTTTTGATTCATAGATTATTTAGAAGTATGTTGCTACATATCCGTGCACTTGAAGGTTTTCCTCTTATCTTTCCATTATTCATTTTTAGTTTAATTTCATTGTGCGTAGAGAACCCACTCTGTACGATTTCACTATTAATTTGGTTGAGGTCAGTTTTACGGCTGAGGTTGTGGTTATCTTATACAGGTTCTGTGAGCATTTGAAAATAATGTGTATTCTGGTATTGTTTATTCTGGTGTATTCTAGTATTTTTTATTCTGGTGTATTCTAGTATTTTTTATTCTGGTGTATTCTGGTATTGGAGTGTTCTGGTGTATTCTGGTATTGGAGTGTTTTATAAATATTAATCAGATGCTGTTAGTTGATGGTGTTATTGAGTTCTTCTATATCTCTGCTGATTTTCTGTCTTGTTGGTCTATCAGTTGTTGAAGGTCATTGAAGTCTCCAATTGTAATTAATTGTGGATTTCTCTATTTCTCCTTCTGTCAGTTTTTGCTTCATACATTTTGCAGTTTTGTATATATACATTTGGGATTGCTATGTTTTCTTCTTTTATCACTATATAATATCCCACTATGTCTCTGATATGTCCCATGCTGTCTCTGATGCTTTTCTTTGCTCTCATGTCTACTTTATATGACATTATGGCTACTCCTGCTTTATTAATTAATTTATCTATTCAGTTATTTATTTATTCTTATTTTTATTTATTTATTTATTTTTGAGACAGAGTTTTGCTCTTGTCTCCCAGGCTGGAGTGCAATGGTATGATCTCGGCTCACAGCAACCTCCACCTCCCAGGTTCAAGCAATTCTCCCGCCTCAGCCTCCGGAGTAGCTGGGATTACAGGCGCCCATCACCACAGCAGCTAATTTTGTATTTTTAGTAGAGATGGGGTTTCACCATGTTGGCCAGGCTGGTCTCAAACTCCTGACCTTAGGTGATCCTCCTGCCTCAGCCTCCCAAAGTGCTGGGATTACAGGCATGAGCCACTGCACCCAGCTCCTGCTTTATTTTTACATTAATAATTGTATGCATTTTTGTCTTTTTACTTTCAAACTGCATATATCATTATATTTGAAATTAATTTTGAGACATATAGTTGGGTCATGATTTTTTAAACCCATTCTCCCAATGTTTGTTTTAATTGATGTGCTCAAACCATTTACATTAACATAATTATTGATTAGTAGAGATTAACTCTGCCATTTTTTGTTTCCTGTTTGTTTTCTCTGTTTTTTTGTTTGTCTCTCTGTTTTCATTTTTCTAACTTCCTGTGGGTTATTGGAACATTTTTTTAGAATTCTGTTTTGATTTAGCTGTAGTGGGTTGTTTTTTTGAGTGTATCACTTTTTATAGCTTTTTACTGATTACTCTAGGTATTATACTATATATACGCAACTTATCAGTTTACTGATTGATATCACTAACTGATATTTTTACCAGTTCAAATGAAGCATAGAAAATGTACCTCCCTGTGTGTCCTTTTACCCTCCTTCATTTATAATATGTTTAAAATATTTCCTGTACATACACTTAGGACCACATTTAGAAAGTGTTATAATTTTGGATTCAACCACCAAACATAATTTAGGAACCTCAAGAGAAAAAGAAAAGTCTATTGTATTTACTCATATTTTTGTTTCTTGTGTTGTTTCTTCCTTCTTGATATTCCAAGATTGCTTTTTAAATTGTTTCCTTTCTGTTTGGAGAACTTGCATTAGCAAATATTTTAAGGTAGGTATACTGGCAACAAATTCTTTCCCTGAAGGATAGTTCCACTGGATATAGGATTTGGGGATGACAGTTGTTTTCTTTCAGCACTTGAAAAATATTGTGCAACTTCCTTCTGTCCTCCATGGTTTCTGATGAGGAATCTACTCTCATTCAAATTGTTACTGCCCTGTAGGTAAGGTGTCATTTCTCCTTCACTGCTTTAAAGATGTTTTGTCCTTAGTTTGCAGAAATTTCACTATGATGCCTCGGTGTGGATTCCTTTGGGTTTATCCTGTTTGGGATTTGTTCAGCTTCTTGAATCTCTGGTTTATGCCTTTTGCCAATTTGCTTAGTTTCCAGCCATTATTTCTTTGAGTACTTTTTTTAGCTCCACCCTCCTTCTGGCCTCCTTCTGGGACTCCAGTGACACAAAGGTTAGTTCTTTTGGTATGCCCCCACAGGTTCCTGAGCCTCTGTTCATTTTTTATGCTCTATTTTCTCTGTCCTGTTCAGAATGGGTAATTTCTATTGTTCCATCTTCTGGTTCATTGATTCTTTGTTCCCTCCATTCTGCTGTGGAGCCCATATCTTGAGTTTTTATTTCAATTATTATATCTGGGTTTTTCTTTCTTTTTTTTTTTTTTTGAGACAGTCTTGCTCTGTCACCCAGGCTAGAGAGCAGCGAGGCAATCTTGGCTCACTGCAACCTCCCCGCTTCCTGGGTTCAAGTGATTCTCCTGCCTTAGCCTCCCAAGTAGTTGGGATAACAGGCATGCACCACCACACCTGGCTAATTTTGTACTTTTAGTAGAGACGGGGTTTCACCATGTTGGCCAGGCTGGTCTCGAATTCCTGACCTCAGGTGATCCACCAGTCTCGGCCTCTCAAAGTGCTGGGATCACAGGTGTGAACCACTGCACCCGGCCCCATTATTATAACTTTAATTTCTAAAATTTCCATAGGCATTTCTTTATATCTTTCATTTCTTTGCTGAGACTGTTTTTCATTTGTTTCAAATATGTTCATAATTGCTCATTTAAACATTTTGATGAGCTCTGTTTTTAAAATTTGTCAGATAATTCTAACATCTGTCATCTTGGTGTCAGCATCTCCTTGTTGTCATTTTCATTCACTTTAATATTTTCCTGATTCTTGGTATGACCCAGATAGTCCCTTCCTGGATGTGCCTGTACCCAAAAGGAACCCTTGCCCAAATGTATGAGGCAATATATTCAAGAATGCTTATAGCAGCATTGTTTATAGTAACAAAACTCTTAGAACAACCAAAAAGTAAATCATTAGTAAAAAGAATTTAAAGTTCATAGTATTCCATTTATATAATGGAATACTATAGAACAGTTAAGTGAATAAACTGAATTAACATGGATAAATTCAATACCATAATGATTAAAAAGAGCAAGTTCACAGAGGATCCATACTATATAAATTCATTTGTATCAATTGCAAAGACAGATACAACTAAATGGTAAGTCATTTAGGAATACATGCTTTTCTATTGCAAATATAAAGAAGAACAAACAATTAAGTAAAAATTCAGAAAACTGGTTCTTTTTCATAGGGTTGAAAGATGTTATGGTGGAGGCATAACATCTTGGCATCATTCTAGTTCTTAAGCTGGGTAATGGGTAGATGAGTGACCATGTTATTATTGTTTATTATTATTATTGTACATATATGTTGTATACACTCTTTTGAATTTTGATAGATTTTAAAATAGAAAAAAGTAAAAACAAACAAACAGCAATTTCTGAGCTGGGCATGGTAGCATCTGCCTGCTACTCAAGAGGCCAAGGCAAGAGGATCACTTGAGCTGAGAAGTTGAAAACCAGCCTGGGTAACATAGCAAGACCTTGTCGCTAAAAAAAAAAAAAAAGTTCTTTCATAAAAATGAAGCAATTTCTCTGGAGTCAGGCTGCCTGGATTCAAATTCTACTTCTGCCTCTTATTAGCTAGGTGACTGTTGAAATCCTAACCCCCAACGTGATGGTAGGAAGTAGGGCTTTGAGTGGCAATTAGGTCACGAAGAAGCAGCCCTGAATGAGATTAGTGCATTTATAAAAGTGATTCCAGAGAAGAAGCAGCCCTGAATGAGATTAGTGCATTTGTAAAAGTGATTCCAGAGAATTCTCTTGCCTTTTTTTCTGCCATGTGAGGATACAAGGAGAAGTCTGCACTCTGAAACCTGGAAGAGGGCCCTCACCAGAACTCAACCATGCTAGCACCCTGATTTTAGACTTCCAGCCCTAACACTGTAAGAAATTACTTTCTGCTATTTATAAGCCACTCAATCTATAGTATTTGCTACAGCAGCCCAAACTGATTAGGACAGTGACCTTGGGCAAATTGCTTTACCTCTGTGTGCTCCAGTTTGTTCACCCTGAAAATATAGACACTAATTGTACCATTATTTTGACGATTAAATGAGTATGTATAAAGTATTTAGAAAATAGCCAAGTACACTGAAAGTATGTAGTAGTAATAATAGTACATAATATATAATAATGTTTAATAATAAAGTTCGTAGAAACTTGAATATGCCACTAAGACTAAAAATTCATTAGAAATGCTCAAAAATAAAGTGAGAGACTTCAGAACATAGAAGAAAAGCTAAAGATGTAAAATAAAAAAGAATATAAGAAACAGAAATAATTAAGAATATTCAATATCTGACAAGCACAAGTTTCAGAAGGAAATAACAAGATTAAACTTAGGGATACAACTATTAAGAAAATAATAGTAGAAATGGGCCAGGCACAGTGGCTCACACCTGTAATCCCAGCACTTTGGGAGGCTGATGCAGGTGGATCACTTGAGGCCAGGAGTTTGAGACCAGCCTAGCCAATATGGTGAAACCCCAACTCTATTTTAAAAAAAAATTAGCTGGATGTGGTGGTGTGTGCCTATAGTCCCAGCTGCTCAGAAGGCTGAGTCAGGAAAATCATTTGAGCCTGGGAGGCAGAGGTTGTAGTGAGCCGAGACTGCAGATTGCACCACTGCACTCCAGCATGGGCAACAGAGCAAGATTTGTCTCAAAATAATAATAATAATAGAAATGAAGTAATCCCAGAGATAAAAAGGTATAAATTGTTAGAATCATAAGTACATTGAGTGTTCAGTCAAAGGAATGAAAAAATTATAATACTATTATGAAATTCAAGACATCTAAAAAGAAGAGAGAAAATTCTGAGGGAAGGAGACACAGAAGATTCCTTTCTCTACAGAAATATGGAGAGAGAGAGAGAGATGGGGGTATAAAAAAATCAACAATCACACTGGCATAAAATTTTTATCAAAAATTATGAATCAATAATCAACACATTAATGATTTTAAATTTCCAAGCAATAATTCTGTGTCTGGCCAAATCATCAATTAAATATGAAGGAAAACTAAATGCATTTTAGGCAGAGACACAGAAATTGGCTTTTTTGTGAACTCTCCTTTAGGAAGACATTTCAGGATATATTGTAGCAAAGAGAGGGAATAAAAAGGGAGACAAGTGATCTGTTAAATAATGCACTCAACCAAGAGAGGTATGAAGACAAGATGACAGTTTTGTACAGACCTAAAGATCATTTAGTCCAGATGGAAGCAGAAAGCTAGAGGGCTTCAGGTTAGAAAAGATGGTAAAGTGAATTATTGATTGAGATTTTGAAAATATGGTAAAGCCAACTAATGGAGTCTAAAATGATGACTCTATTTGGTCTTGATTTTAGGAACATAACTGTTTTCAATGGTACAGGAAGTGCAACATTGGATCCAAAGAGCAGGAAAGATAGTCCCTATCACTAAAACATAAAGTGAGAGACATCAGGACATAGAAGAAAAGCTAAAAATGTAAAATAAAAGAGAAATATAAGAAACAGAAAAATAAGAATATTCAATATCTTTTTTGTTTGTTTTTTAAATTTTTATTAAGAATATTTAATAACAGACAAGCACAAATCTCAGATGGAAATAACAAGATTAAACTTAGGGATACATTATCAAGAAAATAATAGTAGAAATTAAGTAATCTCAGCTCTAAGATTACTTAGATCCATAAGCAATCCCAGACTATACTTAGAGGTTTCAGTAAGTAATATGGCTCTGCAATGAACAATATTTTGAGAAGAGAATCAGCCCAACAACGTGGAACTGTTCTGACACTCACAGGTTGGCCATAATCTTCTCCTATTGAATGCAAATAATTTCATATAACACCAAGACCAGAAAATAACCTTATAACCCGGTTGGAGCCAGACTTCATGCCTGAGGAGACAATGTCTAAAAAAAAAAAAAGAAAAAGACAAAAGAGCTCTTTTTCCTTGCTAGTATGAGTGAATGCTGCTTATTTACCAATTATAGATTTAATTTCAGTGTTTTTCCCACTTCTTAAATGAAATTCATTAAAATAATATAGAATTACCCAATTTTCTGAAAGCATCCAATCCAGAGCTAACCTCTACTTCTTGAACCTCTGTTAAAACCACCTAACAGAAGACCAAATCCTATAACTCCTCTGCAAGACCCTGTTACTAAAGTGACCTCTGTTTCCTATTGTGTGCAGTCTCCTTCATTGCAACAAGTCAATAAACCCAACTTTGTTCTGATTCGGTGTGTTCTTGGTGATTTGGGACTGCAGGGCATTCATAATTTATATAGTCATTAAAAGTAAATTTTAAATATTATCTTCTAAAATATATCTATAGATGGCCAGGTGTGGTGGCTCACACCTGTAATCCCAGCACTTTGGGAGGCCAAGGTGGGCGGATCCCCTGAGGTCAGGAGTTCGAGACCAGCCTGACCAACATGGAGAAACCCCATCTCTACTAAAAATACAAAAATTAGCTGGGCATGGTGGCACATGCCTGTCATCCCAGCTACTCGGGAGGCTGAGGCAGGAGAATCGCTTGAACCCGGAAGGCGGAGGTTGCAGTGAGCCGAGATCGTGCCACTGGACTCCAGCCTGGGCAACAAGAGCTAAACTCCGTCTCAAAATAAAATAAAATAAAATAAAATATATCTATAGACAAGACAAGGAATTCTTAGCTATGGTTGTAAAAATAAAATGTAAGAGTAGAAGTTCAACTGAGAGAGGTTGGAAAGTGTTAAGAGAGAAACAGATATAAAAAGAAGAATAAGAATGCTATTCTTTTCTTCATACAAAAATCTAATGAAACTGTTGTTACTGGAACAATAAAGAAAGGTTTCAGATTGACCAGAGAAGTACCCAAAAATAGTAATATAGATACCTCTGAAAAACAAAAGATTGAAGTTGTTTTAAGTGTGCTAGTTACTCAGCAATCATGATAGGAAATTAATTGTCTAAAGTTTGTGAAAGTTACTACATTAGTTTGTGATGGCTGCTGTAACAAATACCACAGACTGGGTGGCTTAAACAACAGACATTTCTTTCCTCCCAGTTCTGAAATCTAGAAGTCCAAGATCAAAGTGTTGGCAGGGTTGGTTTCATTTGGAGGCCTCTCTCTTTGGCTTGTAGATGGCTATCTTCTTCTAGTGTCTTCACATAATCATCCCTCTGTGTGTTTACATGTCTGACATCTCTTTCTCTATGTTCTAATCTCCTCATCTTATAAGTACAGCAGTTATATTGGATTAAGTTCTGCCCTAAGGACCCATTTTAATGTGATTACCTGTTTTTAGGGGCCTATCTTTAAACATAGTCACATTCTGAGGTAGTGGGAGTTAGGGTTTCAACATATGAATTTGAGGGGGATATAGGAACACAGTTCAGCTCATAATGGTTACAAACATATTCCTTAGTGATAAGCAAGTAAATATAAGAGCTTTAAAAACTGTATAAAGTGCTTGCCAATGGGATAAAATGAAAAACAGACAATACCAGTTTGTTGGCAGAAATGTGGAAAAATTTGTACATCCAGACACTGGGAATAGCAATGTAAATTAGTACAACCACTGGAAGACTATTGGGAAATGTCTGCTAAAAGTCAACGTGTACTTGCAAGATGGGCAACAATTCCACTCCTAGGCATATACCCAACAAAACTGCATATACAGGTTGGCAAAAGGCATGTTAAAAGAATGTTTATAGCAGTATAATTCATAACAGCCAAACTTTGCCCCATCCCAAATACTGATCTAAAGGATAGATAATAAACTGTGGTATATTCATACAGTGGAATATTATACAGCAATGAGAATGAAAGGACTAAACTTAAAAGCTGTATTATGGATAAATTTCATAAACATAATGCTGAGTGAAAAAAGCCAGACACAAGCAGTTCATACTTTATTACTCCATTTATATAAATTCAGAAGAGGCAAAATTAAACTATGGTATTGGAAGTCAGCATATTTGCTATACTTGGGGTAGTAGTGATTGTAAGGAGTAATTTGTGTGGCACCTGGGGTGCCAGTGATGTTTCATTTTCTCTTCAAGCTGCTGGTAATAAATATGTTACTTTGTGAATATATATTGAGTTGAACATAAAGGATTTGTTCATTTTTCTTCATGTAAGTAATAATTCAATTAAACTGTTTTTAAAAAGTTTGCTAATAGGACTCAGGGCTGCAAAAAAGAGTAAATAGAAGATTGTTTCCTTTTACATATTTTTTCACATATTTCATTTGTTAGCATATGTATGTATTTGTCTTTGTTTTAAACAATTAAAATATGATGATGTGAAACATTTTTAATTTTTGCATTTTAGCATCAAATATATAATACTTAAGAGTGTGATGAAATAGAATGGGCAGAATATATAGAAAATAAAATTAATACTTGATTTTATTAAGGTGGTTTATCACAACAAATACCAACAAGAAGAGAAAAAAATCTCAGGAAAATCAACAGCATGCATGGATTTGGAATGACACTATGTAAATAAATGCAATGAAATAAAATTGACTTTTCAACACTTGGACAGCATGAAGTTCAACAGACAAATCCATTAAAAAGGGAAATAAAAGCTCAATCTCAAGGTGAAATTTTTGTCCATGACACTCTCGAATTCTAGATCTGAAAAAGTTTGGGATAAATGGCAGAAAACAACGCGTCATCACGAGATCTCTAATTTAATCCAAAGCTATTCCGGAAGGCAGCAGTTTTCCCTATTTCTTCACCAGCGCCCTGGGGCAAAAGGTTAGGAATAATCGGCTTCAGGAACTTGAACTCGCCGGCCCCTGAGTCTCCGGTCAAACACACCTCGTAGTGGTAGCTCTGGGATAGGGTCCCGGTGCCGCTCACGTCCACCAGATGCCCTGGAAAGGGGCCCTCGGGCACCGAGCAGCGACCGACCGGGGCCGCCCTGCTCCTCCTGCACAGCCGCACTGCCACGAACAGGAGCACCGAAAAGAGGAAGAGCGACGACACCGAGGCCAATGCCACCACCAGGTAGACAGTGAGCGAGTCGGCCTGGGCCTGGGCCGGGGCCGCCTCCGGCAGCGGCAGGTAGGGCTGGGAGAAGCCGTCCACCAGGAGCACGTGCAGCGTGGCGGTGGCCGAGCGCGGAGGCTCGCCATTGTCCTTGACCAGCACCACCAGCCTGTGCTTGGCCGCGTCGCGCTCGCTCAGCAGCCTGGCGGTGCGCACCTCGCCATTGTGCGCCCACATGCTGAACAGCCCGGGCTCCGTGGCCTTGAGCAGCTGGTACGACAGCCAGGCGTTCTGGCCCGAGTCACCGTCCACCGCCACCACCTTGGTCACCAGGTAGCCCGGCTCGGCCGCCCGGGGCACCAGCTCGGTGCAAGGCGCCGAGCCGTTCTGCAGCGGATACAGCACGAAGGGCGAGTTGTCGTTGGCGTCCAGCACCAGCACGCGCACCAGCGCCTCGCTGCTCAGCGCCGGGGAGCCGCGGTCTGTGGCTCCCACGCGGAACTCGAACGCCTGCAGGGCCTCGTAGTCCAGCGACCTGAGGGCAAACAGGTGGCCGTTGTCCGCGTTGATGGAGACCAGGGAGGCGAGGCGCAGGTGTGGGTTCTGGGGCGGCAGCAGCGAGTAGGTGACCTGGGCGTTGGTGCCTGAGTCTCTGTCTGTGGCGCTGACACTGCCGATGTGCAGGGCGGGGCTGTTGTTCTCTCGGACGAACAGGGTGTAGGAGGTTTGGGTGAAGGCGGGGGCGTTGTCATTGACGTCGGAGACCAGGACCGTTATGTTGTGCTCGGTTTTCAGCCTGGGTGTCCCCATGTCGGTGACAGTGATGGTGATGTTGTACTCGGCTTGGCTCTCTCTGTCCAGTGTTCTCTGTGTCACTAGGGTGTAAAAGTTTTTTAATGTGGGCTTCAAAAGAAAGGGGAGATCATTCTGGATGGAGCAAATCATCCTACCGTTGTCCCCGGAGTCTGGATCAGAAACACTGAAAACGGCAACTACAGTTTCCGGGGCATTTTCTGGGGTAGGGCTGGAGAGCGTAGACATGGTGAGTTCAGGGGCGTTGTCATTCACATCCACCACTTCTATAGCCACAGTGCATTTTCCTGAAAGGCCCCCACCATCTGTGGCTACAATTTCCACGTTATAATATGGAGTTGCCTCGAAATCCAATGCCCTTTTCAGGCGAATTTCTGCTGTTTTCTCGTCTATTACAAATGGTTGAGTAACTTCATCGCCTTGGAATAGAGCATAGGCTACACTCCCATATGCTCCTGCATCTAAATCTCGAGCGGAGACAACGACAACTAAGGAGTTAAGGGGGCTGTTCTCGGGCACCTGTACCTCATAGAATGATTGTAAAAATTCGGGGGCGTTGTCATTATTATCCAAGACGACAATGCGAATTGTGGTGGTCCCGGACCTGGGCGGAGCCCCACCGTCCAGTGCAGTGAGTGTTAAGCTGAGCTCAGGCCGCTCCTCCCGGTCCAGCGCTTTGTCCAGCACCAGCTCTGGGTATTTTCTGCCATCTCCGCGATTATGCGTAGCAACATGAAAGTGTGAATTTGGGCTGATTGTGTAGTTCTGAACAGTGTTGCTACCTATGTCAAAGTCCTGGGCTATTTTTAAGGGAAACACAGTCCCTGGCTGGGTGCTCTCTGGGATTTTTAGGAGCATTTCCTTCTCTGGGAACTCTGGGGCATGGTCATTTATATCTGTGAGCTGCAGATCAGTTTGAAAAAACTGCACTGGATTTTCTAGTAAGAGCTGGAAATGCAATATACAGGGTTCTGTCGCCCCGCACATCACCTCCCGGTCTAGTTTTTCATATAGAAGCAAATTGCCGGTCTTTATATCAAGCTGCAAGAGCTCTTTGTTTCCTTTGTAATGCATTCGCGCGCCCCGAGTGGCCAGTTCCCCCACCCCAAGACCCAGGTCTTTTGCCAGGTTGGCCACAGAATAGCCACTTTCTGTTTCTTCTGGTATGGAATACCTAACTGCCTCAGAGCCAGCCTCCCACAAAAGCAACAATATAGCAAGAAACATAACTTGCCTTTTCTGTGGCGTTTTTGCTAGCGCAGTCTCCATTGTTCAGACCCGGTCCAGAAGGCGCAGTTTAACTCCGTACACAATCCACCCAGATGATTTGCATAAATAACCGCGAATCCGATCTTTCTTGACTGATTTCCACAAGAACGAAGCCCACCCTGAAGATCTAGCCACTAGATCTTACCTAAAATGCGTCCTTCTTTTAGAGTTTGGATTCCCCAGCTTAATGGCGTCTGAGTTATCCGCAGAGCCCACTATCCACACTCTTAGCCTGCAGCGCCACCAGGCGTCCTAATTTACTATTGCATATAGTATTTGCCATTTCATCCTAAATTCTAACTGACGTGTATCCATACCCTTTTGTCACATAAGCTCTCCCGATGGTATCTCCAGCTCTTAGTTGCTGAAAGTTCTAAATAAATGTTGTGGAGTTAATTTTCAGTGAGAAAATACTTTTGAGAAAAAAACTAAAATTATATATTAATCTCCATAAAAGTACCCTTGAGTACACAAATACACTTTGTTTGGTGTTTCTTATTTGATTATATTAAATAAGTGATCAGGAATATCTATAGAAATTTAAAGTTTAAGAAAAATTACTTTCACTTTGAAGTAAACACCAATAACACCCAGAAAATGGCACAAATCATAGGTGTATAACTCAATGAATTTTCGCAAAGTGAACACACTCCTGTAAGTAGAACCTAGATTAAAAATACTACCCAAACCCAAGTCCCCACCTGCTATTGTCTGGTTACCACCCTCTCCCCAAAAGATAAGCACTGTCCTGACTTCTGTTGTCATAGGTTTTTTTTGCTTTTTTTTTTTTTAACTTTATACAAATGGAGTTATAGATTGTTACTCTCGTGTGTCTGGCTTCTTCTCCTCAATATTATGTTCAGCAAATTGATCTGTGGCATCTTGTTCTTATTTGTTTTATTCTCATTGCTTTATATCATTCTGTTGTATGAATATACTATGATTTATTTATTCATTCTCCAGTTGATGAACATTGTTTTCCAGGTTTAAGCTCTTTGGGGTAGTACTGGTATAAACATCCTTGTACTAGTCTTTTGGTGACCACATATATGTGTTTATGTTGAATATATTCAAAGGAGTTGGATTGCTATGCATTAAGATGTGCACATATATTTTGCTTTAGCAGATAATGAGAAAGTTTTCTCAAGTAGTCGTACTAATACCAGCAAAGTATGAGAGTTCCAGTTGCTCCACATTCTTGTCAACATTTGATGCTATCTTTTCCATTTTAAACCACTCTGGTTAGTGTATGGTGATATGATATTGTAATTTTAGTTAGCATTTTCCCTGATGATTAAACAATTTGAGCACATTTTCATGTTTATCAGCCATTAGGATACAATCTTGTGAAGGGCTTATGCAAACCTTTTTACTTTTTTGGGGGGAGGCATTTGCCTGTTTGCTTATTGATCTGCAGAAGTTTCTCATATATTCTGGGCATAAGTCCTTTTTAAGATATATGTATTGCAAATATCTTTTCCCACTCTATGGTTTTTATTTCAAGTCTATTATGTGTCTTTGATGAATAAAATTTCTTACCTTTAGTCAGATTTGTCAATAAGTTTCATGTATGATTAGCATTTTTTTGTGTTCTATTTAAATGTTCACATACTCCAAGGTCATGAAAATATTCTTGTATGATGTATTTTGAAAGATTAATTATTCCATTTTTCATATTTAAAGCTATAATCAACCTGAAATTAACTTTTCAAGTGAATGAGTTTGGAGTCAAAAGGTTTAAAATGTAAGTATCTGAATGCTTTAAACCTTTGCACCATCTATTTAAAAGACAATCCATTTTCCATTGTTTTTGAAATGTCATCTTTGTTATAAATTAGGTAACCATAGCTCTGAAGATGTTTTATTCAATCTTGTTTATCCTACAATAACTCATTGTGTTAATTATTATAGCTTTATCATGAGTTTTGTTATCTGAGAAGTAAGTTCTCCAGTTTTTTAAAAGTAGACTAAATTTTTAGAATGGTTTTTGGTTCACAGCAAAAATGAGAGTAAAGTACAGAGATTTCATATATGCCCCTGTCCCCACACAAGCACAGCCTCACCCATTATCAACATCCTCCACCAGAGTGGTTCATTTGCTACAGCTGATGAATCTACATTGGCACGTCATTATAACCTGGAGTCCATAGTTTACATTAGGGCCCATTCTTGGTGCTGTATATTCTATGGCTTTGGACAAATTTAAAATTATGTGTATTCACCTTTATAATATCATACAAAGTAGTTTCACTGCTCTAAAAATCCCCTGTGCTCCACTTATTTATACCTCCCTCCCTCCCCTAGAACCCAATGCAAGTGGATTTTTTTACTGTCTCCACAGTTTTGCTTTTTCTAGAGCACCATGTAGTTGAAATCACACAGTATGTAGTCTTTTCAGATTGGCTTCTTTCACTTAGTAATATCCATTTAGATTTCCTCAATGTCTTTTCATGGGTTGTTAGGTCATTTCTTTTTGATGCTGAATAGTATTCTATGGGTTGAATGAACTGCAGTTTGTTTATCTATTCACCTACTAAACGACATCTTGGTTGCTTCCACGTTTTGGCAATTATGAATGAACTGCTATAAACGTCTCTGTGCAAGTTTTTGTGTGAACATAAATTTTCAACTCCTTTGGGCAAATACTAAGGAACATGAGTGCTAGATAACATGGTAAGAGTATATTTTGTTTTGTATCAAACTGCCAAACTGTCTTCCAAAGTGTCTGTACCATTTTGCATTCCCACCAGCAATGAATGAGAGCTCCTTTTGCTCTCATTACCAGCATTTGGCACTGTCAGTGTCCTGAAGTTTGGTCATTCTAATAGGTGTGTAGTCATATTTCACTGTTATTTTAATTTGCATTTCCCTGTTAACATATGATATGGAGCATCTTTTCATATGTTTATTTGCCACCTGTATACCTTCTTTGGTGGGTGTCTCTTAAGGTCTTTGCCTTATTTTTAAATTGGGTTCTTGTTGCTGAGTTTTAGTCGTTCTTTGTATATTTTGAATAACAGTCCTTTATCAGATATGCCTTTTGCAAATATTTTCTCCTAGTTTATGTCTTGTCTTTTCATTCTCTTCATAGTATCTTTTGCAGAGCAGAAAGTTTTAATTTTAATGAAGTCCAGCTTATTAACTCTTTATTCTGCGGATTGTGACTTTGGTGTGGTATCTCTAGTTTGGTTCCTTTTCATCAGGGTTCCTTTGGTTATTACTGTTTTTGTATTTTCAAATAAACTTAATGCTCGGCTCATTAATTTTCACAAAGAAAGCTGCTGGAATTTTGTTTAAGATTTTATTGAATCTATAGATTGACTAAGAGATAACTGACATATTCCCAACATTGAGTCTTCCAATTAGTGAACATTGTATATTCCTGTAATTATTTAGATCTTCTTTAATTTTTCTCATATTTTAGTTTTCAATGTAGAAGTCTTATACATATTCAACTAGATTTGTTTATAAATAGCTGCTATTTTTGAAATTATTGTGCATAATGTTTAAATTTTTCACTTTTTTTGTTGCTAAATAGAAATAGAACTCATGTTTGTATGTTGACCTTGTATCCAGTGGCATTGTTAACTTCATTTATTAATTCCAGTAGCCTGTAGATTCTTCATGGCTTGCAAGGTATACAAGTATGTCCACTTAAAAAGACATTTTTATTTCTTCCCTTCGAATCATAGTGCCTTTTATTCCTTCTTTGCTTTATTCCGCTGTTTAGGACCTGTGATAGAATACTAAATTGGAGAAGAAAAGACAGGTATCCTTGTTTCATTCTTGATCTCCAGGGGAAAATTTTTGAAAATTTATTGTTAATGATGTTTCCTGTAGGTTTTTAAAGTCACTCTGAAAGTTCCCTTTGATTTTAGTTTGCTAATAATTTTACCACTACTGTGTGTTGAATTTTATCACATGACTTTTTTCTGTATCCATTGAAATAATCATGTTTTGTTCTTTATCTTTTAATATGGTAAATTACAATGATCAATTTTCAAATATTAAACTGCCTCTGTATTCCTAAAATAAACTCCATTTTCCAATTATTATTTTTCTTTTATACATTTTAAAATTTTATTTGCTAATATTTTTAAAAATGAATTTTCCATACATATTTATAAAAAAGAATAGTAATTTTCTTTTCTTATAATATCCTATTCAGGTTTGAATGTTATAACCTATTCAGATTTATGCTGGCACCCAAATGATTTGGAAAATGTCTATTTTTCTACTCTCTGAAGGAGTTTGTACAAATTAGTGATAATTTTGACATAAGTATTTGGGAGAATTCACTGCTGTGAATTAGAGTGGGAAGGTTTTTAATGAACAACTTTAATTAATATAATAGATATGACTAATCAGATCTTAATTTCGTCCTGTTTCAGTTTCGGAAAATTGTGTTTTTAAAGGATGGTTTCTGTTTTACATAAATTGTCAAGTTTATTGGCATAAAATTGTTCATAATATTTCTTTTTTATTTTTTAAATGTCTGTAGGTTGGTAGTTGTGTTTTTTTTATCCTGATATTGGCAGTTGGTGTTTTCCCTCTTTTTTTCTTGATTAGTCTAAGAGTTTTAAATTTTAATCATTGTAGAAACCAACTTTTTGCTTCACTGATTTCCTCTGTTGTATATTTGTCATTTATTTTGTTTCTGCCTATGTGTGTGTGTATAAAATTGTCTTCCATCTTTATTTGCATTTGATTTGCTGTTCTTTTTCTAGCTTCTTGAGATGAAAGCTTAGATTATTGATTTTTAGCCTTTCTTTTCTAACATGTGCATTTAAGATTTTAAATTTCCCTCTAAGTACTGTTTTGATACGCCAGGTGTTAATTTTTCCCCGTTCAAAATATTTGGAAATTTCTGTTGTGATTTCTTTTTGACTCATGGATTATGCAATTTGATTTTAAAATATTTGGAGATTTATTATATTTTTATTTCTGGCTTAATTCCACTGTGGTCAAAGAACATACTCTAAGTAGTTTCAATTTTTTTCCCCCCCAAGAAGGAGTTTGCTCTGTCGCCCAGGCTGGAGTGCAGTGGCACGATCTCAGCTCACTGAAACCTCCACCTGACGGTTTCAAGCAATTTTCCTGCCTCAGCCTCCCGAGTAGCTGGGATTACAGGTGCCTGCCACCATACCCTGCTAATTTTTGTATTTTTAGTAGAGACGGGGTTTCACCATATTGGCCAGGCTGGTCTCGAACTCCTGACCTTGTGATCTGCCCGTCTCTGCCTCCTGAACTGCTGGGATTACAGGTGTTAGCCACTGTGCCTGGCCTCAATTCTTTTTTAAATATTTGAGACTTCATTCATGACAAAGAACATGAACAATTTTTATATATCCCACATGCATATAAGAAGAATGTGTATGCTCCAGTGTGCTATGCATGTCAATTTATTTGAATATGATGTTCGTGTGGTTCGGATCTTCAACATTTTTTGTATGTGTGTGTTTTTTCTTCTTATTCTAACAGGAATTGAGAGAGTTGTATTCAATCTCCCTGTGTAATTGGGTTTGTCTACTTTGTATTTGTATTCTATCAACTTTATATATTTTGTAGTTATCTAATTGGGATGTATTCAGTCTTAAAACTAACATATTTCTGGTATATTTACTTCTTTATGATTATAAAAAAACTTCTCTTTATCTCTAGTAATGTATCTTTCCTTAAAGTCTCTTTTGTCTTATGTAAATACAGCTACCTAGATTTATTTTGGCTAGTGTTTATATTACTATATACCTTATCCAATTCTTTTAAACCTTCACTCTTTCTGTGTTCACACACACACAATTTGATAGCATAGAGTTGAGTTTTTCTTTAATCTAGTCTGACAATTTTTGTTGTTTAATTGGATTATTTAATCCAAATAAAATTAATACAATATCTGATATATTTCCATTTATGCTTACCATCTAATTACTTTTCTATTTGTCACTAAAGTTTAATTTTTCTTTTTGATTATTCAGATATTTTTAATTTTTCTTCCTTCAATTAGTGTTTTATTACTTTGAGGATTATCCAATAAATTACAGCATGCATCTTCAATATACAAGAATCTAACACACGTTAGTAATTTTACTACTTCCATGATAATGCTTACAGCCTTAACACTTTTTAACTCTATTTATACCTTTGCCTTTTACATTATTGTTGTTATAAATTTAAATTTTACATATAATTTAAATCCTTTAAGAAACTAGTATTAATATTATTGCCTTGTATAATCAATATTCAATCAACATTCATGTACATTGACCTTTCTTATTGCTCTTCATTTATTCCTGCAATTCTGTGATTTCTTTTGGATTGTTTTCCTTCTGCCTAATGCATTTCATTAAAAGCATTTCTTGGCCAGATGCAGTAGCTCATGCCTGTAATCCCAACACCTTCAGAGGCCAAGGCGGGTGGATCCCTTGAGGTCAGGAGTTCGAGACCAGCCTGGCTAACATGGTGAAACCCTGTCTCTACTAAAAATACAAAAATTAGCCAGGCGTGGCGGCACATGTCTGTAATCCCCTCTACTCAGGAGGCTGAGATGGGGAGAATAGCTTGGACCCAGGAGGTGGAGATTGCAGTGAGCCGAGATTGTGCCACTGCACTCCAGCCTAGACAACAGAGTGAGACTCTGTCTCGAAAAAAAAAAAAAAAGTATTTCTTTTAGTGCAGATGTGACTGTCGTTAATTCCCTTCATTTTTGTCTGAAAACTGCATTCATTTTTGAAGGATATGTTTGCTGGCAATAGAATTCTAACCTGGTAGTAATTTTCTTTCAGGACTTTAAAGATGTCATTCCTTTGTCTTTTGATTTCCTGATTTATGTTGAAAAGTCAGCTCTCCATTTTACTGATGCTCCTTTAACAGGAATGTTTTATTTCTTACATGGTTGGTTCTTAAATTATCTCTTTGACTTTGGTCTTGAGATGCTTTCCTATGATATGCCTAATTAGGCTTTGTTTTTATTTAGCCTGTTATTATTTATTTCTTGAATATCTTGAAGGATTAAGGATTTTCACCAGTTTTGGAAAATTCTTTATCATTATCTCTTCAAATATTGCCTCATGCTTGTTCTCTCTTTCAGTATGTTAGAGTTTTTAAAAATTACATTCCACACATCACTAATGTTCTTTTCTGTATATTTTATTATTTTATTCTCTGTGCTTATATTTGGATGTTAATATTGAATTGTCTTGCATCCACTAATCCTGTATCATTTTATGACTATGACATTAAACCATTTAAATAGTTTTAATTTCAGATAATATAATTTTTCAGTTCTAGAATTAACTTTCACTTTTAAAGTTCAATTCTCCAGTGAAATTATCTCCTTATTTTCTCTATTGTTCTTTATTTTTAACATATTAGTCTTACTTATTTTAATATCATTCAGTTAATTTTAATATCTGAATCATTTATGGGTAATTTTTATTGTCTTTTTTTTCTCTCGGTTTTATTCATGTATCCAGTTTTTGGTGTGTGTACTTAGGAATTTTTTATTGAATGTTGAATATTTACATAAAAAGCTATCCAAGGTTAAGATATTATCTTCCTCCAACAAGAGTTCACCTTTTCCACTGTTAACTTGATAGAGTTCTGTCTAAACAAATCATCTCAACTGAAACAGGCACTGGGCTTTGTCAAGGTTCTTTGCAGTCCTGATAAGCACCTGGCTCTCCAGAATTTTCAGCTGAGAACTTGGTATATTCTCCACAGCCCCTTCCCATGGCAGATCCTAAACTCTAATGTTTCAATAGCAAGACTATTAAAACTTCACTTTCCTTTTCAGAAATTTTCCAGTTAGGATTTTAGTCTTTTTCTCTGGGCTTCCCTGAGTTTGACAAGTGTCCTGAGGGGAAAATTTGGCCATGAACTTGAATCTTCCAGTCAACCCCAACAGCTATTGAAGTTACTCTGTCTCTGACAAAAGCTTTTTGTTTGTTCTCAGACTTAGCATATTTCCTCAGGGTAAAACTCCTGTCAGGAGTCAGTTTTCACCTCCAAGAATTTTCCTTCTCAGGAATCTTGGCCCATTCAGATCTTATTATATTATCTGTTTTCAGTTACTTCAAAACAGATAATTTTACATTTTAACCAATTTTTAGAGTTGCTTTCTGCGGCTAGATAATCCATCTACTCTGGAAGCAGAATTTCACCAAATATATGCATAGTTTTAACCTTAGACTATTTAAAATATATTTTGTAACTTTTGATAGTAAAAGAAGAGGGGATCATTTTGTTCTGTTCTGTTTTGTTTTGTTTTGAGACAGGGTCTTGCTGGGTCTCCCAGGCTGGAGTGCAGTGGCCTGATCATAGCTCACTGCAGCCTCAAACTCTTAGGCTCAGGCAATTTTCCTGCCTCAGCCTCCCAAGTAGCTGGGACTACAGATGTGTGCTACCATGACCAGCTAACTTTTTGTTGTGGTTGTTGAAACAGGGATCTCACTATATTGCCCAGGCTGGTCTCAAACTCCTGGCCTCAAGCGATCCTCCCCACTTGGCCTCCCAAAGTGCTGGGATTACAGGCATGAGCCACCACACCCAGCCAAGGAGAGGGGATTCTAAATTGATATGGGCTACGTTGCCTTCAGAATTTCTGTCTCCAAAACAGTGTGTGTTAAATTCACTATATGCTGTGCCTAAAAATAACAGTAGCAGGGGAACTGTAAAAGATGCATATATAATAGATTAATTTGAGAAAATACCTGTTGGGATGGGTGTTATTATCAAGATTCTTGGCCTCCATTCTCTAATTTTGTTCTGTGACAATAGAACTGGCCTATTTTCATAAGGTATGCATGTTGTGAAAGTTATTTGGATCGTGTTTACAACTAAATTCTAATAATTGAATTTTTAAATGTTGATCTATACTACACCTAGCTGGTAAGGAATGAGTCATGCTTTATGAATACCTCCAAGGATGATGTCGGTTTGGGGTGTTTATTTGAACGGTCTCATTTGGGTGATTATACGAATTGGACTTACCCTGCATAAACAACAAAAAAAATGATTTTGGACTTTCATCATGTCAGTATATAGTTGGTGAAAACTTCAACCAGATTTCTTACTTGTCATCATAAATAAAAGCTATTTCTTTTTTTTAAAATTTTTTTGAGACAGAGTCTCACTCTGTCACCCAGGCTGGAGTGCAGTGGTGTGATCTCTGTGGCTGGAGGTGCGGCTCACCACAACCTTCACCTCCCGGGTTCAAGCAATTCTCCTGCTTTAGCCACTCCTGTAGCTGGGATTACAGGTGTGCACCACCACACCCAGCTAATTTTTGTGTTTTTTTTAGAGACGGGATTTTGCCATTTTGCCCAGGCTGGTCTTGAATTCCTGGCCTCAGGTGATCTGCCTGCCTCCCAAAGCGCTGGGATTATAGGCATGAGCCACCACACCCGGCCTCAAAGCTATTTCATTTAAGTAGCTAATAATAAATGGAAGAAGACATTAAAGTTGACTACCATATTTATGTCTTACATATTTGTATGTTATATTCTGTTCTCACTTTATATCTTCTTCACTTTGATTTTTAAATTGAATAAATGCTAAAAAATATGTTTCAAGAATAACAGTCAATTTTCCTTTTTATTTCATTACACGTTTAGAAAACAAGAGTAATTCAAGGAAAAGTGCAAGTAATTTAACTCCAGT
This sequence comes from Homo sapiens, assembly GCF_000001405.40. NCBI lineage: Eukaryota > Metazoa > Chordata > Mammalia > Primates > Hominidae > Homo > Homo sapiens. The sequence goes on along the minus strand of NC_000005.10, from coordinate 141,125,777 downwards.
AGGATGATACTTGAGATTTAAAAATAAATGTTAGATTATAAAGCAAGTTCTTCAGTTGCTCATATTCTGCCAAAAGTAAAATAGAGGTGTACTATAGTTATATCCATACAACTTTACCTAGCTTACTGGGCTTACTGATCACAGCATAAAACAATTTTAATTCAGATAAATTTATTACTGTTCCAGTCTATACAAGGACAAAATAATATTTATTTCATGCAAGTGCAACTTTGGCATAATTGAGAAGTTAAATTAATTCAAAATAACTGAAGGTTACCTTAAAGAACAAATTAAAATAATTAAGCATTTAAAAATTATTTTTGTAAAGGCTGTCCATATCTGCAAAGTAATGTACAGTGAAAAACCTGAGATCAACTGATTATCAGATTTAAACAGAATAGCCAAGGTGCAGAAGAAATTTCGTGATTCTTTTGAAAGATGGGGAGAAGCTGTAGGAAAACCAAAAAATATACACATATTAAAGTATACTTGGATTTCTATTTATAGGGAGTAAAAGGTAGCACAAGGAGACCTATGATGCTCTCAAGAGTCTTGATTTTGGGGAGAAATTTAGGGCTTATTTCAGATTCTGAGATTTTTTTTTAAGATGATATCAGGCCATGATTTAACAGTTTTATTTATTGAAAGGTTATGACAAATTATATGAGATTTTTCTCTTTAAAAATTATTTATAAATAAGTTATTTTTACAAAATTTAATATTAGCATTCATGGAACATTACAATGTGCTAGGTAAGTAGCAACCAAATAAACAAAATAATCACTAGACATGTGGTGGTCACAAGAGGAAAAGGACCACAATTTTAGTGTATTACCAATGTAGTGAAGTGCATGTTTATATACAATTTGTGAAAAATGAGTAAACTAAATTTTACACTCATGGCTATTAAGAGGGCTTAGCCTAGTATAGTCAACCAGAAAGGACAAGGTAATTATAAAGTTAAATACAAAACTTTCAAACACTCTGGCCTTGCAAACATTAAGTTACATGGTAAAGACAGGCACAACAAATATTTAGAAATTCAATATTCATATATTCACTTAAATGTTCCATTAAAAAGATGTTAATTTAAGAATTTCATTAAAACATAATTTATTTTTATCCTAATTGAGTAATTTATGATTACAAAAAGATTAATCACCAATAGATCAAATATAGAGAAAATCCATACTCAATATCCAGTATAACTAAAAATGTTAAGTGCAATTAATAACAATAAAAAAGGGACAAATTTAGCTTTATCAGGGACATGAGTAGGTTTGAAATTGTGGTATGAATATTTAGATAAGTAGACAATTTTTTTAAATAAAGGCATTGCAGTGGGAAGTTTGACAAAACTAACGGGCGGTTCACTGAACTAAATACAATACTTAACTGAATACCAAGCTATTTCTGAACTTGGGGTTTTCCTTAACTTCCCTCCCGGTGTCCTGAACCAAGAGATTAGGAAATATTGGCTTCAGGAACTTGAACTCACCAGTCCCAGAGTCTCCTGTCAGACACACCTCGTACTGGTAGCTCTGGGACAGGGTCCCGGTGCCGCTTACGTCCACCAGATGCCCTGGAAAGGGGCCCTCGGGCACCGAGCAGCGACCCACCGAGGCCGCCCTGCTCCTCCTGCACAGCCGCACCGCCACGAACAGGAGCACCGAGAAGAGGAAGAGCGACGACACCGAGGCCAACGCCACCACCAGGTAGACGGTGAGAGAGTCGGCCTGGGCCTGGGCCGGGGCCGCCTCAGGGAGAGGCAGGTAGGGCTGGGAGAAGCCATCCACCAGGAGCACGTGCAGCGTGGCGGTGGCCGAGCGCGGAGGCTCGCCATTGTCCTTGACAAGCACCACGAGCCTGTGCTTGGCTGCGTCGCGCTCGCTCAGCAGCCTGGCGGTGCGCACCTCGCCATTGTGCGCCCACACGCCGAACAGCCCAGGCTCCGTGGCCTTGAGCAGCTGGTACGACAGCCAGGCGTTCTGGCCCGAGTCGCCGTCCACCGCCACCACCTTGGTCACCAGGTAGCCCGGCTCGGCCGCCCGGGGCACCAGCTCGGTGCAGGGCGCGGAGCCATTCTGCAGCGGGTACAGCACGAAGGGCGAGTTGTCGTTGGTGTCCAGCACCAGCACGCGCACCAGCGCCTCGCTGCTCAAAGCCGGAGAACCGCGGTCTGAGGCGCCCACGCGGAACTCGAACGCCTGCAGGGCCTCGTAGTCCAGCGACCTGAGGGCGAACAGGTGGCCGTTGTCTGCGTTGATGGAGACCAGGGAGGCGAGGGGCAGGTGCGGGTCCTGGGGCGGCAGCAGCGAGTAGGTGACCTGGGCGTTGGTGCCCGAGTCTCTGTCTGTGGCGCTGACACTGCCGATGTGCAGGGCGGGGCTGTTGTTCTCGCGGACGAACAGGGTGTAGGAGGTTTGGGTGAAGGCGGGGGCGTTGTCATTGACGTCGGAGACCTGCACGGTTATGTTCTGCTGGGTTTTCAGCCTGGGTGTCCCCAAGTCAGTGACGGCGATGGTGATGTTGTACTCAGCGCTGGTCTCTCGGTCCAGTGGTCTCTCTGTTACCAGGGTGTAAAAATTCTTCAAAGTTGGTTTTAGAATAAACGGTAGATTATCTGGAATAGAGCAAATCATCTTTCCATTTTCTCCGGAATCTCTATCTCGAATTCGGAAGATAGAGACTACCGTCTCAGGAGCATTTTCTGGGATGGAGCTGGTGAGTGAAGATATGATAAGTTCTGGGGGATTGTCATTCACATCCACCACCTCTATGACTACAGTGCCTTTTCCAGAAAGGCCTCCTCCATCTGTGGCCTCAATTTCTACATGGTAAGATTTAATTTTTTCGAAATCCAATTTTTTTTTCAACAGTATTTCTCCCGTGACTTCATTTATTGAGAAAGTTTGTTTAATTTCATCTGATGCTTGGAATAAGCCATAAGAAACACTCCCGAAGTTTCCAGCATCTATATCTCTAGCTAAGACCCTAACAATTGGAGAGTCTAGGGGGCTGTTTTCCAGGACCTGCACCCCATATGGAGTGTGCACAAACTCAGGAGCATTGTCATTGATGTCCATGATCAGGATTCGAACCATGACCGTGCCAGACCTAGGTGGTGACCCACCATCCAGCGCCACGAGGGTTAAGCTGAACTCAGGCTGCTCCTCTCGATCCAGTGGTTTGTCCTGCACCAAATCTGGGTATTTCTTGCCCTCACTATGATTTCGAGTGAGAATGTGAAAATGAGAATTGGGGCTGATTGTGTATTTTTGAAGACCATTGCTGCCCACATCCAAATCCTCAGCTATTAGCAACGGAAATAGAGTACCCGGCTGGCTATTTTCTAGTATTTTCAAGAGCACTTCCCTTTCAGGGAATATTGGAGAGTGATCATTTATGTCCTGGATCAATAATTCTCCTTGAAAAAATTGCACCGGCATTTCCAGGAACACTTGGAAATGCAGTACACACGGTTCAATAGGACCACAGAGCTCTTCCCGGTCTAGTTTCTCCCTCAGAAGCAAATCTCCAGTCTGACGATCCAGCTGCAAACGCTGCTTGTCATCGTCAGACAGCACCCGGGCTGACCGGGAGGCCAGTTCCCCAATTCCCAGGCCCAGATCCTTGGCCAGATGGGCTACAAAGGAGCCGCTCTCTGTTTCCTCCAACACAGAATAACGAATAGGCTCGAGGCGAACCTGAGACAAGAACACCATCAAAATAAAGGCCAACACTTGCCTGTTTGGATGAATTCTCCCTAGCTTCTTCATGTTGGAGTCCAGGTCCCTATATCCAATCCCCTCAGCAACCGCAACGAGACTTGAGACATTCAATTCCAATTTCTTGCTTGGAGGAATCGTCACACAGTTGCTTTTAATATTAAATTTGTTTAGTATATCGCTGCCCCAAGCCGTTGGTAAACCTGCACTGCTTGTAACGCTTCTTCCGTGTGTTTTTGATTGCGTCTAGCGACACAGAAGAATACGCGCGAGCTTTTTAGGGCTCATTATTCACAACTTAGCCTGCAGCGCCACCCTGCGTCTTGATTGAGAAATTAACAACTTCAAGACAACGTATTTGGGAAGTTTTAAAATAAAAGCCATTTTTAAGAGCATAGAATTTTTACAAACTTTGTTACATTAAACTGCATAATTTAAAAGGTTATTTAATTACAGTGCACGAACCAGAATAATCATGAGCACAAATCAAGAAGATATCTCAGACTCCCCACACGCTTATCAGTGAAACTTCAAAGAACTCCATTTCTTCTTTACATAATCCAGCCACAGGAGACAAATTTTTATACACTTTCAATTCAATTCTTAGTAGTTATAAATGTTCTTTTCTAAGAATGTGAGGACTTTGTGATGATGCAAAAGTTTAAGATGTTCTCTATACATGGTCTAAAGCGCGACTACCTTTGAAACGAAAGGTTCTATTTTCCTACTTTAATGTGCAAATAGTAATACAGGTGAATAGACAGGTATCTTGTTTTGTATCAAGTAATTTATAGTGTGAACCTACATTGAACCTAGGAGTAAGGCAAATAGTATTAGAATCACAGATTCTTAGAACTAAAGAGGAAATAAAAGATAAGGAAACTAAAACTGAAGCTCAGAGGGTAACAGGACTTGATTATTCTATGTGACTATTATGAGGATAATGTCAAGACAAAAGTGAGTAACAGTCACAGAATTTTGTGAAGATAAAGGCTTTAAGCTGAGCTTATTTAGCAAGATAGATGTAATCTATATTTTACAATGAGTTTGCCTGTTACCACACTCACCTTTTGTATCCCAGATATCATATTCCTTGACCAGCTAATTTTGGGGAAAACAAGAAGCACTGATTTAAAATATTTTATTCTGTGACCAAAGGGTGACTTAGGCTGTCTCTACTCAGATATGGTGAAGTAAAGAGACTTGTGTATAAAATGGATCCCACCACAGTGTGTAGCTACTGTGATTACTCTCAAACAATAAGAAAGAATGGTACCACTGAGACACAGTTAACCAATTTATTGGTTGCAATTAATACACTGAATGGAGCACCACTTATCTTGCCACATATAAGATTTTCTCCCCTTAAATATCTTGTTATTTTATTTAGTTATCCAATTCATATAAGTAATTATAATTTATAATTCATGTTAAATTAATTCTTTTTAAAGCATGAAATCTGAGATTTCAGATTCTGATAGTGATAGAAAGTATTAGTAAAAATTGTGAAAGATACATGGATTTTATTTAGTAAATACCAGTTGAATTAATAAATTAATCCACTCAAATGATGTTTTTATCTATATAAGCAGATTATTGTCAGATCATATATTCAGCCTTGAACATGTCTGAAACTGAATACAGAATTTTGAGAATATAATACATGCTAAGCATTATATAACTAAATTTACTTTGATTCTATTTCTATTAATTAATTCCTATAAGGGATATATCAATGGCAGTAATAATAATATTAACATCTTAGAATTTTCTTTCACATTTAAAGTAAATCAGAAAAGATACACTATGCATCACTATTAAATGAAAAACAATAAAAATATATACTGAAAAGAATAAAAAGAAAGAGTATTATTTTAGACATAACTGGAAAACAAATCTCCTGGGCAAATCAAAGAGAAAATTGTTTCTAATATAGTAACCAGGTTTTAGTTAGATTCAAGTTAATGCATTCAGGACAAAATTCAAACCATATTTTGTTTACTTATTCCTACATGTTGACATAGAGTAAGAATTGGGTCTTTTCAGTTCCTTTTGCAATCCAAAAGTAAATGAAATCTCAATAACATTAACATATATATCCACTATACACCAGATATTTTTCTAAGCATTTTGCGTATGTTGACTCATTTTATCACCCCAACAACCCTATGAGGTGGGCAGTCTTATTAGCCACATTTTAAAGACGAAGAATTGTGGCACACAGAGTTTAAATAATCTGTCCAAAGTCATACAGCATGTGAAACGGCAGAGCCAGGATTTAAACTGTTACTATGTGACTCCAGAAACCATTCTTTTCTATACCTAAGCAGAGCTGGAGAGGTGAACAACTTTTCAGATAATTTAGATCCCAACTTCAGCCTTGCCTTGGGTACATGGTTATCATAGGTGAAATATATTTATATTCAAATTTTCAATTATTATTAGAAACTTAAAAATTACTTGTCTCCCTTTAGAGATAGTTAGTTACCAGTAAAGAGAGATGTTTATACAACTTACACATTGGAAGGAAAACTAATACTCAACATTTTTGTCGAGATCATTATCAGGTGAAAAAAATGAAGAGTGACATAATGAATTACTCATAGCCTTAAACATTGGATAAAAATATGTATAGATCTTTTGAAAAGTTGTTTAGGTTCTGATAAAGGGTTTAAGGTTACAATCAAGAAGCGTGGCCTAGAAGAATGGCCTAGCATATTATGCCATAGTTTATTTCCCTAAACTGCCATATTTATCAGAAAAAAAAGATCTGTTATACCTGAATGGAGGATAAGCTAATGATATAAGATAAGCTAATGAAGTAAAGAATGAGCACCTGAAAACTATTTCACACCAGTCAGAAAAGCTGTGTTATCCATTCTGAAGGATTCATATGACTATTTACATAATTGGTTGCCAGATCTGAAGCATGATATTTAATTTTTTTCATTTTAAATATACAAAGAAAGATAAAATAGAGGGATACGCAGGAAACTAGTTGCTCTCTGGTAAAATATAGGCAAGAACCTTATCGTTGAAGAAAGATAAAAATCATTTTAAAGAAATTTGAGGCTGGGCATGGCAGCTCATGCCTGTAATCCCAGCACTTTTGGAGGCCAAGCAGGAGGATCACTTGAGGTCAGGAGTTTGAGACCAGCCTGAGCAACATAGCAAGATCCTGTCTCTACAAAAAAAAAAAAAAAATTATCCAGAGGTGGTGGCATGCACCTGTAGTCCCAGCTACTTGGGAGGCTGAGGTGGGAGGATTGCTTGAGCCTGGGAGATTGAGGCTTCAGTGAGCCATGACTGTGCCACTGCACTCCAGCCTGGGTGACAGAGTGAGACTCTTTCTCAAAAAAATAAAACCAAAAACTACTAAAATAAATAAATGAGTTCAGCAAGCTTGCAGAATACAAGATCACTATACAGAAATCAATTGTATTTCTATACAGTAGCATTGAACAAATCAAAAATGAAATCAAGAAAGCAATGGAATTTATAATAGATATCATCAAAAGGAATAAAATGCTTAGGAATAAATTTAACAAAAGAAGTGGGAGAACTGAACACTGAGCACTACAAAACATCATTGAAAGAAATTAAAGAAGATCTAAGTAAATGAAAAGTGTTCATGGATTGGAAGACTTAAGATTGTTAAAATATTGGTATGCTCCAAATTGCTCTACAGATTTAGTGCAATCCCTATCAAAATTTCAGTTGGCTTTTTTGCAGAAATTGGTAAAGTGACCGTAAAATTCACATGAAAATGCGAGGTACCCAGAATACAATCTTGGGAAAAGAGGAACAAAGTTGAAAAGCCCACACTTTCTGATTGTAAAGATATATTCTAAGTTATATATCACATATTTGAGTATTTTGATATATTAAACTTATAAATGCTATTTTTATTCTAGAAAAAATTATTAGAAATTATCTTAGATTCCATCACAAATTTCTCAAGTCAAACTCTAATTATTCAAGTATCCCCTTCCTACATGTACATTTCAGTGAGTGTGACTTTAAAAATATCTTATAGGTTTAAGTTTGGAAAGTTAGCTAATGTAAAATTTACTTTGCTTTCACCACTGAGCACTATTGTTTGCTTTACAGCTATTTCATTCAAATGGTCAGCTGATGTATCTATTGTACCCATTTAATAGAACATTCCAGGAGATCATTCCTTTTATAAGAATTTCTAATAAATTCCACAAACCATTGATAGTAACCATTTATTATTGAGAGCTTAACATTTTGAAATAGTGCTATTGGAAATATGATTTAAAGAAATAATAGTCAAATTTATCTCTTTCTCTCAAAAATTAATGTTTAATTTTCCTCTATTCTCCCCTTTCAAAGTAAGAACAAAACCATCCTCAAGTCATGGTGAAGTTTTAAAAATACTCTTTCATTTTTAAAATAGACTATTCAAAATAGTATGAATTTAACATTTTTAACTTTAGGACTAGGTATATTCAAATCCCTTTTTTTTTTTTTTTTTGAGACGGAGTCTCGCTCTGTGGACCAGGCGGGAGTGCAGTGGCGCAATCTCGGCTCACTGCAAGCTCCGCCTCCCGGGTTCACGCCATTCTCCTGCCTCAGCCTCCCGAGTAGCTGGGACTACAGGCGCCCACCATCACGCCCGGCTATTTTTTTTGTATTTTTAGTAGAGACGGGGTTTCACCGTGTTAGCCAGGATGGTCTCGATCTCCTGACCTCGTGATCTGCCCACCTCGGCCTCCCAAAGTGCTGGGATTACAAGCGTGAGCCACCGCGCCCGGCCTCAAATCCCTTTTTAAATCTTTTTTTCTTGAGACAAGGTCACACAGGCCCCTGGAGTGCAGTGACACCATCATAGCTCACTGCAGCCTCGAGCTCCTGGGCTCAAGCAATCTTCATGCCTTGGCCTCCTGAGTAGCTGGGATTACAGGTGCAAGCCACCATATTCAGCTAATTAAAAAAAATTTGTAGAGATGGGGTCTTGTTATGTTGATCATCCTGGTCTTGAACTCCTGGCCTCAAGCATTCCTTCCACCTTGGCCTTCCAAAATGCTGGGATTACAGATATGAACAACTGCAACTGGCTCATTGTTTGATTTTAACATGCTGAACCAACCTTGCATTCCTGAGATAAATCCTACTTGGCCATGGTATGTAATCATTTTTATGTGATACTAGAGTCAGTTTGCTAAAATTTTGTTGAGAATGTTTGCATCTATATCCATAAGAGAAATTGGTATGTATTTTTCCCTTGTGTTATCACTGTCTGGTTTTGTCATCATGTTAATACTGGCCTCTATAGAATAGAGTTGAAAAGTGGTCCCTGCTCCTCTATTTTTTGAATGAGTATATTAAGTACTGGTGTTAATTCTTCTTTAAACATTTGGTAGAATTGACCAGTGAAGCCATCTGGTTCTGGGCTTTTCTTTGTGGAAAGTTTTTGATTACTGGTTCGATCTCTTATTACAGGTCTATTCAGGTTTTTTGTTAGGTTGGTGTAAAAGTAATTGTGTTTTTTGCCATTGAAAGTGATGGCAAAACCACAACTACTCTTGCACCAACCTAGTATTTCTCCTTAGTCAGTTTTGGCAATTACAGGTCTATTCACATTTTCTATTTCTCCTTAGTCAATTTTGGTAGTTTGTGTTTTCCATTTAATCTAGGGTTTTTTTTTTCCATTTCATCTAGGTTTTCTAATTTGTTGGCTTAAAATTGTTTATAGTATTCCCTTAAGACCTGTGAAATAGGTCATACTTTTTCCTCCTTTTTTTTAATTTTAGTAATTTGAGTCCTCTTTTTTCATCATCAGCCTAGCTAAAGCTTTGCCAATTTTATTGATCTTTTCAAAGCACCAACTTTTAGTTTATTTTCTCCATTGTTTTTCTATTCTATTTATTTCCACTCTAATAATTTCCTTTCTTCAGCTTGTATTGGTTTTAGTATGCTCTCCTTTTTCTAGCTTCTTAAGGTGGAAGTCTGGGTTACTGATTTGAGATCTTCTTAAAATATATAAGTATTTCAGCTATTATTTTCCCTCTAAGCACAACTTTTATTGTATCCCATAAGTTTTGGTATGTTGCATTTTCATTTTTATTCATTTCAGAGTATTTTTTAATGTCCTTTGTGATTTCTTCTTTGATTCATTGTTTTTTTAAATGTTTAATTTCCACATATTTGTGAATTTCCCAAATTTTCTTCTGCCACTGCTTTCTAATTTCATTTCATTGTAGCTGGAAAACATACTTTATATGATTTTAACTCTTTCAAATTCATTAAGACTTGTTTTATGGCCTAAAATATAGTCTATCCTGGAGAATGTTTCATATGCACTTGAAAATAATGTGTATTCTGCTGTTGTTAGATGGAGTGTTCTGTTAAGTACTGTTGGTTTATAACATTATTCAAGTCTTCTTTTCTCATGTTGATACTATTTCATTGTTTTATCATTTATTGAAAATTGTGGTATTAAAGTCTTCAGCTATTATTGTCAAATTGTCTAACTTTTCATTTGTGTCTCTTTTTGCTCCATTTATTTTGGGTTTCTATTATTAGGTGCATATATGTTTATGATTATTATGTTTTCCTAATGGATTGACCCTTTTACTATTATAAAATTCCCCTCCTTAACTTTTCATTTTTAGTAACTTTTGTGCTTGTTTTATAGTATATTTTGCTTGATATTAATGTAGGCATTCTAGCTCTTTTGGTTACTATCTACATAGTATATCTTTTTCCATCTTTTTACTTTCAACTTATGTGTGTCTTTGAATCTAAAGTTTCCCTTGGTAGACAGCCTAGAGTTGGATCATTTCTAAAAATCCATTCTGCCAACTTCTGCTTTTTAATTGGAGTGTGTAATTCATTCATATTTAACATAGTTGCTGATAAGGTAGATTTATATTGACAATTTGCTTTGTTTTCTATGTCTTATTATTTTATTTCCTCATTGTTCTCTTTTGTGTTAAACACATATTTTCTTGGGTACCATTTTAATTGACTTCTCAATTTTTTTTACCTTTTTTAGTTATTTTCTTGGTGGTTTCTCTGATTATTAAAGTGAACATCTTTTACCAATCTAGTTCAGATTAATATCAATTAAATTTCAATAGTATATAGAATTTTGTTTCTATATAGCTATGTTATCTCTCCCCTCCTTTGTGTTACATTGTCATACAAATTACATCTTTACAAATTATATACCTATGAACATAGATTGATTATTATTGCTTTATGCAGTGTTCTTTTCAATAAAAAATTTACAAATAAAAACACATTTATAGTTCCCTAGATATATATATATGCCTATAAGTTACTTTCCCTTTATGAGGCTTTTATTTTTTGATGTGGATTAAAGTTACTTATTGGTGTCCTTTTATTTTAGCCCAAATGACTACCTTTAATATTTCTTTGTAGAGTAGGTTTGCTACCAATGTAATCAGTCACTTATTATTTTTTGGTAATATCTTAATTTCTCTTTCATTTTTGAAAGATACTTTTGGTGGATATAGAATTATTGGTTGATAGTCCCTTTAAGACACATTCAATGCAGTGTGTAGAGGGAAATTTATAGCACTAAATGCCCACAAGAGAAAGCAGGAAAGATCTAAAATTGACACCCTAACATCACAATTAAAAGAACCAGAGAAGCAAGAGCAAACACATTCAAAAGCTAGCAGAAGGCAAGAAATAACTAAGATCAGAGCAGAATTGAAGGAAATAGAGACACAAAAAAAAACCTTAAAAAAATCAATGGATCCAGGAGCTGGTTTTTTGAAAAGATCAACAAAATTGATAGACCGCTAGAAAGACTAATAAAGAAGAAAAGAGAGAAGAATCAAATAGACGCAATAAAAAAAAGACAAAGGGGATGTCGCCACCGATCCCACAGAAATACAAACTACCATTAGAGAATACTATAAACACCTCTACGCAAATAAACTAGAAAATCTAGAAGAAATGGATAAATTCCTCGACACATACACCCTCCCAAGACTAAACCAGGAAGAAGTTGAATCTCTGAATAGACCAATAACAGGCTCTGAAATTGAGGCAATAATTAATAGCTTACCAACCAAAAAAAGTCCAGGACCAGATGGATTCACAGCCGAATTCTACCAGAGGTACAAGAAGGAGCTGGTACCATTCCTTCTGAAATTATTCCAATCAACAGAAAAAGAGGGAATCCTCCCTAACTCATTTTATGAGGCCAACATCATGCTGATACCAAAGCCTGGCAGAGATACAACAAAAAAAGAGAATTTTAGACCAATATCCCTGATAAACATCGATGCAAAAATCCTTAGTAAAATACTGGCAAACCAAATCCAGCAGCACATCAAAAAGCTTATCCACCATGATCAAGTGGGCTTCATCCCTGGGATGCAAGGCTGGTTCAACATACGCAAATCAATAAATGTAATCCAGCATATAAACAGAACCAATGACAAAAACCATACGATTATCTCAATAGATGCAGAAAAGGCTTTTGACAAAATTCAACAACCCATCGTGCTAAAAACTTTCAATAAATTAGGTATTGATGGGACGTATCTCAAAATAATAAGAGCTATCTATGACAAACCCACAGCCAATATCATACTGAATGGGCAAAAACTGGAAGCATTCCCTTTGAAAACCGGCACAAGACAGGGATGCCCTCTCTCACCACTCCTATTCAACATAGTGTTGAAGTTCTGGCCAGGGCAATCAGGCAGGAGAAGGGAATAAAGGGTATTCAATTAGGAAAAGAGGAAGTCAAATTGTCCCTGTTTGCAGATGACAAGATTGTATATCTAGAAAACCCCATCGTCTCAGCCCAAAATCTCCTTAAGCTGATAGGCAACTTCAGCAAAGTCTCAGGATACAAAATCAATGTACAAAAATCACAAGCATTCTTATACACCAATAACAGACAAACAGAAAGCCAAATCATGAGTGAACTCCCATTCACAATTGCTTCAAAGAGAATAAAATATTTAGGAATCCAACTTACAAGGGATGTGAAGGACCTCTTCAAGGAGAACTACAAACCACTGCTCAATGAAATAAAAGAGGATACAAAGAAATGGAAGAACATTCCATGCTCATGGGTAGGAAAAATCAATATCATGAAAATGGCCATACTGCCCAAGGTAATTTACAGATTCAATGCCATCCCCATCAAGCTACCAATGACTTTCTTCACAGAATTGGGAAAAACTACTTTAAAGTTCATATGGAACCAAAAAAGAGCCTGCATTGCCAAGTCAATCCTAAGCCAAAAAAACAAAGCTGGAGGCATCATGCCACCTGACTTGAAACTATACTAGAAGTCTACAGTAACCAAAACAGCATGGTACTGGTACAAAAACAGAGATACGGACCAATGGAACAGAACAGAGCCCTCAGAAATAATACCATGCATCTACAACCATCTGATCTTTGACAAACCTGACAAAAACAAGAAATGGGGAAACGATTCCCTATTTAATAAATGGTGCTGGGAAAACTGGCTAGCCATATGTAGAAAGCTGAAACTGGATCCCTTCCTTACACCTTATACAAAAATTAATTCAAGATGGATTAAAGACTTAAATGTTAGACCTAAAACCATAATAACCCTAGAAGAAAACCTAGGCAATACCATTCAGGACATAGGCATGGCCAAGGACTTCATGTCTAAAACACCAAAAGCAATGGCAACCAAAGCCAAAATTGACAAATGGGATCTAATTAAACTAAAGAGCTTCTGCACAGCAAAAGAAACTACCATCAGAGGGAACAGGCAACCTACAGAATGGGAGAAAATTTTTGCAGTCTACTCATCTGACAAAGGGCTAATATCCAGAATCTACAAAGAACTTAAACAAATTTACAAGAAAAAAAATCAAACAACCCCATCAAAAAGTGGGCAAAGGATATGAACAGACACTTCTCAAAAAAAGACATTTATGCAGCCAAAAGACACATGAAAAAATGCTAATCATCACTGGCCATCAGAGAAATGCAAATCAAAACCACAATGAGATACCATCTCACACCAGTTAGAATGGCGATCATTAAAAAGTCAGGAAACAACAGGTGCTGCAGAGGATGTGGAGAAATAGGAACACTTTTACACTGTTGGTGGGACTGTAAACTAGTTCAACCATTGTGGATGTCACTGTGGTGATTCCTCAGGGATCTAGAACTAGAAATACCATTTGACCCAGCAATCCCATTACTGGGTATATACCCAAAGGATTATAAATCATGCTGCTATGAAGACACATGCACACGTACGTTGATTGCAGCACTATTCACAATAGCAAAGACTTGGAACCAAGCCAAATGTCCAATAATGATAGACTGGATTAAGAAAATGTGGCACATATACACCATGGAATACTATGCAGCCATAAAAAATGATGAAGCTGGAAACTATCATTCTCAGCAAACTATTACAAGGACAAAAAACCAAACACCGCATGTTCTCACTCATAGGTGGGAACTGAATAATGAGAACACATGGACACAGGAAGGGGAACATCACACACCAGGGCCTGTTGTGTGGTGGGAGGGGGGAGGGATAGCATTAGGAGATATACCTAATGTTAAATGACGAGTTAATGGGTGCAGCACACCAATATGGCACATGTATACATATGTAACTAACCTGCACGTTGTGCACATGTACCCTAAACTTAAAGTATAAAAAAAAAAAGATAGTCCCTTTTAGCACTTTGAATGTGTCATCCCACTCCCCTTTGGCCTCCATTATGTCTGTAAGAAATCAGTGTCAGTCATACTGAGGATAAGATTTTTGAGGATAAGGTATGTGATGAGTTGCTTCTCTCTTGCTGTTTTTGAGGTTCTCTTCTTGTCTTTAGCTTTTGACAGTTTGATCATGATGTCAAGGCATGAATCTCTTTGACTTTATCCTGGTTGGAGTTTGCTGGGCTCCTTGAATGTGAAGGTTAATGTTTCTCATCAAATTTGAGAAATTTTCAGCCATTATTTCAGCTATTCTTTCTGTTATTCTGTCTCCTTCTTCTCCTTCTGGGACTTCAAGTATGTGTAGTTAGTAGGCTTCATGGTGTCCCACAGGTCTCTGTTCATTTTCATTTTTGAAAATCTTTTTGTTGCTAAGACTGGATAATTTCAGTTGATCTATTATTTTTTTCTTTCTTTTTTCTTTCTTTCTCTCTCTTCCTTCCTTCCTTCTTTCCTTCTTTTTCTTTCTGGGTTTTGTTTTTTTTTTTTTTTTTGAGACAGAGTCTTGCACTGTCACCCAGGCTGGAGTGCAGTGGCACAATCTTGGCTCACTGCAAGCTCAGCTTCCCGGGTTCACGCCATTCTCCTGCCTCAGCCTCCCGAGTAGCTGGGACTACAGGCGCCCACCACCACGCCCAGCTAATTTTTTTGTATTTTTAGTAGAGACGGGGTTTCACCGTGTTAGCCAGGATGGTCTCGATCTCCTGACCCTGTGATCCGCCCGTCTCGGCCTCCCAAAGTGCTGGGATTACAGCAGTGAGCCACCGCGCCCGGCCCTGTTTGTTTGTTTGTTTGTTTGTTTGTTTGAGACAGGGTCTTGCTCTGTCACCCAGACTTTTTGTACTAGACAAGCTCTAATTCAGGCAATTAAAGACAGCCTTGCAAGTGGAGTCCTCCAGGGAACCACCAAACAGATCAAATAATGACAATTCTTTGTGGTGCTGTTCTGTTTCCTCTGGTGGCTGCCAAGCTGCTAATTTTCATTGTGATTGTAAATTGTTAACTTTAAAGGCTACTAAGAAGCTAGAGAGATGGAGATGGAAATAGGCCAGTTAAAATGCCACAAAAACCACTATTTTTAACCAAGAGTCAGACCTTTTTCCCTCAATAAATTTTCCCTAAGTTGCTGTACATCTTTGTTTAAATTTCAGAGTTCTGAAGCAGTAGATTTTGAAAATTTTTCTCATTTTCCTCAGTGCTTTCCTGGAGAAGAGATTTTTCAGAGGTCCATTCTCTACCATTTTCACTGATGCTCAGAATATATTCTTTTTTAAAATTGCAGTAAAATATACAATACCCTTTTTTGTAATAACAAACATAGACAATGAAACTTCAACACTGCCAGTTACCTACTTTAAATTAAATAGAATTGAAACATTTGGGATGAAGAAATTCATTTCCTCAGAGATAAATTTAAACAAAAAACCTCAGAAAGATACAATTTAGAGAATACAATTTTTAAAAAATAAATCTCACATTGTTCTAGAAATTAAATTTCTTTTAAAAGTCTTTCCTCATAGATAGCTCACATTAATTAGAGACAATTGGCTTCAGAAATTTGATATTTGTTTCTGATATTCCAGAAACTTCTCACACTGAAAGCTCTAGAACTAAATCCCAGTGGTGTTGATACTCCCAAAATGCTCAGGAAGAGTCTTTCTTTTGAGCAGCAATGCACTGAAGTTTCCCAGTTGACCCTCCACATCTGAGTAGCACAGGAACAGAGAGAATTGAAAGAGAAAGAAGACTGAGTCAAATCAGTGATCAAGAAAATGGAAATCCTTTTATGGGTGGTTAAAGGAATGGAAGAGAAGACTGGGGTAAGTCCTAGACCAGGTGTAGGATGATCATGGCAAATAAAGGTGGCTTCCACTTGTCCTTAATAACAGCACCAGCTTATGCCTGGTTGTGGTTGTCTTTTAGAAGCCTAGATGTGCTTCACATACTCTGTACTTCCAGGCTGTGGGCCCACATGCTAACATCCAGGGCTCTGAGGCCTCGAATCACCAATAAAATAGTCATGAGTTCTAGCCCAAGTCATCACTGGGTTACCACTTTTTTTCTACCTGGACAGCTCAGTACACAATATAGAATTGCTTTATAATAAATTTTCTTTGTTATCTAGCTATTATAGCTGTGTGTCATCCAGGATCTGCACATCTTGATGCTCAACTCCAGAAAGCTCCAGACACATTTAGAACTCAAACTCTTCAAGAATCTCAAAAACCAGGGACATCAAAGCACACAGGTTCCATTGTCCATGCAGATGGATACCAAGAGAGGGCTGAGGAATACGTCTTTGGGCAGCTGTGGGAAAGTGACTTAGGTATTAGTCCCTAGATAGTCTCTGTTTTTGGCAGTGATACTATCATCATTCTGAGTAGGACTTTCTTTTTATTGTGAATTAATAAGGTACATGAGGTTTGGGTCAGGGAATTGTTGACAGTGTTGAAGAACAGTGTGATTATGTTGTGCTATATTTCTGCATGTTAGATTCCACCCTAGTAAGAGATGGTGCAGAGCCCTGACTTCTCTGTTACCAAAATAATTTTATTTTTTGAGATAGAGTCTGGCTGTATTACCCAGGCTACAGCATGATCATGGCTTGCTGCAGCCTCAACTTCCTGGGCTCGAGGATCCTCCCACCTCACCCTTTTCAGTAGCTAGGACCTCAGGTGCATGCCACCACACCCAGTCAATTTTTAAAATTTTTTGTAGAGACAGAGTCTCACTATGTTTCCCAGGCTGTTGTTGAACTCCTGGGCTCAAGCAATCCTCCTGTCTCGGCCTCCCTAAGTGCTGGGATTAAAGGCATGAGCCACTGTGCCCAGTCCCAGAACACTAATTTTTGACAAATGGTTTCATGAGGAGATTGTCTTGGAAGGAGCAAGCCCATTTTGCATTATCACCAGAGTCCCAAGCTATTTTCTAAAAAAAAAAATAGCAACCACTATTTCAGTGGAATCTTGGAGTATGTTATTATCTTTCTGAGCATTACCATGAATGCTGTAACTTGAATCCAGACCATGATGTTTTCCACATAGTCCCCATGTGTCAATTGCTTCAGTTACAGTTCACTTTTCCTAAAAATCAACTTATTTACTCTGAAGATTGAAACATTTTAAATTTCTCCATTAGCTTCCATGTCTATAGCCTTAGCAGAAACCGTGACAACCAAGAAGCAGTGACATTCCCTGAGATTTTTGCCTCATTGAGCAAATGCAGAACAATACCACCCAAAAGAGCATGGGTCCCAACTCAAACATATTTTTAGTGCTTGGTCCAGAACTTTTACCTGGGTGTGGCAAAGTTGAGCTAAGCTTTTTTCTTTTTTTATTTTCTTTTCTTTTTTCCTTTTTTTTTTTTTTTTTGAGACAGAGTCTCGCTCTTTCGCCCAGGCTGGAGTGCAGTGGGGCGATCTCCGCTCACTGCAAGCTCCGCCTCCTGGGTTCACGCCATTCTCCTGCCTCAGCCTCCCGAGTGGCTGGGACTACAGGCGCGTGCCACCACGCCCGGCTAATTTTTTGTATTTTTTAGTAGAGACGGGGTTTCACCATGTTAGCCAGGATGGTCTTGATCTCTTGACCTCGTGATCCACCCACCTCGGCCTCCCAAAGTGCTGGGATTACAGGCGTGAGCCACCACGCCCGGCGAGCTAAGCTTTTAAATTAAGGCTTGGGTTTGCAGAGGCCAGGGCTGAAACCACCTTGAGACCCCTCTTCTCCTTCTTCCCTTCCCCAGGATTGTCAAAACAAGTACTACTGTGAAAGAAGCTTCCAATAAGAGATAAGTTCTCAGTAAAATATCACCAAGCAAATGAAGATTGACACCATGAAAAAGAGACTCAACAAATAAAAGAATTGTTTTATCTACTATAAGAAATTGAAATTCGAAACAATATGGCAAGAACTTAAACGTAAAAGACTCAAACAACAAAGAAGGAAATAGCAATTTTGAAACAAGAACAAATAGTTGTGAAAACTTGCCAAATGAAAGTTTTCAAAAGAAAATTGTAATTTCTCAAAGAAAAAAATGCAGTACGTTATGTGAATCTCAGGTTGGGGCCTACCATATATATCAGAACAGCAAGAATAAATTTAAGAATCTAAAAGAGAGTAAAGAAGTTTACGGATAAAAGAATGAGAAGTAGACTGACATTGTACTTTTCATCAACGTGTTGAATGCCTAAAGAATGGAAGGAAAATAAGCTTAAAATTTTGAATCTATGATAAAGAAAACTATTGATTAACCATATGCATATTTGACATTAAAATAATTCATAATTAGGACTAACAGATTTCTGGCTTAAAAAATCTAACAATTACTTTAAGAAGCAAAAGACATTTCCAGAATAAAGTAGGGGGATATATAGAAAAGTTGGTACCTTTTTTAAACAGAGTCTTCTTTTGTAAGGAAGTAGAATTTATTCATCAAAGGAGATTTATGAAAAGTATGGTGGTATAGTGAGTGGCCTCACTAGTTTTAATGATTGATATTTGAATATAGCTTAGTCTTATAACAACTCCCCAAATAAAAATTTAAAATTCATTTGTATCCCTTTGATTTTCAGTGCTAAAAACTAGATTGTGAATGTCAAGGAAATATTTAAGTTATTTCTGAACTAATGTATTTGTAGAGAGAAGAAAGGAGTGTGCACGTGATCGAGAATTATGTTTTGAAAATAAATGAATGATTGGCTATTAAAAAAATTTTTAAGCCTTTGGGATCTTGCAAATTTTATTTAATCTTGATATCATTAAGACTAACCCAAGTTCAACAGAAGTACCAATTAGAGGCCAGAGAATTTAAATACCAATTTCAGAAAGTTAATTTGATGTACAAAAAAGTCTTATATTTAATTTCTTCTTTGTCCCTGAAATCAAAGATATAAATAAGCTCAATTTGGAACCAACTTGGAGATTAATACATAATTTTACAGTTCTCCAAGTTTCCACAAGTCTCAAGATGCAAAGGGAGACATTAAATAAAAAATTGCCTCTATAGGGAATTATTCTTCATACTCCACCCCTTTCTGAATACAGATAGTTCTTTTAAAATTCAATGTGTAGATCAGGTCCAAATAAACAAGTTTGTAAGTCCTTACAGCATTATTTTATTTCCCAAATAATTTAAAATTTATTTATTTAACAAATATAAACTGAGTGTCTACTATGAATGAGGCATTGTGCTATTTGCTGGAAATACCACTGTGAATAAACCAGAAACAGACTCTACCTTCAAGTTGTTTAGAGTCTAGTAAGGTCATTTTATATATTCTAGAATGAGGGAAGGGAGTAAAATTTTTCCTTCTCTTACTTTTTGATAATTGGAATACTGGTGAGATCGATTTGTAAATATTTTACAATAATGAATTAGCCTGCCTAGAAGAAAAATTACTAGAAAATTATTAATAACCCTTTTACCTTGTGCCAGGCATTTAGTTCGTGGAATTCCAAAACGTGGCAACACTAGTTAGTACTGTACATGTGGTACTCTCTCTGTTCTGTATTTAATGAAATATCCAGATGAATATGTTTTTGGAAGTTGTCTTCAAATAAAAGGGTAAAAGGTTTCTAACTGCCCTGAAAGAGAAGCAGCTTTGAACCAAGAGTAAGATGTGATTGTTTCCCACCTTCAAATTTAGTATAGATTATCTTTTCTGGCTTTGCTAAATTCTATTCATTTTCTCAACAATGTATAAGTCCAGTACATCTAAAAACTAAATTACAAATGGTATCTGTTCTTCTATCTTCAGTGTCTAAATGACTCAGCATATTGCCTTTTGAACTTTAGTCTCCGATCATATACCATATTAGTCCCCAAAAGAACTGCCCTCTATATTTTCCACAGTTGAGTACTTCCCTGGCTCTGATACCACCTGGGACTAAGGTAATCAAAGAGAGAGAAATCTTGATCAGAATTCTATGCCTTTTCCTGATATTCATGGAAAATCAGCTACGTATGCAAAGAAGAAAAATATCTGACCAAAACAGCCAGATTCAAACATCTCTATAAAGTACTTAAAGTGAAAGGAAATATTATATTAATTTTCCTCTGACTATTAAAGATTCACATATTTGGCTGGGCATGGTGGTTCATACCTGTTAATCCTAGCACTTTGGGAAGTGGAGGCAGGAGGATCCCTTGAGCACAGGAGTTCCAGACCAGCCTGGGCAACATGGGGAAACCCCATTTCTACAAATAAATTTTTTTTGTTGTTAAATAGCTGGGTGTGGTGGCACACACCTATGGTCCCAGCTACTCTGGAGGCTGAGGTGGTCAGATCCCTTGAGCCCAGGAGATTGAGACTGCAGTGAGCCATGATTGTACCACTGCACTCCAGCCTGGGCAACAGAGCAAGGCCCTGTCTCAAAAATTTTTTTTAAAAAGTATTTATGAATTTGATGCTGTTACATAAAATTACACCATTTAAATGTGATAATAACTACACTTTAACATATGTTTGAAAGCATGTCAATCTTAAACTCTTGCTTTTTGGGGAATTTTTAAAATCTTTGAGAAATTCTCTTTTCTCTAGTCATGAGTATTTAATTGCTAGAAAGTTATATGGATGTTCTGTGGGTGAAGAAATGCTTGTAAGAAGAAAATTAATTTTTTCCTAATACACTTCCCTAATTAGGAGCTAAATATTTTGTCGCTTAAAATAAGTTTTTTTATTTTACTCAAGATAACCATAAGATTCCATGTTTTGGTTGCTTCCAGATTTTATTCTTAGTTGTAGCTAATTTAGAGTTTCACAACGATATTGCCCTCTCCTTTTTAGAACTTTCTATTCTTGTACATCTTCTTTTAATTACATTGCAGGAGGTAGGATGCTGATAAGGATGGACAGTTTCTATCCCAGAAAGACCATATATAATCCTAAATCATGTCAGGTTAAAATCTGAAGGAGGGAACCAAGACAGGAAAAAAAGAAAATATCTTTCTCCTATATCATCATACAAGTGGCAAGTAGGTATTAATAATAAAATAGGACTGGGCCGGGCGCGGTGGCTCACGCCTGTAATCCCAGCACTTTGGGAGGCCGAGGCGGGCGGATCACGAGGTCAGGAGATCGAGACCATCCCGGCTAAAACGGTGAAACCCCGTCTCTACTAAAAATACAAAAAATTAGCCGGGTGTAGTGGCGGGCGCCTGTAGTCCCAGCTACTTGGGAGGCTGAGGCAGGAGAATGGCGTGAACCCGGGAGGCGGAGCTTGCAGTGAGCCGAGATCCCGCCACTGCACTCCAGCCTGGGCGACAGAGCGAGACTCCGTCTCAAAAAAAAAAAAAAAAAAAAAAAAAATAGGACTGGATAGGACACCACTTTTACCTTGAAGCATTTAGATATCATATACCCATGTATTTTCTTGAAATTAAAAATTGTCTCTCAGATTCATAACACTTACATCTCAGAATTTATGAAACAAATAGTTGTTCCACCAGATGTCTTACTAAACAACGTTTTTGTGTCAAATGGAAAAGAACAGTCAGTTTTTTAAATGGCATAGGTTTAATTTTTTTCCTCAGTCATCATGAACACACTTTAGATAAACCAAAGGGTAATTACCCATATTAGTCTATATTTGTGTCCATATTTTGGCCAATATAAGCACATAAAATATTGAAATATTAATTGCAAATGTCAACACAGAAAATGAACTAAATTACTTTCATTTGAGTACTATATCCCTAAAAAGATGATATATTACTATTTATTAAAGAAAACACATTCTTGTCTATCCTTAAAACTTTGTTAACTATAGACAAAGCTGCTTTGGGCATATTATAGAACACATTATATGAATATATTCAACAAGGGAAATTATAAAATTGGTGGTTTGGAACTCTCTCTACATTGCTTTATAATGTAAAATTTGAATGGAGTTATTTTAATAAGCTATTTGAAATCACTATTAAAAGACAGTGAATTTCTTTTTGCTCCCCATTAGAAAAAAAAAAGGCGGAATTAAGACTGCGTTGGCAAGCCAGGATGAAAGGAGAATATGCAAGGATTAACTACAGAAAAAGTAGAATCAATATATAAACAAAATGTTCTATCGACTAAGGATTCTCGATTGAAATACAAAACATTCAGAGCCACACAACTACTTTCCAGTACTGTTAATGAAACCTAAGCCATCCCTGGATTTGATATTTTGCTCTATTCTTGCTACTTGCCTTGAACCAGACCAAAAAAGACCTCTCCAATGGACAAAGCAGTAAAAAAGGACTTTCCACAGATTAACTAAGACGAGGCTCAGTAGATCCTTATTAACACTTAACTGAATTCAAAGCTCTTCCTGAAACTGGGATTTGCCTCGCTAACCCTCTCTGCACCCTGAGCAACGAAGTTGGGGATAATTGGCTTCAGGAACTTGAACTCATTTGTCCCGGAGCCTCCAGTCAGACACACCTCGTACTGGTAGCTCTGGGACAGGGTCCCGGTGCCGCTCACGTCCACCATCTGCCCTGGAAAGGGGCCCTCGGGCACCGAGCAGCGACCCACCGAGGCCGCCCTGCTCCTCCTGCACAGCCGCACCGCCACGAACAGGAGCACCGAAAAGAGGAAGAGCGAAGACACCGAGGCCAATGCCACCACCAGGTAGACGGTGAGCAAGTCGGCCTGGGCCTGGGCCGGTGCCGCCTCCGGGAGAGGCAGGTAGGGCTGGGAGAAGCCGTCCACCAGGAGCACATGCAGCGTGGCGGTGGCCGAGCGCGGAGGCTCGCCATTGTCCTTGACCAGCACCACCAGCCTGTGCTTGGCCGCGTCGCGCTCGCTCAGCAGCCTGGCGGTGCGCACTTCGCCATTGTGCGCCCACACGCCGAACAGCCCGGGCTCCGTGGCCTTGAGCAGCTGGTACGACAGCCAGGCGTTCTGGCCCGAGTCGCCGTCCACCGCCACCACCTTGGTCACCAGGTAGCCCGGCTCAGCCGCCCGGGGCACCAGCTCGGTGCAGGGCGCGGAGCCGTTCTGCAGCGGGTACAGCACGAAGGGCGAGTTGTCGTTGGCGTCCAGCACCAGCACGCGCACCAGCGCCTCGCTGCTCAAAGCCGGGGAGCCACGGTCTGTGGCGCCCACGCGGAACTCGAACGCCTGCAGGGCCTCGTAGTCCAGCGACCTGAGGGCAAACAGGTGGCCGTTGTCCGCGTTGATGGAGACCAGGGAAGAGAGGGGCAGGTGCGGGTCCTGGGGCGGCAGCAGCGAGTAGGTTACCTGGGCGTTGGTGCCTGAGTCTCTGTCTGTGGCGCTGACACTGCCGATGTGCAGGGCGGGGCTGTTGTTCTCGCGGACGAACAGGGTGTAGGAGATTTGGGTGAAGGCGGGGGCGTTGTCATTGACGTCGGAGACCAGCACGGTTATGTTGTACTTGGTTTTCAGCCTGGGTGTCCCCAGGTCAGTGATAGTGATGGTAATGTTGTACTCGGATCTGGTCTCTCTGTCCAGCGCGCCTTCTGACACTAGGGTGTAAAAATTCTCTACAGATGGTTTCAGGAAGAAGGGGAGATTGTTCTCAATGGAACACATCACTCTTCCGTTGTCTCCAGAGTCTAGATCAGAAACACTGAAAACAGCCAGTACAGTCTCTCCCGAGTTCTCAGGAATAGGGCTGTTTACTGAAGACAAGGTCAGTTCCGGTGGGTTGTCGTTGACATCAACCACCTGGACTATGACTGTAGACTTTCCGGATAGGCCTCCGCCATCCTTGGCCTCGATGTCGACTTCATAACTATTAATCGCTTCAAAATTCAAATATTTGACCAGTTGCATATCACCAGTAATTGGATTTAGCTGAAAAGTTTTGCGAATTTCTTCAGAAGCATGAAAAAATGCATATGATATTGTCCCAAAACTTCCTGTATCTAAGTCAGAAGCCGAGACAGTGACAATGACAGAGTTAACGGGGGTATTCTCTAGAACTGCAACCTCATAGAGCGGCTGTGCAAATTCTGGTGCATTGTCGTTTATATCTAAGACCTGGATGTTTATCTGGGCTGTCCCAGACCGAGGGGGAGAGCCGCCGTCCAGCGCGGTGAGCGTTAAGCTGAGTTCCGGCTGCTCCTCCGGATCGAGCGCTTTATCCAGTACTAGTTCCGGGTACTTCCTTCCGTCCCTACGACTGCGAGTGAGTACGTGGAAGTGGGAATTCGGAGTGATAGTGTAGTTTTGGAGGCTGTTTCTTCCCACATCCAAGTCCTCAGCATTTCCCAAAGGAATTACTGTTCCTGGCAGAGTGCTTTCTAGGATTTTCAGATGCATTTCATTTTCAAAGAATACCGGAGAATGGTCATTTACATCTATGATACGGAGCTCGTTTGTAACGAATTGCAAAGGGTTTTGCAGTAATATCTGAAAATGTAGTATGCATGGTTCTGTGGGGCCGCATAGCTCCTCCCGGTCCAATTTCTCATTCAGGAGCAAATCACCTGTCTGATGACTGAGCTGAAAATGCTGTTTGTTCCCTTTGGACACAACTTGGGCCCCCCTCGCGGCCAGTTCCTCTACCCTTAGTCCCAGATCCTTTGCTAGGTTGGCTATTAAAAAGCCCTTCTCTTTTTCCTCAGCCACAGAATAGCGTCTTGACTCGGACCCAGCCAGAGACCCTCCCAGAAAAACAAAGAGAAGCAAGACTTGCCTTTGTCTAAGAAATCGCTCTCCTCCCGCCTCCATTGCACTTTCCGTCACGCTCTTCCAGGGAATGTCGCCAAGCTGAACCTCAGACAGAGCTGGGAAACAGTCTTTTGCCCCACAACCTTTGTAGACGGCCTAGTGAATAAGCCTTTCCAGAGGCTCAGACTTGCTGGCTCAAAAATCTGCCTGGGCTCTCAACCGCTGGTTTACCACACTGGATCCGTGCGTCACCGAGCATGCACAATGCCTGTGGTTTAATTCGCCTTCTTAGTCAACAGCGCCACCATGCGTTCGCTTGCAGTTACAAAATCTTGGAGAAGGTGTTTTTATTTTGCTTTATCGATTATTCTTATCAACCCTAGTTGACGCTACTGGAGGAGTTTCTCATGTTATATGAATTAAATAAATGCAATCTAGGGAAATAAAATGCACTTTTATCTACGAGCAGCGATTCTTCCTGGTAGAGTCCTCATTTACACGATTTAACGGAAGTGTACACATACTAGTTTACCCCTCCCCTTTTGTAATAATTACACACAAACTTCAAAAGATTTTTGCTCTAGATGATAGCATGCTTCACTATCCTATTTATGTTTTTCTTTTTTTCCTAAACTTTGTGAAATGAGCCCGAATTGCATATACCAGAAAAACACAAGGAAAAGACACCTCCTGCAAGGTGGTAAAAAAGAAAATATATCATGTCAGAGGTGGATCCAGAGGACTACAAATACCTAATTTCTTCCAGATTATCATGCTCAAGGAACACTTAAAGTGCTTTCTCTTCTTATTTCAGAGCAAATTTACAATTATTCATTTCATCTGTATTAGTTTATTTCCACAGATAATTGTTGAGTTTGTAGAAGTTAGGCAAGTGGTGGTAACAAGACAATGTCTGTATATCTTACAACAATTTTCCATCTAGTGGGTGTACAGTCTTTAAACAGATGTTTAAACAGTGTGAAAAGTGCTACATAGAAAAGGTACTGAGTGCACTGAAAGTATGCAATACGGGGACCTAACTTAATGGAGAGTGATTAAGAAAGTTTCCCCCAAGGTGCACCATTTAATCTGAAACATGAAATAGGAGAAGTGTGCCAGGCTAAGACTGTAGAATGTGTGAAGGCCCTGAGAGAGCAAAGCATAGCTATTAATAGATAATGAATGAAGTACAGTGAATACAAAACTTAATGTCTCAAGAGTAAGTGGAAAGGAAGGCTGAAAAGGTAAACCAAGGCCAAATAATGGGCGCTTGGATTTTATTATTCTAAGAACAAAAGGAAGCCATTGCAAGGTTGTTGGTACAGAAATAAAACAGTGCAAATATGTGTTCAATGTAGCCGCTTTTGTACTTCTACACAATTATCAAGAATGTTTGCTCTTAATACTAGTGATACTAAAAATAACAGCAATTTCACTTTTATGTCTTTATATTGAGTATAACTGCAAGCTATTCAAATACCTGCTATCATTTGGGTAGAAGAAAAGAAACTTTGTGACTCATCCAAAATCCTACAGGTAATGAGTTGGTTGATCAGAGACTTTTGATACCAACACAGCGCTCTACACCATTGCTAATCTCAAAACAAGACCTTCAAAGTTAATATTAAAATTTTAATAGGATAGCTCATTCAAATGTATGTAAAAATGATATAAAAATATAAAGATAGACTGAGTAACATTAAGAATTAAGATTTGTTTTAATGTATGGATCAGAAAGTAAACTGCAAGAAATGAAAACAGTTGGGTGAGTCATTTAGGGAACTATGGAAGGAAATTTAAGTAATAAAATTAAAAGCCATCTGTATTCCTTAAGCCAGTGGACAGGAAAGGAGGCTCAATTTAAGCATTAAGAGAAAAAGTAAAAATATGTTGAAGGAAAGCGACAACAGAATGATAACTGCATGTTCAAACAATGGTAACCAATTCAATTAATAACAAAATTATAATTCATTGTACACCAAAGAGTATTTGATTCCAGCAAAATGTTTTCCTTTAAGTGTTCTAGTTTATTTAAATATCAATATATCACAGGTAAAATACTTTTCTCTCTTTCAATCATTCAAAAATTTTATTAAGAGCCTATAATATTCCAGTGACTGTGTGAATCATTCAATAAATGAGGGAGCTGTTGAGAAACAGAACTCAAGCACCTTTATAAAAAAGCATTGAAAAGTCTAGGGAAATGAAAGGGGGAAAAATAGAAGTAGTCAGTGCAAAAAAATAGAGTGAGTGGTGCTAGATAAATTTTTCTCCCTAAAGGCTTGTTTCTAAGTGAATCCTAAATGCTCCAGAAAATTTTAAAAACAGCAATACCAAGCTATGTTTGAGGGTTCTAAAGGTAAAGGACAAAGACATGTACTCCCTCAAATTTTTTGGATTTTAATGAAGTGCTCAAAGTTAATAGGTTATTAATAATTTTAAAAGATTTTAAAGGGGGGGACTGGAATAAGCAGAGGGCTCTTAAAAAAACTATTTGAAAGAGAAAGCATGATGAATTAGCATGCCTTTGAAAATTGCTAGACATGTATTATTTATCTACATTTTTGAATATTAATGATTGACTTTTGACAAAAATTTATTAGAGCACTTATGATGTTAGTGCCTTGTAGAATCCAACAGTTAAAATTCTTACAATCTCTAAAGACTAATACTTTTCATATGTCAACACTTGAAAGAAGTATACATATTGGACTGGGGGGCGGTGGCTCACGCCTGTAATCCCAGCACTTTGGGAGGCTGAGGTGGGCAGATCACCTAAGGTCAGGAGTTCAAGACCAACCTGACCAACATGGAGACACCCTGTCTCTACTAAAAATACAAAATTAGCCGGGCATAATGATGCATGCCTGTAATCCCAGCTACTTGGGAGGCTGAGGCAGGAGAATCGCTTGAACCCGGGAGGCAGAGGTTGCGGCGAGCCGAGATTGCGCCATTGCACTCCACTACAGCCTGAGCAACAAGTGCAAAACTCCATCTCAAAAAAAAAAAAAAATTACATATATTGAAAAACGTAAGGACGGTGCTTGCTATATTATTCATAAATATACCTATTTAAAGGGTTAGCCAATGTGAATTCACAGGATAGAATTTACACTAGCCTAAGAGGATATAAAAA
The DNA here is from genome assembly GCF_000001405.40 of Homo sapiens. Taxonomy (NCBI): domain Eukaryota; kingdom Metazoa; phylum Chordata; class Mammalia; order Primates; family Hominidae; genus Homo; species Homo sapiens. The sequence goes on along the minus strand of NC_000005.10, from coordinate 141,097,573 downwards.
ACACAAATATTCTGGGCTGGAAAATATAACTCATGTAATGATAACAAATATTTTCAAATGTAGGACTTCAAAATTATCTAGGACCATAGACTGTGAGGTCTGGAAAAGATGCTCTAACTTAAAGATTTCTGAAAATACAAAATTTACTTTTACACTTTAAATGCAATTAAATTGCAATGAAACTAACCAACAATTAGAATACAAAGAAAATTTACATTTATTATACCGCAAAAAAACTCATACATTTATAAATACCAGTAACATGCATAGAATTGGAATAAGATGGTTACTTTCTAATAAAAGGAGACACCTCCAATGGGCAAAGCAGTAAAAAAGGACTTTCCACAAATTAAACGAGACTAGCCTCAGTAGATCCTTATTAACACTTAAGTGAATTCAAAGCTCTTCCTGAAACTGGGATTTGCCTCGCTAACCCTCTCTGCACCCTGAGCAACGAAGTTGGGGATAATTGGCTTCAGGAACTTGAACTCATTTGTCCCGGAGCCTCCAGTCAGACACACCTCGTACTGGTAGCTCTGGGACAGGGTCCCGGTGCCGCTCACGTCCACCATCTGCCCTGGAAAGGGGCCCTCGGGCACCGAGCAGCGACCCACCGAGGCCGCCCTGCTCCTCCTGCACAGCCGCACCGCCACGAACAGGAGCACCGAGAAGAGGAAGAGCGAAGACACCGAGGCCAACGCCACCACCAGGTAGACGGTGAGCAAGTCGGCCTGGGCCTGGGCCGGTGCCGCCTCCGGGAGCAGCAGGTAGGGCTGGGAGAAGCCGTCCACCAGGAGCACGTGCAGCGTGGCGGTGGCCGAGCGCGGAGGCTCGCCATTGTCCTTGACCAGCACCACCAGCCTCTGCTTGGCAGCGTCGCGCTCCCTCAGCAGCCTGGCGGTGCGCACCTCGCCATTGTGCGCCCACACGCCGAACAGCCCGGGCTCCGTGGCCTTGAGCAGCTGGTACGACAGCCAGGCGTTCTGGCCCGAGTCGCCGTCCACCGCCACCACCTTGGTCACCAGGTAGCCCGGCTCGGCCGCCCGGGGCACCAGCTCGGTGCAGGGCGCGGAGCCGTTCTGCAGCGGGTACAGCACGAAGGGCGAGTTGTCGTTGGCGTCCAGCACCAGCACGCGCACCAGCGCCTCGCTGCTCAACGCCGGGGAGCCGCGGTCTGCGGCGCCCACGCGGAACTCGAACGCCTGCAGGGCCTCGTAGTCCAGCGACTGGAGAGCGAACAGGTGGCCGTTGTCCGCGTTGATGGAGACCAGGGAGGCGAGGGGCAGGTGCGGGTCCTGGGGCGGCAGCAGCGAGTAGGTGACCTGGGCGTTGGTGCCCGAGTCTCTGTCTGTGGCGCTGACGCTGCCGATGTGCAGGGCGGGGCTGTTGTTCTCGCGGACGAACAGGGTGTAGGAGGTTTGGGTGAAGGCGGGGGCGTTGTCATTGACGTCGGAGACCAGCACGGTTATGTTGTGCTCGGTTTTCAGCCTGGGTGTCCCGAAGTCGGTGACGGTGATGGTGATGTTGTATTCGGATCTGGTCTCCCGGTCCAGGGCCGTGCTTATCACCAGAGTGTAAAAGTTCTCAACAGAAGGTTTCAAGAAAAAAGGAAGATCATCTTGGATGGAGCACACCATCCTTCCGTTGTCTCCGGAGTCAGGATCTGAAACGCTGAATACAGCAATGAGGGTGTCCTGCAAGTTTTCTGGGATCTGATTGATAAGTGTCGACATAGTTAGTTCCGGAGGATTGTCATTCAAATCCATCACTTGGACAAATACCACACAAGTTCCAGATAGGCCCCCACCATCTGTCGCCTGAATATTTACTGTGTATGTCTGGATGGATTCGAAATCCAGTTTCTGTCTTAAAAGCAGTTCTCCCGATTTTGCACTTAATCGAAACGTTTTGCGAATGTCTTCAGATGCTTGGGAAAATGCATAAGATATTTCTCCATTAGTTCCAATGTCTAAATCCCTGGCAGAGACGATGGCAACCTGGGATCCAACGGGGCTGTCCTCCGGGATCTGCACCTCATAGAGCAGCTTTGCAAACTCTGGGACGTTGTCATTGATGTCCACAACTTCAATCCGTACCAGGGCCGTGCCGGACCTGGGTGGACTCCCGCCATCTAGCGCTGTGAGGGTTAACCTGATCTCAGGCTGCTCCTCGCGATCCAGGGCTCTGTTCAGCACCAGCTGTGGTAATATTATGCCATCGAGACTGTCTTGTAAATTAAGATGAAAGTGGAAATTGGGACTGATTGTGTAATTTTGGAGACTGTTGGTTCCTACATCCAAGTCCTGGGCACGTTCTATTAAGAAAGTAGTTCCAGGAGTGATACTTTCTGGAATTTTCAAAAGTATTTCTTTGTCTAGGAAAACTGGGGAATGATCATTTACGTCCCTAATCCGTAGCTCCGCCTGAAAAAACTGCAAGGGATTTTCTAGTAACACCTGGAAAGGTAGGACACAGGGCTCTGTGGGGCCGCACAGCTCCTCCCGGTCCAATTTCTCATTTAACAACAAATCCCCGGTCTGCCTATCGAACTGCAAATGCATTTTTTTTCCTTTGGAAACGACCCTGGCCCCCCTCACAGCAAGTTCTCCTATCTCCAGCCCCAGGTCTTTTAACAAATTGGCCACAAAGGAGCCACTCTCCGTTTCCTCGGCCACTGAATAGTGCCTAGGCTGGCAACTAGCCTGAGCTATGCCCAGCAAAACAAAGAATATCAGGACTTGCCTTTGTTTCGGAACGCGCTCCTTCCCCTCTCCGGCCTCCATTGCTTTCTGGTCTCTCACCAAACGTGCTCCAGCTCTGGCTCACGTTGTCGCTAACTCTATCTCCCCGTATCTCGCTGATACTGGGATGAGTGGACAATCCTAGGGCCCGGATTTCCCGGAGCGACCGCCTTAGAAAGCCTCCTCTTCCTGCTTGCTGCTTCTTTAGCTGAGTATCTGGGTAAGGGAGCGTCGGCTGGGTGCTTTGTTTCTGCTACTTCTAAGGCTGCAGCGCCACCCCGCGTCTCTTCCGAGTATTTATTTTCTCCTAAACTTTAAGAAAATCCCAGTGCTTTCTTTCAGGCTGATGGCAATCGAAATTGAGTATTTTCAAGTAGTGTCTCTCAGTGTACCGAAGTCTTATTGGCGTTTCGAAAGGCTCTTCATTGCACCCATAGAGACAGGGCAAGAATAAATAAATCTTCACTTCCCTCACAAATCCAAGCTTTTTTTTTTTTTCAAACTGGAAAAAATAAATTTCAGAACCTGGAAGGGAGTGATCTCAGTCCTAGCATGCTTCGGAAAGAAGGCTTAGACTAAGAAAGTTCTATTTTTATTCAGAGTTTGGGCATGTGTGCAACTCAGTGGTGGTTAGATTACCATCATCACACTCAAACCCAGCTGAAAAACAGAGACCCAGGAAAAGCACAGAATCCAAATAAGAGTATTTTAATGGGCACTGAAATAGTCTCCTTACTCATATTTCTTTCTTTGCACTGCTCCCACTTCACATTTTCCTGAACTTTGATGTGTCTGAGCCTCATGAAACTCTCCAAGAGCAGCCAGATATTTCCTTATTGTAAATGTATCAATATTATTTTCCTTTCTAATGCCTAGGAGAACTTTCAACATAACCTCAATTCAATTACCACATCTAGCAAAGAGCAATTTCATAATATTAAATAGCCAGTAAATATTCCAGTTTCCCCAATTATCTTTAAAAATGTCTTTTCAGTGATGGTTTCTTCAATCTGCTTCCAAACAGGGTATATATGTCATTGTTTGTTGTTAGGTTTTTTAATTTTGTCTTTTTGTTTCTTTTTTAATGTTAATATAAAGAAGTTATCAAGCCACAGAATGACATGAAGGAAACTTAAATGCATATTTCTCAGTGAAAGAATCCAGTCTGAAAAGGCAATGATACTGTATAATTCAAATTACATGATACTCTGAAAAAGGCCAAATTATAGAGACATTTAAAAGACAAGTGATAGCTAGGAAGAAGAGGGAGGGGGATGAAGAGGTTAAACATGGGGTACTTTACGATACTACAATGGTAGATACATGACATTATGCCGTTGTCAAAATCCACAGAACTATACAACACAAAGAGTGAACACTAAACTATGAAATTTAGTTAATAATTTACCAGTATTGGCTCATCAATTGTAACAAATGTACCACAGTAATGCAAGATTTTGATAACAGGGAAACTTTGAGTGGGAGAAAATCGGTATGTGAGGGGAACTGTTTGTACTATTTGCTCAATTTTCTGTAAACTCTAAGGCTGCTTTAAAAAATAATTTTACTTTGGGAGGCCGAGGCAGGCAGATCACGAGGTCAAGAGATCAAGACCATCCTGGCCAACCTGGTGAAACCCCATCTCTACTAAAAATACAAAAAAAATGAGCCAGGCATGGTGATGGGTGCCTGTAATCCCAGCTACTTGGGAGGGTGAGGCAGGAGAATCACTTGAACCCGGGAGGCGGAGATTGCAGTGAGCTGAGATCATGCCATTGCACTCCAAGCCTGGTGACAAAGCGAGACTCCATCTCAAAATAATAATAATAATAATAAATATTAGGATGTGTCTCTAAAAGATCCATTGGGTTAAAAAATTGGGGGATGAAGAAAAAAATTAAATATATAGAACAGTTAAAAGAACTATACATAAACTACAACTCTAACCTCCATCCAAACTTAACAATTGTTTATATTTTACCATATTTGTTCTATCTTATTCTGTACACACACCCGCTTTTCTGATGACTTATATGAAAGTAACTTGCAGACATCATATTTCACCTCTAAATATTTCAGCAGGTATCACATAATTATAATATTATCTCATATAATCATAATGGTTCTATCATACCTAAGAAAATTTAAAAAAATTCTACAGTTATCTAAAATCCAGCCCCAATCAAATTTCACTGTCTTTCCATTATCTTTTCCTCAATTTTGATAAGAATTCACACTCACTCAAGTTCCTTTGACAAATGCACTTACTTTTTTAACTATTTGTTATAAGGAATGTCTTAGAAACTTTTTCAACCAACTTTGATAATTGTATTTGGCTATTAGATCTATTTACTCTAGAATACTCCCCCATCTTTAATGACATTAGATTTCTGAAGTGTCCAGACTAGTTGTTTTGTAGGATGTCCTACATTCCAAATTTGATTGTTTCCTCATGGTATCATTTAACCTGTTCTTCTATCCCCTGTATTTTCAGAAAACTGGACTGGATGATTTATTAAATGTAACAATAGCATAATATTTTAAAAAGCTCTCATTTATCATCTTGTAACTGGCTAAAAAAAGGATAATCACAGGTTCCTTTTCTTAACATTTAGAAAACAAATGCCTATCTCTACCTGTTGATATTATTTTTTGCTTTCCATGATTATTACTTTTATATGGATGTTATAATAATTCAAAATATGTTAATTCATTGACATTGAGCATTAAACAAATTCATTGAGGTGAATAACACCCAAGGTCCAAGTCTTTAAAAACAGCTTTTTATATAATCTGCAAAACCTGATTAGGGTCCGAAATAGATGTAGTGAAGATCAGTTATATCATACAGGCAAATTATAACTGGTAGGTTACTCGAAATTTTATATTTAACCAGGTATATGGCTATTTCCTTTGGACAGGTTTTCTGAACTAAAGCAGTTATGGTTAATTTGGGATAACATAAAGGAGAGGAAAATAGGTAATATGAAGAAAATAACATAATCTCTTCTCACAAGCTGGAGAATAGAAAACTTAATATCTAAGATATTTCAGAGGATACAATAACCAAGAACACATTAGGTTTTATTGTGAAAAAAATTTTAAAACCTCTCATGTTGTCATGTGTCCTCACAATTCAGAAGGTTTTACCCATCTTTCATTTCAATGCTATTAACACACCTAGAAATAGAAGTAAGTTTCTCTTTTTCAAAGATTATATAACCAACACCAATATTTTATATTCGTATATAGGTTTCCAGCTTTAAATGCATTATATCCGCTATGCTATTTTAAATCATTTATTTTCTTAAACCTTGATGAGAATACACCTTCCTTCTTTACAAATGCTCTTATTTTCTTAATCTCCTTTAATAAGGAATCATATATATTAGATTATAATTTATAGCATATTTATAAGTCTGAATGAAATATGTTTACATATAGTAATTATTTATATTATAATGAGGGGAATCTATTGCATAATTTAAAAATTATGTTATTACAGTAGGTTTAATTTCTTAGGTTTCGCTTTACTTTTCATATGCTGCACAAGCAGAGACATTATCCTAGGAGTCACTTTCATAATTTTGAAGATTCATTTAATAAAATCTAACATATTAAAATGTTACACAAATAATTTCATATACAGGAATAGAAAAATATTTTCAAAAACATACCAAAAATGAAAGCAAGTCATTACAGTCTTATTACAAAAGTACAGCCATTCAAAAACTAAATAAGAACACATTGTTTGAGTATCTGTCATAATTAAGCTTGCCTCTCTCTTTTTTGGACTAAAGGGTGATTTGATCTTTTGACTGCCATGAGATGAAAATTACAAGAATTAGGAGAAAGGGTAGTCAAAGGGATTTACATGACCATTTTCCTATCAAAGATAATGCCAAATGATATGGAGATATTATCCCCACTAGTATCCCTCTTTCAATAGAGAGGGATCTTCAGCCTTTCAATGCCTTCTGCCCACAAGCTGGCTTTACTTACTCAGCCATAAGATGGCAGAAGAAGGAGGGGTTTTCAGTGATCTAACACTAAGATTCTGCAGAAAATATAAGAGAAATATTCTAGGACAAGAAGGGAGTGTTCTGGCATAGTTTATTACCCTAATCTAGTGTGAAAATTGGGGGCATATTCAACTAATTTACTTTTACCTTATTGAGGATACAAATAAGTTTCCCCATAATCTATCAAGACATACATTTCATGAAGCTCAAGCAAACAAGATTTCAAAATAAAGGTCGGCTACACGTGGTGGCTCACACCTGTAATCCCAGCACTTTGGGAGTCCAAGATGGGTGGATTGCTTGAGTCCAGGAGTTTTGAAGACCAGCCTGCAATGTGGCAAAGCCCCATGTCTACCAAAAAAAAAAAAAAAAAATCAGCCAGGTGTGGTGGCTCACGCCCATAGTCCCAGCTACATAGGGGGCTGGGGTGTTAGCGTCACTTGTGCCCTGGAGGCAGAGGTTGCAGTAAGCCGAGATCACACCACTGCACTCCAGCTTGGGAGACAGAGCGACACCCTGTCTCAAACAACAACAACAACAACAAACAAACAAGCAAATGAAACAAGAAATAAATATAACTCAAAAAGGGGAAATGGTGTTGTTTATTCTCTTCCCACAGTACAAATAAGCAAGAAAAGGTTTTTAAAATGATACCTGCACAAGAATCTTGCCCAATTTTGTTTAAGGAGAACCATCAGAGTCTATTAGGACAATCTGTCCCCTTGAAAATAAAAATCTTGACCAGGACTGCAGATAAAGCTAGATAGACAGATATAGATGGAAATAGAGATGAGAGAGACAGAGGTATGACCTCTTCCAAAAATCTCAGACTTTTTTTTATGATTAAAATAGGTTAAAACTTAAATCAGGTTTAGGTAATCTGGTAGATGATTGAATTTTCACTAAGATCACTATTGAAATTTTACTTTAAAAGAAAATATGGACTGGGTGCTGTGGCTTATGCCTGTAATCCCAGCACTTTGGGAGGCCAAGGCAGGTGGATCACGAGGTCAGGAGATCGAGACCATCCTAGCTAACACGGTGAAACCCTGTCTCTACTAAAAATACAAAAAATTAGCTGGGCATGGTGGCAGGCGCCTGGAGTCCCAGCTACTCGGGAGGCTGAGGCAGGAGAATGGCGTGAACCCGGGAGGCAGAGCTTGCAGTGAGCTGAGATGGCGCCACTGCACTCCAGCCTGGGCAACAGAGCGAGACTCCATCTCAAAAAAAAAAAAAAAGAAAAGAAAATAATATGGCTAAATACAATATCGAAAATTAGTAAATAATGAAGAAATCCAAAGGTGTAGAGAGGGCAAAGAATACGGGGTGAGGGGAAGAAACCTGAAACTCTGACTACAAAATACAAAGCATAAATAATCAATTTAGATATGCTAAAGAAATATAAGGAAATACTTGAAAATTATAACATATTTTCATATCACAGTAATTATTTGAACATCTACTGTGTAAAGAAGCAGGCCAACAAGAAAACAAAGGAATACTAAAACCATAGTATATGCTAAGTGAGGAATCTAAGTGACAGACCCCATATTCCTGAGGTCTGTCAAGATGTAGCCAGTAGAGCTGAAAGAAACAGCTGACCAGCAGCAGTTGTTGTCTGAATCTGGAATACATAGGTGGCATCTCAGTGTCCTTGACCATAACCTGAAGTCTATGATTGGCTAGATTACCATCACTCACAAACCTAGTGTGCACACTTCCCAGTGTTGGGCTAACACGCTATACAGATGGAGACTCAAGTCTTTGAGTAACTGATAGGACATGAAGACCTTCCAGACCTAGTCTCCTTCTACTGCCACCACCTTGAACATCACATAATCCGTTCTGCATTAAATATAACACAAAGGAGAATTGCCATTGCCATCAAATATTACCAACCACACCAACACCATGCTGCTAGCTCATGGTAGTAGTAGTGTCTGTTTCTCTCATACAGAACTTGACTCTTATGGGCCTTACAAACAGATTCTTTGTGTCCACTGTCATGGAGTACTGCACATCCTGGGAAACCAGAAGCAAATAAGTTACTTGGGTGTTTTTCTAAGTCTCTGTTTATGGCAGTGTGCTGCTAAAATGCACACTCTAGGGCTGTGTTTTCATACTTGATAAGTGCAGAGGCAGTTTGGTGAAAATGAAGACCTGGTTATATTGTTTCCTTTCAGCTTACAGTAACTCCAGATCTCTGGCAGTAATCATAGAATTGTACTTGTCTTTAATCTACCTCTATTGAAGGCTTTAGGGTGAAGGGAAGGTGGTATTATGAAGCCCAAATATCTATTTTTTTTTCTGTGATCTGGATCTGAAACACAGGAAACAGCAGATATGGTCTTAAAGCAGATATGGCTCCTTGGGACCTAGTTCATAAATGATGACATGATGATTAGGAGTGGACTGTCTTTTACAGCAAGAAGTTACATTTTCTAGAGTCTTTAATTATTGATGATCTCAGAATCCACACTGTAGATTAGTATAGCCTTGGAATTTACGGGTTTGAGTGATGGGTTTGCTTTTGGTACTTTTATACCAATGTAAATGCTTTATTAAAGTTTTCATTAAGTCTTCAGTAGCCCGGTAAAACCTTAAAGATAGTTTTATATTATACCTTGTATCCAAATTCCTGATAGAAAAGTGATAGCCAGGGAGGAAAAACTTTTTTTCTGGGATTACTGTACTGAACTACTATATATTACAGCTGAGTAAAATCACTGATAACCCACAACTTTGGTGAAGACCAATGCAGATTTGGATCTATGTGGGGACCCACCATCCAATATCATGATAGTTAAATTAACCTCAACCCATTTCTTTCCACTGAGAAAATTGCCCATCCTCATTCAGGATATTTTCTGCCACCATTCTCTAAGCAAACAGAAGAGAAGACATGGGAATTAGGATTCAAAATATACTTATGAATACTGCTCTGTCTACATGTTCTGCCATCTATATGGTCTCTACAAGATGCTCTCCTTGATTTTTTGCAGCATTCCTAGATCCAGTAATACACACTAGTGAATGGCTATATCTGTGAGTCCAAGGCACCTTGTAAAAATGTAACTCATTTTTCCAAGTTACCTTTCTCAAGGCAAATGAGTAACTCAAATGAGTTACATTTTTCCAAGGTGCTTTGAGACTCACAGATGGATCCAATTTCTATTTAGTACCCACTCCTGAGTCTTTTGATTTGAAAATGCAGTTTTTTAAATCTATAGAAACATGAATTACCCTCTCGCTCCCCATACCTCTCAAGTTCCCCATCCTAAGGCCCAAAATCTCTGCAAAATTAGCAATGAAGGAACCACTCTCCAGCACCTCTGGAACAGAATTCTGCAGTTCAGTATCCTGAATGGTACATGCTTAGTAAAACAGAATCACACTTTGTTTTAGACTGGGCTTTAAGTATTACATTATTCCTTCTTCTAACACCTTCCAGCAAATATGGTCCTACACAAACTCTGATCACCCTAATGTTTCTATTACTTATGCCACCAGAATCTTAGACATCCAATACAACTTTCACAGACAGGGTAATATAATATGAAACATACAGCACTGTATTTGCAATCTGCTTTAACCACCATTTGAGCCTGCAGTGCCATTATAGGACCGCCCCCCACCCCCCGTCAGTGCATTAAACTCTCTAGAAAGAAAAAAAGTATTTGAGAAAGGCAAATGAAAACACCAAACACTTTGTATTTATGTAATTATTATCCAGTGTATTGAATAATGTCTGTTTTCATTTTATCAGCAACTATCATAAATATATTAAATATCAACAAATAGGTCTTATTTGAGGCATATTCTGTTGTATCTTCTTTAATTTTCCTAAGCCATACAGGAGAGTATTAAACACTGACATAAAGAAAAAAAAGATAAGATTGTTTTGTCGGTCTGTTTTACATGACATTTAATGTACTGGATATGCTATGATATTAATTGCCAAAGAATTAATCATTTTTGATGTTTAATAAGGAAACAGTAAAAATTAACAAACACAAATTTAACATTGACATAAATAAGCTACACAGCAACTCAGTTGATTTACGTCTTAAATAACGAAAAAGACATTTATTTCTACAGTTTTTTTTCTTGTAGTTGTATATCTCCATTTGATTTCGTGGTCATCAATATCACCAAAATCATCAAATGACTATTTCAAATAAAAAGTTAAAACCATATATTAATAATAGTAATCAAGTAAATAGTTACTTAAACTAAGTAAATGGAGACCAGTCCTGCTGAAAAGTAGACTATCACAACTTGTCAGCCATCATTTACGAAATATCAAGAAAAGCAAAAGATGACTTTAAAATAAATAGCTTGACCTTCTTTGAGAAGTTACGAAGACTATCATTTTATGGATTGAAGTGGGATGAATTTCCTTGTCAAGCTTCAGAATATCTGCTAGGACAGTCTACTCAAAGTTTTAGGGGTAATTTACCTTTGAGAAAGATCAAAGGAAACTAGGCATGAGCAGAAAAAAATGCGTTCCTTTTCTGTGCTTAACAATAAAGAGGAAATACACTACTAGATTCTAAATAGACCTTTGTGAAATAGATAAAAAGATAAAAATAGCTAAGCCATCAATATCTGTTAACTGTTAATGAACAATTAGCTATGCTTCAGAAAAAAAACACGATGGAAATTAGAGCCATAAAATAACCAAAACATTCAGAACGGTGCTGTTATTCCTCTACCTTTTATCCAGAATCCAAAAGGAAGAACGCCAAGGATGATAGCTGTCTCTACCTACTGTCTTGTTTTGAGCTTCCTGGAACCTAATTTCATTGGAAATACAGTGATGTTGCGTGTAGCTCTCTTTTCTGGTTTGCATTATTAGGTTGTCAGATTATGGAATATTTTAAATATCCAATGAAAAGAAAACTCTGGTAGGAAGGATCAAAGCTTTTTCTTGTTTTGTTTTGTTTTTGTTGTTGTTGTTGTTTTATCTCAGGGTGCTGAGATTATGGTTCTTAAACAGATGAAGTCTTCCCAGAAGTGCTCCAGGATGAGGCAGATAAGTGTCAACATGACCAATTCTATGTGATTGTCATCCAATGGCATGGTCTTCCACCGTCCTTCACATGAAGAAACAATTTCTGAAACTATTTCTGCTTGTAATTGCCTGAGTATTTGCCACGTGGCACTGAAATTTCCTGGTAATTCTCTTGCAGTGGATGCTTATGATGCATGGGGTATCAGTGGTATTTAAAATGTTCTGCTAGCATTTAAAATGCTCTCCAGAGGTTGCAGAATTCAGTGAGCCTGGAGAATTCTGAGAGCCGATTCATAATTATTTACTCAGACTAAATCTTCAGCCGGTTGCTGTGAGACCTGCATCTCAAAGATTGTCATTGATTGTCATGACTTGGACTTAGGAGGTCTCAGATATCTACCATTCTTCTCTGGGAGAGTTAAACTTACCTTGGGCTGTGGTTCATCCAGCGATTTTTTTCACGCGTATGGACAAATTACTTACCCCAATATTGCACAGCACATTATTGTGAACATGGAAATTGAAAATGAGTGTGTAGTTTCCAATGATGGAAAATTTACCCAAACCTCATACATGTTCCTGGTGCACATTCTGGAACATTCAGAAGAATTTTTCAAAGGAGGAAACGGTTACACCTCAGACACAGATTTTTCTCAAAAGACAAATTTTTTTTTTTTTTAAATACAGGTAATTCTTGGAAATGCAGGGCTCCTATAGGTCCGATTTTCTACTTGAGAGCAAGGACTCTTCTGTGGGTCGATCTGAAATATTATTTGGTCTCTTTGGAAACTATCCTGCTCCAGTCTGTCCTCCCGCCGCTCCCCTTTCCGCCGCCAGCGCCAATCTCCAGAAACCCTGACCATAAAAAAGCAGTTTTCCTTTTCCTGGGCCGCCTGCGCTACACCCGGGAAGAAAATGAAAACCCACCACCTGCGTTTTCTGCCAGATTTTTTTCTCGCACAATTTCCTGTATATCCTCTGAGTGCATTGCCTTTAGTAAATGAAGTCTTCGGAAATCCTGTAAGACTTCCAAACATTTGTGTAGTCCCCATTCGTTTGAAGAAAGCTCTAAAATCTGAGCTCGCTGCGGACGTTTTCCAACTCGTATCTGTTCCCAGCACCTTTCAGATTTTGTCTTTTCTAAGATGGAGTCTGCAGGCAAATGCAGGGCTCCTCCTCCTCCTACTTTTTAGCCTGTAGTGCCACCAGGCGTCCGAACTGAAAACCTGGGCTGTACAGCGCTTTCCTGCGGAAACTGTCAAAATCTGTTCATATTCACATCTAGGGGCGGAATTCTCACCTCTTGAGTTTTAATTACTTCTCCAATATTTAGTTTACTTAATGTGAACAAAAACAATGGTTGTTTATTATCATAATATCAGCTGTGAGATTTCCTTTGAGAGGAACCGAATTGGATTTCTTTCATTTCAATCAAGCCAGTCATTTGGCCATAAATTCATTGAACTGATTAATTCTTCGCAGGTATTTTTTACACACAGATTATATTCAAGCACTGTAAAAGACATTGGGGATATAAAGTTGAGTAAAGTCTGGTGCCTACACCGCAGGAGGTTAGAATATTAAAAAGGTGACTCGGTGATTTGCATAGGCACTATCAGGTACTAAAAAGGGATATTTAAGAACAGAAGTGAGGTATCAGGAAGAGTCTCAGAGGAGGTGAGGTTTAAGCTAAGTTTAATTTTATGGTACCAACTTAAACACAAACCCATTGAAATGATTTTCTACTGCAGATGAAGTATTTCTGATTTTGCAGGAAATAAGATTTTTCTCGAATGATGTGAATGAACATCGTGGCCCATAGCGGGGTTGCAGTCTTTCAGTCAGTCAACATCACAGAGCCCTGTATGAAGTGTCAAGGGATGACAACTAAAAGACTAGGGATAGGGCCGGGCGTGGTGGCTCACGCCTGTAATCCCAGCACTTTGGGAGGCCAAGGCGGACAGATCACTTGAGGTCAGGAGTTCGAAACCAGCCTGGCCCACATGGTGAAACCCCGTCTCTACTAAAAATACAAAACAGCTGCATATGGTGGCTCATGCTTGTAGTCCCAGCTACTTGGGAGGCTGAGGAAGGAGAACTGCTTGAACCCAGGAGATGGAGGTTGCAGTGAGCCGAGATCATGCCACTACACTCCAGCCTGGCCAACACAGCAAGATTCTGTCTCAAAAAAAAAAAAAGGATAGGGATAGGCCTCTTTTTTCTCTTTGAACTTGGCTCACATCTCCAGTTTAAAGGAAAATCCTGCAGCTTGAGTTAACAATATCTTAAGGAAATATTTAAAGTGGTGATTAAGACTTTATGATGTTGGCTGGGCACGGTGTCTCACGCCTGTAATCCCAGCACGTTGGGAGGCCAAGGTGGGCGGATCACCTGAGATCAGGAGTTTGAGACCAGCCTGGCCAACGTGGTGAAACCCCGTCTCTACTAAAAATACAAAAATTAGCAAGGTGTGGTGGCATGCGCCTGTAATCCCAGCTACCCAGGAGGCTGAGGCAGGAGAATCGCTGGAACCCAGAAGGCAGAAGGCTTCGGTGAGCTGAGATCGCACCACTGCACTTCAGCCTGGGGAACAGAGCAAGACTGTCACAAAAAAAAAAAAAAAAAAAAAGACTTTATGATGTTAAGAGTCATATTCAAGTCCTGGCTCTGCTTCTTCACATACATTAAATTAGGAAAAGTATTTAATCTCTCCAAACTTCTGCTTTCTCATCTGAAAAAAATTATGGATATAATAGTGTTATCTCCTTCATGAAGTTGTGACAATCAAATGAAACAGTGCAGGCCAGGCGCGGTGGCTCACACCTGTAATCCCAGCACTTTGGGAGGGTGAGGTGAGCGGATCATGAGATCAGGAGATTCAGACCGTCCTGGCCAACATGGTGAAACCCTGTCTCTACTAAAATACAAAAAATTAGCCAGGTGTGGTGGTGCGCACCTGTAGTCCCAGCTACTCAGGAGGCTGAGGCAGGGGGGAATCACTTATACCCAGGAGGCCGAGATTGCAGGGAGCTGAGATCAAGCCGCTGCACTCCAGGCTGGTGGCAGAGCGAGATTCCATCGCAAAAAAAAAAAAAAAAAAAGAAAGAAAGAAAGAAAGAAAAAAGAAAAGAAAAGAAAAGAAAAAGAAACAGCGCTTATGAAATGCTCAGCTCAGAGCATGGAACATCATGGTACTTCATAAATGTTTACTATTATTAGTGTAATACTATGAAAGCAAGAACTTCTCTACATTGTCTGGTTTACTCCTACAAACAAATATAAGTCTAAATGACTCCTACACTGCACTCTATTATCCTTCTCCCTTACCTCAATGGAACATGCAGCACATTCTTATTTATGCAAAAATCTAGAACCTTTAAGCATAGCATAAGTTATGAGAATTTCACTCACAGTTTCACCCTTGTTGAATATGAATTATTTTCATTCCTGCATATTCAAACTCTCTCTTTTCAATGAATTATTTGATCTTATCATCCACCTCAAAAATCTTGCCAGAAGCTGGGCACAGTGGCTCACACCTATAATCCTAGCACTTTGGGAGGCTTAGGTGGGCGAACTGCCTGAGCTCAAGAGTTCAAAACTTGCCTGGGCAACAAGGTGAAACCCTGTCTCTACTAAAAATACAAAAAATCAGCTGGGCGTGGTGGCGCGCCTGTAATCCCGGCTACTCGGAAGGCTGAGGCATGAGAATTGCTTGAACCCAGGAGGCAGAGGTTGCAGTTAGCTGAGACCATGCCACTGCACTCCAGCCTGGGCAACAGAGTGAGACTGTCTCAAAAAAACAAAACAAAACGAAACAAAAACAAACTTACCAGGATCCCACACTTCTTTTCAGCTACCATCTCATTTCTATTAATTTCTTAAATATTCAAGCTTCTTGAAAAGATTTTATACACGTACTGACAATACTTCCTCAATTCCTCAGTCTCTCCTTAAACTTTTACAATTCGACACTAAAAGTGTTCATTAATTCACTTCCATAATGCCAAATTCAGTAGATACTTTCATTCTCTTCTCATTTGAACTTTCAGTAACATTAAACATAGTCCACTATTCCCTCCTTCTTGAAACACTCTCTTCTGACTCCTGTGACAGCACCCTCTTTTGAAATTTTTTCTCTCTACCCATTCCTTTTCAATCCCTTTGGGGACTCCTTATTTATCCTTTATATATTAAGGCTTCTTAATTTTGTTTCCCCTATACACTTTCTTTTCTTGTTCTATCTTCTGTTTCATGGAATTTTAATATAGCAATTGCTACATACTAAGTGTGCCATAGTGGGAAGACCCTTTAACCTCCCTGACCTTATTACGATTCTTCATTTATAAAATGTATAATGTGTTCTTTATACTAATACAATACCCAATTTCTACAAGACTCAATTTCTTCATCTGTGAAATGGGCAATAAATTCTTAAGAGACAATGAGATCAAAGATGTAGAGAGACATATTAAAATATATATTTTTCTTTTTTTTTTTTGAGACAGGGTCTCACTCTATTGCCCAGGCTCAAGTGCAGTGGCACAATCTCGGCTCACTGCAACCTCCATCTCCCAGGTTCAAGCGATTCTTGTGTCTCAGCCTCCCAAGTAGCTGGGATTACAGGTGTCTGCCATCACACCAGGCTAATTTTTGTATTTTTAGTAGAGACAGGGTTTCACCATGTTGGCCAGGCTGGTCTCGGACTCCTGACCTCACGTGATCCTCCTGCCTCAGCCTCCCAAAGTGCTGGGATTACAGGCATGAACAACTGCACATGGCCTAAAATATTTTTTTTTCATACTGGTCTCCATTCTACATGGTTTGGTAGCCCTGCCATGAATCTATCTAATTCTTTTAAACTAAGAAGTCTATCTTGAATGTCATATTCATGTTGTGAGTACGCTAGCGAGTCTCAAAACTTTTTTACTTTTCCACAGTTGACAATGGGATGTTTCTCAAAGAACTGCTATGACCTAAGTTTCTTAAGGATCCCATATATGGTAGATTCTTTCAAGATTCAGGATGCACCTTCCATACTGTACTATCATAATGAATGTCATATGTTTTGCCACTTTTGAGGGGAGAATGAAGGATTTAATTTCTAAAGCCTAAAAAGGAAGATCTTTAGGCTTCTGAAGATGGTGATCAGAAGTATCTTTGACATCTCCATCTCTTTCACCACCCTGTCTAACCCATCATCAAGTTTGGTGTATTTTCTCTTCAAATTATTATGACAAATTATTCCATTTCTATTTGAACCCACTTACAACACCCTTACCTGGAATATCTTCATTTGCTCACTGGACTCTTATAAATATGTCTCTTGTCTTTTTCAAACCCACTCAGCCAGTTCTCCACAGACCAGTCAGAATGACCTTGTAAAAATCAAAGTAAAATTCTGTCACTCTGCAGCTGAAATATCTGCAGTGAGTTTTCATTGCTTCAATAATAAAGTTTAAAATCCTCAGTATGGACTAAAAGATCTGGCAATGACCCAGCCCCTGCCTACTTTTCTGGCTTCATTTTTAAAAGTCCTCTCCTTAATAAGTGACTTCCAGCCACACTGACCTATCTATTCTCCAAGATTTCCAAATTCCTTCTAGTCTTCCTTTTTTTTCGTGTGATGTTCTCTCTGTATCCCCATGTTGGTTAGCCCTTGCTTTCCTTTGCATTCTAGTTTAAATGCCAGCTCTCTCAATGAGGCCTTCTCTGACTCCACTAGTAGGGTATATATCTCTACACACATATGTATATATGTTAGATACATAGTCTTTCCCAGGATACTATAAGCGCCATGACAGCATGGTATTCCATGGAGCATAATGGTTCCTTTGTTAAGTGACTAAATCTGATGTGACATTCATATTTTTTCCTTCCCAAAATAATAAAGATTACTGGAGTATAATGTGACAAGCATGTTCTGAACAATACTCTGCTTTTTTTCCCAAGGAATATGAATTTTGGAATGAAAGGCAGGTTGTGTTGAATGAAGCCGACTAATATCCTCCCACCAGACTTTTAGTAATTGGATGACAGGGACTCTTATTTATTCATTTTTATTTCCTCTTTCATTTAAATATCACCATAGTTCAGTCTCAGACTTAGATATTAACTGATAAAAAGACTATATTTTATTTATAGAAATATGGTCCACAGAGATCTGATAAAGAGTATCACTTTCCTACTTCTGAATTTTTATTTACAAACTCTTAAATTTCAACCCTATTTAGGTTTTGCAGTAATCTATACTCATAGTCTCTGGTCTCCCTGTAGAAATATCAGTGTTTACTAACATCCATTTATTTAACAAAATTGTATTGAGGGTCTACTCCAAGAAACTGAGATCATCTCTGAGGAATACAAACTGTAAGTAAAACCAAACACTATCCCTACCCTCAGGAAGCATGATCTGATGGGGAAGAAATACTTTAATCAAATCATCCCACAAATGGATGAAAGACTGAAATTTGGCTACATACTACAAATAAGTGATCTGGTGGCTCTGAGAACCTATAAAAGCCTATAATAGATTTTTATCCAGTCAGAGCAGTCAAAAAAGGCTTCCCTGAATAAATGGCAAGGATAGATAGGCAAAGAAGGAGCGAAACAGCAATTCATGCAGAGAGAACAGCATGCACAATATAGTGGATTTCTCTAAACACTGAAGTCTTTTTTTTTTTTTTTTTTTTTTTTTTTGAGACAGAGTCTCACTTTGCCGCTCAGGCTGGAGTGCAGTGGCGTGATCTCAGCTCACTGCAACCTCCGCCCCCCGAGCTCAAGCGATTCTCCTGCCTTAGTTTCCCAAGTAGTTGGGATTACAGGCACCTGCCACCGCGCCCAGCTAATTTTTGTATTTTTAGTAGAGGCAGGGTTTCACCATCTTGGCCAGGCTGGTCTTGAACTCCTGACCTCATGTTCCACCCGCCTCCGACTCCCAAAGTGCTGGGATTATAGGCATGAGCCACTGCCGGCCGACACTGAAGTCTTAATATATACATTCCCCCATCCAGATTTTCAGTGAGGACCAAATTTGTTCCTAACTTCCTAAAGGGGGAAATAGTACTTGGGACCAGAAGAGGGAAGTAGCTCCTTGCAATGTGAATTTTCCACGCTAGTAGGAAAAGAGCTTTTTTGAGTCACCTTCAAATTAAAGGAAGAAATACAGTGCTAGCATGTATTAAATTCATAAAGGTTTTCATTCTCATTTCAGAGTTGCTGCAACTAATGGCAGTTAAGAAGCCTGGAGGCCGGGCGCGGTGGCTCACGCCTGTAATCCCAGCACTTTGGGAGGCCGAGGCGGGTGGATCCCCTGAGGTCGGGAGTTCGAGACCAGCCTGACCAATAGGGTGAAACCCCGTCTCTACTAAAAATACAAAAATTAGCCGGGCCGTGGTGGCGGGCGCCTTTAATCCCAGCTACTCGGGAGGTTGAGGCTGGAGAACCGTTTGAACCCAAGAGGCGGAGGCTGCAGGGAGCCGAGATCGCACCACTGCACTCCAGCCTGGGAGACAGAGCGAGACCCTGTCCCAAAAAAAACAAAACAAAACAAACAAAAAAACAAAAAAACACTGGCTGTCACCCTCGTCCGCACAGTTAGACATCTGTTGGAGCCGACGCGTAATTTCGGAGGCTGTAAAAATTCCCATCTCCTAAATTATACATCCAGGAGAGAAACCCTGTTCTATAAGGAGCTACTCCAGGAATCCTGGGCAGTCTACTGGACTCACTTCCTCTTCCTTCTGGTAGGACCGCTTTTAGGGCCGGTACCGGAAGTGCTAGCCACAGCGACTTCAGGTAGTCTCGGTCTTAGCGGATTCCGCGGACTTTCTTGTCTTTCTGCGTACTGCACTAACTGAGCGACCAATTGATACCTAAGTTTAGCTGAACTTTTTGTTGAATTAATTAAAACTGTTTTGAAATCTATTCTGTAAGAGCCTGAGAAAAATTGCGGCCACAGAAGCTGTTTTGAAATGCGCTTGGCTTCCGACTTCCGCAAGGGGAGGCAGCTGTTTCTTGTGTAAGCAAAGTCGAACTGAAAGAGGATGAAAAGAAGGGAAAGGGATTTGTGAAGATTTTATTAGGATTTTTCCCCCCTTTAGGCTGGAACATTTCTTCTAATTATTCTTTTTTTTTTGAGATGGAGTCTCGCTCTGTCGCCAGGCTGGAGTGCAGCGGCGCGATCTCGGCTCACTGCAGCCCCCGCCTACTGGGTTCAAGCGATTCTCCTGTTTCAGTCACCCGAGTAGCTGGGATTACCTACAGGCGGGCGCCACCACGCCCAGCTAATTTTTGTATTTTTAGTAGAGACGGGGTTTCACCATGTTGGCCAGAATGATCTGGATCTCTTGACCTTGTGATCCGCCCGCCTCGGCCTCCCAAAGTGCTGGGATTACAGGCATGAGCACCGCGCCCCGCTGGAACATTTCTTTACTATTTCTGGCACATTCTGGGGATGGGATAGCTGCGACTGTTTTGCAGTGCACTCATCAGCTGATCTGAATGCTCTTTCGCTTGCTGGAATCACAGCGTTTTGATCATGTTAAGAAAAAAAAAAGGCATGAATAGGGATTAAACTTCAAGTGGCATAAAGATCGTTTTAAAATGCATACATTTGAGAATGGAGTCCTCCTTCCATATATAAAGTGTAATTTGAGGCAGTTTTGTGAATGGAATTAAAATACTACGAGTTAGGAAATTACACAACCCAGTTAATTTATTTCTGTAGGTTACTTTGCAAGGGTAGGTTAGTAACTATACGTGGGCTGATTGTGCTAGTTACATCTGAAAGTATACTAATTCTGGCTTCTGAAGTGGAAGTATTACGTGTGTTTCATGTGATATGGAGCAGCAAGGTAAAAAACCAGATGTTGAGAACTGGTGCGTTTGTCTGCATAGGCACAGGTTGGAGAAAAAAGTAAGAGTAAATCTGGGTAGTTTGAACAGACAGGCTGGAGCGTCTAGGAAGAATTATCCTGAGGCTGGTTCAGGTTAATTGAAAGTTTTAACAGAAAACTTTCAAGAAGGTGTACTTGCTGAACTGCTGGTACAGAAAATTATTTTTCTGAGTAATAATTATGGAAAGTAGTTTGCGTAGGTAGAGCAAACTACTCTTTCCTCAGCTTTTCATTCTCTTTTGGATTCTCTCTGCTTCTCCCAGTTTTCTACTTTGCATTGATTCTTTCTCCATTTTCTTTTTTTTTTTTTTTTTTTTTTTTTTTTTTGAGACGGAGTCTCGCTCTGTCGCCCAGGCCGGACTGCGGACTGCAGTGGCGCAATCTCGGCTCACTGCAAGCTCCGCTTCCCGGGTTCACGCCATTCTCCTGCCTCAGCCTCCCGAGTAGCTGGGACTACAGGCGCCTGCCACCGCGCCCGGCTAATTTTTTGTATTTTTAGTAGAGACGGGGTTTCACCTTGTTAGCCAGGATGGTCTCGATCTCCTGACCTCGTGATCCACCCGCCTCGGCCTCCCAAAGTGCTGGGATTACAGGCGTGAGCCACCGCGCCCGGCCCTCCATTTTCAGCATAGAGTAAGGTCAGGTGACTGAGTACACAAGAAGTGCTCAGTTGGCAACTCACCAGTGAATGTAACCATGTACAAAGGGAAACTGGATTATTAAGATAAAAAGAAGATAATTTTCCCCTAAACTATACACTATAATATCACAATCAGAAGGTATTTTAGGGAGTAGGGTGGGTTTTATTTACAGAAGTATTTGTGTGTATATATTTGTTTATATAGATGGTCTTCCATAAAGAAGCAAGTACAAATAGCTACAATTGAACTGTATAAATCAACACAAGTGGGAGTTAATTCAAGTTTATTTAGTGAATACGAAGTGCAGAATAGTATAGTAGAGTAAGAATTATTAACACTGAAGATAAAAGCAGATTAAATATTTCTGAATAGGTTCAATTCACTAGGTAGATTATGTAAAGGACCATATTAAAAAGACATCCAAAGCAAGAAATTGAAATAGCAATTTAAAAATAAATACCTACTTAAAGTAAATTCAGAATCATCTTTTTTCTAGAGCTGATTTTTTTTTAACATGAGGTATTGTCTGACAGTGCCACTTCTCTCTCCTAATTAAACATAATCAGGGTTCAGATTTGGTCAAGTAAAATACGTTTCAGGTTCTCCAGATACTAGCATAATACTTGGTGTGTATTGATTACTTAAATGTAAATTCATGGAAGAGAATCCAGGTATATTTGGACAAAAACAGCACTTTTAATTAAGCATGTTGACATTCTGTTCAGTATAATTTCTTCTTCTGTTCCTTTATTCCATTACTTATTCAAATTGTATTGCTGTTTTCCCTTGTATAAAGCCACACATACTGAATATGCAAATATATAGAGAAAAAATTCAAGCCACCTTGTCAGTCACAATTTAAGATTGACAAATATTCAATTGAAGATCAGTTGAATTTTTTCCTTCATATCTTGTTATGTGAGATGAATAAAGGTTTTATTTGGAGGCAAAATAGAGGTTTTTAAGATTTTGCAGGGCTTATGAAGCATAATCTAATTAAACAGATTTGTGACTGTGTGCCTTTTGAGTATTCTGGGGTTTTCTATTACCGCTTAGTTGTTCCAAAAAATTTTTTTTATTAATTTGAGACATGGTCTCGCTCTGTTCCCCAACTCCTGTTCTCAAGGGATCCACCCACCTAGGCCTCCCAAACTGCTGGGATTACAGGGTGAGCCACCCCATT
This sequence comes from Homo sapiens, assembly GCF_000001405.40. NCBI lineage: Eukaryota > Metazoa > Chordata > Mammalia > Primates > Hominidae > Homo > Homo sapiens. Next base: position 141,075,075 of record NC_000005.10, on the reverse strand, counting down.
GGCCTTAAAGTATTATGAGGCTTTCTTATGTTTGTAAAACTACCGTCTTGAAATTCACAATAGTGGTATTTTTTATGATTTTTCTAGGAAAAAAAGGGGGGTGAATGGAAGCCCAATTTAGAAATGTTGAGAGGTCAATGAAAGTCCAATTGACTAATATGTCAAGAGGTTTTATATTGAGTTCTCTGAGAGCTCATTTGATTAAAAAAGAAGTCTGCTTATTTACTAAGGGAGCAATGAATTCTAATTAAGTTTAATGTTTAGGAACAGGCTTTTCTCATATTCTCCTAAGGCCAAGGGATATTTCACTCTGAAACTATTTTGAGGTCAAAGAAGTGCAGTGTTAACTGAAATGTCAGGAAGAAGGGAAACTCCAATTTGTATACGCACTAGAGAAAATGTGTTTTTACGGGGTTCACTGGTAGTGCAAAGGCTTCAACCAAATGTCACTGAAGTCCTAGTACTTCACTGAGTTCAAATTTGGATGTTTTGCAAGACATTTTTTCTCTATTTGTATTAAATTTTATTTTTCTATTTGTTTATATAAATAGCAAGTTCAGGGAAAGTTAATTTTAGAGGGAAATTAGAAGTTCCTTTATGGTTCCTCATGTATTTAGTGACTGGAGGTGGCAATGTATATTTGTGGATTTTATTTTCAAGACTAAATTTTCAAATTCCTTTCAAATTTATATATAATTAGATCAATCAAATCTCTGGCAATTAGGATCAAATTCACACAAAATTTTGTACTGAAAGCATATTGCATTTACATATAGATCAGTGAATCCTACACATTAACACTATGGCGTGTTTTACAAGTAATATTTAATTCTTAAAACTGAGATCCTGGGTGACTTTTAAATGTTGTAAATTGCATTTGGCAACTTAACAGATGTCAATGTGTTTATGTAGTTTACAGTGAATTCAGTGGATTTATTGATAGACTGCTGGATTTATGTATGTTTTTCTATGTGGGCCTTTGGAAGAAAATATACAATTATTTCATAAGACCTGTGTGTGAAATTTAAGGAACGAATTAGCCTTTGATAGGATTTCTTCTTTCTCCTGTCCAGTAATCTCAGAGAGTTCATTGAAATTAGTGAAATGTGAGCAAGTTCACTTAGTGTGCACTTTAAATTGAAATGATAAGATTTAGCAAATGGATGAATTCCCTAATAACTCATGATCAGTGTGTTCAAAGAGATGCAGTTAAATTCAGATCAATCAGTATAATTTCAGTTTGAGGTTAATAGGTGACATCAGTACATTTATTTAACCCTGGAGAGGAATTCTCAGTGAATACCTGAAAAGGTTCCTTAGATCCAATATAGTATAGATGAGTTCTAGGGTTTATTATAGTTTTAAAATTAAATTATTTTGCTTATAAGGTGGATTTTAAAACTTTGCATTTTTTATGTAATTTTTGATTTAATTAAAATTGAGTGAGGAGTGATTCATTCTATGATCAATTCACATTAACGCAGAAAGCCATAGTTCCTACAATGGTACCTTTGTTGGCCATATATAAAAGGTTCTATGCATAAATCACCTATTCAATTTAAAAGTTTCCAACTTACATTTGTTTTATTTTAAAGTACTATTTTTTTTTTAACAGGCAAGCATTTTGACTAAGAAATCTGGCTGTTGGGAAACCTGTAGGCAATGTCAAAAAACCTTATTTCAGTCAAGTCAAGAAAATGTCCGTAAAACTGATTATGTGTTGGTAGAGTTTTTTAAAAAAACATAAAATACATAGAGAAAATAATACAACAATGACTAGCCTAACCACTGTTCAGCTTTATGAAATTTTAATGCCTGCTTTACTTGTTCCAGGTCTTTTAGAAAATAAAACGTTGATGTATTCAAGGCTCCTGAAAATATATTATTTCCCCCTTTACAAAGAGGTTTTATATATATATATATATTGAGACCGGGTCTCACTCTTGCCCAGGCTGGAGTGCATCAATGCAATCATAGCTCATTGCAGCCTGGACCTCTTGGGCTCAAGCAATCCTCCTAACTCAGACTCCTAAGTAGCTAGGACTACAGGCATGCACTGCTATGCCTGGATTTTCCCTCCCTCCTTCCCTCCCTCCCTCCCTCCCTTCTTTCCTTCCTTTCTTTTCCTTTTCTTCTCCTCTCGTTTTTCTTCCTTTTCTTTTTCTTTTCTCTCTTTCTTTTTTCTCTCTTTCTTTCTCCCTCTTTTTCCCCTTCCTTCCTTCCTTCCTTTCTTCCCTCCCTCCCTCCCTTTCTTTTCTTTCTGACAGGGTCTTCCTATATTGCCCAGGCTGGTTTTGAACTCCTGGCCTCAAGCGATCCTCCTGCCTTGTCCTCCCACAGTGTTTATAGGCGTGAGCCCCTGCACCTGGCTCAGATATCCTTATATATTTCATCTTGTTGACATCTACTCAGTTTCAGAGGTGCTCCGTCTAGAAGTTTAATTACAGTATTATATCTGCATTTCTTCTTCTTGATGAGATGAAGCCAGACTGTGTTCCTGTGTTTTTATTTTTGTTTTCAGCCAGTTTACACTTACACTAGCAGTGCATGAGAGCTGCTTTTGTTTCATGTGCTCTGTAACCCTTGTTCTTTTAATAGTTGCCAATCCGGGTGTGTAGTTCATGTTGGTTAAAATATGCATTTTCCTGTTACTAAAGAATTTGAGAACTTTCATATGTTTATCAACCACACCACTTGGATTTCCTCTTTAAGACTTTTGACGCTTTTTATTAGGTTGTGTGCCTTTTTATTATTGATTTGTAGATACCATTTATAGGCTTTGAATACTAGAACTTTGTGGTTTATACATGGTACAAATATCATTTTCCAAACTGAGGCTTTTCTTTTCACTCTTTTTATGGTGTTCTGTGATGACTAGTTTTTACTTTTAAGGTAGTGAAATTTATCAGTCTTTTCCTTGATTTGTGCTTTTGTGTCCTGTTTAAAACATTCTTCCCCAAAGTCATGAATAGATGTCCAATATTATCTTCTAAGTGTTTGCATTTTGTTTCCCACTTTCAGATTTCTAAATAGCCTAAAATTGATTCTTTTGTATGGTATGAATTAGGGACCCAAATTTTATTTTTTATATGGATACTTAATTGTCCCAGCACCCATTTAAGGGAATGCTGCCTTTTCCCCATAGCTGTGCTCTCTGTCCATATGTATGTTAGTTTATTTTAGGGGCTCTAAATTAGTTCATTTTTCTATTCCTCCACCAGTACCACACTGTATTAATTACTGCAGCTTTATTTAAATAAACTTTTATATTTGGAATGGCAAGTCCTCTCACTTTGTTCTTCGTATTCAAGGGTGCCTTGGCTATTGGTCCTTTGCAGTTCCAAGTATTTAGTGTAATTTAGTCTTGTTGAACATGGCAACATGTGACCACCACCAACAACAAAAATACCTGTTGGGATTTGATTGTGACAGCACAGAATCTATAGATAAATTCAGGGAGAATTGATATAAAGTCTTTAATCCTTACATGTCTTATATGTCTCAACTTATTCAAGAATTTTAAATTTTCTTTAAAAAGTTTTACATTTTTATTTTTGGAAGCCACACACATCTTTTACTAGTATTATTCCCAGGATCCTTCATATTTTGAATACTATTATAAATGATACAATTTTTAAATAACGTTTTACATTTTTATTTTTGGAGGCCACACATCTTTTACTAGTGTTATTCCCAGGATCCTTTGTATTTTGAATACTATTATAAATGATACAACTTTTATTTTTATTATTTTTATTTTTATTTTTGAGACGGGGTCTGGCTCTGTTGCCCAGGCTGGAGTGCAGTGGTGTGATCTCGGCTCACTGCAACCTCCACCTCCCGGGTTCAAGTGATTCTTGTGCCTCAGCCTCCTGAGTAGCTGGGATTACAGGTGCACACCTTCATACCTGGCTAATTTTTGTATTTTTAGTAGAGATGGGGTTTCACCATGTTGGACAGCTAGGACTACAGGTGTGTACCACCATACCTGGCTAATAAAAAAAAATTTTTTTTTGTAGAGATAGGGAGTCTGACTGTGCAGCCCAGGCAAGTCTTGAACTCCTAACCTCAAACAATCCTCCCACCTTGGCCTTCCAAAGTGCTGGGATTACAGGGTGAGCTACCACACCTTGCTGGAGAAATCTTTTGAGGCTGGGAATGGTGGTTCATGCCTGTAATCCCAGCACTTTGGGAGGCTGAGGCAGGTGGATCACTTGAGTTCAAGACCAGCCTGGCCCACATGGTGAAACCCTGTCTCTACTAAAAATACAAAAAAAATTGGCCAGGCCTGGTGGCATGTGCCTGTAATCCCAGCTACTCAGGAGGCTGAGGCAGGAGAATTGTTTGAACCCAGGAGGCAGAGGTTGCAGTGAGCCGAGATGGCACCACTGCCTCCAGCCTGGACGAGAGTGAGACTCTGTCTTTAAAAAAAAAAAAAAAAGACAGAAACCTTTTGAGCCCACTCTCCTCCCTGGAAATGTGTGTGGTACATACTTAACTACTGATTCAATTATTTTAATTGGATTAAGTCTATTCAATTTTACTATTTTTCTTCAACCAGTTTTTCCAGGATATTCATTCTCATAGAGTTGTTCATAGGTTTTTCTTTTGAATTGTTAATCTCTGCTATATCTTTTTTTTTTTTTTTTGAGAGACAGAGTTTCACTCTTGTTAACCAGGCTGGAGTGCAATGGCGCCATCTCAGCTCACTACAACCTCTGCCTTCTGGTTTCAAGTGATTTTCCTGCCTCAGCCTCCTGAGTAGCTGGGATTATAGGCGCGCACCACCATGCTCAGCTAATTTTTGTACTTTTAGTAGAGATGGAGTTTCACCATGTTGGCCAGGCTGGTCTCGAACTCCTGACCTCATGATCTGCCCGCCTCAGCCTCCCAAAGTGCTGGGATTAAAGGCATGAGCCACTGTGCCCAGCCCAATCTCTGCTATATCTTTAGTTTTGTCTGTGCCAAATATTATTTACTTATGCCTTTTTTTCTTTTCTCAATCAGATAATTATCTTTTTTTTTTTTTTGAGACAGGGTCTTCCTCTGTCACCTAGTCTGGAGTGCAATGGCATGATCACAACTTGCTGCAGCCTTAACCTCCTGGACTCACTCCATCCTCCCACCTTAGCCTCCAGAATAGCTGGTACTATAGACATGCACCACCATGCCTGGATAATTTTCATACCTTTTGTAGAGCCAGAGATCTGCCATGTTGTTCAGGCTAGTCTCGAACTCCTGGGCTCAAGCCATCTGCCCTCCTCAGCCTCCCAAAGTGTTGGAATTACAGGCATAAGCCCTGCTTCAGCCATGATTACTTATATAAAGATTCCTTTATAATATAAGCATTTAACAGTACGTATTTCTAAGTAGCACTTTAGTTGCATCTTCCAAGTTTTGGTATGTAGCATTTTCATTATCACTCAGGAAATATTTTCAGATTTTCATTATAAACTATTTTCTTCAAGTTTAAGCTTTAAAACCTTACATGGGGGGTTTATGATTTTTAATTATTGATTTCTAATTTAATTAAATTGAGGTCAAAAGATGTTACCTTTGCCGGGTGTGATGGCTCACATCTGTAATCCCGACACTTTGGAAGGCCGAGGCAGGCGGATTACTTGAGGTCAGGAGTTCGAGACCAGCCTGGCCAACATGGTGAAACCCTGTCTCTACTAAAAATAGCCGGGTGTCCTGGCTCATGCCTGTAATCCCAGCTACTCGAGAGGCTGAGGCAGGAGAATCGCTTGAACCCAGGAAGTGGAGGTTGCAGTGAGCTAAGATCGCGCCACTGAACTCCAGCCTGGGCGACAGAGTGAGACTTTGTCTCAAAAAAAAAAAAAAAGAAAGAAAGAAAAAAAGATGTTGTTCTTATAATATAAATTATTGGTGTCTGTTAGATTTGTTTTATGATCTAATATGTTGTCATCTTATTTAAAAATTTTATGTGTATTTTAAAATAATGGGGATATTTAAGCTATAGAGCATAGGGTTCTCTCCCTATATGTATCTTTTAGATCAAGCCCATTCCTTGAATTCTTCAAATCCAAATTTGGATTTCCTAGCTATTTTCTATTTGGTTCATCTATCAAATACAGGAACAGGTATGTTTAAAACCCCACATATGATTATGGACTCACCAATTTTTATTTTAAATCTGTTTGCCAGGCGCAGTGGCTTAACACTTATAATCCCAGCACTTTGGGAGGCTGAGATGGATGGATCACCTGTGGTCAGGAGTTCGAGACCAGCCTGACTGACATGGCAAAACCCCATCTCTACTAAAAATGCAAAAATTAGCCAGGTGTGGTGGCGAGCACCTGTAATCCCAGCTACTCAGGAGGCTGAGGCAGGAGAATCCCTTGAACCTGGGAGGCGGAGGTTGCAGTGAGCCAAGATGGCCCCACTGCACTCCAGCCTGGGCAACAGAGCAAGACAGCATCTCAAAAAAAAAATGCTGTTTGCTTTATAAATTTTGAGGTTATATTAGATACATTCAGTTGCAGAATTGTCCTATAATGCTTTTTGCCATTAGGACTTTTTTTCTGATATTCATACAGGTTTTCAGATATTGATATTCTGATAACTGGTATTCATATTTAGTATTGTACATGTATGTTTTCCATGTCTTTGCTTTCATTTTACTGGGTGATGGGCAGAATAATAGCCCTCAAAGATATCTCCATCCTAATCCTTGGACCTTGTGAATGTTATGTTACATGGCAAAGGGAATTAAGGTTGTGCATGGAATTAAGGTTACTAATCAACTGACCTTAAAATAGGGAGATTTTCCTAAATTGTCCTTCTAGGTGCAATGTAATCCCAAGGGTCATTAAGATTGGAAGAGAGGCTAGAGAGGAAAGGGACAGAGTGAGGTGGATATGTGAATATGAAAGAAAGGTATAGAGAGATGCAACATTCGTGGCTTTGAAGATGAAGGAAGGAGTTCTCCAGAAGCTGGAAAAGCAAGAAAAGAGACTCTTTTCTAAAACCTCCAGAAAGGAATGTAGTATTGCAGACACGTTGTTTTTAGACCTGTGAGACTTGTGTCAGACTTCTGACCTACATAACTGTAAGATAATACATATGTGGTGTTTTAAGCTGCTACATTTGTAGTAGTTTTTTAAAACAGTAAGCAGAAAACTGATAAACAGTGTTTTAAAGTTTTAGTTATGTCATTTGTAAAAAGCATTTAGCTGTATTATTTTTAATCCAATGTGATGTTTTTGTCTTTTCATAAATGAACTTGGGAGACTGAGTATTGCTTGAGGCCAGGAGGTCAAGACCAGCTTGGGGAACATAAAAAGACCCTTTCTCTATAAATACATACATACATACATACATACATACATACATACATACAACAAACTGTTTGTCCTTATTGTGATTACTGATAAATTTGGATTTATTTTTCTAATACTGTTTTGTAATTTCAATCTTCTGGGGCTTTTTCTCTACTTTCCTGCTTTTTACTGGATTAAGTTTTCTTTCTTTTTTATTCCACTTGTTTGGAAGTAACACATTCTTTTTCTTTTTAATCCCAGATGCAGATGGTTAATTGTATTTCTTAGTTTAGAGTACATTATCAACTTTGGTCTGTGCAGGAATCCCCTTATTTTATTACTTCATTTTCCCCTAACTTTCAGCACTCCTGTTTCTCTATTTACATTCTTAGCCTATATGTTTAATATGTGTCTTTAAATGTATGTTTATGCTTACAAAATATTGCTTTGTTGTTTTTGTCCCTGTAAAATATGGTCAATACCCGGGTACTCATTTTCAGTTTCTTATTCCATTTCTAGCTTTTTAAAAAACTCGAATTGTGTTTTTGAGATCTAGTCACATTGTTTTTGAACATCAAGTTTGTTGCATATGACCTCTGTGTGACATTCAATAGTGTACATTACCATTACCATTTTACTCTTTATTTTTCCTGTTGTTGGACGGCTACATTTAACTCAGTACCCAGCTATTACAAACAAGGCCATGATAGACTCATTGTATATGTTTCCTTACAAATCAGTGTAAGAAGTTCTTTGATATATTTATACAGAATCTGGATAAATACATACATTTATTTTCATTAAATACCTCTAGAATGCTTTCCAAAGTTACTGTACTAGTAGCTATTTCCTTCAGATGTGTATAAGTTGTCATTAGCTCACATCCTTGCCAACACTTGATGTTTTCTAGCTTTGTATTTCTTTTTCATTTTGCTGAATATAAAAGTGATTTTATTTTTAATTTGTATGTATGTGATTACTCATGAGTTTGGGCATTTCTTCCTATGCTCTTTTCTATTTTCTATAGCACTGACTATCTTTTAAATATTTATTTGCATGGGTTCTTTGTGAGTTCTAAATGTCAATCTTTTGTTGGTTTTAGACATTGGAAATATTTTCTGCATTATGCCATCTGCCTCTTATTTTTTTATTTTGCCCATCTTTGAGCAGAAATCATAAATATTGAAGTAAATATATAAATCTTTTCGCTTTATAATATGTACTTTTTGGCTGTTGTTTAATCATTTCCTATATAGTATTTTCTAGTTGGTTATTACTGGTATGGAGGAACACTTTTTTCCACCCTTGGTTGATACCATATGTAGGACCTTTGATAAAGTCTTCAGAAAGATGACTTTAGCAAAGGTGCTAGATTTTAGTGATTTTTCTTCATAGATGATTATTTCATCTGCAAATACCAATACTTTTATCTTGTCTCTTCTACACCTTATACTGCTTAAGCCTCTTTCAAGTTTTGTAGTAGTGGCCAGGGTCTGTTTACTCTGCTGAGAAGTAGTGGTTCTGGTAGGTATTCTTTTCTTCATCCTAATCTTATTGAGACTGTTTCTAAGGTTTCCTCGTTAAGTATAATGTTTACAGTAGACTTTTGATATATAGTCTTTTTAAAGATAAATGTTTCCATATGTATCTATTATATATAAGTGTTCAACTTTATTTTTTTCTATTACTATTAACAGTTTATTGGAAGTTTGATAAACTATAAAACCATCCAGACTAGTTCTTTTTTGGGGGGGTGTCAGGTCTGTGATTACCATTTCCATTATTTTAATAATTATTATCTATTCAAAAATTTTATGACATTTGTACCAATTTGTCATTTCTATTTTCATATAAATTTATCTAAGCACTTAGCTTTTCACTCATCTTATTTATTTTTTATAGTCTTTATAGTTACTTCTTTTTTATTCTGTGTTTTAAGTTATTGTACCTTTTCCTTTTTTGGACAGCCTTCCTCTAATTTTTCTGTTTTATATATACATATATAAGTATACTTTATATATACATAGATAATCTATTTTATATATACATATATAATATAATATATATTACATTTGAAATATATATACATATTTCAAAATAAGTTCATTTGCTTTGGCTAATTTCTATTCTTTTTTTTTTTTTTCTTTTTTTTTGAGACGGAGTCTTGCTCTGTCCCGCACGCTGGAGTGCAGTGGCGCGATCTCGGCTCACTGCAACCTCCGCTCCCAGGTTCATGCCATTCTCCTGCCTCAGCCTCTTGAGTAGCTGGGACTACAGGTACCCACCACCACGCCCAGCTAATTTTCTTTGTATGTTTCGTAGAGACGGGGTTTCACCGTGTTAGCCAGGATGGTCTCCATCTCCTGACCTCCTTAGCCAGGATGGTCTCCATCTCCTCACCCCAAAGTGCTGGGATTACAGGCGTGAGCCACCGCGCCTGGCCACTCTATTCTTTATTTATACTTTAATTGATTTCTGCCCTTATCTTTATTACATCCGCTTTCCTCTTTGAGTTCGCTTATTACTTTTTAAAAATGTTTGAACTCATTTGCTTTAAATATTTCTTTTTTTTTTCTCACACATGCATTTAAAATAAAAAACTTCCATCTAAATTCTTTTTCTCTGCCCCAAAAATGTGGGCCAGTTATATTTTCACTGTTGTTAAGTTCCAAGAACATTGTACTTTTCTTTAAGATTTCCTCTTTAACTCAAATATTACTTAATAATTTGCTATTTAGGTTCCAGTAAAATAGGATATGTTTAAAGAAATTTTTTGGTAATTATTTAAAAATATTTTTGCATTTTGATAGATATATCTGCTTTGATTTACCTAGATTTCTTGACACTTTCTTTCTAGACTAGTATTCAGCCATTTTTTAAGATTATTCTATTGTGTGCTCAAAAAGAATGTATTTTTTGTTCTTGTGATGAATTATTTCTTAATATATTGCTGCACATCAATTATGATTTTCAAATGTTCCTTAATTTTACTTGTCTTTGATGTTTCTCAATGTAGTGTATTAAAAATTCCATGTTAGTTGCTGATTATCTATTTCTTTCAGCATTTTTGGTTGTTCCTTTATGTATCTTGAGGCTCCATTATTGAGTGTATATATTTTCATGATCATTATATCTTATTGATTTATATTTCTTTTTGTACTTGTCTTTTATATTATTAAAATTATTCTATATTTTATTGGATTAATATTTGGATGTAATTCTTTTCTCATCCATTTACATTTAACCTTTCTTTATAACAACTGTCGTGAATCTGTTTCTTATAGGCTCCACATTTCTAGGGCTTGATTTTTAATTCAAACTAAAATTCTCTAACTCCTGATGGGTGAGCTTATGTATGTTTATTTTAGTTACTGTTATTTTAGCACATATCTCTGCCATCACATTTCAATATTTCTTTATTGTTTTTAACCCCTTTCCTGATTCCTACTGGCTAGATAAGATTTTGTTCTGCTAACTGGAAAGTCATGCATTCTATTTATATTTTTCTGGTGGTTACTACTAACTTATTAAGACCCATGCTAACTTTCTTTTTCTTACCTATGTCTTAAATTTATTTGTGTAATATCTGCAAGGCATTTTTCCTTTGATCCCAGAATGCTGGGATTATGATCCTAAAAGAGGTGAAATGTGTTTCAGGAAGTGCTCCAGCATAAGGCAAGTAGTGACAACATGACCAGTTCTAGGAAATTTTCCTCTAGCATCCTTCACATGAAGAAGTGTAAGAAAAATAACATATGTCTGAAAATATCCACACAATAAATTGGCTGAGTATTTGCCACATAGCCCTGAAATTTCCCAGTAGTTCTCTTGGATGTTAATGGCACACAGCCATCAGCTTTTTTTTCTATTTTGTTAGTCTTTTCCAAGAACCAATACCATGTATTGCTTGCATCCAGTGCTGCTAGTGAGAAGTCTGTTGTCAGTTTCATCGTGTTTCATTTTATGTAATGTGTTCTTTCTCTTTGTCATTATTATGCATAAATTTCACCACAATTTGTCTAGGCATGGCTTTGTCTTGTTTACTACTCTGCAAGCCTTCCAATCAGAGGCCTTCTTTCATTATTCTTTAATTCTTAGACATTTGTTTCTGTAATTTCTTCAAAAACCATTCTCTCCATTTTTATATTTCTGTTCTTCTGGGACACCAATTTTTATGCATTGCTACTTCTTTTAGCCTCTATATCTCTTAACTTTAATTATATATCTTCTAATTATTTTTCTTTCCCTACTTCCTTCTGAGAGAATTTTTCAATGTGATCTTCTAACTCACTAAGTAGTTCTTCAGCTTTATCCTTTCTATTATCTCATCTATTATATACTTTGCTTAAATAATTATAGTTTTATGCATACTATTTTCACCTTATTCTTTAAACTATTTATAGTTCTTCTTTTGTATAGCTTATTTTCATAAGTTTGTTATGCTTACTTTTAAATTCTTGGTTCTACAGTAATAATATCTCAGTTCTGATATTAACAGTATAAGTTTATTTTGCTTTTTAAGTACATATGTTTTCAAATATACCTACTATACCTAAGTAGGTTTACTTTCAAATATACCTACTTATTTTGAGCCAATATTATCAACTATTCTTTCTGATAATGTGTATGAAGAAGAGACATGGACTAGATCTAGTCCTTGTCAACCAAGATGAGATAGAGAAGAATGGAGAGGGTGCAGTCTATGGTGGAATTTCCTAAATGCCAGGGAATTCCAGTTAATCACTACTGTCTCATAGCCCCCTAATCAAACAATTCTTCAGGTTTGGATTTTACCTTCCATTCACCTTTTTCCAGAAAAAAAGCATTACATGAAAGAGTTACTGTAAATTATAATTCACCAACAATGGGATTTGAGGTGAGGGGAAGGGGAGGGTGAATGTCCAAGGCTAGTCAGTATACAGTTAATTAATATAAATTTTTGACCCAAGCAGATTTTTTAAATTGCCTTGACTGTTACCTGTGATGAAAACTATACCCGCAATCTGAACTGTTGCCACTTACTTCCAGTGAGAAGGCAGGAAATCACTGTCCAAAGGTGGGAATAGGAGATTTATTTTAAATATATCATACCACAAACATGATGGCTTACCCTCCTTCCCAGGCTGCAGCCACCACTAAGCCTTAACACACCAGTATTAAACAGACTCCATCCTCCTCAAAAGCTTCTTAGGGTTTTTTCATTATTTCCTAAGTTCCTAAGTTCTCTGTCTCTCTCTCTCTCTCTCTTTTTTGAAACAGAGTCTTGCTCTGTCACCTACACTGGAATTCAGTGGCACAGTCTCAGCTCAGCTCACTGCAACCTCCACCTCCCGGGTTCAAGTGATTCTCATACCTCAGCCTCCTGAGTAGCTGGGATTACAGGTATGTACCACCACACCTGGCTAATTTTTGTATTTTTAGTAGAGATGACGTTTTGCCACGTTGGCCAGGCTGGTCTCGAACTCCTGGCCTCATGTGATCCACCTGCCTCAGCCTCCCAGAGTGCTAGAATTACAGGCATAAGCCAACCACCCAACCACATAAGTTGTATAATGTTTCAATATATGGTTCCTCCATGACTGCTCTTGCAGTATCTGTAACCCATGCTACTCTGCCGTCTTGGCAAGAACCAGAATCAATATATGTCTCTTCTCTGCCATTTCCTCAATTCTTCTTCTGGAATGTCTCTGGGACCTATATTAGAGTTTTTCCATCTATCTTCCATGTCTCCTGTGGCAGCTTTAAAAACTTTTCTCCAAATTCTTTACCACTCCTTTATTCAAGAGGTAGGACATATGTCCCCTTATCTTGAATTTGGTCTCTGTGACTGCTTGACCAATGGAAAGTGTGGTGAAAGTGATACTTGCTGTTGTAACCCAGCTACCATGTTTTAAAGAAGCCCAGGCCACATAGACAGGTATTATGGTTCACTGCCAGCATCAATCATGGAAGAGAGGTCACCTCCAAATGATACTAGCTCACTGCCACTATGTCACTCTCAGCCTTTGAGTCTTTCTACCTGAGGCCTCAGGCATCACAGAGCAGAGACAATTCATCCTCATTGGGTCTTGTCTGAATCCCTGATCCATGGAGTCCCTGAGCATAATATGTCTGTTCTATGCCTTTAAGTTTCAGTGTGGTTTATCACAGTAGATAACATCTTTAAATACTCTTTCGTAATTTGTATCTTTTTGTTCAGTTATTGGGCAGATCTTAAAAATCTTCCTTTATCTCAGATAAAAGGGTTTACTGAACAACAAAGGGTTATTCTGAACAAACAGGGTTTACTGAACAACAAAATAAGGGTTGTTGAAAGGGTTTACTGAACAACAAAATAAATGATAGAATTGAATTATAACCTAAATAATAGAGTAAATATCCACGTGTCCATATATAATTCCATAGTTACATACCAATTTACTAATTTAGTCTTCATTAGCTTCCAGATTGAAGTTTATACTATCTATTGAGGTTTTATTACAATTAATAAGTTTCATTTCTAAAATTTCTGGTTGGCTATATTTATATGGATCCATTCTTACTTTATTTCAGTCTTTTTTTATTTCATAACTTACTATCTTTGGTGGGTATAACTTCTAAATTCATCTCTGCAAGCATCTTAAACAGTTTTATGTTGAATGACACTTTTTGAAAATGTCTTCCTTTTCATTCCTTTCTCTACTTATGTCCATTTCCTAGACCCTGGACATGGTCTAGAATCAGGTTGTATAGTAATGATTTGGGCTTCTGACCCAGCATGGTACTGGAAATAGTACAGATGACTACATTAAGTCTGTTGGCTACAGAGCCCAGTACATATTCTGGATGTTGTTTCTGTGTCCTCCAGCCTTCATAGGCCTGCAACATACCATAATGTATAGCTTCAGGAATTTTTTGGCAATGGCTTTTCAACCTTCCTTGACCCATCCTACCTCTTGGCTCTAACCAATGACACTGGCTTTTATTCTCCATTTTTCATGGTGAACATTTTGTTCCTGAGAGCCCATAAGAGCCAAACCAATGGTAGCCTATGCCAACTTCCCATCCTGATAGCTTGGAAATCCAAGGATTTTATCCCCACTTACCATTTTATGTCTGTTTCATTTCTGGTTTTCCTTGTTTTTGGTTTTTTTTTTTTTTTTTTTTTTGAGATGGAGTCTCACTCTGTCGCCCAGGCTGGAGTGCAGTGGTGTAATCTCGGCTCACTGCAACCTCTGCCTCCTGGCTTCAAGCGATTCTTATGCCTCAGCCTCCTGAGTAGGTGGGATTACAGGTGCATGCCACCACGCCCAGCTAATTTTTGTATTTTGTAGTAGAGACAGGGTTTCACCATGTTGGCCAAGCTGGTCTCGAACTCCTGACCTTGGCCACCCACCTCAGCTTCCCAAAGTGCTGGGATTACAGGCATGAGCCACCGTGCCTGGCCTTGCATTTTTTTTTTTTTGGCCAGGGGCGGGTAGTGGGGGGTACGGAGTTTAGCTCTTGTTGCCCAGGCTGGAGTGCAATGGCCTGATCTCGGCTCACTGCATCCTCCGCCTCCTGGGTTCAAGCGATTCTCCTGTCTCAGCCTCCCAAGTAGCTGGGATTACAGGTTCATGCCACCACACCTGGCTAATTTTTGTATTTTTAGTAGAGACGGGGTTTCATCATATTGGTCAGGCTGGTCTCGAACTCCTGACCTCAGGTGATCCGCCTGCCTTGGCCTTCTGGGATTACAGGTGCAAGCCACCACGCCCAGCCGCATTTTTTTTAATTTTTAATTTTTACCTGTTACTGCTGTATTTAGAGCAGAGCGTGGTACACAGAAGCATAAACTTACTTCACCAGCTTGACCAGAAAACTTTTGTTACTTTCACTTTTTCACATTCTGTTTCAGTGGTTTTTTTGTTTGTTTGTTTTTGGGGGTTTTTTTGTTTGTTTTTTTGAGACTGAGTCTTACTCTGTTGCCCAGGCTAGAGCGTGGTGGCATGATGTGAGCTCACTGCAATCTCTGCCTCCTGGGTTCAAGCAATTCTCGTGCCTCAGCCTCCCAAGTAGCTGGGACTACAGGTGTGAGCCACCATGCCTGGCTAATTTTTGTATTTTTAGTAGAGAGGGGTTTCCACCGTGTTGGCCAGGCTGGTCTCGAACTCCTGACCTCAGGTGATCTCCCCACCTTGGCCTCCCAAAGTGTTGGGATTACAGGTGTGAGCCACCATGCCCGGCCTGTTTCAGTGTTATATAAACACAACAAATACTTTAATAATGTTTTTTAAAAGTGTTACACATATTTGAAAATGAAGTCAGACTTTTGGTTGAAGAATGAATGTCCACTTAGTCACATACTTTGAAGATATTAAACTCTACAGAAAATAGCTATTTATATGGGATAATCATATGAATGAATTATGCTTCCAAGAATAAGACAAATTCATCCCTAAATGGAAAACAACAAAAAATGCACAAACATGATAAAGAAATTCTTTATTTTTAGGAGAATTACATAATATCAGACAGACCAATTCCATTTTTTGTATATCTGTAAGTCTAATTTCAGCATATAAGTCTATTTTTAAATAGTATCTCAGGTATATATAGCTTAAACTATATAAACATGTCTGCACAACAAATTTTAAAATTTTCAGTTTATATCTATTTTAAAATGTATGACTAATTTAAAATTATGTTAGTATAATTTTCATTTAAAGTTAAAACTTTATGCATGAACCTTAATGGGGTTACTTTATGATTGTTTAAAATAATCTAACATGTAGAGTTACAAAGAAATACTAATTTTGATAAAAATGTATTCTATATGGATAATTCCAGTCTTAAAAATCTGCTCTTCATCTCAGATAAAAGAGTTTGCTGAACAACAAAGTAAATGATAGGATTAGTTTGTAACCCAAATAATAGAGGAGATATCCAGGTATCCTTATGTAAAGAAATAACTAACTAAATAAGTGGGGGGGAAAGTAACAAGTTTTCCTTCCAGAAGAATTTTAATTAATGTAAAAGGAAATAGAGAAATAGAAAATCACCATTAGAATGCCACAATATTAATTGCCACAGGAAATATCTAGCAATGGATACTAAAATTGGTTTAAGCAGAAACATCATATTTGCATAGTTTCAAAGCATATCCCCCAAGTGTTTATTAATTACAAAGAGAAAAAAGTAACTTTATAGTAGAGAAACGTGGCAGACATTATGTTAACCAAGCGATCAAAATTAACATCACCTTAACATTACTTAAAAATGGCTAACATACTTAAAAATGGCTAACATGGTACATTTTATAAGTTCTTTACCACAATAAAAGAAAAAAGATTAATATCACCAGTAGTGTGACATTGGCATCACATACCTGCTGACGTGATGCACTGAAAAGGATACAATATCATTTCTGCAGTATTTTTCCCAATAATGCATTACCTCAGTTTAATAATGAGAAAACAAAGAATCCCAAACTGAGGGGCATTCTACAAATAACTGGCTAGTACTCTTCAAAAATCTCAAGTCATGATAGACAAGGTAAGAGTAAGGAACTGTCACAGGTGGTAGAGACTAAGGAGCCATAACAAATGCTTTGCAGGATCCTGGATTGGATCCTTGAATAGAAAAAGGACATTGGGGGAAAACTGTTAAATTTGAATAAGATCTGTAGTTTACTTCATAGAATTATACCAAGGTTAATTTCTTAATTTTGATAACTACTATGGTTATATAAGATGTTAGCATTCCGGGAAGTTAGGTGAAGGATATACAGGAACTATCTATAGTATTTTTGCAATTTTATGAGTCTAGAATTATTTCCTAATAAAAAGCCTTTTTGTACAAGACACTTTTCAAGGTTCTTAGGTTATAGCTTTGAATACATAGAAATAGTTATAATATCACTTGACACTTTGGAGAGAGTAATTGCCCTAATTATTTCCATTCTTTGTCTTAATTTGCTGATAGAGACCTGGACTTAATCTCAGCTGGTGTACAGAGTTCTCTCCAAAAACAAGTGGCCTACTTCACATTCAGTGAATTGATATATTCTTATTTTAAGTTATCAGGTAGGATTGGAATTTTCTTGGGAACTTGAAGTCTGAATAAAATTAGAGTGACAAAATTTTCACCTAAGGCAAAAATAAGAAAAATGGTGGCAAAATAATTTTTTATTAAATCGATACATTTTTTAAATTTAAAGGATGGTTTCTTTTATGAGATTGTTATCTTACCTTTTTTTTTCTTTTTTCTTTTTTTCTTTTTTTTTTTTTTTTTTGAGACAGAGTCTTGCTTTGTCGCCAGGCTGGAGTGCAGTGGCATGATCTCAGCTCACTGCAACCTCCACCTCCTGGGTGCAAGCAATTCTCCTGCCTCAGCCTCCCAAGTAGCTGGGACTACAGGCACATACCACCACACCCAGCTAATTTTTGTATTTTTAATAGAGACATGGTTTCACCATGTTGGCCAGGATGGTCTCCATCTCTTGACCTTGTGATCCATCTGCCTCAGCCTCCCAAAGTACTGGTATTACAGGTGTGAGCCACCATGCCCAGCCTATCTTAACCATTTTTATATTAAAATGCCATTTCGTTTATGGAATAATGGTGGCGTGAAGTGGTAGATTTTATCTCATTTAATGTGAAAAAATAAAAAGTTGACAAATCTACATCTTCTGTCCATTGTGTATGTGTGTATATATGTATTCATGAATTTCACTGCTATTTGAATATCAAAGTCTTAAAATCATGAATCTACACCATTTTCTTTTCCTATCCTTGACATTAAGCCAGTTTCCATTGATTATGTTCACATCATTAAGTGTAATGAAACACAGTTAATACAGTAGCTTTTACTTAAGCATGTTTTATTAACTAATTATTGCTTACCCATAAAAATTAATTCTAGGCTGGGCATGGTGCTGTAATCCTAGCACTTTGGGAGGCCAAGGCGGGTGGATCACCTGAGATCAGGAGCTCGAGACCAGCCTGGCCAACATAGCGAAATGCCAACATGGCGAAGCCCCGTCTCTACTAAAAACACAAAATTTAGCTGGGCGTGGTAATGTATACCTGTAGTCCCAGCTACTCAGGAGGCTGAGGCAGGAAGATCACTTGAACCCAGGAGACGGAGTTTGCAGTGAGCCGAGATCATGCCACTGTACTCCAGCCTGGGTGACAGAGCAAGACTTTGTCTCCAAAAAATAAATAAATAAATAAAAATTCTATCTCCTTTTTCATTTAAAGGAAATAGAAATTTCAGCATGCCTTCACCAATTGGAACACAAATACACTGGAACACTTATTCTATGTTTTGTGCAAGAAAACCTTTACTCTAAATCGGAATCATAACTCAATGTATGTAAAATATTTAATATTAAAAATAAAAGCAATTCATTGATATAGTGCATTTGCTTCATCTGTTCTTTAACATTTTAACATTGAAGGCAGCCATAGGTTACACCAGTTCTGCCCTAAGCATCTCTAACATCTAAAAAATAACAGCACTAAATTTTAGTGTATTCCTGGCCAACAGGTAAACAGCCAGGTGGTGCCATTAGGTATCAGTCATTAAGTCCAAGAATGAAGTTTGTATCAATAAACATGATTTGGTATATTTAAGAAGTATTTTAAAAGATAATGCTCTACCCTTAAAATACCAAGAGGATGTATTCTAGTGAGTCTGAATTTACACACATTTTTATAAAATAAGGAATATAATTAAAGCCTCATTAAAGCACACTTTTTTTTTTTTTGAGATGAGGTTTCACTCTTTTGCCCAGGCTGGAGTGCAGAAGTGCAATCATAGCTTACTGCACCCCTGAACTCCTGGGCTTGAGCAATCCTCCTCCTTCAGACTCCTGAGTAGCTGGGACTACAGGTATGAGCCACCATGCCCTTCTCTAAAGCAAACTTTTGACTTTCAAGGCACAGTTAGCAGTGTTGGGAGAATCCCTGAAATATGTTAATGTTTTAACATTGGCTTATTTTAGAATGAGAGGGCTCAGAATAGCTTATGAAATCAAACAGTGGTGATCAAAGAGAAGCTTAAGTTGTCTCCCCACTCCATTTCATTTTATGAATGATTTACTAAAAATGCCACTTTTTCTCAGTTTGCATGTGTTAACTTCAGAATACTCAGAGAGGAAAATGGCTTACAATCAAATCTAGTACTACCTGAAAATGTGTCTTTCCTTAATGCCACTTAATTAGTATTAATGAACTTTTTAATTTTAATGTCTTTTTATTTTATATTTGCTCTACAAACTACAAAATGGTTTACAATAAATGTTGTGTACACTTAATGGCACAAAATAGTTTAGAGTGTTCTGTAACACTTATTAACTACAGCAGGCCTTATGTATTTATGTATTTATGTATTTATTTTTATGTTTTTGAGACAGCGTCTCACTCTGTTGCCCAGGCTGGAGTGCAGTGGCACAATCTCAGCTCACTGCAACCTCCACCTCCCAGGTTCAAGCGATTCTCCAGCCTCAGCCTCTTGAGTACCTGGGATTACAGGTGCGTGCCACCACGACTGACTAATTTTTGTATTTTTAGTAGAGATAGGGTTTTGCCATGTTAGCCAGGGTGATCTCGAACTCCTGACCTCAGGTGATCTGCCTCCCTCCGTCTCCCAGAGTGCTGAGATTACAGCCATGAGCCACGGTGCCCAGCCGTCATACTTTATTTTTTTCCTCACCCACCCTCCATTTCCGTTTTTTCAAATAGATTTTCTCTGGGACTGCAAGGATAGACATCTGGATATAAAAGAGGGAGATTTGAGACTTGCCTATGGCTCCAAACAATCAAGAAATCAAATCTGGCTGGGCGTGGTGGCTTATGCCTGTAATCCCAGTGCTTTGGGTTTCCGAGGCTGGTGGATCACCTGAGGTCAGAAGTTCATGACCAGCCTGGCCAACATGGTGAAACCCCGTCTCTACTAAAAATACCAAAAAATTAGCTGGGCATGGTGGCGCATGCCTGTAATCCTAGCTACTCAGGAGGCTGAGGCAGGAGAATCGCTTGAACCCAGGAGGCAGAGGTTGCAGTGAGCCGAGATCGTGCCATTGCACTCCAGTCTGGGCAACAAGAGAAAAACTCCGTCTCAAAAAAAAAAAAAAAAAAAAAAAAAACAACTACATCTAATTTAATTTTGGAGAACATTCCTAAACTGAATCTCTTTATCCTTATGTCTGCCCTTATTCACATTTGCAAATAAGTGAAATCCTTTTCTTTCTCCACCCTTCCTCCCACCATGATTATTTGTGAAGATCACCATTTACCAGGCATTTCCATGATTATGATTATGAATGATTGCAGGCAAGGTATTGATCAAAGATAATCACTCATCAGGGACAAGAATTTAGAGATTCCTGAATAATAAACTATATCTCTGCTTGTCAAACCTAATCACTTCCCAATATATCAAAAAGGGAAGGTAGTTCTCTTCCCTATGCATGCATAACTTTCTACTGGAAAATAATTTAGAGGCAAATAAAAGGATCTCTCTATGGAACTAAGTATTTCCTGGGCCAGGACCAATGAACTTCTAAGGAAAATGTGAATAATGGCTTATTCATTACTTGCTAGCACAGAGATGGAAAAGCAGAAGTTCCTACCACATATGCATTTATAGAGGGTGACATTTCTTTAAACAGAATTCCAACTGGAGAAAGGGTTATAGATATATGATCTGGGGATCAGGATAACTGCTTTGTATTGAGTAAGCCTAGCCTCACTCTAGGTTTCCCATTTTCACCAAACTAAGTACTCTTATCTTTACTAAAGCTGCAATCTACTACCAGTTTTTGTTTTAATGAGGATGTAACATCTTTGCATACCAAGTATAAAATTTTGCTTCTCTTCTCTCACTGAGCCTGTAAATAGGAGCTACATATAGTCATCAGATACCTGGTCATGGCCCTCTAATCTCTGAGACTTATTCCTATCAGAATTTGGGGGCAAACTGGAGCCAGCCTCCATTTTTATCTCCCCAGTGGCATGAGGGAAAGGGAAGTTGGGCATAAAACGCTTAAGAAAGCGAAACTCACTATTACCAGTGCCAGTGGCTGAACACATTTCATATGGACAAGGCCGAGATAAGGATCCATTGCCTTGTCCTTGTACCAGGTTGTTAGAGAAATTACAGTCATCATAGAAATGCTCTTGAATTGTGAACTTTTCTCTATATTTAATCTTTTGGTAGACATGTATAATGAAGATCACTATGACAGAGAGGAGAAAGAGAAAGGAAAGGATGACCAGAGAAATGACCAAATATTTAGTGGATGGATTTACCTTTCTAGAATGCTTGGTTGGATCCTGGAACTGCAGGTAGGGCTCTGAAAAGCCATCTACCAGCAGGATGTTGAGTGAGACAGTAGTGGAAAGAGCTGGTTGGCCGTGATCCTGAACAAGAATGATCAATTTCTGCATCATGGGGTCTCTCTCAGATATCTGCCTTAATGTATGGATTTCTCCATTTTGTCTTTGAACAGAAAATAACCCAAGGTCAGTGGCCTTAAGTAGATGATATGAAAGCCAAGAATTCTGACCTGAGTCACCATCCACAGCCACCACTTTGGTCACTAGGTAGCCTGCCTCTGCAGACCTGGGCACCAGGTCATTGCAGGGCAAGGTGCCGTTCTGCAGTGGGTATAAGATCATTGGACGATTGTCATTGTCATCTAGGACAACCACTCTGACAGTAACTTGGCTACTCAGTGACAGGAAGCCCCCATCAGTTGCCTTTACCACAAATTGAAAATCTTGAATGGCCTCATAATCCATGGTTCTCAGCGCGTAGAGCTTCCCATTGCCTGAATTTATGGATATGTAAGCAAAGACTGAAAGATCTCCGTTTTTTGGAGGCAACAGAGAATATGTTATTTGGGCATTCTCACCCAAATCAAGATCCTCAGCATGGACTTTGCCAATAAAAACCGCAGGACTGTTGTTTTCTCGAACAGTCAAGATATAGGAATCTTCCCGAAATATTGGAGGATTGTCATTAACGTCGGATATTAGCACCTCTATCATAGTCTCGGCAGACAAGCTAGGTGGTCCAGTATCCATGGCAACAATGGTGATATTATAGCCTGAGACCTCCTCCCGATCCAAGCTTCTGTCAGTGACCAGTGAGTAAGAATTCCCAAATGTAGGTTTGATTACAAAGGGAAGGTCTTCTCTGAGGAAGCAGGTGACTTTTCCTCCCACTCGAATGTCCCGGTCTCTGATAGTGAAAAGGGCTACTACTGTCTGTGGTGGTGAGTCTTCAGGGAGTGGGCTGGACACAGAGGAGACCATCACTTCGGGAGGATTGTCATTCACATCCACCACTTCTACCAGGACTTTGCTGTGGGCAGAGAGGCCTCCACCATCTGTAGCTTGAATGTCAATGTCGTATGTTTCAATGGCTTCAAAATCGAGGGGTCCTCTTAGTCGAACTTCTCCATTTTGAGGGTCAATCTGAAACGTCTTGAGAATTGCTTCTGGGTTTTGAGCTAAAGAGTAAGTTATCGCTTTGTTGGTGCCCTCGTCTAGGTCCACGGCAGTCACCGTGGCCACCAAAGAGCCATTGGGGCTGTTCTCTGATACCTGGGCTCTGTACACCAGTCGCGAGAACTGGGGCACGTGGTCGTTGACATCCAGAACCACCACGTGGATGTGAGCTGTGCCAGACTTAGGCGGGGACCCGCCGTCCACCGCCGTAATTGTCAAGTTGACTTCAGGCTGCTCCTCTCGGTCCAGGGGTTTGTTCAGCACCAGCTCAGCATATTTAGGCCCGTGGCTGCAGAAGCGGGTGTGCAGGTGGAAATACCCATTGGCACTCAGGGTGTAGTTCTGGAGACCGTTAAGGCCCACGTCCAGATCCTGGGCGCTCTGCAGAGGAAAACGTGAACCCAAAGGGGTGCTCTCCGGAATCTTTAAAAGCGGCTCCTTGTTTAGGAAAACTGGGGCATTGTCATTGATATCAAATACCCTGACCTCGGCCCGGAAGGACTGCAGCGGCTCCACCAGGACTACTTCAAAGTGCAGAACACAAGGGTCGGCTTTGCCACAAAGTGACTCCCGATCCAGTTTCTCCTTCACAAACAAATCTCCCGTCTTGCGGTGGAGCCGGAAATGCATTTTGTTGCCCTCGGAAACCAGCCGCGCCCCGCGCGCAGCCAGCTTCCCTACCTCCAGTCCTAGGTCCTTAGCTACGTTGGCCACAAACGAGCCGCTCTCCATTTCCTCTGCCACTGAATAGCGGATAGTTGTCGCATCCCCCACAGATATGCACAGAAAAATGAGAAGAGATCCCACTTGCCTGTTTTGCAAAGATTTTCTGCGCGTACCCGCCATCAGTTCTCACAAGCGCGCTCTCTGCAATCAGAGCCAACTGTTGCGGATATACTTTCACTTTTCTGCAACAGGTTACTGCAACAGCTGCTCTCCGCTTCACTAGCCTCTAACTGCAGCACCACCAAAGGCTAGCCGAGCCCATTAAGCTGTTTTGCACTTGAAAGAAAATTTGCATTGAGCGACTCAACTCCCCAGTCTAGCGAATGTATTAATAGATATGTTCTCATTCCGGAGAGTTAGGTAGAGGTTGAAAGTTTGTTGCCAAAGCAACAACAGACTCACCTGTTAATTCCCTTTCAGGAAAAAAAGTCCTTGGGAATTGAGAAGCCAATGAGATTAGTCGTTCAAGCTGAAGTCATTCTATCTGCTAGCTGTCTGGAGCCACTGAAGCTGTGGGCGAACAGCAACAAGTTTAAGCTACATCTGCACACTCTGCGGTCCATCCAGAGACCAAGAAAGAAGCACAAGGATCCTGCAGAGTCTTCCGAAGCCCAAGCCAAATATATGAGGCAGGGAGCTAGAGAATGTGGAGGAAGTGGTCAGTAGGAAAAGGAATGGGAACAGACATTCTCCTTCAGAAACTTGAGGTCCAGTAAGTACACTGACAGGGGACTAAGCCAACTGACCTCTTGATTTGCACTACGCTATCATGCTACTTCTACGTATTCGCTCCGCCCCCCTCCAAATATCTGTATACACGTGCACAAAGGGAGCAGCTGGCTTGTCACTTATGATTATAATGGCAGTAGTATTTATTGGATATGATTTCCATGTACTGAGACTATGACAAGTGATTTACATGCATTATTTAATTTAATACTTGCAACAACTATATGGAGTAGACATTATTAAAAAAAAAAAAAGACAAAGAAAGTGAGATGGGAGAGGTTATGTCAAGGTCCCCTACCTAGCAAATGTTAGAAATAAAACTCAATTTAATTTTGTCTGACTCCGAAGTCTATGCTCTTAATCAGTACACTACTCTGCTTCCCAGATAATATAATGAATAAATCAAATGAAGATAAATATTTGGTTTTGGATTTTAAAGCAAATAAAATAAGATTGCTTACACATATTGAAAATGACCTAATAGAAATATAGGAGATATTTGTTGAGTTTCCTTTATGATCATAGGATAATAGAATGTTTAATAAGACATTTCAGAAAGATGAGATCCAGTCTCCTTCTCACCCACTCTCCACTTTAAAAAAAAAAAAAAACAGATGAAGAAACTAAGGCCCGAAGTGATGAAGTCACTTGCCCAATTCATACAGCTACTCATGGCAGTGTAAGAACTAGAACTTGTCTTCTGATGCTGTCTCATGCTCATTACCTAAAACATTTGATTTCTCATTTGTGCTCAATACTTTATGTCCCAGGTGCTATAAAATTATGGCCACTTAACGGAAATCTAACTATATTTTCCAATAGGAAAAAAAGAATGAAAGTAGAAAGTGTACAGAACATTAATTACATCCTGACATGAGGGAATTAATGAATCTCTCAATCTCTGTCAGTTATTTTAACACCTGGCTTAAGTGTGCATCCTTAAACAGTTTAGTTTTGCCTCTTTTGAAAACTATATATCTTACTTGAGTATGAGTAGAAATAAAACAAAACTATGTATCAAGTAAAGTGTACAGTAGGTAATCCTTTGAATTTTGTTTCTTTCCCTCATTTTTTAGCTCAATGTAAGATTGGTGTTATCTTTAGCTCTAGTTCATTTATTTCCATTACCGTATAAAATACCAATATATTGTCAATGTCCTTTAGCTAGAGACCATCAGACACACACCTGTAGTTGAACAAAGTTATATTTACTGACTTATTATAACAAGGGAAGCTGTACACCATAGAGAGTCATGGAGCATCTCAGTGAAACGGTGTTAGAAAGAACATATATTTGGTCTTGTGTTAGATGATTTGGGGGAGGTTTGAAGCAGAGTGCTCTGGATTGGATGTCATCATAAGTGGAGTTAACTCTATGATGAGTATATTGATAATTCTTATGTAGAAGGTGAGAGGAAAGGGGTGAGGCTAACTCTGTGATTGGTAAGTAAGCTGAAGTGACTAATACTAGCCAGGACAGAAAGATGTTTGGGCATTTTTGTGGATTGGACAATACTCTTTTTTGTCTGTATTTAGACACACTTATGGTGTGCTCTCATTTTCCTCTTGCTCCATCATAGTCATGGTATGGCCTTGTCTGATACTGGTGTCCTATGAAATCATTTTTTGTTCAACAGAAGATCACTATGTCCTAGCTGTGAGTGTCAGGCCAGCTCCTAGCTCTCGTGGACTGCTTTTGTCTTTTTCAGTATGAATGCAGCAAAATGC
Organism: Homo sapiens; assembly: GCF_000001405.40. Lineage (NCBI taxonomy): Eukaryota > Metazoa > Chordata > Mammalia > Primates > Hominidae > Homo > Homo sapiens. The sequence goes on along the minus strand of NC_000005.10, from coordinate 141,049,133 downwards.
ATTTACCTATTTTATTATTCTGCTGCTCATAGCATATCATTGTACGTGTCACTTTGTGCACATGTATACACATATTTTGGGGGGGAATATATACATAGAAGTAGCATTGATATCATAGGATATGTTCTTTTCAGCTTTACGTGATGTCACCAAACTGCTTTCTAAGAAGTTGTACTGGCTGGGCGTGGTGGCTCACGCCTGTAATCCCAACACTTTGAGAGGCCGAGGCAGACCAATTATGAGGTCAGGAGTTCAAGATGAGCCTGACCAACATGGTGAAACCCCGTCTCTACTGAAAATACAAAAATTAGCCAGGGATGGTTGTGCGTGCCTGTTATCCCAGCTACTCAGGAGGCTGAGGCAGGAGAATCACTTCAACCCAGGAGATGGAGGTTGCAGTGAGCAGAGATCGCGCCATTGCACTCCAGCCTGAGCCACAGAGTGAGACGCCATCCAAAAAAAAAAAAAGTTGTACTGATTTACACTCTCATCAGCAGTGCAACTTCTAGTTGCTCAAATTATTTCCAACACTTAGAATTACTAGTCTTTTAAAATTTTGACCATTCTGGTGAGTGACTGTGTTTACATTTCACTGATTAATTTGCATTTCTCATTAATTATTGATGAAGTAGACACTATTTAATATATTTGTAGTCATTGGAATATCATTTTTTGGGAAGTTTTTGTTCAGTTCTCTTGCCTTTTTTTAACATTGCATTGTTTACCTTTTTTTCTATTAATTTCTATTACTTCTTTATGTTCTATGAGTCCTGAATATATTAAAAAAGATGTTTATGCTTAGTCAATATACATAAACAGAGAATAGCCTTGAGCAATTTCGATAGAAAAAAAAAATGGAGTATACTACCCACTAATGTTATTTAGCATCATCAAAAAGGCTATTGGGGAGGTTTTTTTTAAAAGGAAATATTTATTTAGTGATTCACAAATTATGCAGAAGCTTCTGACATCCTAGGAAGTCTTAATACAATCAATTTCAAAATAATTCATCAAAAAAATTGTAAGTTAACAAATACATTCTTGGCTGGGTGTGGTGGCTCATGCTTGTGATCCTAGTACTTTAGGAGGCTGAGGCAGGAAGATCACTTGAGGCCAGGAGTTTGAGACCAGCCTGGGTAACATAGCAAGACCCTTGTCTCTACATACATACATACATAAATAAGGCATGGTGACAAAGCCTGTAGTCCCAGTTACTTGAGGGGAGAGCATTGCTTGAGGTCAGGAACTTGAGGTTACAGTGAGCTATGACTGTACCACTGCACTCCAGCCTGGGTGACAGAGTCAGTATCTGTCTCAAAACAAAAAAAATTCTTATGAGGTGAAGTTTAAGCAATGCTGCTTTTCTTTTTTTATTTTCTTTTTTTTTGTTAGTTTATTTTTAACTGACAGATAAAATTAATCATAGACAACATAGTATTTTGTAGCATATTTATATTGTAGAATGACTAAATTCAGCTAATTAACATATATATTACCTCACGTAGTTATTATTTTTGTGGTGAGAATATTTACCATCCATGTCTTGGGCATTTTTCAAGAATATGGTACATTGTTATTAACTATAGCCACCATGTTGAATAATAGATCTTTTGAACTTATTTCTCCTAACTGAAATTTTGTATCCTTTTGGCTCTCCAACCTCTCCTTCCTCATCCCAGCCCCTGGCAACCACCATTCTACTCTCTAGTTCTATGAGGTCAACTTTTTAAGATTCCACGTATAAATGAGGTCACACCATTATGAAAAACAGTATAGAAGGTCCTCAAAAAATTAAAAATAGATCTACCATAGAATCCAGCAATCCCACTACTGGGGATATTTTCAAAGGAAATGAAATCAGTATGTTGAAGAGATATCAGCACTCCCATGTTCATTGCAATATTACTCACAATAGCTGAGATATGGAATCAGCCTAAGTGCCCATCGGTGGGTAAATGAATAAAGAAAATGTAGTATATGTACATAATGGAATATTCTTCAGCCTTCACAAAGAAGGAAATCCTGCAATTTGTCACAACATGGATGAACATGAAGGACGTTATGTTAAGTGAAATAAGCCAGGCACAGAAATGCTGCTTTTCAATTCAGTTCCTCTGAATCTTAATCTGTTTGGTTAGCCCCAGGCGATTTATTAATATCTGCTAGATGGAATTAAAATCCAAAATATTTTCTTTTTCCTTGGAAAATGTTAGGACCTTTAAACATGGTGGCAGTTTTTTTTTTTTTTTTAAGCCTGTATACTTTCTGGTGAAGGTAAAATTGGGAACCCACAGACTAAATCTACAGCGTCGTAGCTTGTAAAGTCAGGATCAAAACCTACATGTTGGGAAGAGGGACAACCCACAGTTAGTAGGATATCATGAAGTTTTGGGAGAACAAAAATTCATTTCAAAACTGTATCTTAGTACTAACTTTTAAACTTCAAAAATCTTATTTCAAAATATTTCAGAGTTTTGGAAGAGTTACAAGAGTGTTTGTAATCACTTATGACTTACCCATTGGCTTACCTTAACTAAACTTTAATAAGGCTTCTCTTCTCCCCACAGGTCCCTGAACTTTAGCTGGCCCCAAAACTTGAGCAAGCTCTAAAAAGCAGAACATCTCCCACTTAACAGTTTATTCTGAGAACTGGCCAACCACAGGAGGGAAAATCATATCTCCAGTTAAAGTGCCCTGATCATGCCATCTGCTCATCCTACCCCCTTTGCCCTGCTCCCACACAAAGTTCCTGCTAGCCCTGTTTACGTCTTCTTTTTTAAACTCTTTTTTTAAAATTTGATTTTTAGACATTTGAAGATTTCCATGGTCAGAGGGTCTGTAATAGTCTTTTTTGAATAAAGCTGCTCCTTACCTAAATCCAGATTTGTTTTCATTGAATATAATAATAAATGACCATATTACTTTCACCTAGATTTATCAATTTTGCTACATTTGTACACTTTCTTTTTCATATTTATCTATTACTATATTATGTAATACATTATATATGCACATACATTATTCAAAAATAGTTATCTCTTCCACAGTTTTTATGGGAGATGTATACCTCTTCACTCCAATGGTGCTGAGTTTAGCTGCATGATATGCTTTGACTTTACATTGGGTTCACTATACTTCCCTACCTCTTGACTTTGGAGTTGGCCATATGAGTTATTTTGGCCCTCAATGGGACGTTAAGAGTGTTGTGGGTTGAATTTGTCCCCCAGAAAGATATGTTGAAATCCTAACCACTGGTTCTTGTGAATGTGACCTTATTTGGAAACAGAGTCTTAGCAAATGTAATCAAATTAAAATGAAGTCAAACTTGATTAGGGTGGGCCCCAAATCCAGTGACTGATGTCCTTATAAGGAGAGAGATTTTGGAGACTCATGGACACACATAGGGAAGAAGGCAACATGATGACAGAGACAGAGGTTGGACTGATGCTGCTACAAGGATTGTCCACAACCACCAGAAACTTGGTAGAGTCAAGGAAGGATCTTCCTCTATGCCTTCAGGGGGAGTGGAACCCTGCTGACTTCTTGATTTTGGACGTCTAGCCTCCACAACTGCAGGAGAATAAAATTCCACTGTTTTAAGCTGCTCAATTTGTAGTCATTTCTTGTGGAAGCCCTAAGGAAACTAATACACAGAGTGAAGCAAGTTGTGCTTGCATAATTGGGCTTGTCCTTTTGCTCTTCTGCTACTTTCATAAGAACATTCTCTGGATAGTCTATTGATAAAAGAGTGATGAAAGACACGTGGAACAGCACTGGACACAACCTACATATTGAAGCGGAGCATGGCTGATCTCAGCCTAAATCTTCTGACCCCAAGATGCATCAATGGGAATCAATGTTGCTTTGAGCTACTAATTTTTGAAGTATTTTGTTGCACTACATTCTATGACAATAGCTAACCTATGTAATATGTAAACATTTTATTTTGGCATAGTTAGCTGTAGACATTATGATATCATTCCTAAATATCTCAACAGGTACCTCTTACAAACAGGGACAGTATCCTTCATAACCTCAATACAAATTATCACACTCAGGAAGTTTAACATGAATACAGTGCTATTATCTAATACATACTTCATATTCTAATTTCCCCAGTTGTTCCAAGTATGTTCTTTGTGCTGGTTTTTTTTTTTTAATGTAGGATACAATCAAGGATTGCACATTGATTTTAGTTGTTATGTTTCTCTAGTTTACTTTAAACTGAAACAGGGAAAACATTTTTATGATGCTGTTTTTTAATGACACTAACTTCTTTTTCATGACACCGCTGTTTTTATTTAGTTAGTTATTTATTAAAAAAACTTTTATTGTAGGTTCAGGGGTACATGTGCCGTTTTATTATACGGGTAAACTCATGTCATAGGGGTTTGTTGTACAGATTATTTCATCATTCAGGTACTAAGCCTGGTACCCAATAGTTATTTTCTCTCATCCTCTCTCTCTTCCCACCCTCTACCCTCAAGTAGGCTCCAGTCTCTATTCTCCCTCTTTAGGTCCATGAGTTCTCATCATTTAGCTCCCACTTATACATGAGAACATGCAGTATTTGGTTTTCTGTTCCTACATTAGTTTGCTAGAGATAATAGCATCCAGCTCCATCCATGTTGCCATAAAAGACATGATCTGGTTCTTCTTTATAGCTGCATAGTAGTCCATGGTGTATATGTACCACATTTTCTTTATTCAATCTGTTATTGATGGGCATTTAGGTTGATTCCATGCCTTTGCTATTGTGAATAGTGCTGCAATGAACATTTGTGTGCATGTGTCTGTATGGTAAAATGATGTATATTTCTTTGGGTATATAGCCACTAATGGGATTGCTGGGTCAAATGGTAGTTCTGATTTTAGCTCTTTGAGGAATCACCACATTGCTTTCCACAATGGTTGAACTAATTTACACTCCTACCAACAGTGTATAAGTGCTCCCTTTTCTCTGACACTTCATCAGCATCTGTTATTTTTTTACTTTTTAATAATAGCCATTCTGACTGGTTTGAGAGGGTATCTCATTGTGGTTTTAATTTGCATTTCTCTAATGATCGACACTGATGTTTTTAAAGAGTTGTTTTACAGTATATCCCTCAATTTGGAATTTTTTGTTGTGTTTACCCTTGGTTAGATTGAGGTTAAATATTTTTGCAAAAATACCACATAAGTGATATTGTGTTCTTCTCAATGTATCACATCAGAGGGCATATGATGTCATTTTATTCCATCACTGGTGATATTAAGTTTGGCAATTTGGTTATAAAATGGTGTCCATCAAATTTTTCAGTTGGATAGGTACCTTTTAATTCTTTTTATAATTAATTAGTGATCTGTGGAGAGATTTGAAACTACGAGGATATGCTATTCCCAAAACAATTTTATTAACCATTGATTTCCAACATCCATGAATGATCCTTGCCTTGAATAAATACATATTTGTATATATATATATAGTATAAGTGTATGTGCATACGTATATCTATATGGGATCATGAGACTTACACTTTCAATACATTAATACAGATATCTTTATTTTCCTCCCCTACTTCATATTTTGTATTTTCCTTGTCCCAAAGTGAGAAGCCTTAGTTCACAACAGCATCAATATATTTACCCATCAAAATAAATCTCAAGATATACATTAAAGAATTTTGGAATTATTACACTATTACCTAAGTGCTAATTAACTTTTTTGAAAATCCACTCAGGGAGGCAAGAGAAATGTACTTAGTCGCATATTGAATAACAAATTCTTTTTACCCAATGTTCTTTCCTTTAAGACTCTACATTTTCTGCTTATAAAATTAGTTTAGATCAAAATTGATTCTAACATTAATGTAAAATGTATTGTTTATTTTTATTCATCTTTAAGTCATAGGTTTAAATGTTTCTGAAATTGTTCTGATGATAATTTTTTCACTATTTTCAACTTCTTTTAGAAAAAAAATACCTTAACTAAAATATTGGAGCATCTCTTCTGATTTGTTGCTTCTACTATTGTACCCAAAGTTCAGGTAGTTTTAAAATTTTAATATTGATAATATTTATTGTAATAGTAATTTTAACAGGCAGGTTAATATTTGGGGTCACCTCTAATTTTCATTCATATATACCTTTTAAGCCTGAAAAAAAAAGTCTATTTTTAGGAGTAGGTGTATTTTGAAACATTGAGGTCACACCTGCAGTTGTAAACTTTAGTACTATTTTAAAATTTTATTCTTCCATTGTGTCTTTTCATGCTTTTAAGGTTTCTTATTCATATTAGCAGAAACAGGATGCTTTGGTGGATAGAAGTCCTTTTTAGGCAGCTCAGTTTATTGCAGCTGCTCTTGATCTCCCATCTGTTGCTTTAAATGAGAATGCCTCTTATTGCTCAACCTGTGCATGTGCGTATAAAGTTTCCTTCTCCCACAGTAACACAAGAAGCCATAATATAAACCAATACCACTTATAGACTGGATTTGTAGTACACTCTTGTTTAAAACAGATGTCTTTCATCTTCTTACTATTCATGCTTTTTTTCATATTGGTAGAACAGGCTATGGATGTCTTTCCAGGAAATCTGACAAGTGTTTGGAAACGTCTCAATTTAATCAAATAGAGACTATATTAGAGTGATAATTCTTTCCCTTGATAAGCACTTATCAATTTCTCCTTTTTATAGAAAATTCAGTTAACACCAAAATCAGTACCTACATTTTTATTGAAATTAATATCTATTCAACAAAATTTTGTTTTAAACCTTAAAACAGAAATGGTAACTTTTATGTTAAGTAACTATGCTATTATATTTTTATTCTATGTTAAGACCCATAGAAGAGTAAATGAGAAAATAGCTATAAGAAAAGGAAATACTAACTGGGCTGGTTGACTTATAAAACCAAATGTGCCCTGGGATGGGTCTTTTTTCTGAGAGTGGTAAGATTGTTTGCTTGGGAAAGAATTTTATTTCACTCTCAACTTGCTAGAATTGATTTTACACTGTAACCCATACACCTGAACATACAGTAAGACTCTGAAACAACACTTGAACAAGGTATTTCCCCTATTTTTTCTTGCTATTTATCAAGATCTGTACTTACAAAGCAACTTAAGGTTTCCTCCTCTGAAGCTGGATGTATGTAATTCACAGTAACTTAATCATCACTGTGTAAAATAGTGTAAATAATATACACAGACTAAAAGTAATAAACATACCATAAATTTTCTGTATTTTTAGCACTCTGATAGTTTATGTATTAGGCTTGGAAAAAATAAAAAACAAGAGTTTTCATCCTAGAATTCCCACCACCTCTTACCAATTCCTAAATATAGTCACACTTTTCATCTTCCAGAAACTGAGATCAGAGTAGCACTCTCGGCTAAGCTTCCTGGAATATTTTTGGCTAACAACATAGTGCTTCCTTAGTATTTCTTTCAGTAAAATATACCCTGTGGAAGTTTTAGTAAATATTTCTAAATACCTATATATACAGATACTTTAAAAATACCTATTTGATTACAAGATGTGTTGGAAAAAATGCTTGGAGAAATTTAAACATATTCGTAAATTATTTTGAGTAGAAGCGAGAGATCACTCTGAAAATTCTAAATTTTTCCATTTCTCTTTAAAAATAGGCAGATCTCTCAAAAAAACCACTTCCTGACGCCCCAAATCTTCAATTTGTGTCTTTTAAGTTTTAAGTCTTAATCCAAAGAACCCTTTACACTTTATCAATAGCATTTTCCTCATCTGCCACCAGGTGGCAGGTGGATCCACTTTTCGGAACGCGACCCCGACCCCGCCCTACCGGAAGCTGTCATGTAAAGGAAATCTCTCTGGCCACGCCCAGAGTTCAGCACCATGGCCACGGACAGCGACACCGCCCAGTTCGGTCCCATGACTCGCTGCAGAGATTTTCACCACACAAAGGAAATGGCCAATCCCAACTGGTTCCAAGGGTCGCGTGACTGGCTAATTTACAATGCCAGAGGTGGAGGGGGGTAGGAACCCCTTGTTTTGGGATTTTTAGCCTGGAGGAGGAACAGACTGATATTAAATAATACACCATATTGCAAAATCCTGTGGTTGTTTTTCTCTCTCTACTCTCCAGAATCTCAGTGACTCGTAAATGCTGTCTTGCTGTACAGGGTAAAGGGGCTAGATTACCCAACCTCCGTGTGTTGGTTTATTCCGACAAAATGCGTAAGACAGCAAAGGCGGTACAAAAGTCAGTGTGCGTTATGGCGGCCAATACCTCGGCTTGCACAAAGCTGCCTGTCAGCTTTCCTAAGACACCAGCACTGGGACGGACTACATTTGCTTTTTCTCGATTTCCAATTAATTAATCTCGGAAACACAAACAGCAGCTGATTTTTTTGTTGTTGTTGTTCGCTTGAAATTACTATTTAAGGCAAAGACACTGGAGTGAAACACGAGTGTGTTCTAGAAGTAATGGTTTAGTTGTTATCTTCAGTTGCTTAGCGACTAATTAGACAAGAAGAGAACTTGTGGGTGGGGATTATTTGCGTTTTAGAACGGCAGAAACCAGGGGCAAATGAAAATGAGTTCAGGGGCTAGCGTTTAGAATCAATCTAATTAAATCTCAGTGCTGGGGAAGTAAGCAGCGCTAAAGAGGAACAGTAGGCAGTTAAGGTTCACAGGTGGGTTAAATTAAGCCGAGTTTTTGTTGTAATTTTTCCGTACCATATGGATTGCTTTCTCATTCCCCGTTGTTTTGGCGGCGACAAATTCGGATCTTTAACCAGCAGAGGGCGAGTCGACTGCATTTTTCAGCCCTCAGACACTCCCTCTTCCTCCCTTCTCTGCCCCTGGGAAATTAATTTACTAAGCTCTTCAAATACAGACGAAGCTGAGGAAGGTGTTGTGGAAGGCGAGCAGCGCGCAGGACTTGGCAGAGTGCCCGCCCTGTCAGCCTTGGATGTGTGGCTGCACCGCACTCCTGACGACACGGATCTCCTTGCTTGGGGCTGCAGAGGGGATTGCAGGGGTTGTTGCAGTAGGAAGCGGGGATGAAAAGCACCCCCATGCCCAGACGCCATAGATATTTAGGATCACTAGCTTCAGAGAACTGAGAGGGCCAGAGGTAGCCTAATAAAATGAATGTAAACCATGAAGTTGGAAAAGAGGAAAGAAACCGTTTACGTCTCAGGGCCAATACTCAGTGAGCTGGAACAATAACCAAAAGGGAGGGGCTCTGCTCTGGCTTTGCCTTTCTGGGAAGAAAAATTGGAGGATGAGGAGTAGGGAAAGGGAGAAGATGAGGGCAAAGACTAAAAGTTTGGCTGAGTCATCTTTAAAAGACAAGCAAAGCAAGCCAGCCCAAGGGAAGAGACAATGAAAGCAAGCCTGCCAGAATGCATTGCAGAGCAATAAAGCATGCTGTACAAAGTTAATTTATTGTTGGGCGGAGCCCTCCTCATTCTGGAGGGGCATACCACTTGCTCCAGAGGGATGATTTACTTTGTATTGTAAGACTTTGTAGAATCCCCCTGGCAGGCAGCCAGAACTCCCATTAATTCAGCATGTCCTTTCTCCTTCACATATTTATGTCTCAGAATTCGTCTAACTCGGTTTCAAACTAGTAAAATTAATTTTTTCTGGAGGCACTAAACTAAATTTTATGCAGTATTGCATTTTCTCTCCTTCAGTCATTAAATTTCTGTAGTGCTTGTGTTTAAAGGACACCATTTTATTAATAAATTCAATTCATAAGATAGTATTATATTCCCTTGGAGTTGGTATTGGAGAGGACAACAGTAAGATATCTTAAGATAGATCAACACTTTTCAGAATGCATGATTTGACTCACAGTTTCATGGCCAATTTTACAGATAAATTGCACTGTCATGGTGTTTTGCAGCACACCTGTGTTTCTGTAGCATTTCCCCTGTAAAAGAGCACTTGTAAATTTCCAGTGCATACACCCAAAATTTATTCATGTTGTTTCAAGATCCAAACAAGTGCCTAGTAGTATTGGCTAATATAATCTCCCCATAGAAACAAGAATTATCTTTTTAAAACCTAAGTACTAAGTCAGTGAGCAGGCACTTAATGAAAGAGAATATCCAAATAGCCAATAAGCATATGAAAAGGTTTACAACATCCTTAACTGTTAAAGAAATGGAAATTTAAGCCACAACTAAAAGCCTGTATCCATCCAAGAGCATGGCTAAATAAATAAATAATAAAAGCTGACATTTTCAAGCCTTGGAAAGGATGAAGCAACTCCAACTATCACACAGTACTGGTGGAGTGTAAATTGTTACAATCACTCTGAAAAGCTGGCAGCAATTTACTAAAGTTCAATAAAACATACCCGTAGATATGCACTCTTAGGTATACATCCAACAGAAATGCCTACGTGTATGTACAAAAAGACATAGACAAGAATGTTCATCATAGCTCAAACCTGGAAGCAATCCAAATGGATAAAGATGTTGTTGTTGCCATATACAGTAACATACACAGCAATGACAATTTTTTAAAAACTACTACATGCAACAATATGTATCAGCCTCACAGACATAATGCAATGTTTAGCAGGAAAAAAATCAGAAACAAATTTTTCTATGATTCTATTAATTTAAAGCTCAATAATTGTATAAACTACCCTAAGATGATTAAAGTGAGGATAGTGGTTGCCTCGATGGAGATAAAGACTGGAATGGGGAATGAGGGAGACTTCAGGATTTGGTAATATTCTATTTCTTGACATGAGTGTATTCACTGCAAAAATCTATTAAACTGCACACTATGATTTGTGCATATTAAGTATGGTATATTGCAATAAAAATATACTAAAAAATTTTACTGATGCAAATTGTATGTATTTATGGAGTACATGTGATAGTTTGTTTAAAAGACATAAGACAGATTATGTTGCACCCATGCTTAAAACAATTCAATGTCTTCCCATTGCATTGAGAGTAAAATCTAGATTCCTTAATATGGCCTACAAGGCCCTGCATAAACAAATCCTATCTAAATTTCCAATCTTATTAACCACTTCCTCCCTCAATTACCACACTTCAATTGCCCTGACCTTCCAACAGTTCCTAGAACATTAATCAATCTCTTTTCAGTCTTGGGGTCCTTGAGCTTGCTGTTTTCTTTACCTGGAGTGGGTTATCACCAGCTCTTTGCATGACATGTTCCTTCTAATATGTCAACTCAGATTAATGACGTCTCTTTAAAGAAGCTTTCCTTGACTCCCATCTAAAATCTCTGGGTTATTTTTCTATTTGCTGCCGTGACAAATTGTCACAATGTTAATTTCCCCTTGCTATGTAATATATTCACAGGCGTCAGGACTAGGATGTAGGCATCTTTGAGGGGGACATTATTCTACCTGCCACAGTGCACTTCTTTTATTGATTATAACATTATGCTTATTTTGGTAGAGCACTAATCACAATTTTAAATAACTTTATATATATTTGTTTACTTGTTCACTGTCTAACTTCTCCACTCTAATGTAAATTCTAGTGAGAGCAGAGACCGTATCTGTCCTGTTCTCTTCTGTTTTCCTGGTGCTTAGCATGATAATTGGTACATTGTAGGGGTTCAGTAGGAATTTGTGGAAATAATAAGTAAATTATAAAAATTTAGACTCTGCTTTGATACTTAACAGCCCTGTTTGCTTTTTATCGTTCTTGCTCATATAAAAATATATATTATGTCTCGGCAGTAGAGAAATTTCTGAAGAGATATTAGCATAGATTTTTTTCAACTTCTCCATCATACTAACTCACTATAAAAAATCATGCCTACAGATATGGGCCCATATATGTCATATAGGCCCATATCTGTAAATTGATTGTAAAAATTTACACTCTACCCTATATAGCTTCATATATGTATATACATATATCTTCATAATATAACTTTATGTTTTATTGGCGTTAAAAGGATAGTTCATAAATTGCCACTTCATGGAAAATAGCACATCATAGGACTCATGAAGCTGAAGCAAAAATACTCTAGAATAAAGAGTTAGAATTTGTTACAGTCACATGAGAAAAAATATGGTACATGGGGCTGTAAGTCTGATCCTATGATGTAGCTAGAAAAACAGTTATCTGTCATCAAATAATCATTGCTTATTTCTCTTTTGCCGGGTTGTAATACCAGATACCAGAAAATTTAAAATACTTGTTAATTTATTCATTTATTCAGCAGATATTTATTGAGCACCTATGAAGTGCCAGACACTAGACTCTGGGCATATAGCATCAATAATATATGGTATGCATTATTAGGGAACCCCTGCCTTTAGGGAGCCCAAAAATAGATACACAATATTATATGAAATAGTGGCAAATGTTATAAAGGAGAAGGGGGATGATGAGAAACCAATTAAGGGTTTTTAATGGAGATTTGATTTACATTATAAAAAGATAAGTCTGGCTGTTGTATGGGTAGAAGAAGGGAAATTCATTAGAAGCTCATGGCAATAATGCAGGCCAAAGATAATGGTAGTTTGTACAAGGGTAGGGGTGCTGAAGAAGTTTAAAAAATTGGTTGGGTCTGGAACTTTTTTTTTTAATTGGCATGATTTCATGATGGATTTAATGGAAAATGAAATAATAAAAAAAGAATGCTCTCTGTTTTGAATATCTTAGTGATTGGTGGTGTCATTACTAACATGAGGAAAGTTAGGGTTAGTTTTGGAATGGAAAAATCAACAATTTTATTTTGGACATGCTAAATTTAAAATGCTTGTTAAACATCTAAGTCATATCAAGTGGGCAAATGAATATTTGGATCTGGGGACTTAGAGGAGATACTATATCTACAAATATGAATTTTAAAGTAAAGATTAGGAAAACTATAAAGCAATGAAATGAGGTCACCTGGAAAATTCACGTAGATAGAGAAGATGGTGAATCCTAGCACACATCAGCTTTAGAGGTCTAGAAAATGGAAAGAAGCCAGCAAAGGAGACTGAAGGAGGGAATGACCAGTGTGGTAGGAGGAAATCCAGGAAAGAATGTCCCCTGAGAACCATGTGGAGAAACTGTTTGAAGGAGAAAGGAAATACTGCTTTAGTTTAGTAAAATGAGGCTTGAGATAGAAAGATGGAAACCTCTTGTGACCTTGGCAGAGCAGATTCAATGAAGTAGTAAAATAAAAACCTGATCTAATATGATAATCCATTATGAAAATATTACAGAGCTTGAGTTCATTGTAAATAATGCTACTTGAAGTAGAGGTCATATGAATTGCTAAGATTGATGGTCTATATGCATATAATTAATTAACTTCTAAATTCACTATTTCTTAGTATTAGTAGATCAAAGTATATAGATTGTTTTACTGTAATGATGGCTGCCTAAAGGGAATATTGAGTCATAATTTCTTCATAGCTCTGAAGATACTATTTAATTCTATGATTTGTAACAATGAAAATAATAGTTTTAAATTCTTCCCTTCTTCTGAGATATTACAAATACCTACTCTGGGCCTCAAAATAGAAAAATAAGCTTCCTTTGTGAAGAGCTCTTTGTTAAACTTCCTATTTTACTGAGGACTCCATATGATGCACTGATGTTTGCAAAAGAGTTCTTTTATTACTTGTGTTTGTACCATGATGAGGCTGTTTCCAATAATTGTTGTAATTACTAGGTCTCCTAATCTTGCAAATTGTCCACTCTACAAAGCTCAGTTCCATCTGATGGGCCCAGTAAAGGAGCTTTAGAATGCTGTCACCTGAGCCAGCTCTTTTCCACAGCATTGTTCAATCAAGGGACTTCTCTTCTAAAGATTGTTTTTTACCTAACACTCAATCACCACTCTAGTCATTCAGTTACTAAATATTATTAGGCATCTCCTATGTTTGGCCTCTCCTGGAGTCAGAAAATGTAATGTCGAATGAGATGGATCCCATCCTAGCCTCACAAAACTTAGATCCTAATGGGTAAGACAGACAAAAAAATTGTTACAGCAAATATGTTACAGACCGCCAGCATAAGAATACAGGGTAATAGAAGAACTCAAAACTACAGATGGGAAATGGGAGGCTGGGAAAGGCTGGGCTCTGAAAGATGAAGAGTTATCTAAGCAAAGAGGAAGGAAAACAATTGCAAAAAGCTTGTACAAAGATTTAGAAGCAATGAAAGGATAGTGCATTTGAAGAACACTGTGGAAAAGGGAATAAAATTTATCATTATTTTTCTCTCCTTTAGGGTGACTTGCTTTAATACTTCTTAGTGACCTTCAAACCACCTTAAAAATTGATTATTCATTGTCAGATTTTATTTTTTGCTTGTAAAGGCTATTTATTTTTGTGTAGTAATCAGTATTCATTAGCTAATAAATATTATGATAGTGCTTATCTGTATTAGCTAATATTTCTCTATTATATAATATATAAACTATAAAAATATATAATATATAAATTATAAAAATATATTACCTAATATATAAATTATAAAAATATACAATATATAAATTACAAAAATATTATATAATATATAATAATTAGAGAAATATTAGCTAATACAGATAAGCACTATCATAAGGTGATAATCAATTTTAGTAATATTTTTGAAATTCTTTTCAGATAATTTTCGAACATTTTAAAAGTATTATTCTCTAACTCTTCCAAGATTGCCTAACCACTCCAATTTTTCATTAATTCACTCTCATGAGGCTCTAAGGGGTTTCTGTACAGATTAAGCATTTCCTCTTATTCCAATTCCATAATATGAATCATGATGAATATAATAATTTATCAAGAAATATTTAATAAGTGATGCTTTATTTCTAATATGCTCTGAGTATAACTGAAAGAAATTCAATTTTTCTAAGATTTAATAAACTCAAGATAACACCTAACTGATGATTCATTCTCTTATTATTCCTGGAAATCTGGGTGTGGAAGAGGTAAATGAAAACACATAATTAGGTGTTATGCAGAGTTTAAATTATAATTTTTTTTCTGTGCAAAAGAGAGACCCGGTATAGTTTTAATTTTACATATAAGGAAACTGAAGGCCAGAAAAGTAGAATGTCCAATATTACACCTCAAGTTAGCAAAAAAAAAAAAAGTCCTGGAAATCAGATTCTGACTCAAGTCTAGTGCTTTTCTCATTATGATAATATCTTTGTTCCTCATTTTTTCTTTTTCTTTTCTTTTCTTTTTTTTTTTTTTTTTTGAGACAGGGTCTCACTCTGTTGCCCAGGTTGAAGTGCAATGGCATGATCATGGCTCAGCAGCCTAGAACTCCTGGGCTCAAGCGAACCTCCTGCCTCAGCCTCCAAAGTAGCTATGACTACAAGTGCCTGCCATCAGACCTGGCTAATTTTTTGTTTGTTTGTTTGTTTTTGGTAGAGACAGGGTCTCACTGTGTTGCCCAGGCTGGTCTTGAACTTCTGGCCTCAAGTGATCCTCCTGTCTTGGCCTCCCAAAGTGTTGGGATTATAGGTATGAACTACCACACCTGGCCTCAAAGTGCTTTTGATCTTTAAAAGTTTGAGGGCCACTGCTTAGAAATCCATTTGTTTAGTCAATAAATATTTATAAAGGACCTATGACATTTTAGGATTGTTCTAGGTATTGGGGATACAGCAGTGAATGATTGACAAAAATTTCTGCTTTCTGGGAACTGGAGAGATCATCAGATCACTGATACCAGCTGGGATATTTATAGGACTGGATACATTTGAATTTCTGGTATGTGCACATGTACATGTGTGTGTGTATTCAGCTGGTTTCATTTACATTTGAGTATATGAAGATACAATTTCCATGCAATAAAACTCATTATTTTAAGGGTACAGTCTGACAAGTTTTGACGAACATACATAGTCATTTAACTACCACCACAATAAAAATATAGAATATTTTCATTACCCCGAAAAGTTCTTTCATGCCTCTTTGTATTTAATCCTTTACCCCACCTGCAGCTTCTGATAAAACTGATCTGATTTCTATCCCTGTTTAAATGGAGTCACACAGTAGGTACCTTTTGCAGCTAGCATTTTTCATTTAGCATAATGCTTTGAGATTCATCCACCTTATTGCATGTATCCGTAGTTGGTTCATATCCATTCGTCTCCAATGTTCAGTAATTGAGCTTCAGTTTTCGCATCCTGAGCACAAAGACCAGGTGAAAAGATTTTGAATCAACTAGTGTAGGAAGTCTAGTAGGAGATTCATCAAAGGAGAGACCCTGAGATGAATATAACTTAGTGTTAAGTGAACTAGATATGACTTCCACCCAGGGACTACCAAAAATCCCTAGCTGAAAAATCTGACTGTTCCTGAGACTAACTGTAGGGGCAGGATGGTGGGGAATAGGGATCACAACTAGGGATCTGGAACCGCTTGTGGCTTTCATGTAGGGTTTTTTTTTTTTCCTTAATTGAAATATTGTATCTTATTTTTTTAATTTTTAATTTTTGTGGGTACATAGGTATATTATTTATTCTCATGTAGTTTTGAAGCTTGTATTCACTAGACATGGATAGTTGGGAAAAGAAACAAAACTTCAAGTTGAAAATATAACTTTATGTTGATCTCAAACTTGTAGTACCCCTGGAGCCTGGACAAAGCAAGTACAAATTATCTCTAGAATAATCCACCTTTAACCCAGGCTTCAAATAATTTCTAAATATAGAATTCTAAGGAAAGTGAGCGATTTACCATAAAAAAAACCAATGTCACAAGATACTAGATTGAGATCCAGCAGAAATAAAAACAACTGAAGCAGGCATACAGTGACTTCAGATAATGAAATTATTGAATACAATATAAAAAGATTATATTTAATATATTTAAAGAAATAAAAGATGAGTTTGAAAATAAGCAGAGGGAAAACATCATGAGGAATGAGCAAGCATATTTGGATGAAGAGCACATAAAACTACAAATACAAAAATGTAATAAATAAAAGTTTAAAATTCAGTTAGTAGGTTTAAGAACAAATCAGACATGAATGAAAAAGAATAATAGACTAGAAGACAGGCAGACTGTAGGAAAGACAGAAAAAAGATAGAGATTATAAAAAGAGTTTAAAAGACATAGAAAATGGAGTGAAATGATAAACATAGGTATAATTGCAGTCTCTGAAGGATAAAAGAGGAGTAGAAGCAACATTTAAAGAGATAATTAATTAGAATTTTTCATAATACCAAATCACAAATTCAGAAACCAAATGAATCTCATATAAGATAAAAACAAATAATCACATACATATAGCATAGTATAATTGCAGGACAGTGAAAATGAGAAAGATTATCTTAAAATAGATATAGAAGAGAGATTTCTTAAAGTGGTGACAGACTTCAGCACCATAGGAAAGGTAAATTTTTTTAAAAAATTTAAAAAATAGGATGGACGCTGTGGCTCATGCCTGTAATCCCAACATTTTGGGAGGCCAAGGTGGGTGGATCGCTTGAGGTCACGAGTTCAAGACCAGCCTGGCCAACATGGTGAAACCCTGTCTCTACCAAAAATACAAAGATTAGCCAGGTGTGGTGGCCAGTGCCTGTAATCCCAGCTACTTGGAAGGCTAAGGCAGGAGAATCGTTTGAGCCTGGGAGGTGAAGGTTGCAGTGAGCAGAGAGATTGCACCACTGAACTCCAGCCTGGGTGACAGAGTGAGACTTTGTCTCAAAAATAAATAAATAAATAAATAGTAAATAAAGTAGTGACAGACTGAGAATGAACTCAGCAGCAAAAGAGGAACGTGAAGACAATGGAATGATATTGTCAATGTTCTGATATAAAATAAAGTTAATCTAGAATTCAAAGCCTAGCATAAACATGGAGAAACCCCGTCTCTACTAAAAATACAAAATTAGCCGGCCGTGGTGGTGCATGCCTGTAATTCCAGTTATTTGGGAGGCTGAGGCAGGAAAATCGCCTGAACCCGGGAGGCGGAGATTCCCGTGGGCGGAGATTGCCGTGAGCCGAGATCGCGCCATCGCACTCCAGCCGGGGCAATAAGAGCCAAACTCCATCTCAAAAAAAACCTCAAAAGCAAATATGAAATAAAGACATTTTCAGACCCCAAAAAACGAGTTTGCCACCAACAGACCATACACTAAAGCAATTCTAAAAATTACACTTCAGGCAGTATCTCCTTTTTAAGGCTGAATAATATCCCATGGCATATATTTGTATCACCATTTCTTTGTTTGTTCATCAGCCAATGGACAATTGAGTTGTTTCCATACTTTGGCTCTGTGAGTAATGCTGCAATGAACATGGGAGTGCAGATATCTCTATGAGGTTATGATTTTATTTTCTTTAGGTATACATCCAGGAGAAGAATTGCTGGGTCATATGGTAGTTCTATTTTTAATTTTTTGAGGAATATCCATACCATTTTCTTTAATGGCTATACCAATTTATATTCCCACCAGCAGTGTACAAGTGTCCCTTTTTCTCTAAATTCTTACCAACACTTGCTATCTCTTGTCTATTTGATAATAGCCATCCTAAGAAGGAGACACTGCCATTTACAACAACATGGATGAAACTATGGGATATTATACTAAGTGAAATAAGCCAGACACAGAAGGAGAAATACTGCATGATCTCACTTATATGGAGAATCTAGAAAAAAATCAAATACAGGCCGGGCACGGTGGCTCACACCTCTAATCCCAGCACTTTGGGAGGCCAAGGCGGGCGGATCATCTGAGGTGGGGAGTTCAAGACCAGCCTGGCCAACATAGTGAAACCCCCTCTCTACTAAAAAACTACAAAAATTAGCCAGGCATGGTTGCGGGCGCCTATAATCTCAGCTACTTGGGAGGCTGAGGCAGGAGAATTACTTGAACCTGGGAAGCTGAGGTTGCAGTGAGCTGAGATCACGCCACTGCACTCCAGCCTGGGCGACAGAGTGAGACTCTGTCTTAAATAAATAAATAAATGAAACATAAATAAAAAAGAAAATGCCATCATGATTATGTAGGAGAATGTCGTATTCTTAGGAAGTGTATGCTGCTTTATTTAGCAGTGATGTGTCATGTCTAAAACATACTTTGAAATGATACACCAAAAATTACACAGAGAGGAAGGAAGAGAGTGAAGGACAGAAAGGGAGACAGGGAAGGAAAGGTTAAGGGAGAGAGAAAGAGAGAAGTAAATGTGGCCAATGTTAAATGGTGAATCTTGATGAAAGGAGTATAGAGGTTTATTTTACTATTCTGTTGACTTTTCTATAGGTTTGAACTTTTTAAAATAAATAAAATTGAGCATTGCAATGATCTTTTCAGGCCAAGTACTAATTTCTAAAATGAAGAATAGTGGTTTCAAATGAAGTCATTTGAACCTACAGCCAAGTAGCTATGAGTACTAATTGTTTAAATATAATTATCTTAAAACTTGGGCCGGTTGCAGTGGCTCACCCCTGTAATCCCAGCAATTTAGGAGGCTCAGGCAGGTGGATCACTTGAGGCCAGGAGTTCAAGACCAGCTTGGCCAACATGGTGAAACCTCATCTCTACTAAAAATACGAAAATAAGCCGGACATGGTGGCGTGCACCCGTAATCCCAGCTACCTGGGAGGCTGAGGCATAAGAATCACTTGAACCCGAGAGGTAGAAGTTGCAGTAAGCCAAGATCACACCACTGCACTCCAGCCTGGGCAACAGAGCAAGACTCTGTCTCAAAAATATAATATAATATAATATAATATAATATAATATAATATAATATAACATAATATAATATAATATAATGTAATAATTTTTAAACTATAAAACAGAAATTAGAGGAGAAATTGGAGATAGTCAGTATAGGGAACACTTTCAAGGAATTTTTTGTATAAAGAAGAGAGAAATGTGCAGTAGCTGGAAGGAAAAACGAGGTCAATAAATAGTTACTTTAAGATGTGAGAAATAACAACATGCTTGTATGGTGATGGGAAAGATCCAGTAGGAAAGAGAAAATTGATAATACAGTGGTGGTAGAAAGCAATGTCCTTGAGTACATGACACAGGGAGTTCATCTAGTAGTCACAGAACATAACATACAGTACAAGAGAACAAAGGCAGGTCAGTAGGTCAATGAGATAAGACTTATGGGCAGCTCCTCTGATCACTTCATTTATCAAATTTATTTGAAGTTAGATGCTCTACTGATGGAGGAGTGGGAGGAGTGCTGAAAGTTGGAAAGACATCAGAATGTAGGAATTGGTCAAGGTAGGATGGATGCAGACGAGAGAGTAAATGGGCTAGGAAAATACTATATAATTGCCAGACAACGTTAAGGGCCACTTGAGATTTGTAATCACAAATATAAAATAAGAACAGCTAGCAATATTGTGATGTTTTTCTCCTGCTACATTAACATATGTGAATACAAGCCTGATGTGGGCAAAGTTTTAGGTTTACAAGTCTTTGAATTTATAAATCTAGTTTTTGATTTATGAAGCTTCGGATTTTTATAAGCAAGTATATTAAAGTGAGGGAGGATCATGGATTTTAAGGTATATAAAATGCAGTGATTATAATGATTGACCCCAGACTTTTCACTGGATAAAAAGAATTAGGACATGAAGGTGGTAGGGATGACGAAAAGATGGTAGGACTAATAGATTTTATGTATTGGAATGGTTGGCATTATTTTCGGGTCTTAGAGGGAGTAAGCTGGGAAAATTGTAGGGGGCAATTAGAAAGTTTGATGCTTGAAATTGATACTTAGAAATTAGGAAAGTGTTGCAGTCACTGATAACATAAAGATATTTGACCTTAGATGGGAGTAGGTAGCTGAGGTCAGTAGAGCACTGGGTAATTCAAGGAGAGAAGGTCAAGGAATGGAGAAGGTAGGCTGTTAGAAGAAACATCTATGTGGATATTGAAATCACCAAGTATTATGTTTAGAATAGTACTAGAGAAGATATTGAGCCAGCAGGTAAAATCATCAAGAAATGACAGTGAGTGACATGGGATCAGGAGATGACTGCTACAAGGAGAGGTAGTGGGTGTTAAAATTTGACCGCATGAGATTCTAAGCTGAATGTTGTTAGGCAGAAGGGAGATAGGGAGATCTGGAAGTGGCAAGGTGGGGGGCAAGGTAGGGTGATACAGAAGTGGCAAGTGGTAGGATGATCTGGAAGGAGCAGGGAAGATAATTTCTTACTTCTAGGCCCAGTGGGATTAAAGGCTAAGGAAAAATCACAGCTACATTTTGAGAAGAATAATGGAAATAATCTCCTTAGGGAGAACCAGTGTTCGGTTTAAACAAAGACAGCAAATTTTCAGAAAAGAGGCTGCAAACATAGGGAATTTTGCTAATGACTGACCACAGGGCATAATACAAAGGCTTCAGGAGTTAAGGAAAGATAGAAATAGCGTAAAAAAAATCTACAGAACAACATGGGATTTACTCTCTGAGTGAAAGGAGATGGTCGGGGAGTTCTGAACTTTTGGAAACTGGCATAAACCACGACCTTAATGTTGATGGTCACATAGTGATGGTAAGGCTATAAGTTGGGGGTGAAGGATTTGGATCGTGTCACAAATATACTGAATTCTGGGGCTCTCGCTTAGCTAAAACTGATGTTTTCCTTTAAGCCCAGGGCCACATAGAGACTGTGTTTGACCTGTGCCAATGCAGATATGGAGACCAGAGACAAGGGCATTTGCTGTCTGGTGTGTTTCTTTCCATCTGTCCTGGATATTATCCATAAATGGAGGAATCAAGTTTCTGGCTTTGTACGCTTTTTGAAAACAAATCCATTCCTGAAGCCCTTGCTTCTCAGATGATCAGAATATTGGGATGATAGTTGTGCTGCTGATGCTGCTAGCTCTCACATGGGGCAGTGGCCTGAGAAAACCAAAGGGCGATAAGCATGACTAAAATTTAGCTCTGAGCTGAAGAATATTCATGTTTTCCTGTGGCTAGGATGGGTACTCTTGAAATATGGAAAGTTCAGTTAGAACCTCCCAAATGAATTTTTTTTTTAAGTTTAAAAATTCGCTACTTTTTATCACCAAGATCAGAAACACAATGGCCTAATCAGTAACTGTGGACATTTTGAAACAGCCTAATATTTAAGAGGAAATTAAAAGTAAGCCTTGCTACTATCAATGTTAAAAATCACAAATAGACACACACATATTGAGTCACTGTAATAATTCTCTGGTCCTAGTTCACTGAGTCTCTGCAGATTCAATTTGGCATCAAATAACAGCCCATTCTTCTCTGCCACATTGGTCATTTGGAACTGATGAGGAGACAGATAGCACTTTAGCTGCACAGAAGAAGAAAGAAGTGCTCTAAGGTGACATTTTGTTTTGAAAGAAGTCTGGAGATGTAAGTTTGTCTACCTGTTTTTATAAACAACACTTACCAAAATTGGAGACTTTCACCATAATATCTTTTCTTAAACCAACTTAATTTATTAAGGGTTAAGATACTTGAATTTGCCTTTGGTTATGTCCGTAACACCTAAAACTCATCAAATTATTCTTACCTACAATTTCCTCATCTATGCAAGTGAAAAATAAAACTGCCTGAAAGCATTAAAAGGGACTTCCGAGTCATTGCTGATTCGAAACCAGGGCGCTTCAACTTTAACCTTCAAGATAAGCATGTTCACATCTTCAATTCCAGGCGTTGGCTAACATGCAAGACAAGCAAACTGCTCTCAGAAGAGACCTCACTTATGCAAAGAAGGCAGCCAGAGGCAGATGCCAAATTCAAAGTGGGACCTTGTAAGTAATGATTACAAAATGGATTAGGTTCCTAGAAGGACATGATATATGGACCTAGAGGGATGAACAAGCTTTTGTTAAATAACATGCTAAGATGATGACAGGAATTTAGTTCACCTTGATACCAATTCACCTAAAGTCAATTCTCCTGATGCCAATTTACCCTAATTAATCATCTAAAATTATCATTTTCTAGAGCAGTGGTTCTCAATCCTAGCTATGCATCGAGTGATTCTAACCTGGGGAGTTTTTCAAAACAATGCCCAGGCCACAACCCCAGAGATTCTGATTTATTTGGCTTGTAGTAGAGCCCAGGCATTGTCAGATAAAGTGTAAAACATCAGTTAGATGTAAATTTTAGAGAAAACAAATAATATTTTCATATAAGTATGTCCCAAATATTGTATAGGAGATATTGCATGAGACATACTTAAACTAAAAAGTTATTTGCTATTTATTTGAAATTTAAATTTAACTGGACATCTTATGTTTTCGTTTGTTAAATCTGGCAACTGTATCTGTAATTCTAGGTTTAGCCAGGACTAATAACCACTGCTCTAGTGTATATAGGTCTTATAAACTGGACTGGGTTTATTTAATGTTTTCCAAATAATTTTTCTTTTTTTTGAGACAGGGTCTTACTCTCTCACTCAGGCTGGAGTGCAGTGGCGCGATCTTGGCTTACTGCAACCTCTGCCTCCCAGGTTCACACGATTCTTGTGCCTCAGCCTCCCGAGTAGCTGGGATTACAGGTGCAGGCCACCACGCCCAGCTAATTTATGTATTTTCAGTAGAGAGGGTTTTTCCCATGTTTCCCAGGCTGGTCCTGAACTCCTGGCCTCAATTGATCCACCCGCCTTGGCCTCTCAAAGTGCTGGGATTATAGGCATGAGCCACCGCACACAGGAAATTTTGTTTTTTGTTTCTTTAAAGTATACTTTTCCCATTTCTAGGCAGTTGAATTCATTTTTAGACTGTTAGTTTCTAAAGGACTGTCAAACGTGTTTTATTTTTATATTTCTAATAAAGATTTCTAATATAAACATAATATATTAGATAGGTATGTAATAAATATTTATAATATATAATATATTTTGATTTATCTTATTTAACCCTTTTGAGCATTTACTTCTTTTTGGCCATTTGCTGTTATTTTATATTTCTTTGTGCTTTTTCTTATTAATTTGTAGGAATTACTTATATGTATAGAAATTAGTCCTCTTCTATGATATAAATAACAATATATTTTGTCTTTTGACTTAGTTCATGGTGATTTTTTAATGCAATTTTTAAAATTATATATGCAAAATAAATATTTTCTCTTCTATAACTTCTTAGTATTCTGTTATTCTTATAAAATCTTTCCCCACTTTGAGATTTTTTTTTTCGGTAAATTAACCTTTTTTTAAATTTATTTTTTATTATTATTATACTTTAAGTTTTAGGGTACATGTGCACAATGTGCAGGTTAGTTACATATGTATACATGTGCCATGCTGGTGTGCTGCACCCATTAACTCGTCATTTAGCATTAGGTATATCTCCTAATGCTATCCCTCCCCCGTCCCCCCACCCCAGAACAGTTCCCAGAGTGTGATGTTCCCCTTCTTGTGTCCATGTGTTCTCATTGTTCAATTCCCACCTATGAGTGAGAACGTGCGGTGTTTGTTTTTTTGTCCTTGCGATAGTTTACTGAGAATGATGATTTCCAATTTCATCCATGTCCCTACAAAGGACATGAACTCATCATTTTTTATGGCTGCATAGTATTCCATGGTGTATATGTGCCACATTTTAAAATTCACCCATTTTGTTGCAGAGGCTATAACTCCAATATTCTGCCCTCTTTAGATACAGAATGCTTATTTCTAATGGGTCACATCCTTGCATCAGGTTGTGACCATGTGAGCATGTAATTTTTGTTGTCTTCTTTTGGCCAGTGAGAAATAAACAGAAATGTGGGGTGGGAATTCTGGGAAACCTTAAAAGACTTCCTTCTCTTGTTCCTGCTCCTGAAACGGCTGGATCTAGCAGCCATATTGAACTATGAGAGACCTTGCCAATGTTCCAGGCTAAGGGGGCAGAATAGAAGATATGATCCTAGATCCTTAATGTCACAGTAAAGCTACCTCCACAGCCCTGACTCCCTACGTCCAGGCTTCTTTTTATGAGAGGAATATAATTGCTACCATATTTAAGTCACTTTTATTTTGAATATTTTAAAAATACGCTAACCTAAACTAATCCTAACTGCTACACCACATTTGCTCTTAATAGTTATATTATTTCTCTCTCTCTCTCTCTTTCTCTTTCTGTCTCCTGGTGTATGTGTTTTACTTCCTCTTGAATTTATTTTGGCATATAATTTTTTTCAATATTTTATTGTAGTAAAATACACATAACATTAACCATCTTAACCATTTTTAAATGTATAGTTCAGTAGTATTAAAGGTATGTATTATGTTGTACAGTCATTACCACCATTCATCCATAACTCTTTTCATCTTGTGAAACTAAAACTCTGTACCCATTAAACAATAATTCCCTATTCCTTTCTCCCCACAGTTACTGGCAACAGCCATTCTTTGTCTCTATGACTTTGACTTCTTTAATATTTCATACAAGTAGAATCACACAGTATTTGTCTTTCTGTGACCGGCTTATTTCAGTTAGCATAATGCCCTCAAGGTTCATTCATGTTGTAGAACGTGCCAGAATTGCCTTCCTTTTCTAAAGTTGCATTATATTCCATTGTATGTGTATGACATTTGTTTTTCCATTCATCCATTGATGGACACTTGGGTTGCTTCTACATTTAAGCTATTGTGAATAATGCTGCTGTTAACATGGGTTTACAGATGTCTCTTTAAGACCTTGCTTTCAATTATTTTTGGTATATACCCAAAAGTGGAATTATTGGGTCCTACGGTAATTCGTTTTTAATTTTTTGAGGATTGGTCATATTGTTTTCCACTGTGACTGCATCATTTTACATTCCCATCAATGGTGCACAAGAGTTACAATTTCTCCATACCCTCACTAACACTTGTTATTTTCTGTTTTGTTTTGATAGTAGCTATCCACAAAACAAATGGCTACCATCAAAAGGATATGTGGTAGCCAACCACATCCTGGGTGTGAGATGGTACTTATTGTAGTTTTAATTTGCATTTCCCTGATCATTAGTGATGTTGAGCATCTTTTCATGTGCTTATTGGCCATTTGTATATCTTCTTTGGAGAAATGTCTAGTCAAGTCCTTCTCATTTTTTTTTTAAGACAGAGTCTGGCTCTACAGCCCAGGCTGGAGTGCAGTGGCATGATCTTGGTTCACTGCAACCTCTGCCTCCCAGGCTCAAGCCATCCTCCTACCTCAGCCTCCCGAGTAGCTAGGACTACAGGTGTGCACCACCATGCCCAGCTAATTTTTGTATTTTTTTGTAGAGATGAGGTTTTGCCATGTTCCCCAGGCTGAACTTGAACTCCTGAGCTCAAGCCGTCTGCCTGCCTCAGCTTCCCAAAGTGCCAGGATTGCAGGCATGAGCCATCACTCCCAACCTTCATTTTTGAATTGGGCTGTCTGTTTTTTGTTGTTGAATTTTTGGTGTTTTTCTATATATTCTGAAGGTGTATATCCTTTTATAAAGTAATACATGCTAATTTTAAAAGACACAAAGATGCGTATAATCAGAAAGAAGATATAGACTTTGTACCACTACTTAAAAATATACATTAAGAATTTTGATATATTTCCTTCTAGTCTTTTTTTCTTTATTTTCTTTTCCTTTCTTCTTCTTTTTTTTTTTTTTTTCCTTCAGACAGGGTCTCACTCTGTCAACCAGGCTGGAGTGGGATTGTGCAATCATAGCTCAATACAACCTTGAATTCCTGGGCTCAAGGGATCCTCCCTTCTCAACCTTCCAAGTAGCTGAGACTACAGGGATACACCACCATGCCCAGCTAATTAAAAAAAATTTTTTTTAGAAATGGGGTCTCACTATGTTGCCCAGGTTGGTCTCAAACTTCTCAAGCAATCCTCCTGACTTGGCCTCCCAAAGTGCTGGGATAACAAGCATGAGCCACTATGTCTGGCCCAGTCTTTTTTCTTTGTATTTTACTTTATATAGCAAAGTACTTGGTTCATAATAGTTGCTAAAAAATATTGGTTGAATAATTGAAGTATGTATATTCTTTTACATTTTGATTTTTGCCTTTTAAGGACAACTTCATTAGTACATGGAGCATAGGTTCATAACCATTATTATATCATTACTAATAAAAATATAATGAAGATATTAGTGCATATGGCTTTGTCTAAATGTAATTTCCAGGAATGGAGAAAACACTTTAAACATCTTTAACGCTTCGGGTACACAATGGCACAGTGTTGAATTTTGATGGTCATTAATAAATAATATTCCTCTTTGAAGCCAATATTTAAAGCAATAGAGGTATGAAACATAGAAGAAGGCAAATGGAGACCAAAATATCCTATTTATCACTAATAAATCTCATATTAGAAATATATTTGTATCTCCAGGCAAATATGCATCTTCTACAGACCTGCAGAATTAAACCCAGGGCAGGCCTCCCTGTCACACCAGCAGGAGTAGAGCAGGGGCTCCGGGTGAAGAGTTTGATCCAAGAAGAAGAAAAGAGAACAGGAATGATTTATGCATGCCCGGTGTACCCTTTCAGTTCATTTACCGGGTAAATATTTTCCCCGAAAAAAGAGGGATCCGGTATAGAAAGGCTAGAAACATCAAGTCATCAGAGCTCCCCAAGAATGGAAAAAGGAGTGGAGAGAAAGTGTTACTGCACATCTTTATAAGAACTAAAAATTGGAATTTTTCAAACTTCTTAATAATGTAATAAGTAACAAATGGTATCTAATTGTTTCAAGTTTCTACTTCTGATTACTAATGAAGTTGAACATTTTCCTCAACATTTAAAAATTGGTTGGTGAATCATCTGTTCATATGTCTTGGAGCTTGAGTATTTTTCTTATCTATTTGTATGATTTCTTTATGTAATTCAAATAATCTTTTATTGTACTTTCTGTTAATATTTTTGGCAATGTTTTGCCTTTTAATTTGGGGATATAAAATAAATTTATGTAATCAAATCTATTCCATTATTTGTGCTTTAATTTATTGCCTTTAAGCTTAGAAAATCCTTCTCCCCATAATGGACATGCACTTTTGTTTTACTCTAGTTCTTTATGGTTTAATTTATATTTACTTATTTAATCCAACTGATATTTTTGGGTTTTGTATAGTATGGGTAAAAACTCTTTTGTCTGCCTTCAACCTACCTGCATTTCTAAGTTTTCTCCTTTTAGCCCTCTGTGTTCTCACTGACTCCATAGACAAGCAAAGAGGGAAAGAAGTGAAAAAGAAATAAAAATTATGTGATTTTTATTTTCTTAATTAGAAGGGAACAGTCATTTCTGCAAGCAATCAAGTTTCTGTAGACACTTTTCCTTTCTCTGATCAGTAGCCTAAGATGCACGTGGTTTTTTCTTTCTTTCTTTTCTCTCTTTTTTTTTTTAAGATTGAGTTTCACTCTTGTTGCCCAGGCTGGAGTCAATGGCATGATCTCGGCTCACCGCAACCTCTGCCTTCCGGGTTCTAGCAATTCTCCTGCCTCAATGGGTGGGTGGATTACAGGCACCCACCACCATGCCTGGCTAATTTTTTGTATTTTTACTAGAGAAGGGGTTTCATCATGTTGGCCAGGCTAGTCTGGAACTCCTGACCTCAGATGATCCACCTGCCTTGGCCTCCCAAAGTGCTGGGATTACAGGCATGAGCCACCACACCCAGCCAACATATGTTTTCTTACAATAAAAGTAACTTTGAAAGTATCCAGTATAAACTCTAAAAATGGAAGAGAAAAAATTATCAACTTACTTTTAAGGCATACAAATATACTCAGAAAAGAGTAAACTTGTGTTTTCATATGGCCCATATGAAATGCCTTGAATTGGAAAAATTAAATTGTTACCTAATTAAACATTAAGTCAATTTTAATTTTTTTAATTGTTGATTTTCTTAGTTGTTATTGAGAATTTCAACCATAACCTGACTCTCACTGGAGATGAGTAGATTACAAAGACATTTAATAAGGATAGTATGGGAAGAAGGTAAAGAAAAAGAATCATAAAGAGAGAAAAAAATGGTGAGGTGGGTAGAAAGAATCAATGGGGAAGAGAAAGAGTATAGGAAAGAGGATGAATTGGGGAACTGGGAGGAGAAGGAAAGAGAAGAAAGAGAAAGAAACAGAAAATGATCCTCAATCACTCAAAATGGGCTCAGGTGCCATATTGTCAACTTTTAAAAAATGGCTTATATTTATTTAGTGCTTCCCCTGAGCCTGACCCTGATCTAAGCTCTTTATAGATACTAATTATTTCAACTCAATTATCTTTTCTGTATACAGTTAGACATTAGTGTCAAAATTTACTTTGTTGGTATTATTAACATGCATTACCAAATCTTTCAATAGATCTAAGACTCCGTAAAGCAGGCTTGAGGTCTGCTATATGGGGAGTTAATCATACTTCTATTAAGGTACCCAGGAAACTAAAAACAATGATATGTTGGCTCCTTTTCCAAAAAGTATGGATGGCAAAATCTTGCACCCTTCTATTTGGCCATTATGAGGACTGAAGGGGGGAGCTCTAGAGCCAAGGCATTTGGCCTACTGTATTTGATAGTTTCTAAGCTCCTGATCCAACAAGCCCTCTGGGACACAGGCCTAATGCACTATGTTCCTTCTACTGAAATGTCAAGTCTGCATTTATTACAGTAATTATCCATTGCATGAATATATGGACTGAACATTGATTCTGAGATCACACATTGTAATATATCTAATATATCCACTGGGCCAAATAACACTCAATTTTTCACACTGTTTTAAAGCCAAATTTGCTACTCAGATACTTAAAGGCACCTTGTATTCTGGTAAATAGTTGACACCATAAGTCAGATCAGTCAAATCATAATCTTTTGATGGAAGAGATGGAAAAAAGGTGCATTTTTATGGTAAAGAAATGCAAATTAAATCATAATCCTTTGATTATCATGTTTTCAAAGATGAGAAAGACTCTTAAGATCCAGTGTTGGGCAAGGTGTAGAAGAAATTCTCATAAACTTTTGGCAAGAGTATACTGCATTACCAGAGGCCAATTTTGAAATATATATATAAGAAGTTTAATGTATATATTTGATACTTAGTAATTCTACTTTTTGAAAATTATCCTGAGGTAATAACTGGACTTACATGCCAAATGTGGTAAAAGACTATTCATGGTAGTAAAAATTTGAAAAAACCTTTATTGTCTATTAATGGAGAACTAGTTAAATAAATTATACTATAGCTATATCATGAAATACTAATATAAATAATTAAAAGGATTTATATTTATGTGGAAAAAAAGCAAGTTACAGAAACTAAGACCAGTATGATCCTTTAAAAACTATATACATATTTACAGAAAAATGCATCTTCTCCCTCTTGATGCTCTCTTGTACGCAAAGGGAACTTGGAGTCACACTCTTAACTTTTCCATACCCCTTTATTCACTCTGCTTCAGGAGGTTTTAGGGACGTATTTGATTGGCAACTTGGGTAAGAATAAATGGTTAATACTTGGCTCAGCACTGCCTCTTTTCCTCCTGGAGTTAAGCTTTCTGCTGGGAATAATAGTTCTTTTCTGTTCAACACTGTCTTTCTTGCCAGACACTGGGATTAAAAATTTGACTAATTCTGGGGTTCATCTAGCAGTCCCATTTGGCACTCACACTAATCTACATTCTCTAACATCTTTATTATTAATAAAAGGAATATTTTTGCCTTATGATGCCATTCTTTTGTCTTATTTATCAATTAATTCAGTACCCTGGACAAGAGAGAAGGCTGCTATTTATTGAGTCCTTTCAAGCACCCAGTTACAAATGCATGAAAAAAGGAATGGAGAAATAGATGCCAAACTCTTAATGGTGCCTCTCAGGAGATACTTCACTTGCTACTTTCCAAATTCTGGACATCTGTATATTTTATTTTTTAAAAAAATAAAAGCTTGTTTTACTTTTAGAATCAATAAAGGGAAATCAATATTGATATTTCATCTTGAATAAAAAGATTAATAAAACATATATAACAATGAAATACTACTCTCTATATAAAATTAACATGACCTCCCTAAATTGTACTACTTTTGGCTCTCAAACATATAATGAAATGAGTATTGTCATTCACTCCTGGTGGCCTCTAGCTGTGCAGTAGAGTGGTAACAGGAGAATAGCTGCCTTGTCATTGACTAGCTGTGTAACATTGAATGAGTCATTCCCCTTTCTGTGAGCCTCAATTTTCTCATTTGTTAAATAAGTTTCCTTGGGGCCCTAAGTTTCTAAGATTCTATACACTGATGTTTAATATACTAACAGTATCTGGGGAATATCAGCTATCAGCAAGCTATTAAAGTTGTCTCTAAGTATCCGATCTCCTTTTTTCTGAGAATTCTCCTTCCTACCCACAGTCCTCTGGCCCATGGCTGATGGGCTACCTGACTCAAGGTGATCCAATTAGTTTTTCTTTCCAGGAAGAAGTTAGAACTAGGAATTAGAAACAGAAAGTATGTGGCCGGGTGCGGCGGCTCACGCCTGTAATCCCAGCACTTTGGGAGGCCAAGGTGGGCGGATCACAAGGTCAGGTGTTTGAGACCAGCCTGGCCAATATGGTGAAACTCCGTCTCTACTAAAAATACAAAAATTAGCCAGGTGTGGTGGTGAGCGCCTGTAGTCCCAGCTACTCGGGAGGCTGAGGCAGGAGAATCACTTGAATCCGAGAGGAGGAGTTTGCAGTGAGCTGAGATTGCGCCATTGCACTCCAGCCTGGGTGAGAGCGAGACTCCGTCTCAAAAAAAAAAAAAAAAAAAAAAAAAGAAGAGAAAAAAGAAACAGAACGTAGGTTTTTATGGGCCACTAGAACCTAGTGTGTATAAATTTAGAAGCTGTGGCAAAGAGAAGGAGAGGGAGCTGATCTGTAGAGACAGGAAGAATGAAACAGATTAAGAGAGATAATTAGAGAAGATAAATTTAAAAAGGAATTTTTCTGGCTTCCAAGTTACTGGTTCCAGAGGCCTAAACTTACTCCCATTCTTAGTTTCAATGAAACAAATTTGTGTCCTTATAATAAATCATCCTTTTTAGCTTAAACTAGATGGTGTTGGTTTCTTTAACTCACAACCCAAGAATCTATTTTAAAATGCACATCTCTGTCAGCAAAAATGGTCTCATTCCATAGCCCCTTGGCCCTATCATTCCAAATCTATGCAAAGAAAGTACCTGAATGATCCTAATTTTATTTGTTTAACCTGTACAAGGCTTCCTCCCCATCCTATAAGCATCCCCAGGAAAAATCTAGCACTGCCTATCCCAGCTACTGATCCCAAGTATATGGACCACCCACCTATGTCCTAGAACCGACTTACCAGATATCTGGTTGGGCTCTAAGCTAGCATACTACTGTGAAAAGTGTGAAAGGAAGGCTAGGACTTCCAGACTCCAAGATTTCTGAAAAATTGATCATAGGCTTGAGGAGGACCAAGAGGAAGGTGATCTGGAAAGCTACAGCAGTTGGGAAGAAATGTGTGCTGTGTCTGGCTGATGAATTCTATTAGCCATAGAGAATGGAATAAACCTGATTTAGGAATGCAGTTCTTTCTTTTTTTTCTTTGAGACAGTGTATTGCTCTGTAACCCAGGCTGGAGTACAGTGATGTGACTGATTATAGCTCACTGTAATCTCAAACTCCTGGGCTCAAGCAATCCTCCTGCCTCAGCCTCCAAAAGTGTTGGGATTACAGGCATTAGCCACTGAACCCAGACTGGAATTACGTCTTGAAAGGCTGATTTAAGGGATAAAATAGTATCAATAATTTCATAAGGAAGGTTTCCTGAAGTTTATAGCCAGATGGTTTTGTAACTGAGATTTTTTAAATACATGAATGGCTGCCTTGATTTTTGGCTGTCTTGGATTCATTACTTGATAAGCAATTTGTTTTTCTTAAAATGAAATAAGCTCCACTGGTACAAAGTTAATATGTCTACCCTCAGGTAACATGTAACAACCTAGAAAAAAGTTAGACTGCTTTCTACCCAATGTTCAACCAGATTATATTAAAATATCACAGGTCTAAGCAAGTATTTGAATTGTCTTTGAGACTTCTTCTTTCATACATACATTTCAATCTGTGATTGAATGGAGAAGTCTTTGGATGAAATGAAGCTCCCATGAAATTATTCTGGATAAGTAAATGAAGACATATCTTTCTAACATTTTTCTGTTTTTCTTGTGAATGTCTGTTTTTCACCATTCATCTACAAATAGAGCCACAATTCAACGTTGAATACTAGAACTGAGTGAGTTCCAGTAAAGGAATGTGATTATTGTGGAGGGAGTCACATAAAGTTCATAATAGTCTTCCAAACGTCCTTTTTGTAATACACCTAGACCAGGTTTTATAAAGCTCAGGTGCTAAATTTATAATTGTGAACAAGTGCTATTTTTGGTTTTGAGTAGCAAAAATCTAGAAAAATTAAATGCCTTATGACATTATGATCTGGCCATTATGTGGAATTTATACAGGCATTAAAAAGAGTGATGTAGAGTTGAACTGAAAAAAATCTTCATGTTATTGTAAATTAAAAGAAAAATCTACAGGGCAACAAGCATGGCATCATTTTGTTTTTATATAAAAAAGAAAACAGGCTGGGCGCGGTGGCTCATGCCTGTAATCCTAGCACTTTGGGAGGCCGAGGCGGGCAGATCACCTGAGGTCAGGAGTTCGAGACCAGCCTGGCCAACATGGTGAAACCCTGTCTCTACTAAAAATACAAAAGAAATTATCTGGGCCTGGTGGCACACGCCTGTAGTCCCAGCTACTTGGGAGGCTGAGGCAGGAGAATTGCTTGAACCCGGGAGGCAGAGGTTGCAGTGAGCTGAGATCGCACCACTGCACTCTAGCCTAGGCAACAGAGTGAGATCCTGTCTCAAAGAAAAAAAAGGAAAACAATTATTTTTAAAACTATGTGTATGTGATATAAATGTGTGTGTATAGAGAAAAATGCAGAGAAACACATTTGAAATTGTTAAAATTGGATACCCATGTAAGAGAGAATTGAAAGAAGATGGTGAGATTAATAATTTTTCTTTATATATCTCTGGTTTATTTGATTTATTTTAAAGAACACGTATTACCTTTTATAATAAAAATTCAATTTCACATAAAACTAAATAAAGTAAGTCTAGTGAAAGCAAACTCTAAAACGAGAACTGTTGTGTCAGTCTCCCATATATTTATGCTTCGGGTGCCAATTGTTTTAGCTCTGCTCTAAGACCAGCTACTGGCTGAGTGGTTGTCTGACTTGCTCATGTTCTTTGTGGATTGATGATCCCCAAGTCACCCGACAATTGTGTAACCTAACAAAATGCTGGACTTTATGTTTTTCACTACCTACTCTTTCTTATTTCTTTATGCAAACTAGACTCATATTATGAAAGTAAATTTACTAGTGTCCAGCTCAGAGGAGCTTAAGTTCAAAGACAAGGTGATAGACTTTATTAGGCAAAAAACTTTTAAGATTTCATACGTCAGCAGGCATTTCCCAATGGATCAACCCCAAGAGAAAATGGGACCCAGCAAACATTTTACCTGACTGATTATAACAAAAAGGTTGCTATGTACCACTCTTAGGCACAGTTTCAAAAGGAGGACAGCACCATGCTCATTTGCTAAAGCCCCCTCCTAGTTACAGTAAGAACCTCTGTGCATGTGCATGTGTGTCAGCATGTGTGCGTGTGCATGTGTGTGCACGCGTGTGTGCACGTATGACTGTGCGCACGCGTGTGTGTGTGCGCGTGTGTGTGTGTGTGTGCATAAAGCCAGAAGAAATTTCTCAGGTTGCAAGTTGTGTCCTGCCAGCCAACAGTCAAGGTAATTTTGAGGGAAATAACATAATCAGCTTTTTCTACAAGGAAAGGAAGCACATGAAAATATGATGAAATAGGTCAAAGAGTGGCCAACTTATTTCCATTTCCATTTCCTGGAAAAGCTCCAGGGACTGAAAGTCTTGAGGAACTGTATCTGTAGTTTTGTTTGTTTACTTGTTTTATTGTATCTCTTAATGTTTGCATGGTTTTTAAATCTAGATTTAACAGTAAAATTGCATTAGTGTTTGGTCAGTTACATTTGTACTTTAGATTGGGGTTTATAACAAACATAATGTTTATAATTTAAACGTAAAATACATTAACATGAGATCCTGGCACTTACAATCTTACCTAGGAGCCTAAAATTCAAAGCCAAGGCTCTAGACACTCATTGGAGAATCTCATCCTTTAAAATTAGATCAATTGCAATATTTCTAAAGAATGAATCCTGCACTCTGTATATGTGAGACTTATATCAAGTAGCCTGACCCTTGAGAGAGATGCACCTGTCTTGTCCTTTATTGCCTGTGAAATCCCAGGCAAGTCTGTGGGTAATTTGGCATTTCTGTTTTGCTCATCTGCCGAAAGAAGTTGTTGGAGGTGACTCTTCTCTTTCTCTCTCAAGCTGTTGTACTTCAAACCCTTTGGTTTCTGGCTTTCAGATCACCAATAATTGAGGTGAAATAGCTGCAAACAGACTGGCCACTTGACTACTTAGGGATTTGATTATTATTATGATAGAAATAGGTAAGGAGTTATGAAACTGACTTTATTTCTTTTCCTCCTGGGGTGAGCAAAAGAGCGGAGGAGTAAATAAAATATTTTTATTGCCAAGACTATGTTGATTTTTTTGGCCATCCCTCATTCACATTTTAGTCAGTAGGAAAAGTTCCCTGGGTCTAATAGCTAAATCTCTGAAAAGGGGGTAAGGAAATGGAAGAAAAGGATTAATAAATAATAATATTTATTGAGTACTATGGTGTGCCAGACCTGCTAAAACCTTTTAAGATTACCTCACAAATCTATAAGGTCTGTATTATAATTATGACCAGTTTAGAGATGACTGAAAAACTGAGAGAAGTAGTGGTTTGCCTCAAATTCCCCATCTAGTTAGTGGCACAGCTATACCAGTTTATTTATAGAGTCCCTATAAATCCCAGTTAGCCTGGGACAGTCCCAGTTTACATCTTGAATCCTGAAGTAATAACGAATGGTGTCTCCTGTTCCATTTCAAAAGTGGACTACACAAATTATATGGTCACTCTATCTCAAGGTTTCTCAATCTTGATTTGAGACATTGACATGTTGGGCTGTAAGATCCTTTGTTATAGGGGGCTGTCCTGTGCATTGCCAGGTGTTTCACAGCATCGTTGCCCCCTACCCAGTAGATGCCAATAGCACCCTCCACTTCAAGTAATGAAAAGCAACAATGACTTCAGACGTTGCCAAATGTCCCCAGGAGGGCAAAATTGCTCCTAACTGAGAACCTACAGCATCTAAAGCTTATATTTATACAAATTTAACTACAAAAGGACAAAACAATCTATTTGTCACAGCTGAACCTATGCAGTAGTGTGGCTGGCATACACCCTGTACTCAATAAAAGTTATTTCTTTTTGTACAGATGGGATCTCGCTATGCTGCCCAGGCTGATCTTGAACTCCTGGCCTCAAGCCATCCTCTGGCCTTGGCCTTCCAAAGTTCTGAGATTACAGGCAAGAGCCACTATCCCTGACCTAAAAGTTCATTTCTTTGGGGTGTCACTTGGCTTTCCAATTGTAGAGAGGTGCAAGGGCTAAACAAGTAATGAAAAAGATGCCTAGAAGGGCTCTTGTGATAAAAATGGGTTTGTTGCAATTCTTATTAGAGAAAACTGAAATAGTGTAACTACAAAGTGACGCAGCAACCTCCTGGCTGCCCATTCTAATGATATGAAGTTTGAATCTTGATTCCACTGGGGCTTTTGCCTTAGTAATGGACATAAAAGCTAACGTGATAAGAGAGTGTTACAGTGAGTTTCATACTGCAGCAATCTTCTTCAGTATTAATTGCTTATCAGTGTTCTATTTCCTCCTATTCTTAGAAATGACCACCATTTCTTTCATACCACCATTTTCATTTATTAGCAATAACAGAGGAAATACCAATAGCACCAATTCAAAATGAATCCACATGACGTGTTTTATCCTTACAGCTGTAATAACTAGTAACTAACATGGATTGGAAAGCACTTCGCAAATGTAAAAAGTGCTGTACAGATACATTATAATTATCATCATTAATAAATTAGCCCGATTCTCCTAGTTCAAAAGGCACGTAAGGTCAGATACATGGGCTTCAGTGGGGCAAAATGATCACAACCTACAATGTAGCAATGGTTCACATGTGTTGGTAACAAGTTTTACCCCATGCAATCCTGCAGAGCTGAAGTTACACACCCTTCAAAATATGGGAGAATGAAGCTAAAAGTAGACAAGACAGTTTTTTTTTAAATTTAATGCTTTTTTTAAATAACAGACTCCTACCTCTTTTATATTAATGCCTAAATAGATAATATAATTAATCAAACTTCTAAATTGTACATTATAACAAAATTAAAATGTCTTATTTAAGGTGACAGCAAATTTTGTTACTTTCTATGAGCTGATATTTCAGATACCATTAGAATTTCAAAGCATTCTGCAACTTCAAAGAGGTCAGATTGGTAAAATTTGTGCTTGCACACCCTCATGGAATATTGTCAGTATTCATTCCAAAATTGTTACTAGAACAAAACAGCTTTATCCATTCCCTTGCCAGCAGAAGTCTTGGCACGAGATGGCTCTTGGCTGGACCATAAATAAAATTCCTTGAATCACCAGTATCTTGATTTAAGAAAGAAATTTTACTGTGTCTTTCATACACAAAAGCTGATTAACAATGGTTAAAAAAACACTACTCCACTTTTTCACAGGTGTACAAAAGGAAATATAATGGAATTACATTCAACAATAAAGCTTAAAGTTCACTCTAGGTAATAGTTGCATTAACATTCACATACACAAGCACAGAGTAAGTATATTTCAGGAGTCTTAGCATAGCATACAGCATACATATGGGAGATTGATTTCAGGTAACATCATAGGTGTTAGTAAGATTAGCAATTCAGAGTGTTATAGAAAAGGAAAACTAAACCAAAGAGAAGGTGTAGGCTAGCACACCAAGACAAGTCACAGAATTAGTAGATTGAAAAATCTGCTCACTGTATGAGAAAACAATATTTTTCTTCAATTTTTGGGTCTTGATATATAGTTGGTTAGAGAAGGTTGTGTATCAAAGTGCACATAATTGTTTCTTAGAAAAGAGAGAGAGAGAGAGAAAGAGAGATCATTTTATTTAGTAATACATGCAAGAGGCAGCCCCAGAGTGACCTGAAAGAGTAAAGCTGTGATTGGCAGGTGGCCGATATAATACAGATGTTTCAGGCAATTCTCTTAAAGCACTTCTGTAGCAGCAATGATCATTTAAATGGCTGTAGACTGAATTCTCTTTTGAGGAGAGTTTAGGGGAATTGTATTCATATTTCTCTTTAAAGATTTATAGCTATAGACTTTCTCTTTTTTTAAATAAATCTATGAAACAACAAACAGCGAAAGGTGAGGTGTCGGGGTTTTCTTTTGCTTTTGCATAAGTATTGGAAAAGGATCTGGCCTTTTCATAAACATTGTGTGCAAAAGAATTTTTAATAAAGTGAGCACAGGACATGTATAGGAAACACATCAGATCTGCTTCTGTTTCCCAGGGTGGTTCTCTGTTAAAACACTGAACTGTTGGCTTGCAGGTATGATGCAGATTTTAGGTATAATGACGTCACAGCCAACAGACTTTAGGGTCTCCTAAAGCCTTGTCAGTGGGGGTAGTTTTGTCTCCTAGAGGGTGGCTGCCACCTCTTGAGTTGTAAGATTTAGAAAGTCTGGTCCCTTTAAGTTTACACTTCCCCTCCATACTGATAACTTCCGCTGTTTATTTGTCTTTGTTTTCTTGCCTTCCTTGTACCAATTAGTCTAAGCTGGCTCGTCTCAGCCAATATCTGGCACTCGCATACCCGCGGTAGCCACACATACCCAGTGGCCACAAACTCCCAAGCTGCTCAATCTCAAAACTTTTCAGCCTGCCCTGCAAGTGTCATCAAGACAGGATCCCCGGAGCACAGGGCAGAGAGTCCA
This sequence comes from Homo sapiens, assembly GCF_000001405.40. Classification (NCBI taxonomy): domain Eukaryota; kingdom Metazoa; phylum Chordata; class Mammalia; order Primates; family Hominidae; genus Homo; species Homo sapiens. The sequence goes on along the minus strand of NC_000005.10, from coordinate 141,010,241 downwards.
ACCTCTCACTGGCGGGGCTGGGAAGCCTCTCCTTTGCGGCGGAGGAGAAAGGAAACTTGGGTCTGCTTTTTAGGTTCTGAAAACAAGCCAGAGTGGAGAGAAAGAGTTAACACCAGACTTAGTAAAGCTTTTACGACAAAACCTGTTAAATGCGTTCTAGACAGACACAGGGAACTTTCTGCAGATTTCTGAGGTCTCTAAGAGGGCTCATGTAGATAGGAAAAAGGAGCAGGGAATTGCTACATGGGAGAGATTTGCCATTATTACAAAAACTGGCTAAGTGGCTTGTTTCCATTTGAGGACCTCACTGGTCACTGTTGTCAGTCGTGCTGTTCCCTTTCTCTTTTTTCTCCTGGGTCTTGTTACCCTTCTTCTTTTTCTTCTTTTTCTTGGTCTCCTCCTTTTTGCCGAAGGTTATGAAGTCACTTTTGTCAATTTGGCTGTTAGTAGGCTCCTGCCGGATGGAGATGATTGCAGGAGATCCTGGGATAATGAATTTGTCGGGCAACTCACCGGGACCGGATTGTTTGGGGTTGCCTGGTCCGTATTTAAAGGTCCAGCTGTTGCTGTTGACACCCGCACCGACTGGAGGGGACACTTCTCCTGCCTCTGGTTCTGAAAGACAAAACATTACAAATCATTAACAGGGTCAACACATGCTCTTGATGCCACACTGCTGGTAGAGTACAGGAGTACTGCATAGGCAGGCTGAACCTCCCCAGAAAAATCACGAGTTGTTTGTTCAAGTCTGAGGGCAAGGCAAGTGTTTACTTATTTATTTATTTGTTTAATTTTTTTGAGACAGGATTTCCCTCTGTCACCCAGGCTGAAATGCAGTCACTGCAGCCTCGACCTCCTGTGCTCAATCAATCCTCCCATCTTAGCCTCCCAAGTAGCTGGAACTACAGGCACAAGCTCCCATGCCAGGCTAGCTTTTTAAAAAAAATTTTATAGAAATGGGATCTCACTATGTTGCCCAGGCTGGTCTCAAACACTGAAGCTCAAGAGATCCTCCCACCTTGGCCTCCCAAAGTGTTGGAATCATAGACATGAGCTACCACACCCAGCCAAGGCCAGTATTTACAGACAAGCAAGAGGGCAGGTTTTTTCACCAGGATACCAAGAATCTAGTTTCATAGTAACATATGTTTGGTTCTTTGTGAAGAATTTCCTAAAGAATACAGTTGTGATTATCTTGACTGGGAACGGGATGGGAAATACAGAGCCTAAAGGCAAAATATGCTCCTTTTAGTGTCTAGATTAAACTTTGGCTATAAATGTATTAGGATGTCTATTTTGTCCAAAACAAGAAAAATTAGCTGAATAAATTATTTGATCTTAATTTTATTGTAATAACATTGAAGGGTGGTGGGATGCAGCATGGAAGAGATGGGAATACACAGCGTAAGAGGATGGAATCCTGTTGTAAATTGAGCCTATTTGTTTAGATAAAACACTGGGAGCCAATTTTACTTTCCAAGCCAAATTCCTTCCCTCAGTGTGCTCACAGTCTAGTTGGACATACACTCAAGCAACTAGAAACCAACTTAATACATGCAATAACTAAAGTATATGTAAAGTATTGTGGGACTCCAGAAGAAGAAATTGTTAATTATACTTGAGAAAGTTAATGGGGTTCCAGAGGAGGTGAAATCTGCCCTGAGTCTTGGGAAAATGATTATGCATCCACAGGAGTTTTCAATAAAAGACATTCCCAAGAGTCTGATTGGAAGACACACCATAAAGTATACCAGTGACTTCTAGAAGAGTAGAAGTCAGAGCTGGAGAGGAAGGGTAATGGTCTGTCTGGGCAAAGTGATCCCAGTGGCCATGACATTGGAACTCTGACATCATAGCAATGTTTATGTATCTAACACTGCTCCTTTGGTTGACACGTGAAAAGCTCCATCAAATAAACTGTTTATGTTCAATTACAGTTTAGGGTTGGGTACAACTGCTATTTCAATTTCCTATTACTTCTCAGTCTCCTCTAATTTGGTGTCCCTGAGCAGTAATTTTCTAACATAACTCATGTCAAGTTCATTATATTACTTCCACAATCAATGGTCACATTTTAGTCCTCATCTTATCAAACCTCTCAGCAGCATTTGTCATCCCCTTCTTGAAACACTTATTCTCATGAGTTCTTTGTCATGTAGAATAACCCCAATAAGTTCTTAGATGGACTGGACCCCTGTTACAAAAGGCAGATTAACAAGAAAAAAAAGGAAACAGAAGTTTATTAACATGTACATTTCATATATACATGACAGACACCCAGAGAATGAGCAGTTCTCAAAAAGGTGGCTTAGAATTCCAGCTTATATAGCATCTTCAACAAAGAACAATAAATTTTTAAAGAAGTGTAAGACAAAGGAAAAGACCTTTAAGGACTTTGAGTCTCTAATGGGTAGCTACTTGGGGGAAGGCAAATGAATGGCAGATAAAGGCTAATTTGTAAAGCAGTACCATTTCCAGGCCAATAAGAGTCCAAAGTTATCTTCAGTGGTTAACCTTTGTTCTCCCTGGTGGTGGGAGGCAGAGGAGGGAGGTGGAAGTAGGATAACTTTTGTCTTTGTAAATTTATGGTTTTTTAGGCAAATACAGGGAGGGCAGAAGACCTCTCCTATATCTGCTTCTTTTATTATTATCATGATTATTATTTTTTAAATTTGAGATAGAGCCTTGCTCTGTTGCCCAAGCTGGAGTGCAGTGGCGAGATATCAGCTCACTGCAGTCTCTGCCTCCTAGGTCCAAGTAATTCTCGTGCCTCAGCCTCCTGAGTAGCTGGGACTACAGGCACATGCCACCATGCCTGGCTAATTTTTTTTTTTTTTTTTTTTTTTGTATTTTAGTAGAGATGGTGTTCCATCATGTTGCCCAGGCTGGTCTCGAACTCCTGAGCTCAGGCAATCTGTCCACTTTAGCCTCCCAAAATGCTAAGATTACAGGCATGAGCCCACTGCACCCAGCCTGTATCTGCTTCTTTTAACTTGCCTTCAGCTCAACAATCCTTCTTATTTTGGGACAGCATATTCTGGCCCCCACCATCAAAACATTCTCCTGACCTTTCTCTCTGACTGTTCTTTGACAGTTTCCTTTGTCAGTCTCCTCATCTGTGTGTTGAAGCTTCCTTGGGTTTGGCCCTAGACTCTCTTCTCTATTTTCTCTTCACTCTCTCCTTTTGGGATCTCAGCCATATCCATAGATATAAATACCATATGAATAAGCTGATGAGATGCAGACTTATATTTTAAGCCCACATCTCTCTGTGCTCCAATCTCATGTATAACTGCCTATCTGGTATCCCCAGTTGGAAATCTCATGGGCATCCCAAACTGAAGAAATCTGAAATCAAACTCTTGATTCCTCGAATCTATTCCTTTCTAAATCTTTCCAGTTTCAGTAAATTACACCCCATTTACCCCATTTCTCAAGCCAGAAAGTTCAAAGCTAATTATTCATTTTTCTCTATTCTATTCTTCATTCTCCATTTATAATACATCATCAAGACCTGTCATTTCTGCCTCCTAAATATATCTTGACTCTGTCCTCTTCTCCCAATTTTCACTGCCACCACTCTTTCAGGACACCATCATCTCTTATATGAATTGCAGCAATAGTCTCCTTATTCAGTCTGCTTCCACTTTTGCTTCTCTCCAACCCTCCACACAGTAGCCAGAGTCATCTTTATTTCTTAATGTCTCTCTTTAAAAACTGATGTATAACAGCCAGGCGCGGTGGCTCACACATGTAATCCCAGCACTTTGGGAGGCCGAGACAGGCAGATCTCGAGGTCAGGAGATTGAGACCATCCTGGCTAACACAGTGAAACCGCGTCTCTACTAAAAAATAGAAAAAACTTAGCCGGGCGTGGTGGTGGGCGCCTATAGTCCCAGCTACTCAGGAGGCTGAGGCAGGAGAATGGCATGAACCCGGGAAGTGGAGCTTGCAGTGAGCTGAGATCGTGCCACTGCAGTCCAGCCTGGGCAACAGAGCAAGACTCCATCTAAAAATAAAAAATTTAAAAAAAAATGAGGCATAACATACATATAGCAAACTCTTTTAAAAATATAAATCAGATTATATCACTCCTCTGCTTAAGCTTTCTACTGCCTTGAGAAAAAAAAAAAAAACTCCTTACCATGATACATAAGTCCCTTCAATAATCTGATTTTTATTTCTTCTCCACTCTCATCTACAAATCTCCCTCTTACTATTATACTCCAACCATACAGGCCTTCTTTCAGATCCTCAAACACTCTTTGGAATTGTTTTTTTATTGTTGTTTGTTAGAGATAGGTTCTCACTCTGTCAACCAGGCTGAAGTGCAGTGGTGCAATCATTGCTTGATGTAACCTCAAACTCCTGGACTCAATCGACCCTCCTGTCTCAGCCTCCCAAGTGGCTGGGACTACAGGCCACCATACCTGGCTCCTTGGAGTTGTTTTTGCCTCAGGATCTTTACACATCTGGTTTGCTTTTGTCTTGAATGATTTCTCATCCATTCTTTTTTTTTTTTTTTTTTTTTTTTTTTTTTGAGACGGAGTTTCGCTCTGTCGCCCAGGCTGGAGTGCAGTGGCGCGATCTCGACTCACTGCAAGCTCCGCCTCCCGGGTTCACGCCATTCTCCTGCCTCAGCCTCCTGTGTAGCTGGGACTACAGGCACGCGCCACCATGCCCGGCTAATTTTTGTATTTTTAGTAGAGACGGGGTTTCACCGTGTTAGCCAGGATGGTCTCGATCTCCTGACCTCATGATCCGCCCGTCTCGGCCTCCCAAAGTGCTGGGATTACAGGCGTGAGCCTCTCATCCATTCTTAGCATGACTCCTCACTCTTCAAGTCTGTATTAAATGTAACCTCCTTGGAAAGGCATTCTATGACATTCCTAGCCAAGCAGCACCCCCTTGGCCTATTATTCTCTACCACTGTAAGATTCACAAAGGCAAAAAATGTATCTGTTTATTCACCAATGTATCACCAGTGCCTAGCACAATTCCTGGCCCATAACAGGTGTTTAGTAAATACTTGCTGGATGAATGAATGAAAGGACTGATGTGAGAAGTGAAAGTGGTACCCACTCTTTAGCAGACCAAACAACTCTCCAATGAGGCACTTTTGGGGTCCCTAAAGACAATGATGTAATGCATGTAAAGTACTAAGCTTGATCCTTAGCACAATGCAAGAATTCAGTAAATGGTATCACATATGGGCAATTATATATAATGCAGCTCTCAGGGCTTAGGAGACCAAGATAATGATACTGCAAATTTACAGCAGGCAGTGACGAGAGAGGGTAAGAAATTTTCTTCTCTCTTCCAAACCCTTTTCCTTACACCCTGGCAGAGCTGACACAATAGCACTTTAGGGATGAGAAACAAATTTTTTCTCTGAGACTAATGACTTTGATCTATCTAAGTTAATCAAATCTGCAATTGAGCTCAGCCAGAATCTGCCTGTTTACCTTTAAAATACAGGTCCTGTCTCTAAGAGACTGAGACAAAAGAGAGAAATGTATTTAAAAACCTCTGATTCGGCACCTAAAACTGGGTTTCAGCACCACTCCACAGTCCTTTAGTTGCCCTCAGAGCCCAAAATGGAAATTTTTCTTCAACCATAACCAGGACTCTGCATGAGGCCTAAGCACTGTCATCTGGAGATGCAGAACACAGAGATATGTTCATCTTGCACAGTTAAAGGACATTAATGGCTGTGTGTATTGGCAGAGGGAGCCCCTCACAGCAGGACTGCCAAGAGTTAATCCACTTTAACATGTCACTGAGCTTCCTGGTTCTATATGACTCAGCCTAAACTCCAGGAGGCAGAGATCTAGTCAGGTGCCTCCTCCACATGTCCAGCTTCCGCAGAGCAGAACAAGGTGTGGTCTCTCCAGTCCCTCACAGACCACTGTGCCTCACCTGTTCTGGTTGTTGTATAAAACAAACATCTCTGAGAGCTCAGCAGCATGTAGACTGTGACTCATTCCAGTAAAACAAAAGCTTAAGGATCTGACAAACACTGACTGACCTCCTAATCTGAATTCCTTTTGGTTAAGAGCACTCAAGACACTTGGCTGGCTTTGCCTATAAAATGTCATGCCTTTGGGGCAGAATCATGGAGATACTCCCTTTTGAAGAAGATGAAAACGGAAGAAGCACATTTCTACCCCTAACCCCAACCAGGGGCCAGTATCAGCAAATGATCAATCAAGGAAATGTTTCTTCTTTCAGTGCTGCCTCCTTTCCCTTCTAGGATCTCCGGCAAGTCCCCTCCCTTATGCTCCCAGGGTCCTAGCTCACCCTCAGGCAAAGACAAGACTGAGGATGCAGTCAAGACCCAAATGAATGGGCCTGTTAAGAGGCTAGAAGGAGGATTTCAGACACATATAAATCTGGTAGGGGTCTGAATCGTTAGGCAGAGCCCTTCCCAGACTACAGATTACAACCCAATAGGATTTAAAAGTTTATTTAACAGAATACGACCATAATTATACAAAATATGGTTTTGCTTTTTTATTGGATTAGCCGATATCTTCACAATTGGTAGGGATATATTTTAAAATCAGAACAACATATATTTTAATAAATGCATACAGATCTTCACTTCTACTTTAAAAACTGCCCTCTGGGGCCGGGAATGGTGGCTCACATCTAAAATCCCAGCACTTTGGGAGTCTGAGGCAGGTGGATCACTTGAAGCCAGGAGTTCAAGACCAGCCTAGGGAACATGGTGAAACCCCATCTCTACTAAAACTATAAAAATTAGCGAGACTGTGGTGGTGCACGCCTGTAATTTCATCTACTTGGGAGGCTGAGGCATAAGAATCACTCGAACCCGGGAGGCGGAGGTTTCAGTGAGCTGAGATTGCACCACTGCACTCCAGCCTGGGTGACAGAGCAAACAAACAAAAAACCCTGCCCTCTGGAAGTAGCTGGCCACTTCATGTAATCCTATAATCCAATTTGGGCACTTCCCTTAGGCACTGCCCAGGAATCTTTTTGGCAAAATTTCCAGCTTTCCTCTTTCATGCTAAACTAACCCTGGCTGCCTGAGTTGATGGAGTTGAGCCTCAGGGACTAGGATTGATCAGGTCAGAGTCTTTGCCAAGGCAAATGCCAGGAAAGGGCCAGAAGATTGTGAAGCAAATGCCAGGCCTGTTAAACTCACCCTCATCTGCATTTGGAACTGTTCTGTTAAGGCCAGGAGGGCTTTTCTGATTTACACTGACTTTCCCTAATAGAACATAAACTCATTTTGACCAAGGATACTATTTTCAGGAAAGCTCTCAGAGGGGCATGTGCTGGAGGGTGTTGGAGGGTGTTCACTTTTCTGATCTTCTCTTCATCTTGCTTTGTTCTCTTTCTGTTCTTGAGGACTTGCCCTGGTTCTCTCACTAGTGCATAGTCCTGGGCCATTTACATAAATATCTCTGAGCCTCAGTTTCCTCATCCATAAAATGGAGATGATCCCCTTCCTGTCTACATCACAGGGTTGTCGATGTAGTTAACATTTACTGTGCCCTTCCTATGTGTGTGCAACAGAGTTAAACAAATCTGCACGTCGTATAGGTTTTGGTCCTGACAAGAGCCCTATGAAGTAGACATTTCTAGTATCTCTGTCTGTGTTATGTGTCTGTTTTATAGATGAGGGGACTAAGGACTAATGGTCACATGGTCACTAACTGGTGGATCCTGGGACTCAAATCTAGGGAGTCTGACTCCAGCTAGGAGACTCAGATCCTGAGCTGTATAACAAGGTCATCCTTTGAAAATGCTAAAGCGTTATACAAATGTGCCAATTATTATGGTTATTGCCTGTTTTGTTACTACTATTTGGGAGGCACAGAGATGCCAGCAGGAGCCCTAAGCCAGAATGAGTTGAAAGGAGTGGAGGTGGGGGAAGGGGTGCGGATGCAGCCCGGCCTCCAGGTTTCGGCCCCGCCCCTTTGCTCCCCATTCATCCCTTTGTTACCAGCTCTGGGATTTCAGTGCTGAGGTTAATAAAGAGCTTCCAGAAAACCCATCATTTTGATTAAAGCCGGGGACTATCTTGCCAGACAGCACTCTGGAGCCTGCCTACCGCCCACTCTGCTAAGTCAGTGCAGCCGGCAAAGGCTATTAAATGATTATAGCCGTTTCCGGCCCAGCCCCTGGACTGCTCGTTCTTTGGCGCTGGCGGCTGCTGCTGCCTCTGGATGCCCAGGAAAGAGTCAGGGCACCGAAGGCTGTGCAGATTCTGTGTTTGCAAGTGAACTTCCAGGCTTTCCGCGCAGAGACACCCCGCCTCTCCCTCCTCCTTATTTCCGCTCACCACCCAAGTCAGCCACTGCAGTCTTTTTCAAACAGCCCCGATTTCTTTGCTCCTTCTTGGTTTTGGGCATCAATTTAATCAACCTCTCTCTCTGTCTCCCTCTCTGTCAGAATTTGGCCGATTGTAGAATGATAGTATATACTCAGGCTGACCAAAAGGCAAAAACCATCCGCCATCAACCACTGAAACAGCCCAGGTTGTAAAATATCTCAAGCTCCTTCCCCGCCCCCTATTTCGCCATCTGTGGGGTTTGTTGGACCGACTGGACAAGCTCCGCCTTCTCCCACACCTTCACCCCCAACCCCCGCCAGTCCTTTATGAATTGGGCAAACCTAATCTGAGTAATCACAGCCCACAAAACACAGGAGAATCGTGGTCTGAAACCCAAATCCTGTCCAGGATCAGAGAGAGAGGGAGAAAGCTAAGCCCACCTGGGCTAGCATTTCCAGCACTTCCCCGCTGCTGCTTAGTCCTTCAATTGACAGTGGAAAGACTTTTCCATGGAAACAAGGGAATGTAAAAATATACTCCCTGTTCTCTGTAGGATCTTAGGCTCTGTAATCAGAATAGTAGGCTTAAACCTGGCTACATCATGTAAATTATGGTGATGTTTGGCAAATTATTTCATATCTCTGGGCCTCAGTTTTCATCCGTAAAAAAAGTTCATAAGAGTGCCCGCCCCATAGGGTTGATTTATAGATTAAATGTAACTATCCTTATACAGCACATAGCATAAGTGCATGGTGCAAAGTAAAAACTCGTTAAATTTTACTTATTAAGATCAGAGCAACAGAAGATTCATTTGTTTAAGGACTATTGATTGCTTATTATGGATTAGACAGTTTATGGGGTATTTTGCATGTATTTAATTTTAAATGATTTAATTACAATTAATTAAAGCTATTATTATAAGTGTATATCTAAATACATATTTAAAGCATATTTATTTTATAAAAAAGGAATATGAAGGCTTAAATTACAGCAAGATAATTTGTCCTAAATCACACAGGATTTTTTTTTTTAGAGACAGCGTCTATATCTGTTGCCCAGGTTGGAGTACAATGGTGAGGTCATGGCTGACTGCCAGACTGGATCTCCTGGACTCAAGTGATCCTCCCACCTCAGCCTTCTGAGTAGCTAGGAATACAGGTGTGCGCCACTATGCCTGGCTAAGATTTTTTTTTTTTAATATACAGAGATAGGGGCCAGGCACAGTGGCTCATGCCTGTAATCCCAGCACTTTGGGAGGCAGAGGCAGGTGGATCACCTGAGGTCAGGAGTTCGAGACCAGCCTGCCCAACATGGTGAAACCCTGTCTCTACTAAAAATACAAAAATTAGCTGGGCATGGTGGCAGGCACCTGTAATCCCAGCTACTCGGGAGTTTGAGGCATGAGAATCACTTGAACCCTGGAGAAGGAGGTTGCAGTGAGCCGAGATCTTACCATTGCACTCCAGCTTGGGCAACAAGAGCAAAACTCTGTCTCAAAAAAAAAAAAAAAAAAAAAAATATATATATATATATATATATATATAGAGAGAGAGAGAGAGAGAGAGAGAGAGAGAGAGACAGAGAGAGACAGAGAGAGAGATAGGGCCTTGCTGTGTTGCCCAAGCTGGTCTTGAACTCCTGGCCTCAAGCAATATTCCCACCTCTGCCTCCCCAAAGTGCTAGGATCACAGGTGTCAGCCACCACATTCAGCTCCACACAGGCATTTGATAATGAAGGTGAAAAACTATTCTCACATTGACTCCTTGGCTCAATAATCAAATAGTTTTTGTTTGTTTTGTTTACTTCTTGTGAAGCCTTGGGGATGAGGGAAGAGACGGAGTTGAGCTCCATTCACAGGCCTAGCATTGTGATCTACAGAGCAGCTGGGAGAGTGGTGTGTGTGTGATTGGATGTCAGGCTTAGCAATGGGGAGGCCAATCTAATACCACTACCCAGAGGCCGCTAGAGCTGCTACTCCTGGGTATTTCACCCTCTTTGGGTGGAATGAGTTGAGCTGGAAGAAGATTTTTTGGCTGTTTGGTGTCCCAAGCTACAGCTGGGCTAATTTTCAGTAATCTTGGAGCGGAAGAGATAAATACACTTGGCATATTTTTAAAGCCACAGCTCTTGCTTTGTGCCCAAAATAACTCTGCCATTTCTAGGTTAAGAGTATAAAGACATCATGTGCTGCGAACCCAGATTCAAACATTGGAATGGCTGGTCTCCGTAGTTAGCTAAAAAAAAATCACATTTCTTCTTTCTGTGAGCCCCCCGCAACCCAGCAGGGCTCAGGCTGCACAGTTTTCTCTACCTTGTTTCCTGGTTGATAAGGTCCCCCAGGATGTAGGGAAGGCAATTTCCCTTTATAGTCTCTTCTCAAAATACCCCCTCTTCATTGGCTGTCATATCCAGGGGGTAACAAAATGCTTAAAATGTAGGTTCTTGGGTAACATAGACTTGAGTTGGAATCTGCTTCACCACTTATTCGTTGAACGAATAAGAGGCAAGGTACTTGGCCTCTTAGCTCCCATTCTTTCATATGCAAAACAAAGATAACAATAACCATCTAATGGGATTGTGAACATTAAAAAGAGACAAGGCTTATAAATCACACAGATCAATGTCTGTCATGAAGAAATTCTGAAATAAAGAATGGGTATTACTACTATGCAGTATTCCTTTACTAATCCAACTCCCACTTTAACCACCTATTCTCAAATGTAGTACTTCCAGAAATTCTCTTTTCCAAGGACCCTCTCCCCATCAGGCTCTTTTCCTTCTAGGGGACTGAAGACTTCCGGCTGTGACATTTTCCAGCTTAGAAATGGTTGCTAGGTTACTCTCCATAGCCCTCTGAAGGAGGAAGTGAAGGAGACTACTTAGGCATGGTGGAAAGCACACTGGACGAAGTATCAAAAGTCTTGGGTTCAAATCTCAGCTCCAGCATTCTGCTTTCTACTATTTTCTAGGATACTATTTGATTAACATTGACTTACAGTTTCTTCATCTGTAAAATGGATATAATAGCTACCTCCCGGAGGCATTGTTATTTATTCAACTAAACTTATTATTTACAAGGCCAGGCATGTGGCTCACACCAGTAATCCAGCACTTTGGGAGGCCAAGGCAGGCAGATCACCTGAGGTCAGGGGTTCCAGACCAGCCTGACCAACATAGTGAAACTGTGTCTCTTCTAAAAATACAAAATTAGCCTAGCGTGGTGGTGCAAGCTTGTAATCCCAGCTACTTGGGAGGCTGAGGCAGGAGAATCACTTGAACCCAGGAGGCAGAGGTTGCAGTGAGCTGAGATTGTGCCATTGCACTCCAGCCTGGGCAACAAGAGCAAAACTCTGTCTCAAAAAAAAAAAACTTATTTACAATAAATTAGACATTAAATTAGGAATTAGGGATATAAATATGAATAATATTAGGACAAGTACCCTGTTCTCAAAGAGTTACAGCACAGTGGGAGGAAAAGACAAGTAAATGAATAAATACAATAATAGTGTTAAAGGATAAACCAGGTAGATAAACTTTGGCATAAAGATGGCATTAAACTTTCTAGAGACGGTGTGTGCAGTGGTTAAGAGCACAGACTCAGAAGTCAAACAATCCTGCTTCAGATCCTGGTGCCCTTACTAAATGTGTGATCTGATTTAATCCTATGGGTGTCAGTTTTCTTAGCAGTAAAATGAGTATAATAATGCACAAATTTCTGGGTGTGGTTATACAGATTAAAGGAGTTAATACTTGTAAAGTGCTTAGAATAATACTTGGCACATGGCTTAACTGTTCAGTACAGGTTAGCTATTATGATTCACAAGTAAATTTTCTCCTCTGTTTGCTCTAGCATTTTCAACTGCAGAGGCTAAGTCTGTTGATGATGATGTCACTGAGTTAAGTGACATATAGCACTAGCTCGAGGTGGGGATGGAAGGCTCAGAGGGAAGTATGTAACAAGTGCAGTCCAACCACAGGTACGTGAATGCCAATTTGCCAATTTGATATTTTTATATCCTATGATTCTGTAATTCTACTTCTTGAAATTTATCCTGTATAAATACTAGCAAGCATGCATAAGAAATATGTATAAGAATGTATATTGTATTGTTTAGAAAACATAGATACCAACAGCAAATTGGATAAATTATAATATAGGTATACAACATAGTGCTATATCCTTACTCAAGAAGATTGTGGCAAATCTATATGTACTGACGTAGAAAGGTGTTTGTTAACATACACACACACACACACACACACACACACAAGCTGTATAATAATACATATTGCATTATCCCATTTTGCTTTTTGAAAATCTCTATATAGTCATGCGCCCCATAATCATGTTTCAGTCAACAACGGACCACACATATGACAGTTGTCCTGTAAGATTATAATAATGTATTTTTATTGTACTTTTTCTGCGTTTAGGTATGTTGAGATACACAAATACTTATCATTGTGTAAAAATTGCCTACAGTATTCAGTATAGTAACATGATATACAGGTTTGTAGCCTAGGAGAAATAGGCCATACGATAGAGCCTAAGTGTGTAGTATGCTATATCATCTAGGTTTATGTAAGTACATTCTATGATATTTGTACAACGAAAAAACTGCCTAAAGACACATTTCTCAGTGTATCCCCATTGTTAAGTGATGCAAGAAATATTTGGAAGAGTGAACCCTAAAGTAAACATGGAAGTTGGGTGGTAATGATAGTTTCAATAATGATGTCAATATAGTTTCATCAATTGTCATGAATGTACCACTCTGGGCAGGATGTCACTGTGGCGGGGGTGTGGGGGCATTGTGTATGTGGGAGAGCAGGAGTGCATGAGAACTCTGCACTTTCTACTCAACTTTCCTGTGAACCTAAAACTGCTCTAAAAAGTAAAGTTCATTAATTTCAAAAAAATATTGGAGGATACACACAAAATTGTTAACAGTGGTTGCTTCACCAAAGGGGAGTGGGATTGAGGGAAATAAATATTTCTATGCAAAAATGCTATATTTTTTAATATTTACTTCAACAATGTAATTCTATTTTATTTAAAAATACATTAAAATGTAGGCATATAAAGAATTCTGAAGATGCACGCTAAATTATTGGTAGTGGTTACTTTTGGAAAGCATGATTGGATGTAGGGAGTGAGGCACTACTCATTTTATTTTAGTCCTGCACAGATATAATTTGTTATGACTTTTGTTTCTTCTGTAATTAAATCAAAGAGATAGAGGTTCAGAAGAATACTAGCCCAACATGGTTCAAAAACTAGCCTGCACCCAGGATTAACTACATAATTTGCAGGAACCAGTGAAATTTGCCAAATGAAAATGGGGGGAGGCGGCCCTTGTTAACAAATTATCAAGAACTTCAAGATAGTGACAGCATAATATCAAAACACACAGGGCCTTTCTAAATGCTGGGCCCCAAGAAGCCAGACTTGCCCAGGCCTGAGCACTACTGGGTTCCTCCCTTAGCACCACAACTTGACACTGACTATTCCCAAAGTTTTCACACTGCCTGCCCCACCTGAAACTCTATGAGGCATTATTTCAGCCGACAACAAAATGGCTTCTGACTTTGGTTGGGTTTTCAAACTTTTCTTCTCTACCCTCCCCCCTTACTTTGTTACAATCTGTGCTTCTTGAAATTTGGCAGCAATCCCAGGCTCTGTGTTGCTGTCACTTCTCAGCCTTGAGCAACCATTTCTAGACAAGTAGTGATATCCTTGCATTGAGGGTATAAAATGGAGGTGCTGTCAGCACATTGCAGTATAAGGAAGGCAAGATAATGGGAGAACCCTCTACACCACCCTGCACACTTCCATACCATTCCATGTAATCTAGCAAAAACATCTTGAATCCTCTTTACTGTGTGCCAAGCACTGTGTTAAGTGCTAGGAGCATTAAACTGAGTAGTAATAGTTCTGACGACATTTTTGAGTGGCTACCATGAACTAAGCATGGTTCTAAGCATTTTGCGTGCATTATGTCATTTAATACTTACAACAGCCTATGGTCTCTCCTCTTTTATACATTGATAAATCTGAAGCACAGGTTGCACAATTATTAAGTGATACGATAGAAATGTGAGGCACTGTGCAATGCCAGGCTATCTCCCTTCAGAAACTAACATGAGACAAATTTTAAACCTGCCCTTCACTCTCCACATTTTCTCAGACATGATATACCAAATCCACCAGGATTACCTAAGAACATTTCCAAGCCCAGCCCTTTATTTAACAATTAAAAAAAATGCTGCATTTACTTCCCTTTTCGATTCTCCTTTTCTAAACACTCCAAAGTTTCCAATATTTGGTTTGGGAGAAGAAAAACACTAAGTTAAAAGCTCATAGCTCATCTTGACATATTATTCAGTACAGTGATCGCCCCTTATTTGAGGTTTGATTTCTGAGGCTTCAGTTACCCACAGTCAACCTTAGTCTGAAAATATTAAATGAAAAATTTCAAAAATAAACAATTCATAAGTTTTAAATTGCAAGCTGTTCTGAGTAATGTGATGAAATCTCGAGCCATCCCGCTTTATCCTGCCCAGTACGTGAATCATCCCTCTGTCCGACCTATCCATGCCGTCTACACTACTCACCTGTTAGTTCACTTAGAAAGTGTCTTGGTATCCGACTGGCTGTTTTGGTATCAAAGGGCTTGTATTCAAGTACCCTTATTTTACTTAATACTGGCCCCAAAGCACAAGAGTATTGTGCCTAATTTATAAATTAAACTTTATCATAGGTGCACCTATGAAAGAACATAATGTATATAAAGGTCAGTACTAAATGAGGTTTCAGGCATCCACTGAGGGTCTTGGAATGTATCTCCACAGATAAGTTTGGATTGCTGTAGGTTGATTTTTGAAAATTCAGTAGAGTTAAGGAAACTTAAAAGAATCTTCTTTCCTAAATATAAACAAACCAACTAACCTTCTAGTGGGTCTCCATGGCCAACAAATGAAACTACAAATTATTTAGCAGGATGTTTAAGGTCCTACAAAATCTGATTCCAGTCTACATTTCTGATCTCATTTCCTAACATCTCTTTATTCTACCACATCCATCAAATGCACTCATCTTATTAACCCAGACTACACAATTCAGTTTTTTGTATTTTGTTTTTGCATGCACGCATTGTTTCCTTTGCCTGGAATTCTCTTCCTCTCCACATCCTACTTGCCATCCTGCAATACCCAGTATTTTAAATTTTTTTTTGAGACAGGGTCTCATTCTGTCACCCAGGCTGGAGTGCAGTAGTGTGATCTCAGCTCACTGCAACCTCCACCTTCCAGGTTCAAGTGACTCTCGTGCCTCAGCCTCCCAAGTAGCTGAGACTACAAGTGCATGCCACCACACCCGGCTAATTTTTATATTTTTTTTGTAGAGATGGGGTTTTGCCATGTTGCCCAGGCTGTTCTCAAACTCCTGGGTTCAGGCAATCCACCCGCCTCAGCCTCCCAAAGTGCTGGGATCACAGGTGTGAGCCACTGCGCCCGGCCTCAATATCCAGTATTAAATGTCAAATAATCTCTGACTTAGTCCCCTGAATTTCCAATTCCATCTTCTGAGGTCCCACAACATCCACTGTTCATGGTTGCTGAGAGTGTTTGGGCCCTGTGAAAACAATCTGGGGACTGTCTCAAGAAAGGCAGCCTAGCTTACCTTATTTACCTAGGGTTTGAATTGATTATAACATAGACAGACCCTGGGTCCCATTCTGGACCAACAGGCCCTGGTGGTTTGTCCCAGCTTCCTTCCCCTTCGTTGACCCTACCTACGTAGGGCATTATTGTCGCCCTTATCACATGACAATGTAATATTTCCATCATATTTCTTTACATTTCTCCCTTCACCATTAGATTTATAAGGGCAGGACTGTGTTATATTTAATATTATATCTGCATCACCTAGAACAGAGCCTGGCCTGACCTAAGTGCTTAATAAATGTTTGATGATGACTACAGTCATGTATCACTTAACAATGGGGATATGTTCTGAGAAATGCATCACTAGGCATTTTTGTTGTATGGACATCATAGAGCGTACTTACACAAACCTAGATGGCATAGCCTACTACATACCTAGGCTATATGGTATAGCCTATTGCTCCTAGGCTACAAACCTGCACAGCATGTTACTGTACAAAATACTGCGCAATTGTAATATAATGGCAAGTATTTGTGTATCTAAACATAGAAAAGGTACAGTAAAAATATGGTATTACAATCTTATGGGACAGCTGTCACATATGTGGTCCATTGTTAACCAAAGTGTCATTATTTGGTACACGACTATATATAGAGGGTCCCAACAAAATTCTCTATTGGAGCCAAGCCAAGAAAAGCATCCCTAGAAAGGATACTATATACTTCACTTCTCTATCTCTCTCTCTCTCTGTCTCTCTCTCCCCGTGTGTGTGTGTGTGTGTGTGTGTGTGTGTGTGTGTGTGTGTGTGTGAGAAAGAAAGAAGGAGAACAGGAATGAATAAGGATTTTAAAAGAGAAATGCTGATGAAGGTGGTTAATGATGGAGTTTCAGGGACCCGGCTGGGAGGTAGTTTTTGTGAGGATCTTCGTAGTGCCCTTCAAATCACAAACACTTAGAAGGTATTATCCTGGAGGCAAGGTTGTGACCCTGGGCAAGAAAAGACCAAAGAAGCTAATTTATATATCTAAATCCCCAGATTCAGAGAGAACATACCAAAAAGCTAAAAAAATTAGCTTTAGTGAGTTTCCCTCTAAAGAAATTTCCCAAAGGCAAATATTTAGAATCCATTTATACTTGTTGCAACAGAAGGAAATTGATGTGACACTGACCGCTGAATAAACATAGCCCTGCTGATTGCAGACTGCAGGAACAGCAGTTGGATTGACATCTTGATGACACACGGAGCCCACAGGGGATGCTGGACTCTGGGGAGGCTCTTTCATGGGTCCCATGGCCTAATCATTGTCAGCAGTATAAGGGGTGATTTAATCTCCAGTCAGAGCTGCTGTAAGTATGGAGAGGGCCTAAGCTTTGGAGATATCCAGCTTGTTTAGAATATCAAGGAGGGAGCTAGAGTGAAACTGGTTGTTATACAAAATGTTCCCAAAAAACAAACACATCCTTAGATACATATGGATCCATAAAATTGACCCTGAACCATCCCACCCTCCTATCCCCAACACAGGAAGCATCACAGGAAAAGCAGGTGGGATTTACGAATACTGGCAGGAACATTACCCACCCCTCAACCCCTAACACACACATACACACCAATCAGGCTCTTTCTTCTATTTTCCAGGGAAGTTCTGGATATAATCTGCTTTCACTTAGACACAGACGCTAGATGCATACAAGGCAGGCAATATGTGTTGCCCCATCTCCTGGCATCACTTGTGACAGTGACTTTTCCATTAGCTACCATGCCCCAGGATTGAATCCTTACAGATTGGCCTCTGGGTGATCTAAAGAGTACTGTCCTCTGCTGCCTGCTCCCAACTCTTGGAACAATATTCTTAGACCTGGGGCAGAACAATATCTCTAAGTCCAGAACACAATAATGTAATGGGAACCATTTTTCTCCTCTCTCCACATTTCCATCTTTGCTCTTAGAAAAGGGAATGCCCACCAAAACAATACTCCCATCCTTTGCAGGGATGTGCTACGAAAAGAACTTTCATCTTTAGCTCTACTTCCTTCCTTACTCTTCCCAGGAAGGGAGAGTAGTTTATCTGATTGGATAGATCACTGAAAGCATGATTTAAATGGATCACACTTCTTGATTGAGCAAAGTTAGCATCATCAGTCACTGTTCTTCCATGACACATCTCACCTTAATTCTCTTTCTCTACTCTAGCTCATTCTCTACTGAAATTAACTTACACACACACACACACACACACACACACACACACACAGAGCCACCTCTGCCTGAACATGAAAGACCGGGTGGTAGGCAGAATAATGGCCCCACCAAAATGACTGCATTCTAATTTTAGAACTTGTGAATATGTTATGTTACATGGCAAAAGGGATTTTGTGTTAATTTGTTATGGCAGCCCTAGGAAACTAATACAGATTTTGGTATCTGGAAGTGCGGTTCTGCCGTTATAAATGCCTAAAAATGCGGAAGTGGCCTTGAGATTGGGAAATGGGCAGAGTCTAGAAGAATTTTGAAGAGCATGATAGAAAGAGCCTACATTACCTTGAACAGGCTGCTAGTAGCAATATGCATATTAATGGCTCTACTAGAGAGGACTCAGAAAAAAGTGAGGAGCAAACCTAAATTGTCATGAACAGATTGTTATTACAAATATGGCATTAAAGGTGCTGCCAGTGAGGGCTCAGGTAGAAATAAGGAGCCTGTTATTGGAAACTAAAGGAAAGTGGATCCTTGTTATATAGTGGCAAGAACACACCTTGATTTTAGCCAGTGAAACTCACTGTGGACTTCTGACTTCCAGAACTGTAAGATAATACATTGTGTTGTTTTAAGCCATGAAGTTTATGGTTAATTTGTTATAGCATAATGGGAAATAAATACAGACACCCTACAGTTGGCCTAGAACTCAGACAGTAAATAGTCTTTTCCAAGTTACCAAGCTATTCCCTTCATGTATCATGCGGGACAAGATAATAGTAATGTGTTAAGTGTATAGAGTTCAGCAGCAAGCAGACATGAGTTCAAATACTGCCTTTACCACTGCATTTATTAATGAATTTAACAAAATTTATTGAGCATCATTGTGTGCTAGGCATCCTGCTTGACAATGGGAATACAATGGTGAGCAAAAAACATTTTTACTAGCTGTGTGAATGTAAGAAAGCCACTTAATTCTTATGAGCTTTAATTTTTTTATCTGAAACATGGGAATAATAATGTACTTCTCTCAAAGTTAAGTATGCAACATATGTAAAGTGCTTATCACAGTTCTCAATAAATGGTAGCTATTGTCTTCCTTTCTCTTGTTCTAAGAGACTATTTCTACAGTCCAGGAGGCAACAGTATGGGATTTAAAGACTTATAAAACTTGACCCAGCAACGACCCACTCACTGGAACATACACTTAAAATACAATGTCCTCAGGGCTCTATTTTTGCTAATAGGCTTTAGCTGAGAGAAGGGAGCTTCTTCTGTATTCCATGGTTCATCGTCCAACACAGAGCCAAATTTACAGGCTCAAAGGTATCCACCCTAGGGCTGTTGATATACCTAGTGATGCTCTTATCCCCATAAATCTGGACTCTCCGAAAGCAGCTTGGTGTGCATCTAATGTAAATCATTCATACTGGCTGAGGCTTCTAGTCTTACCACAGACCTTTACGGTATTCATCTGACTCCAGGTGATTATAGGAAAAGAGATCGAACAGGTGTGTGTTCTTGGGTAATACAGTATCTATGATGCACAGTCAAAAAAGACAAGAGAGAAGACTTGGGGAATGTCACCTCACTATTCAGCTTGATACATGATACCACCTACAGCAACAGCTCTGGACACAAGATTGGGTCAATGCTGGTTGAAAGCCCAAGCTGGTGAACCTTCTTGGAACATCACCAACAAATTTGCTTTATTAGATTTTCTGTACAGGGCAGGCTTTACTTATTTTTAAAGTTTGTTTGGTTGGTTTTTTACAGACAATGGCATCGATAATCTCAAGACCCGGGGTACATTGTTTGGTATCCAGCAGACAAGGAATACAACGCTAGTTACAATAAACTTCTCTTTGTTCTCTTTCGGGTCCACATTTGGTTCTTAAAAGTCACCTTTTCATACCCTAACTTTCTATTATTATGCCTCTTGAGTCTGACTTCTACAGAGCTCTCAATTTCCTGTTTCAATAGTAGCACAAGCATCCTTTGTCCCCCTTATTTCCTTTAAGTATTACCATCTTCAGGACTGACTTCTCCCATCCTTTGCCTAGCCCACGCCCTTGGAGATAGACAATTTCAGGCAGGGCTGTTGCTGAGGAAGCTCTTGGTCTCACCGAGAAAAACGTGGAATGTCATCTATCTCTGCTCTCCCTCTTTTTCTGATTGTGAATAACGGAGACTCCAAGTGCTGAGGCAGAGAAAGATTCCTCTCCAGTCCACACACTCATTGACAGGCTTCCTGGCAGTGACCAATCTTATGGCCCTTTCCTGGGGGCCTCTAGTCTCTAGCCAGTGCTTGAACTGAATATGTTTCTCCAGATTAGGCAATGGCCTTTTCAACTGCAAAGCTGACTGCCTCTGAAGATAAAATTTTCACGTTCCTTTGAAATCTGGGCAGAGTTTCTTTTAAAATATTGCCATGAAAGACCCTTGCTGTCACTAGGACAGACTTTCATTTTTAGTTTACTTGTGTCAGTGAGGCTGAGGACAGGGCTTGCCGGAGCCACAAAACGTAAAGGAATTACAAACTATCTTCCTCCTCTGCCCTCAACTCAGGTTATAAGCAGGTCTTTCTTGTTCAAGCACCTCCCAGGAGGAGTTCCAAGCCTAACAATTCTAAACAACCTCAGCAATTTTTCCCACAGAGTGAAGTGCAGACTCTCCACCCTCCATATCATCTTTCCCACAAAGCTCTCAGTCACACAGGTGACCTATCACCTTTGAGCTGAGTCAGGTGGCAAAGTTGGTGAGACCCTACTTCCTTGGCCCTTTGTGACACTGAGATGTCCCCAGCAGAAACTTGAATCTCCCTTTTGACAAGGGGCTTAAAACTTCAGCTACAAAGAATGGTGTATAAAGAAAGCTAGAAGGGAGGGTAATTCAGAAACTCTCCTGTTTTATGCAACACTCTTAAACAAAAGAAGGGATAAAGTGTCTTATTTTTCTAAGATATATTCAAAAGTTGTTTCTCCTGACAAGGTTTTCAGAGGCCAGACTGTATTGCCTCAATGTAGCTGGCATATTAAAGGAATCAATGATAACTGAAGAAACTATAATAAGTCTCTATTTCCTTACCCTGCATTAGCCTGCTTCTCTCCATCGTGGGGCTTGAAGGAAACTGCAGCCTAAGAGAACAGTGTTGTTCTATTCTCCTCACTACACCCTCTAAAATGTTATATCCAGGATCGTACATCTGAGTGCACATGAGACTGGATAGGTTTCAGGAGACACGTGATCTCTGTTTGGGGCTACTGTTACGGAAGAAATTCTTCTATTATGTATCATGGTCTTAACCATGACTGTATTCTGCCCAGGCCACCAATCCTAGAATAATTACTATGGGGCAAATGAGAGGTCCAAGAAAATACAGAGCGTCTAGGGAAAGAATTATCTTAGAGTCTATTCATAAACAAAAATGTTTAATTTCAGAAAACCAGGACATCTCCATTCTAGTCTTTTATTTACATGACCATTAAAAGTGGAAGGTACAGAGTGTTTTCCCAAGAAGAAGATGAAGAAAGTCATGAATGGATGGAGCCAGCAGAGACTTAAGTAAGCTTCATGGCTTCTCCTAGGTAGGGGATGCTAATTCCCCTTCCCACACCCTTGCTTCCTCCCTTCAGGTCAATCCAAAACAAACAAATTCTTTACATAAGCTGCGAAGAGAACTCTGGCAAACACAATGAGTTTCACAACCCCAGAAAGTAAAAGTGCATCTTAAAAGGACTTACTTTCCTCGGGTAGAGAAAGCCAAGCCAAGCTGGCACTCCTGGGCTGTCAGATGGCAGGTGACAGCGAAGGATACTCACAGGCGGGAGCTGCCCCACTCACATAGATCCCTGATCTCATTTTTTTTTCCTAATAAGGATATGCACACACCTCCCAGGACTGTCATTGCTATGACAACGGCAGAAGTTGAGGTTGAACAGGTTAGTGGAACAGCATGCTTTCTAAATTCTCCAACAAGGCCCGAGGCTGCACTCACTCATGAAATAGAAAAATTCATGTTGACAGTGCTCCTAAACAGATTCTAAAAAACTTAAGAATCATGCTTTCTTTCTGGGGAAGGATCAGAGATGGAGTCTCCATGGAGTCTTTCCATGGGGAGTTGGTTTTGTCAGACAGGTAAGAATCCTTGAGACAATTAAGAATATAAATCCCCATATAAAACTAGGGCACATAAACTGTCCATTTTCCACAGAGTAAAGAGATGTGGCAAATCAGGGCAAAAGCAATCCCCTAAGGAAACAAAGAGACAGGCACTTTAAAAAAATCTTCTCTATAGCAGATTCTTCCCACAGAGAATACTCAGAACAACCTGGGTCTAAATTTTGAAGCTGTAGGATAGACTCATACCTGGAAAAATCATTTAAAAATAGCTACTATTTACTAAACCCTGATTGTTCTTCAGATTCTGCAATATGTGTGCATTATCTCATCTAATTCTTCCAAGAACCCTATAAGGTAGACACCACTATTCTCCCCATTTTATAGAGAAAGAAACTGAGAATCAGGAAAGTTAAGTAATGGTCCCAGGAACATACAATTACTGAGTGGCAGAGGTAGAATTCAGAAAGGGTCACTGACTCCCAAGCTTGAGCTCTTAACAATTATCTCTCGGGCATGGGGAAAGGCCCCCTGCTTCTCACAAGAACCATAAACAGATGGCTTCCTTGCATGCATTCTGACCCTGTAATGATATAAGACAACCTCAGGAATATTTACCTTAGACCAGTTCTTAAAACTTCACAGTACATTGGTATCACATAGAAGGCTTGTTAAAACATAGACTGCCGGGTCCCATTCCTGAGAATGTCTTTCTTTCTTTATTTATTATTTTTTTTTTTTTTGAGATGGAGTCTCACTCTGTCACCCAGGCTGGAGTGCAGTGGTGCAATCTCAGCTCACTGCAACCTCCACCTCCCGAGTTCAAGCAATTCTCCTGCCTCAGCCTCCCGAGTAGCTGGGATTACAGGCACCTGCCACCACGCCCAGCTCATTTTTGTAACTTTAGTAGAGATGGGGTTTCGCCATGTTGACCAGGCTGGTCTCGAACTCATGACCTCAAGTGATCTGCCTGCCTTGGCCTCCCAAAGTGCTGGAATTACAGGCATGAGCGACCACACCCAGCCTCCATCCTGAGAATTTCTGATTCATTAGTCTAGGATAGGGCCTAAGAATTTGCATTTCTAACAAGTTTCCGGGTATTGTTGGTGTTGCTGCCCCTTTGAGAACCATTGTCTAAACCAAAGTTCTCTAACTAAGACTCACTGCCTTAGTGGCTTCCGCTACCTAATTAATCTTTCACTGTTTAGTCCCAGATCCCCTGGGGTCTTGAGAAGCTATAATGTTATCTTCTGCAGTGCTGTGTGTTTTGAAACTTTCTGAACTCTTCTGAAAACTGTGAGCATCTCCCACTCTAAAACTAATGTACTGTTGCCTTAGGTAAGGCCTGAGATCCCTTGAAATGTAGAAAGAGGAGCTGGAAAAACCAATAACAGATAACAAAGCAGCCTGGCCCACTGAAGCCAGGCCAGTTCCCTCACAGGCAGGGGCAGTCCTTTTATAACCTGGGATTGCCCTAGGAACTGATCACAAGAGGGCATTCATTAAAACCTCTTCAGGGCATTAGTACTCATGAAGTTAAAAAGAGCTGTAACATGAGCGACTGGCCCTTTAATGTCCCTCCCCCCAAAACGCATTCCTCCATCTGAAGAAGAGGCTGCAACTGTATTCCCTGCATTCCTGATTTAGCTAATTTTCTCTCTCTGCTCAGTCTCAAGGGAAGCTGAAAGGAAATAAGAAAGCCTGTGGTCCGGGTCTGCTCACACAGAGGGGAGGCTAGAGAAAGGGGCCAGTAATCAGGATTAACCAATTTAATGCCTGACTTGTTTATCCTGCAGAAAACATTACTTGGTGATGCCCTTGTTGATCCTTTCAGAGTGTGGCATCTTTATCTTAGGCTTTTGCAGACTGTGAAAATAAATGAACAGTTTCTTTAAAAAGCAAAAGAATTCATCAGTGAGGCCAGGCGCAGTGGCTCACGCCTGTAATCCCAGCACTTTGGGAGGCTGAGGTGGGCGGATCACGAGGTCAGGAGATTGAGACCATCCTGGCTAACACAGTGAAACCCCGGCTCTACTAAAAATACAAAAAATTAGACGGGAGTGGTGGCGGGCGCCTGTAGTCCCAGCTACTCAGGAGGCTGAGGCAGGAGAGTGGCATGAACCCGGGAGGCAGAGCTTGTTGTGAGCTGAGATCGTGCCACTGCACTCCAGCCTGGGCGACAGAGCGAGACTGTCTCAAAAAAAAAAAAAAAAAAAAGGAATTCATCAGTGAAGGAAAAATAACTTTAAGAAACACATATGAACGAGGATTAGCGTAAGGCAGGCCCCACTTCCTTTATTCAGCCATTGCAAGTGTTGGGATGAGAAGAGCAATACACAGCTGGTTCACGGAAAGGGCTCTGAAGCAAGTATAAGGAGGCTTAGGCACCAGAAAGAAGCCTTTTGGAAGCAACTGCATCTTCACCGTGAAGCTTTAAGGGCAACAGAATCAATGAAAGGCAGGCTCTATTTGAGTCTGGAAACAACCAAATTTTTTGGAGCATTTCCCTTTTCTTCAGGCAGCAACTAATAAATCCTCCTCACTCCATTTCCAGGGGAACAGTTGGGGTGACTGGATTATATAGACCCAGATAACCTCAGAGGGTCTATATCTGGGCCTGCAAATGAGAACTACTGAATTCTGGCCACCAGGCTATCAGCCAACACTATATCATAGATTGCAGAAAAGTAGTCCAGAAAGAAAAAAGAGTAAGAAGATTAGGCCAGGCGCGGTGGCTCACGCCTGTAATCCCAACACTTTGGGAGACCGAGGCAGGCGGATTACGAGGTCAGGAGATTGAGACAATCCTGGCTAACACGGTGAAACCCCGTCTTTACTAAAAACACAAAAAATTAGCCAGGCTTGGTGGCACACGCCTGTAGTCTCAGCTACTCAGGAGGCTGAGGCAGGAGAATCACTTGAACCCAGGAGGCAGAGGTTGCTGTGAGCCGATATCGTGCCACTGGACTCCAGCCTGGGGGACAGAGCGAGACTCTGTCTCAAAAAAAAAAGATTAGACATTTATTAACTATATGTCAAGCACTATGCTCAGTTCTTTTTTTCTCCTTTAGTTCTCATGGTAACTCAATAAAATAGGTGTTATTATTATTACTACACCCAATTTACAGAAAGGGTAATTAAGAAAATATGAATTCAGGCAGTTTGTCTATGCTCACCCAGCAAGTAAGCTTGGGATTAGAATTCAACTCAAATCTGACTCTAAATCATAATCTTAATCTTTATGCCATATTCCCTCCAAGCAGTGCAGAACATATATTGAGTCCTAAAAACCTAAAAGTACCAGAAGGACAGGGAGAAGGCAGAGAATCCCTTTAACTTTACACCACTGATGCAGAGGTATGTATTGAAAAGTATGATTAGGTTGCCATGGAGTAGTTGGAAGATGTAAGCTCTATCCAGCACAGTCCATGAAGACTGTGACTCATGCATCAGCAGCCAGGCACAGTTCTGGATAAAATGGGTTATACAAGAGGGGCTGGGACAGTAAGAAAGGGAACAAGGGAGATCCCCTTCTCTATCTCTGTAAAAAAGATAGGTTCTCAACATTTTTTGAATCTGAAAGAGGGACTTGGCCAGATGTATGAAATATCAATACATGGTTCCTATTCCACATTTGCCTAGGAATACACACCAACCAGCATCACCAATGGGAGGGAGAATGTATTCAAAGTTAGTTTGTGGCTTACCAGGTCGACCTACAATGCCTCCATAAGAGCAAGAAAAACTCTGAAATAAAGGCAAGGTAGAAAGTCATGATTTCACGTGGCTTCTTTGGGAAGTTCTCACCTTCCCAGATGCCTCCACATCCTGCAACACTTGGCAGTCTAAAACCACTTCCTCCTCCATCATTTCTTCACTCCATCGTTGGCACTGAGGGTACAGATTTGTCAATGAACTATTTTATGTTTTTCCCCTTGCAATCTGGCAATATTAGCTCTCTAATGAATTGCTTCAACTCGTATATTTTTTGGACAAATGTGACTTTTAGTTGAATTGTGCAACATCCATAAATAGCAAATCCTGGCTGATTAGAATCAACGAATGCCCTTAAAGTTGCCAGTAAAAATGGGCCCTTAGCTGCATGTTACTTAATAATTTGAAAGGCATCTGATTATTTTTGGGAAAAAACCTTTTACACACACATTCTGTCATCTGTTATGTATGTAGATATGTATTTGAATTTGAATGGATTATTGCAAGCCAGCCATGTTATGAATATAAGTGCTAGATATACTTGGATTTGAAACTAAACACATCTGGGTTTGAATCCTACCCTCTGCCACTTACAAGCTACGTGAACTTGGGTACATTTCTTAATCTCTCTGCCTCTCCAGTTTCTCATATGTAGAATAGATGTAATAAATCCCTTGCAAGCTTGACTTAAGGAATAAATGAGACCACACATACAATGTACTTGGCACAGTGTCTAGGCATATTATGGCTTAATAATTAGTAACTACTATTATCATCATGATGTTCTATTAATAGAGGATTAGAGTAGACACAATTTGTGGTCTCTACCAACACTTAATCTTCCCTTTCTGAAAACTGCCACAGCGATGGGCCTCCAAAGCCATATTTCTATTACATGACCCTGCTTTAGTGATAGGGCAAGAATAAGGATACCAAGCAAATGTGAGTTTAAGCAATTTTCCTATACTCACCCAGCCATTAGGTTTTTTACACAACTTAGCAGGTTCTCTTTCCTGAAAGTTTGGATTAGGAAATAGTCCCTATTATCCCTCTAAACTAAGAAATTGTGAGGCGGTCATGTTTGGCAACATGCATGCCAAGGCACTAAAAGTCAGTCTGCAGAATGTTGTTGATGTGCAGAGAGAAGCAGATTGACTTTGACTTGAACTCAAAACAATGCCTTGGTTCCGATAATTTTCCACTTCCATGAGAAACCATCTTCCTTCCTTCCTTCCTTTTTCTTTCTTTCCTTCTTTTTCTCTTTCTTTCCTTACTACTTTGGGTGGGTTTCCATAGTCTTCAACCAAAAGATCTTTGTTAACAGTGTCATCTCTGTGCATAAGGCCACCAGATCTTCTCTGCATGGCTTGGATGACCTAAGCATTTGAAAGGTACCTGATTTAAACAAACAAACAAACCCCAAAAACTTCATACACACACACACACATGCACACATGCGTGCACACACACTTTCCTTGTTATCCTTTTTCAACTCCTGAAGAGCATTAGGTATAAAATCAAAATAATCATATATGTAAGGAAATCATGTATGTATGGAAAAAAGGGAATAACAAAAATATAAAAGAAAAAGAGCCATCAACATTCCTGATCTTACAAAAGTAGGTCATCTGATCACTTTCCAGAAACCAAGAAAGAATGGAGAGACCCCAGCTCTTTACCTGGTGTTGCACTGGATACTGTTGGCCACTGCTGATCAGGCCCTCCTGGACCAGCCCGTAGAATGCCAGCCTCCTCTAGGTGCACAGAGCTGAATAAACACACAGACCCAGATAACGGTTAGATCATAAATTCTTTCCCATCTCTTCTTCCACCCTCAGAAATTGCTTACAACTATGAAGCCAGGGCTGCAGCTAACACATTCTGCTCATGCTTGAACTGAAGCAATTACTGCTGAGCAGTCACCCTGCATAAACTGCAGAAGCATTGCTGACTTACTTATTGCCTGCTATACTATTCCAGGAACACACATGTTCTATCTTTATGGCAATTCTGTTTTTTATTAACGCCATGTGGCGCTCACTAAATCTAACAGGAAGCCCATCAGAGGACTAAGCCATTTTAACATCTCGATACTGAAGCAGATGAGGAGGGCTTGTTCTCAAAAGTTCCAAGCCTCTCTTGCAGGTTCTCTTGTTCCTAGGTTCTCTACTCTAAAGAAGAAAACACACTAAAATATTTTCTGATAATTGGAGTATTGTTCCAATTTGGCTATCTAATTAATTCTTAACCTTATTTTCTATTTTACTCTTTCTATATCTTTTATGCATAGATGACCCACCCTATATTTCCTGAGACTAGAGAAACTTGATCACCACCACTCACAGATCCCCGCTCAGAAGAGATTAATTCAGCATAAAACATTGCTGGGAGTGAGATACAAACTGGGAGACCTTTAGAGGCAAGCAGAGATAGAACATAAACTGTTCAAGGGAAAAGAGAACATGGTGCAGTATTCATTTATGTATGTCTAATACTAACTCATATTAATCTCTCAAATATTTGTTGGATGAATGAATGAATGAATGAATGAATGATGGAAGGGAGGAAGGAAGAAAGGAAGGAAGAAATAAGTGGGATCCTAAGAGAAAATGTCCAAGAAAACCCTCATCAAAATTAGAGGAACATTTTGTTTTATTTTATTTATTTTTGAGACAAAGCCTCACTCTGTCACTCAGGCTGGAGTACAGTGGCACGATCTCAGCTCACTGCAACCTCTGCCTCCCAGGTTCAAGCAATTCTCCTGCCTCAGCCTCCCAAGTAGCTGGGACTACAGGCACCCGCCACCATGCCTGGCTCATTTTTGTATTTTTAGTAGAGACAGGTTTTCACCATATTGACCAGGCTGGTCTTGAACTCCTGACCTCAAGTGATCCACCTGCCTCACCCTCCCAAAGTGCTGGGATTACAGGCATGAGCCACTACACCTAGACTAGAGGACCCTTTTAAACTAGACATTTGCTTATCTTGAAAGTTAAATTTCTAAAATAAAATTTAGACTACTGACTAAAGGGGTTATATGAGGCAACAGAGCAGGCAAACTTGAACTATTAGAGGGAAGGCAACATATAAGTTCAATGTTTTCTCACTCTTTGACTTCAAACAACATATCCAGTAGAAATTCACTCATTAAACTCTGACCTTTTACTATTCTTCCCCTTGTCTACACTCTAGAATTATCTGTTTTTTTTCCCCAAATATTAACAGCCTTCAAGTGTTCCTGGATCCTACTAGCAAATTGTGTGGGCTCAGTCAGATTCATGAAGGTGTAACTATCCTGGAGCCAGCTCAGCTCAAAGCAGAATTTTTTAAAGAATAGTTACATGATGTCCAAGACTGGAAAGACCGAGAACACCCAAGCACACATACGAAAAAGATTAGTATTATTTAGGTTCACAACTCATTTAATATGTTCAATGTATTACAATGCAAAAAAGAAATGGCATTTTAATTTCAATTTTTATTTTATTTCTTACCCTACTCAAATCTCATAATATCTTAATTGAAACCCGAATAGGAGCACATTTGGCTTTTTTTTTTCAATTTGAAAATGGGATAAGGAAGTTATGTTATTTTATTCATTTATTTATTCTTCTGAGACAGAGTCTCGCACTGTCGCCAGGCTGGAGTGCAGTGGCTCGATCTTGGCTCACTGCAACTTCCGCCTCCCGGGTTCAAGCGATTCTCCTGCCTCAGCCTCCCTAGTAGCTGGAACTACAGGCACATGCCATCACGCCCAGCTAATTTTTGTATTTTTAGTAGAGACAGGGTTTCACCGTGTTGTCCAGGATGGTCTCGATCTCTTGACCTCATGATCTGCCCACCTCGGCCTCCCAAAGTGCTGGGATTACAGGTGTGAGCCACCGCGCCCAGTCCAGGAAGTTATGTTTTAATGTTTTATTTCAAATGTAGTTTTTAAGGCACAACTCATAGCTTTGGTACTTTTCAAGAGTTGGTACTGTAAACCATGCTTTTACCCATTGCATGTCTCCACCAACAGCTCAGATGCAGGCAAAAGCACAAGTTGGTCTCTAATAAATATAAAGAATTTCTTCTGATACCTAATATTCTGGTATATGCATGAATGTTTCTGGCCTAAAATTATGACCCAGGTTCCAATGTGACATCTTACCAAGCCAACTACTAATCTTCAGCCCTTCACTGATTGCTTCTGAATCAGAAATAGCACCCAATGTAATGATTTCTGCTCATTTGTAATGCTTGAGAGTATGTTAATTTATTTCAATCTAATGCATTTTAATGGGCTAAAACTAATTTCACATTAACTCTACACATACTTTGTAGGCTTTCTCTTTACGAACTGATCTAAGTTTGGTGAATATTCACTTGATAGTTGCCCAGATATTTTGAGGGGCTTAAGTTTGAAGATTATTTCTTCTTTAAAATTAAATCCTTTTGATAGTTGTGATCATTTGTTTCTTGGTCCTTCCCATTTGGTTTCCAAAGACATTCGCAAATAATGAATCTTTTATTTGGCCCCATGGCATGGATACTGGATCACCTCCAGAAATAATGGTAGTTAATCAATTACTGTCAGAGAGACAAAGTAGAGAAAGCAAAATTATATTTAATCTGAGTCTTAGACTAATACCGTTACTCTAGGTTAATTTAAAGTAAGCTAGATTTGGAGCCCTTTACATGGCTCATCTTCTGAAGAACCATGTCATTGATGACAATAAGATAGCAACAGATGGGAAAGATGAGGAGGCTCTAATAGGTGTGAACACAAACAACAATAGCAATCAATTATTGAGGGTAATAGGATGTAATAGCCAATGTGAGATTAAAAAAAAAACAAGGTAGACAACATGTATGTATACATTGCACAATGTACCCAAGTCTCAAAGCATGAGTATTAATTACAGTTTTTAAAGGAGGAAAAGAAAGCATAGGTAGAGAGGGATGAAGGAGGTTGAAATTACTTCCCTGTAGAAATTTTGATGGGAGAAAATACATAGCAGCCTGTTTCTGTGATTTTACAGAGGACTCTTATATGCCAGCACTTGATAAGCATCTGGCACTGACCATTTGCGATCTTTCAAGGAATAAACATGGGGACAAAATAATTGCATTTTCCTGGCAAAGTACCTAAAGCTTTTTAGTTTTGACAGCTGCTTCTGGCCTATGGAGATGCAGTTTATCTGAGCCATACCAAGTTAAGGTTACTTCTGAGTGAATGAGGAGGGAAATACATACCTGTGCATGCCTGCTCTCAGGGAGGCAGAGTAACGCCAGTCAGGGTTGGGCTGTCGTGGCTGCAAAATCACAAAGAGAGTTTTCTGTTAAAATGACAAGACAATGTTCTCCCAGGAATGCTGCTAATTGATTAGTTACTCCCTTAAATATTTCCAGGCATCTAAAAAAGTATTGAATGAGCCATTTCATGTGTAACTCTATGATGATATCTACATATATAGCACTTTAGAAGAAAATTAGTTCATCAGGGTCCTCACACAGATTAGATACCCTGGAAGACCAGATTTAATAATCTTGTAAAGGCCACCTTTGGCTTTGCCTTGCCCAATACATGTCTGTGTTCTTAAAACACTACGGGAAGAACAGTCTGCTTTGAGAAAGGAAAAGCTTTCACTGCTTTTGCCCTCAAGTGCCCCATTAAGGGAACATTCCCAATTCAGTATTACAGCTATAACAGGGCACATGGCTACACAAGTTCTGCTGGCCTGGCTGGACTGCAGAGGACTGCAATCTGCTGCTGGCTTTGCAGACTGCAGCATATTTGACCCAGGGCGGATGTGCCCAGTCATAACACCAGCAACTGATAACAGTCTCTTTTCTGATTGAAGAGGGATACTAGGGAGAGGAAAACAAACTATTGCAGAGTTTGACCTTGTTTTGCTAGCTAATCCTTTTCATAAACTTGTACTTGTTCCTGCTCCTTCCTGAGTGCTTTCCCTCCTCACTGAATCACTGTTCACTAAGCTCTGATTGTTTAACAGGGAGTAGCTGAAATCCAAGAAAAACCTGATACATTTTGCATTAGTTGTGTATTGAAAAGATCTGTTGCCCTCTCTCTACAAACTCTCAGTCTGAAGGGGGAGAACAAAGAGGAAAATATGGGCACCTAAAGACTTAAAGACTGTTGGGGGAGTTATGTGCTGGTTAGAAGCTACTCAGAAATCACTGGGACATCATCAGTCACCATCACTGTCTTGTATCAGTAAGCAAAAATGTCACTGTGAAAAACTTGTGACACTCCTCTAGATGCGTTTTCATGGGCGGAGATTGAGGTGGCCCTGTCACTGAATATTGAGGTATAGTTGAATGAAAAAAATGGGGGATAAAAGTTGTATTTTGTATTTTCCTCTACATTATACTTACCATATTTGGTAGAAACAAAGCCATAGTAATATCAATAGACCATTCAAAACTGTCAATAATTCTTATTCCTATCATTCATATAGTTCCTTTAAGGGATGCAAAGTATTTAATAAACACATTTCTTCATAACACCCAGGAGAGAAATGATCACCATCTCAATATTCAGACAGATTTCTGGATGGCTACATGATATTTGGCATGCAGAGAATTAGCCAAAGTCAAGGCCCAGAAAAAGTTACAACTCTGGGATACTTTACCTCAATGGTCCTCACATGCTAACTGCTCTCTCTATTCTACCAATCTGCTAGCAAGATATGCATATGCAAGCTGCTTCCTCCTTTGTTTTCAAGTTCACAAAATGCTGTGGATATTCCATATAACATAGCATAAAATTATCTACAGACCAAATCAAAGGAGTTTCCATTATCTACTAGCGGTGTTAGAGGGAACAAAAGAAAATGTTTGCAAATCATTTTATAAACCTGGAAATATGACTAAAATACTTTTTATCAATCAGTCATCATCACCGTCTCTCCCCTCGCCATCAGGAGCACTATCGTTAGCTTGTCAGCTGAGAGAACCTTCCTTTGAGAAAGACTGTAACATCTGCTGAGAAATGTTGCCAATTTTTCTATGATTGGGTAACATTCATGATGAAAATTGCTGCAACTTGATCTTTGGAATGAAATCATCAAACTCATTTTGCTGAAAGGCACAGTTCCAGCAGGACTGACCAGGAAACTCAGTTCATTATACAATCTCACTTCCCCAATGACACATTTAATTTGTCATGCTGCTATTTTCTATACTAGTCCATCAGCAACAACATCCTTCTTAGATTCATTTGACAGAATCACAGTTACAAGATTTCTTATGGCAGTAAGATCAGGCAGGGAAAAGGAAAGGAAGAAAGCATATAATATGTTTTAAGTAGCTACACAGTACTAGATTTTGCACTTTATTACATACTGTTGCATGTATCCTAATTCTTTCTTTGTCAGACAGTAAACTCTATGAAAGGGATTATATCTGTTTTGCTCATTAGACACATGCATATCTTCAGATATTCATAAAAGCGTAGCTATATAGTCAGAGTCTAGCAGGCTTCTGGCATCTGGGAGGTTTTTAAAATGTGTTTAAATAAATGAACTATAATGCAAAGTCAACATTATTGTACTTAAATTGCAAAAATGAGACATCTGAACTTTGGAGAGATTAAATTACTTGTCTGATTGCTGAGTTCAGCTGACAGTCATGTTTAGGTCCCCTTAACACAAAAGTCTGTGTTTTATTTATATTTATTTATTTATTTATGAGATAGGGTCTTACTCTGTCATTTAGGCTGGTGTGCAGTGGCGCGATCTTGGCTCCCTGCAACCTCTGCCTCCCGGATTCAAGCAATTCTTCTTCCCCAGCCTCCCTAGTAGCTGGGATTACAGGCATCTGCCACCGTACCTGGCTAATTTTTGAATTTTTAGTAGAGATGGGGTTTCACCATGTTGGCCAGGCTGGTCTTGAACACCTGACCTCAGGCAATCCACCCTCCTCGGCCTCCCAAAGTGCTGGGATTACAGGCTTGAGCCACTGTGCCTTGCCAAAAGTCTGTGTTTTAAATAAATTTACATGAAATGACATATATTTTTCTTCTTTCTCTTTTTTACTTCTGAGTTTCCAGGATATTGATTTAAAACAATACAAAACTAAAAGTAGTAAAATGTACATGAGTTTCATCCAGAACTTGATTAAACTTGGAAAAATTCAAGTTGAAAAGTTGACTACTGATATATCTGACACAGTAAGACATATATTACTATCACAATTTCAATCACAGTTGAAATAACTGTGATTATTTAGTTCTTTAATACTTAGATGGTACCTCCCAGGACTATGCTTACTTTCTATTGGTGAAGAACTCTAATATGTCCTATTGCTTCAAAGGTTAGTCTTTTGGTAGAATAATGGTCACAAAACTCCATATGTGGAAAAAATCAATTAGGTAGTCCATATGGGTGATGTAGTATTACTGAAGAATAAGAATACACTTCAGTTCCTATTAAAATTATAAAAAAGATTTAATTTATCTTGTAATGGTATTATCTGTGATTTATGACATAGAATATTTGAGCTACAGAAGGATGAATCACCTCTTCTAAGATTTAAAGTAAAATAAGTTTAAAATACCCTATTTTATTAATAAACTCACACAACTACTCAATGAAATAATATGCTATCTTCGTACCATGGAAATCCATGTGGAAGACATCAACAAATTGCCCTCTGGGACATGAGACTGCATATAATATCTCCTTTTCCTTCCTAATAGGACTGTATTAAGAATATATCCACTGCAGATTTTGCATAGTGCTATTTTATGAACATTGATATAAACTGATAGGCAGAATTCCAAGATGGCCCCAAGATCCCTATATCCTGGTGTGCACACCCTGAATAGTCTCCAAGACTGTGATTGTGATGGATCTTATTCCCATGATTACATTATGCTATGTAGCACAGTTGGCTTTAAGAAAGGGAGATCATCTGGATGGGACTGACATAATCACATGAGCTCTTTAAATCTGGGTCTAGAGGTCAGAGACAGAAATCAGAGAGATCTGAAGCATAAGAGGGATTCCATGTGAGGGAAGATTCTCCAGTGCCAGCCATGAAGATGGAGCAGACCATGGGACAAGAGTCCTGAGTCCTCAGTTCTCTAGGAACTGAGAGTGACCCCAGGCCAATAGTAAGTAGGAAAACAGAGATCTCAGTCCCCAAACAACTGGATTCTGCCAACAATCTGAATGAGCTCGATAGTAGATTCTTCCTAAGAGCCTGCAAAGGACAACACAGCCCAGCTGTGTTCATTTCAGCCTTGAGAATACCTGAGCGGACAACTCAGCCACATGGTACAGGACTGTGAGATAACAAATAGGTGGTGTTTTAAACAACTTACTTGTGGTAATTTGTTACAAATCATCAGAAAAGGGATACATAGACTGTTCCGCATTAAGGCAAAAGGGAATATAACATTTAAAATAATCATTATGTTGCATATTGGTCTTCTAGTATATCAAAATGAGGGCTGGGCGCAGTGGCTCATACCTGTAATCCCAGCACTTTGGGAGGCCAAGGTGGAGACAGGAGTTCGAGAGCAGCTTGAACAACATGGTGAAACCCAAAAATACAAAATTAGCCAGGCATGGTGGCGCATGCCTGTAATCTCAGCTACTCGGGAGGTTGAGGCAGGAGAATCGCTTGAACCCTGGAGGCAGAGGTTGCAGTGAGCCAAGATCATGCCATTGCACTCCAGCCTGGGCAACAAGAGCAAAACTCCGTCTCAAAAAAACTAAAATAAAATAAAACACAAAGGTAATACATTTGAGAATTCTGGGTGGAATACTTTCCTCTGAATGTAGTCATTTAAAATGCTAATTTACAAACCAGGAAAGTAAAATAAACATAACTTTAGAACATACCTAATGGGTTCCAGTACAACAGAAAGTGCTAGGTCTGTTTAGTTCTGGATGCATAGCCTGCTAGCACAGCAGCTACTCTCTCACTCACAGTTGTACCTCCTTGGAGCCCAGAGTTCTGACCCTGGAAGGCCAGAAAGGAACTGATGGTGCTTATATGCCAAGGAACTAAGATTTCTCTTTACCTTTGCAATGTTGGATATTCCTTTGCATTTGTCAAGTTAAAATTCTTGAAAGAAAAACCCTTGTATAGTTTTCAGGTTAGCAGATTTAAAACACTGCAAAAGAATACTTTTAACCTTTGATTTTTGAAGTCATGGTTATAGATTATACTGCTCCAAATATTATCATATTAATAAGCTAAATTTATAGTTGTATTATCACATGCACAAAACATTGATCCAGGTGAAGTTCTGTAAAAGCCACATTTAAAGACACCTGTAAAATGCCATCATATTCAGCTAAACCTCTGGGTTTGGTGACAGGAATGTTTCCTCAAACATTTGCAAATTGACATTATTCTGACCTCTCATTGAGAGCAAAAATTGGTAGGCAACAAGCAAGTACCCAGAACTGACTTTGCTATTCTGTCAAGTAGACAGCATGCCAATAGGCAACCTATAATATGCCAGGCTGTGTCCCTGCAGAGTGTTCTGAGTTAGACCAGATGCCCATGTGATGGCTCACTCCTGGGTCAGAAGGAAACAGTAGGCCAATGACATTCAAGCTACAATAAATAGATTTCTTCTTCAGTCAGAATGTGTACAAGATACAGAAACAGAGAAGAGCTCAGCCATAATTCCATCTGGCTCAGCAGTCTGTAGAAAAATTGAGGAAAGAGGTAATTGAAATAAATTATTGTATCATCAGACCAAAGAAAATAAACTTTTTCTCAGAAGAAGAGTCCTGTGACCAATATGAAATTTGCAAACTAAAACAGCCCCAGTCATTATAAAGTGACCATCAGAGGATGAAAAACTGGAGTGGAAGCTCATAGATATGATTTCTTTGTCTATTCTGACCATTGTGCAATTTTTATAAATTCACTACTATGTCACTTTACAACGAGTGTAAACTCTGTTCCAGGATAGAGTCATCAGATAGAAAAATCAGTGCTGGGGGAAATAAAAGTAGGTGCCACTGAAAGAAGAATTAACTCTTTCAGGTCACTATACCTGGAATTAGGGTGAATATGCACACATAGTGGCAGAAATAACTGAAGGTTTGGTGACTACAAATTGCTTTAAAATAAGTGAAAGTGAATGCAAACTTAATTCATCTCTGCTACTCTTTCATAATTTCTACATGTTGTGCCAGCTGGGCCCACTGAGACACTGTTGGACAAATCTACTAGAGTACTCAAAGTGACTCATTAACAATCACAACACCACGACCACAAATGCACAGAATCTACCTTAAGATTTGGTTTCCTTTGCCGGGCATGGTGGCTCACATCTGTAATCCCAGCACTTTGGGAGGCCAAGGCGGGTGGATCACAAGGTCAAGAGATCGAGACCATCCTGGACAACATGATGAAACCCCATCTCTACTAAAAATACAAAAATTAGCCAGGCGTGGTGGCGCGTGCCTGTAATCTCAGCTACTCAGGAGGCTGAGGCAGAAGAATCACTTTAACTTGGGAGGCGGAGGTTGCAGTGAGCCGGGATTACGCCACTGCACTCCAGCCTGGCAACAGAGTGAGACTCCATCTCAAAAAAAAAAAAAAAAAAAAAATTTGGTTTCTTTTTATGGAGACTCTGAAGGGAGTGCCAACAACATTCAGTATCAAGTTCAGAAATTTCCAAAGAGAAATTCTGCCCTATTGCCAAATAGTTACTTCAGAATCCTCACTGCACAAGTGATTTATGAAATAAGCTCACTGGGGGTAAAATCTACCAACAGATTAGAGTCTGGGGTTAAATGCTGATGTTTAATAAGCAACAAGAGAAAAATCAGTGAAATAATAAAAATAAAAGATCTTAACAGGGTTTGCCAATAGTGAAGCAAATAAACAAATACAAATATACTAACAGCATGTGCAACATAGTGAGACCCCCATCTCTTCCAAAAAAAAAAAACACCTAAAAACTAGTCAGACACGGTGGCGCACATCTATGGTCCAAGCTACTCAGGAGGCTGATGTGTGAGGATTGCTTGAGCCCAGAAGGTCGAGGCTGCAGTGAGCCATATTCACACCTATACTCCAGCCTGGGTGACAGGCCAAGACTCTGTCTCAAAAAAATAAAAATAAAAAAATAGTAGTAACTCACTGATATTCCCATTTGTTACCTGCTTCTATGCCAGAAATTACTCTTTTTCCAAAAGCAGTTAATATATACGACTAGGTGAATTAGTGATAGCTTAAATGCCTGAATATCCCATATAAAAGGGAATATAAACATTGGAACTTCTGTCTACTCATAGTATTGAAAAAAAGTTTTTGGAGTCAGATGGATACAACTTAAAATAACACTAGCAGTGTGGCTGTGTAGATTACCTAACCTCCCTGAGCTTATTTCCTCATATGCTAGATGTTAACAAATATTTAACGCATGACTTGCAGGTAATGAAATCATATATGTATTCAATATTATAATATTCAATATATTGAATAATCTTGAATAATATTCAAGATTCAGTAATATGAGATATATGTATGTGTATATGTATGATATACATATATCTATATAGCAGGGTGGTTAGTGAGTACAAATTCCCTTACTCTTCCTCTCTAATTCCCATCTACTTTTAATGTAGGCACATGGTACTAATTGTACCCCAGGACTCTCCTGCCATCTGTAGTAACTAGGTAGGAAAAAAAGAAAGCCCAACATGGGAATTTAACAGGTTGATCTGGCAATGATGACTTTCAGAACTGAGTGGCTTTTGCTCCTATCTTGCCACACTGTAACAATGTGACACTCTCTCCCTATAACTGCAAAAATTTCTGGAGCTGTAGATCTTGGGGTTCTTCACTGGATTTCCAAAAGTGCCTGGCAGAAATTTGCCTTTATTAAAGTCATGCACTCTCCTGGCAAAATCTCCCAAAAGCAAGCACTTTCTGAAATAATTTTCTCCCTAGATTAAATGTTTGTGTACCAAAGTACATATTAATATACAGGTCAGTGTAAGACAGAAATAGTTTATGTATCAAATTGCCCCAAGCTTTGAGTCAGGAGAGGGAGGGTAACAGTGTCTTTCCTCTGAGCTTCCGGCTTACAGCTGGTGGCAAAGCTGAGCCTGGCCTGACTTGTTCATGCCTCTTCACCACCTGTAGCCCACCCCAATCCCAAAGGGCTTCACAAGAATTTGTTAAGCAAATGTCTACAGCAACCTTATTTAAAGCTAAACCCTTTTACGTGCTTTCAAATGCTACGATCTAAAGACTTCTGGAAACTCTTTGATTTATTCCCCCATTTTTCTTAATCTACAATCTGCCTCCCATGGTTTCTCAGCATTGACTAACACCAGGCACTTCTGATAAATGAATAAATCTATCTGAAATGTCCATGAGAAAAATCTACTCTCAATCAGGAATGGAACTTTTGTGCCTGTGCATTACATTCCTCAAGATTACCATGAACTTGAAATGTAACAATATGGATATTACATACAATATGTATGTACAGCAATATGTCAATGAAAATATATTGCAAAAAATAGAGGAGAGACAAATATTGTTCACACATTGTGTAGTAGCTCTAAAAGCCCTTTCTACAAAGTAGTTATTTGGAAAGATAACAATTCATCACTATTTATGGTACAAAATTTTGGCTTTTGAAATCCAAGTTTTAAGTATCACAAAGCATATCTCTGTTATTTCAAGCATACATATGGAGACGAACACACAACACAAACACACACACATATTCATCTACTTTCTAATAATTTATGTACATTCTTCATAATAATGAACAAGCTGGCCTTATACCTACTTAAATCTCAAAACTAGTGCATATACTAACACCTGCCTCTACACCTTACTGTAGGGTAAGCCATCCACTTTCCAAGCCAGCCTTTTGAAGCTATAGCAAATCAAATTTTAGATCCAGAAAATGAATGCATGCTTTGGAAGTACTGTCATTTAACTTAAAGACATGAAGGACTTGAAAAGGCTACTTTACATCTCATCAAAACCATAGAAACTGTCAACAGAAAATCAGAAGATTACAGGCTGCATTTAAGCTAAATTCAGGGAAATCCTCTTACAATGAATTCAGAGTATGCCAAGAAAGGTGACTATTGGGAGAATTCTTTTTCCCTTCTCTTCCTTCTAATCCCAGCTTCTCTTGGTCTTCACCATCCCCCCACACCCCTAATCCACTCATTCTAATACCTCCCTGGACCAACCAGACAAATTGGTACTTAATCTCTCTGCCTCACCATCATCCACTCCCTCTGACAGCCCTCTACAGAAGAGTTGCCACATCATACAGCCAAAGCAAACTTTAGCTTCAGTATGATGTCTAAATACTACAGCTTTATCACTTGTGACATGCATTTCCAGAGGATCCTATCACATAGGTTCAGTGCAAGTACCAGAAATATTAACTAGATAATTTCCACTGTAGACAGTCCAGAGTATAAACAGAGACAGCAGATAGTGGTGACTATGATAGCCCCTAGAGGCCTCAGAGCTTTTTAAGAAACATCACTCATATAGGATTTCAAAAGAAAAATTTCCCTGTAGATGATACAGCAGAGGCCATTTCTCCTTGAGTCTCATAACATTACTCCCTAAAACATAATCCCTATTCCAAGGCCTGTCCTGTTTCTCTACAAATCTGTGTTTTAGCATTAAATATTAAGACTAATCCTCACTTCTCAAACAATTTTATGGACAAGGCTTCATGCCTCTGAAAATGAAAAATAAAACAATTCTTTAGTGCTATTTTTCTAGAGAGGAAATAGCAGATTATGATCAAATTGTGGATACTATATATACTCAGTTTACCAGATAACTCTTGTCACTGTTAATGACTCAATAAAGCCAAATCACAGGATATTGGGGGATGTGTAACAAATGCATGAGTTTGTAGAAGACCCCCTGACCACTGTCTCACCTCATTTTGAGAAACAGCCTCATTTTTGAGAATAATCAGGTTCCCAGCATTCTGACCACTTTGGCCTGTGAGATTCCTGCTGTCAGTCACTGCTGCTTGGGCTCCCGAAGGCCCTGGTCCTGTCTGGGCCCCTGTATTGTAAAACATGAAAGTGTCACTCCCTGAGCCTGCTGTCAGACAGGCCTTGTAGCAGTAGGTCTTGGTGAGGGAGCCATTCCCTCGAACTTCAATGAAGTGAGGCTGCACTTTGAGGCCATGCGGTATCCTGGCATCAATATTGTTGTTGGCTTGTTTGTACAGTTCTGCAGGGGACCTTTCCCTTACTCCACAGAAGCCTCCACAGCATGCAGTGCCATACGCAGTGTAGCGGTAGCACTTGATGATGCTCAAAATGATGATTGTCAAAAGAAATATAAAAGACACTGTGCTTAATGCTATTATTAGATAAAGGGTAATTTCAGAGTATGTCCGAGGGCTCTTAACATGCCTCTGAGTGTCAGGGAGGATTTTGGAAACCCTATCCACCACAGCTACTGTAATGGCCACAGAGGCTGATAGTGATGGCTCTCCATTATCTCGGACCACCACGGTCAGGTTGAAAGTGCTACCACTCTCATCTCCCATCTTCCTGGTAGTCCTAATTTCTCCTGTGTGCAGCTCTACCTTAAAGAGGTCCAGGTCAGAAGTCTGGGCTAGATGGTAAAAAAGCCAAGCATTTTGCCCAGAGTCTGAGTCCATAGCTATGACTTTGGTGACCAGGTAGCCAGCAGGGGCAGTTCGAGGCACCATCTCGAAGGCTGCTGACGAGTTGGTTGAGGTAGGGTACAGAATGTGAGGGGCATGGTCATTCATGTCCACCACATATACGTTGGCAGTCACAGTGCTGCTCAGTGGTGGGCTCCCCTTGTCCTGAGCCTCCACAGTCACAAAGAACTCCCGAAACTTCTCATAGTCAAAGGAGTTGACAGCATAAAGGCTGCCACTGGCACTGTTAATGGAGACATAGGAGGTGACTGGCAGCCCTTGAATCTCCCTCTCCAGAAGGGAGTAGGTCACCTCTGCATTCTCCTTTTCATCTGGGTCTGTGGCTTGCACAGTACAGAGCAACACACCTGGCAAATTGTTCTCCTGTATGTAGATGGAATAGGAGTCCTCCAGGAAGCTTGGTGGATTGTCATTGATGTCAGAGATCTCAACCTTCAGTGTACGCAGGGATGTGAGCTGCGGTATTCCCCCATCTGTGGCTGTCACCGTGATGTTGTAGACAGCCACCCGCTCTCGGTCCAGTGGGCCGCTCACCACCAGTGTATAGGAGTTTCCAAAGCCATTCAGTCGGAAAGGCAGTGTGGCCTCCAGACCCAGGCTCACTTTCCGGTTGGGGCCTGAGTCTTGGTCATTGACACTGAGAACGGCCACAATGGTGTTGGGTGTAGCATTCTCAGGCACTGGGCTATACAGGTCCGTGAGCACCACCTCTGGGGCATTGTCATTCACGTCCACGATGTCCACCAGCACCTTGCAGTGACCTGCCATGGGCACTGGACCCCGGTCAGTCGCCTGCACATAGATCTGGTAGGAGGAGGCTTCCTCATAATCCAGCCCCCCAATTACTCGCACTTCCCCGGTACTGGCATCTATGCTGAAGAGCTGCCTCTCCCGGTCCGACGTGTAGCTGCTCAAGGAGTACCTGAGCTCACCATTGGAGCCCTCATCCGGGTCTGAGGCATTCAGCTTCACCACCAATGTGCCTGGGGGTGAGTCCTCCCGTAGCTGGACGCGATAAGTGGACTGGTCAAAGGCAGGAGAGTTGTCGTTAGTGTCCAGGACACGCACAGAGATCTGTGCCGTACCCGAGCGGGCTGGGATGCCCCCATCCACGGCTGTGAGAACCAGGTGGTGCAAGGCTGCCTGCTCCCGGTCTAGGCCCTTACGCAGCACCAGCTCAAGCACTTTACTGTTCTCCTGCAGGGGCTTAAGGTCCAGCTCGAAGTGCTCGCTGGGGCTGAGCTCGTAGGTCTGTACTGAGTTGGCGCCCACGTCGGGGTCCTGCGCACTCTCTATGTGAAAGCGCGCTCCAGGCGCCACCGATTCGCTTACCTGAAGCTGGTAGTTGGGCCGCGGGAAACGCGGTGAGTTGTCGTTGATGTCCAATATTTCCACCTCAACGGCGCTCACCGCCACGGGGTTGTGCGCCAGCACTTCCAAGCTGAGCAGGCAGCGAGGCCGCTGCTCACACAGCGCCTCCCGATCAATGCGCTCGTTGACGAAGAGCGCTCCACTCGTCAGGTCCAGCTCCAGGTAGCGCGGACTGGGCGCACCCAGATGGTTGATGCGCAAGCAACCCGGCCCCAAGCGCCGCAGCTCAAGCCCCAGCGCGCGAGCCACGTTGCCCACGAGCGCGCCGGGTGCCTGCTCCTCTGGCACAGAGTATCGCAGCTGGGAGGCCGCAGGGCCAGGTAGCAGCAGCAGCAACAGCAGCAGGAGAGGCAGTAGCAGCAGCCAGGGCATGGGCCGCCGGAGCCGTGGATGCTCTGTCGCCGCAGGTCTGGTGCCCGCCTGCTCCATAGCCACTGGCCGCGGCGGAGGCAGCCGGGCAGGGCCGGAGGCGGCAGCTTCCCCAGCCGTGCCCCACGCCCGGGCCCCGCCTCCGCTCGTGCCACCCTGCGCCTGCTCCCCCACCGCTCACGCTCTAGAAAGCGCCTGGGGCCGCTCCCTCCGTAGGCCCTCCCAAGGGCTCCTGGCCCCACCGTCCTCGCTGACTCCCCATATTCCAGC
The DNA here is from genome assembly GCF_000001405.40 of Homo sapiens. NCBI lineage: Eukaryota > Metazoa > Chordata > Mammalia > Primates > Hominidae > Homo > Homo sapiens. The sequence goes on along the minus strand of NC_000005.10, from coordinate 140,966,556 downwards.
TCCTCCGCTCGCCTCCGAGTCGCTCAACCCGGCTCGGCTTCCTGCTGCTGCTGCCGCTACAGCTCCAGGGGGAGGGAAAAGGAAACAGAAGGGAAGACAGAGGGGGAGGGGGAAAGGGAGCGGTAGGAGGGCTCAGCAAGTCCTGCTCTGATTCCGCGCCGAAGTGGCGGACAGCGAACCCGGACTGCTCAGCCTCTCCAGCCCCATCTCCTTCACCCTGGACCTGCCGGATCCCAGCGGACCGCAGGAACACGGCCACTCCCTTTCTCCCTACCCCCACTGTCCAGTTCATCCAGTCTCCACCGTCTCTCCCCTGCTTAACGGGTCTTTAAGGAGATTAGTCTGGGAAAAGCAGTCAAGCCCCTAGAAGTCTGGCTATCAGCTCCCCAGGAAAAGATCTCCAAGCGCAATTCAGGAAAATAAACTGAGGGGCCTTAGCTAAGTATGGGCACCCAGGCGGCGGATCTAACATTAAAAGGAAACAACGCAGGGGGAGGCGCTCTGGGGTTACTGGCGATGGGAACTATTCACCTGACTCCCACATCTTCCCTGGACACTCTTAAGTACTGCAGAAAGTGCTCAACTCCTAGGGCAAAAGGAGGGGGATGGCAAATGCTGCCCTCTTTCCGGGAGCAAGCCTAAAACCAGCATCCTGGGATCCAAGACTCAATTCTGCTCTCGGCCAAGTGGCCCTTATTTTCAGTGTGTGCCTTGGCAAATAACCAATATTTAAATGTTTAAAATGCTCTGTTTAAAAAAATAGTCTCCATGAAGCTGTAGGCAAATCTATTATTTGACCCATTTTGGCGACAATGGGGAAAATCTGGTAAAATTTTTAAAGAGATTCTTCTCTCAAGCTTTTTCTAATCTTGCTTCAAATCTTTTACATTTATCACCCAAGACATTTTCTTTCAAGAGTAATTTAAAATTTTTTCTTTAATGGATGACAATGTCTTCAAGAGTCTGCAAAACCATTAAATCAAGAGCGTTACTGTTGATCTCCTAAGCCAGGCTGGAATTTGGATTCCATTAATGCTTTGCAGTTAAAAAAAAAAAAAAATCTGCTGTCATTAAGCAAAATGTGGGAGTCTGGGATTTATCTTACAATAACCAGCAATTTCAATGACTGCAGCTTATCTTCCTTAAATATAAGACTCCTTAGACTTCTGTTCTTCTGTGTCCCCAAGTTTCCTCTTGTACTGCTATAGAGGCAACACAGAGACAACAAATTCACTTCAGTAAAAGAGAAGGTAGAAGGATCAGAGGAAATCTTTCCATGCTGTGTCATTGCCTCTGCTGCTCAGTTCTGAATATTCACTCTTCCCAGGTTCTCACATTTCTTCCACAGGAATTTGAAATCTATTGCCTCATGTGCAAAAAAAGCACTCACTAAAACGTCCTTTCTCTTCATCTCCCAGTATTCTGTCATCTGTAGATCTTCCTCTATGGGTCATTTTCTAGCTATGGACTGGAACAAAGTCAGAGTGAGACCTGACATTTGGCATGCTTCCCTCCTAGAGCGGACAGTTAAAGGAGCCAAGGTTGTGATCCTGACACCCAGAATTCAAAGGCCTGAACTAGCACATCCCTTCGTTCCACCAACCAAGCACACTCACTATCAATGCTCCACTACCTAGCCAGTGTTATTCCAGAGAAGCGCCCAGCCTCCTATCACTGCTGCTTCTTATTTGTCCTCTTTGTTTCCTCAAGGGTACAGAGTAGGAAGCAATTTTCATCAAAATCTATTCCTGTCTCCTTTCTTGGGTCTCTGGCTTCTTCCTCTTCTCTCTGCATCCTCCCCAAACATCCCTACAATAATTCTGTCTCAGTTTGCTGTGGTAATTTGATCTCGGAGGCCTTAATCTCTCAAGTGCACAAATTGTGGACCTGGCCTGTGTCCTCACCCATTACTTGTTTCTGAAAATAAATGGCTTATAAGTGGAATCAAGTTGTAAGTTGTCATGAAAAGTGATCTTTCCTCCCCTTATCTCCTCCCAGCCCTCCAAGTCGCTGCCATCTCTGCACGCAGCTCAGAGACCTGGCCACTGGGTATTGACCAGGCATAGACCTGTGACTGTGAAAAAATCATAGGCACTTAAGGAAGAGATTACAGTGGCAGAGGCTTGGTAATTTTTTAATGGAAGCCCCCAAATGTCATGTCTTGGGAGAAAAACCAGGACTCTCCTTTCAGCACTCTTGTCATCTTCCAGCAAGGACACCTGCCAGGTTGTCCATTATGCTGTTTTAGGCCTTGTAGGTATTTAGCTCCAGCTAGAATTTACTGCCTTAATTATTAAGGAGTCAAATATAAAGCCAACACAATCAGCCTCATTTTGAAAGACATTGTACTAAAGAGATGGTATACTCTATTTGGCACTATAATGATTTCGTTCCTCACACCATTATACTGAGGCTCCTGCCAACCTTACTAGTTGTTAGAATGTGATTGCTCAGACTGTTGTTAATTACCCTTTCTACAAATATTAACACTAATGCCTTGACCACACCATTATGCATTCCTTTCCTTGGACCTTCAAGAGCTCTCTATTAAAAAGTAGAACACAGTAATTAGGAATATAGACTTTGGAGTCAGTCACACTCCTGCCAGTGACTAACTGTTTGGCTATGGACATGTTACTTAGCCTAAGCTTCACTTTACTCATTTTAATTAAGGAAAACAATAGTAAGCAAAACTCATACGGTTATTATTATGATTACATGAGAAAATGTATGTAAAGCAATTTGCACAGTGACTAGTTAAGTACATTATTGTTGTTGTTGCTGTCGTCATGAAATACAACAATTTATTATCATCAGATAAAACCTTAGTTGGCAGTCTATATGTAGCATGGCCCTTTAGATATCAAACACGGATAAACACATTTAACTATGCCATATAGGAAATCAACCATGATAGGGAAGATGCGTATGCAACAAAGTTAAGCTTTCCCAATTACGTCTAGAACTATATCCTACATTTTGAGAACAAAACCAGAAAACAGCCCCTTTTTATATCATGAAGTAAATGGGACTTCTGTTATGAGAACCCCTTCAAGAGATTTGTTTCCTCACAAGAGATTTACCTTTTTAGAAAACACAGAAATACTTTAGCAACAGAGTATGAAGTTAGTTCCTAAACATGCTGTAATCTACAGCATCCAGTAGGGAGCTTGGCACAGAGGTGCTCAATTAATGTTCTTTGAAAAGAACTAAATTTACAAATTTATCTGTGTAATTCTAATACAAACAGCTTCTTATTTTCTCTCCTCCTTATAAAATCTTACATACATTTCAAAGTCCAGATGAAAACCTACCTAATCCATCAAACAGTGTCTACTCTAAACACGAGGTTTTTTTTTTCATTTTCACAGTCTACAGCATATCTGTAAGATGGCATGTGTCATTTTTAAATTCATCCAAATAATTTAATATTATCTCTTTAATTATAAGCAACCTGAAAGCAGGAGCCATGTCTTATATTTCTGTCTCCTTCACAATGTAGAAACCCTTATAGACTCTCAATAAATGTTAATTGCTTCATTTTCTTCAGATCTTATTTTTAGTAAACTCAAGCTGCTACAGAAAAATTTCCTATATAGGGATAGAGCATATCTTATGGAGAGGAGGTTGAGAAGTATCTGTCAAATAGGGAAGGAGCTAGTTTTCATTTTTTAATTCATGTATTTATGTTGCTCTACAAACCGAGCACAAGTTATATAATAAAAAAGAGACAAATGGTCATCTCTGATGTTTAGAGTTGTCCAAAGTAGTTTTTAAAAATTCCATCTTGTTAAAAACGAATAGGATTCCTGATCTTCATGCATCCCCAGAAGGAAAATACTTTCCAATATGATTATAGCATTATTTACAGATAAAACATCCAGTGGATGGGAAGATGAAAAAGTTTTCACATAACTTGATGGCTAAATTTTTTCACATCTCCCTTCCTCCAGAAGAAATATATCAGTCAAATATTTGGCATTAACAATTGGCTTTTAGGGGGAGATCCTCTACATTTTTAGTTCTAAAAAACTAATATATTATTGATAGTTGGCTGAGGTGTCTGAAAATTGCTTAGAATAAACAAAGAGATTCAAGCCATAAGAGATTCAAGCCATCTTTGGATAAGTAACAATAAAAAGGGAGAGACAGGTTTGGGGCAGATTGCGTAATATTAACAGATAAAATCAAACTAGCCAGTATTGGGGGGAGTTTTACTTCTTTATCAGTATTCTCAATTGAGATGGCCTAACAAGAATCATAGAATATTAAAGGTTGAGGTTTTTTAAATTATAAAATTATTTTTCATTGAAGAAAATGGTTAAGTGAAACTTGAACCTCAAGATCAATAAGGAGATAGGAAGCATAAAAGTGATATAAGTGGCCGGGTGTGGTGGCTCACGCCTGTAATCCCAGCACTTTGGGAGGCCGAGGCCAAGGTTAGGAGATCGAGACCATCCTGGCTAACATGGTGAAACCCCGTCTCTACTAAAAAATACAAAAAAATTAGCCAGGCATGGTGGTGGGTGCCTGTAGTCCCAGCTACTCGGGAAGCTGAGGCAGGACAATGGCGTGAACCCAGGAGGCGGAGGTTGCAGTGAGCCGAGATCATGCCACTGCACTCCAGCCTGGGCAACAGAGCGAGACTCCATCTCAAAAAAAAAAAAAACTGATGTAAGTAAGTCAATTATCTGTGGCCAGATAAATGATCTTCCAAGGCACTGAAATAACTTACAGATGTGACTAGAGAACCCAATTTCCTATCTTTTAAAAAGTGCCATTAAGCTTGATATAAATTCCTTCAAAACTGTAATATTACTAAAGTGATTGTTTATGAGCACTTAGAAATGAAGGCATTCATACTAAGGACTACTCCGGCTTAATTAAAAACTGGTAACTTCAAACTAACCACATAGACTTAAGATTGTTTTTCATATGGGCACTTTAGTTTCATTTACTAGAATCATTGCCAAAATAAATGCTTATCAAAACAAAATTTAAAAAAAGAAATGCTGCAGGAACAGTCTATCTAGAATTTGTGGAGACATTAAACAAAGTCTCCCAATATACTCACGTGGACAAGACAAAAAAAGAAAGGCAGCTGCAAGACAGTGTAGTTAGGTGATTTTGTAATTGTTTAAATAACATGCCAAAAAGTGTTTACTAATGGAATAGTTCAAACTAGAAGGAGAATTCTAATGGGGACTACAGGGATCCACTCTTGGTCTCTCAAGAAACAGAGCCTGGTAAATCATGTTCTTTAACCTCAAGAAACAGAGCCATGGTAAAAAGAAGCTTCCTGGAGCTTCGGATAAATTCCATCACCTTTTTGGGACCCAGTTTCTTCATCAATACCAACCTCACTAGGGTCCTGTGAGGAGTACATAAGGTTAGATATGTACTGAAATAATATGCCAACTCTTAAGTGCCAAGACATTAAGATGCAAGGGGGTTGGGTGACCAAAAAGTCAACAATTACTTGATACTCCAGATATCCCATTCAACATTTTGTTAATGACTCAAAACAAGGAGGTAGCAAGTGTCCATGCAGTCCAGCAGCAAATTGAGCATTTTTGGAACAAGAATTGCAACTGCCTAGGTTAAGCTATGTTTCTAATTCACTAAACTTAGTACCAATTTTCTATCTGAAACTCAAGATATGCCCCAAATTCATTAGTGTGTATTTCAGCTAATTTCTGGCTTATAGTTGCCATTAAACCTGTTCCAAGTTTCCATTCATCACTTGGGACCTCTTATTTTAATAGAAACCTTGTTTGGCCCTATTTCTCCTCTGTAACTCTTGGGATTTTAGCCATGGACTAAAATCATGGACTAAAATAAGATGAGTATTTGGCACTAAAGAACACCCTCATTCCCAAGTAGGTTTTAGCCAAAGCATTCATTGATTTGGATAGGGGTTTTAAAAATATATTTCAAAAACACACTAGATATTGTTGAAGTACCTTGAATTTGAACTGTTTTCCAACTGTTTTCCTAAGCTCAGTCTATATGAAGGCCACAGTTTCTCTTTCCTATACCCATTATGTTTGCTGCTTGGAACAAACAAACCTACACCTCTGTGTAAGAAGGATTACTTCTCAAAATTATCCATACATATATCTAGAGTATCAAGTAATTGTTGACTTTTTGGGCACCCCCCCTTGCATCCTAATGTCTTGGCACTTAAGAGTTGGCATATTATTTCAGTACATATCTCACCTCATGTACTTCTCACAGGACCCTAATGAGGTTGGTATTGATGAAGAAACTGGGTCCCAAAAAGGTGACGGAATTTATCAGAAGCTCCAGGAAGCTTCTTTTTACCATGGCTCTGTTTCTTGAGATCCTGAAATAACATCTGACCACTACACATGCAACCCCTAACTTAAGAATTGTATTATCAGTCTCAAGCTATTAATATCTAAGTATTTCATAAGGAATACTATTGTTCCCACAACTACAAGTTTCTTTCTCTTTTAGAAACTTCAATTGAATCTTCTGTACATGTTTTTAATAATAAACAGCCGGACTTAACAAAATCATGATGCAAAATAGATTTGTATTTCATATCCCAACTTCTTCTTTCAGTAACATCTACCTCCTACCTATGATATTCTGCCTAAGTAATGGGGCTTTACAAATGGCTTTGATTTTTCTGATATAAATCCCACTCGTGTATTCCTTGACAGATTTTGCTACATAATTCCTTTAGCAGTTACAGGCATAATACATTATCATGTGGGTAAAATATAAATCCTCTAAATTAGCCATGTTAATATACACTGTTCTTACTGAATATTAAAATATACTTTAAGGCATTTTGATGAGATAATGTTATCTAAAAATTTTCCCTTTCAAAGCTCATTTTATTGAAATTATTTAGAAATGATTTACAAATTCTTCAATTTTGCTTCTGTGTTTTTTCTCTCTTTTTTTCTATCACAAGCAAGAAAAGCATGTTATACTTGGCTGATAGAATTGAAACAAAAAATCTAGTACTGATTCTATTTATACAGCATCTCTGAATTAATGGTCTTAAAGATCTTAAAATTTTTTAGTTTGATCCATATATAACAATATGCCTTGATTGATGCCAACTTCAGCTTTTCAGCACAAAATAGAAAAAAATACACAAATTCTCAGATCAATCAACACTTTATCTTAATTTGTGACTTTTTTTTTTGAGACAGGGTCTCACTCAGTTGTCCCGCTGGAGTGCAGTAGCATAATCAAAACTTATTGCAGCTTCAACCACCGGGCTCAGTGATGCTCCCACCTCAGGCTCCTGGGTAGCTGGGACTACAGTCATGCACTATCATGCCCAGATAATTTTTGTATTTTTTGTAAGGACAGCATTTCACCATGTTGCCCAGACTGGTCCTGAACTCCTGGGGTCAAGCAATCTGCCCACTTTGGCCTCCCAAAGTGGGCTCACCTCGCCCACCTTCGGACCCCTGCTGAATGTCCGAAACCAAGGATAATACTGAATTCTATATATACTGCATTTTTTCCTATACATACATACCCATGATAAAGCTTAATGTATAAATTAGGTACAGTAAAAGATTAGCAACAATAACTAATAATAAAATAGAACAATTATAATAATATAATATTATTACAAGTATGAGCCACCACACCCAGGCAGACTTTTCTGTATCTATTATATAGCTACTGGTCAATTCTTTTATAAACCCAGTAAACCAAAGACACTGGAATGATAACTTTAAGATATAAAAATTAAAACAGAATGGTGTGATAATTTACTAGAAATAGAAAGTTGATTTCAAACAGAAATGGGTAAAAATCTCCTTTCTCTCTTTCCCATTCAGTGTTACATTTATTATAACAGAGTTGTCACTCTAGGATATTCAATATCCTTTATAATTAAAATTTCATCATAGCTTTCTGTGATTGGTTTTCTGCAGTACTCTCAAGCTGGACTAGTATTCCTTTGATCCAATTATCATAAGCTCATTTAAAATCTCAACTGTGTATGAAACATTTATTGGTTCATAAATCAATGTACACATAGTATATATTGGACAGCCATGCCTCCTAGGATATGTGGACTTAGTGCTCTTTAAGCCAGCAGAAGTTGAAGAATAAAAGGTATTTTTAAATTATAAAAAGTGCTTCTTTCCAAGCATCAGTGATAATGTTTGATGACCTGTTAAGAAAATAGCAACATTCCTGATAAAGTCAGACTGTGAACTTCCTGTGATTTATTTATTTTTTGAGCTCTAATTTATTTTAATTAAGTTCAATAATATTTAAAATATATACTTCTTGTACCAAATTAAATTTGTTCAGAATTGTTAAAAACAATGAAAGTCCTTTAAAATCTAATTCCCTTGTATACTAGACCAGTAACAGAAAATTTATATCACTCCAGGCTTTTGACTATGCTATATAAATATACACACTGATACATTTTACAAAATGGAACCACACTCTACACACTATTGTACAACTTTACTTTTTGCTTCTGTGTTTTTTCTCTCTTTTTTCTATCACAAGCAAAGAAAGCATAGTATACTTGGCTGATAGAATTGAAACAAAAAATCTGGCACTGATTCTATTTATACAGCATCTCTGAATTAATAGTCTTAAAGATCTTTAAATTATTTAGCTTGATACATAGATAACAATATGCCTTGGTTGATGCCAACTTCAGCTTTTCAGCACAAAATAGGAAAAAAAATACACAAACTCTCAAATCAATTAACACTTTCTCTTAATTTGTGACTTTTTTTTACTTAACATATATGATGAACTTAGTTTTTACTTAACATATATAATGAACATCCTTTCATGTCAGTATATATAATTCTGCTTCTTTCTTAATAAAAACTACATAATGTTCATTGTCTAGATATTTCATAATTAATTTTTACTCCATGATTGAATATTTAAGTGCATTTCTGAAAGTGTGTGCATGTATATGTCTGTGTGTTTATTCTGGGAAGTGCTTTGTTAAAAGTACAGTAGTCCCTCCTTTTCCACAGAGAATACTTTCTAAGATCCCCACTGAATGTCTGAAACCAAGGATAATACTGAATTCTACATATACTATGTTTTTTCCTATACATACATACCTATGATAAAGTGTGATTTATAAATTAGGCACAGTAAAAGATTAACAACAATAATAATAAATTAGGACAATTATAACAATACACTATAATAAAAGTTTTATGAATGTGGTCTCTCTCTCAAAATATCTTACTGTACTGTGCTCACCTATTTTCTGAAACTGCTCAGAGTGAAACTGCAGGTAAGGGGGGACTAGTGCTTACATATTTAAATTTTAGGTAGACATGCCAAAATGCTTCGCCAAATTTTTGTGCCTATTTATATTCCCAATCGGTCATCAATAAACCAATTTATATACTTAGATTTGTCTCCAAAATTTTTAGTTCATAGTGTAGTAAAGAAACACACAGAATCATGTCCATAGCAATATTTCATTTTCCTTAATAAAAAGCCCTCAGTCACATTTATAATTTATTTTATATGACTCCCATAAATATCTAAATGCTCACTGAGAAATTCAGACCACTTCCTTGAATTTATTTTACTTAAATTGACTGATTAATTACAGTGTTTTAATGTAAATTTTATCCTATATCCAGCAAGATTAAAGTTTATACATTTAAGAATATTCATTCATTGATATCTAACTTTTCACACATTCATTCAACCATTTAACCCAAGATTTAAAAATATTAAATTACAAATTGAAGCAATAATAAATAGCCCACCAAGCAAACAAAGCCCAGGACCAGACAGATTTACAGCTGAATTCTATCAGAGGTACAAAGAGGAGCTGGTACCAATTCTTCTGAAGCTATTCCAAACAATGGAAAAGGAGGTACTCCTCCCTAACTCCTTTAAGGCCAGCATCATCCTGATACCAAAACCTGGCAGAGATGCAACAAAAAGGAAAACTTCCAGCTGATATCCCTGATAAGCATCAATGCAAAAATCCTCAATAAGATACTGGCAAACCAAATCCAGCAGCACATCAAAAAGCTTATTCACCATGATCAAGTAGGCTTCATCCCTGGGATGCAAGACTGGTTCAACATATGCAAATCAATAAATGTAATTCATCACATAAGCAGAACTAAAGACAAAACCCACATGATTATCTCAATGGATTCAGAAAAGGCCTTCGATAAAATTCAACATCCCTTCATGTTAAAAATGCTCAATAAACTAGGTATTGAAGGAACATATCTCAAAATAATAAGAGCCATATATATGATAAACCCACAGCCAATACCACACTGAATGGGCAAAACCTGGAAGCATTCCCCTTGAAAACCAGCACAAGACAAGGATGCCCTCTTTCACCACTCCTATTCAGCATAGTATTGGAAGTTCTGGCTATGGCAATTAGGAAAGAGAAAGAAATAAAGGGTATTCAAATAGGAAGAGAGGAAATCAAATTATCTTTGTTTGCAGATGACATGATCCTATATCTGGAAAACCCCATTGTCTCAGCCCAAAAGCTTCTTAAGCTGATAAGCAACTTCAGCAAAGTCTCAGGATACAAAATCAATGTGCAAAAATTGCTAGCATTCCTATGCACAAACAACAAGCAAGTAGACAGCCATATTATGAATGAACTCCCATTCACAATTGCTACAAAGAGAATAAAACACCTAGGAATACAGCTAAAAAGGGAAGTGAAGGACCTCTTCAAGGAGAATGACAAACCACTGCTCAAGGAAATCACAGTGGACACAAACAAATAGAAAAACATTCCATGCTCATGGATAGACAGAATCAGTGTTATGGCAATAATGCTCAAAGTAATTTATAGATTCAATGGTATTCCTATTAAACTTCCATTGACATTCATCACAGATTTCGAAAAAACTATGTTAAAATTCATATGTGTATTAATTTGTTCTCACACTGCTATAAAGAACTGCCTGAGACTGGGTAATTTATAAAAGAAAGAGGTTTAATTGACTCACAGTTCAGTATGGCTGGGGAGGCCTCAAGAAACTTAGAATCATGGTGGAAGGGAAAGCAAACACGTCTTTCTTCACATGGTGGCAGGAAGGAGAGGTGCCAAGCAAAAAGGAAAAAGCCCTTATAAAACCATCAGACCTAATGAGAACTCACTCACTATCATGAGAACTGTATGGGATAATTGCCCCCATGATTCAATTACCTCCCACTGGGTCCCTCTCACAACATGTGGGGATTATGGGAACTACAATTCAAGGTGAGATTTGGGTGGGGACACAGCCAAACCATATCAATATGGAACCAAAAAAGAGCCTTTATAGCCAAGCCGATCCTAAGCAAAAGAACAAAGCTGGAGGCATCATGCTACTTGATTGACTTCATATACACCACAAAACTACAGTAACCAAAACAGCACGGTACTGGTACAAAAACAGACGTGTAGACCAGTGGAACAGAATAGAGAACTCAGAAATAACACCACACACCTACAACCATCTGATCTTCAACAAACCTGACAAAAACAAGCAATGAGGAAAAGATTCCCTATTTAATAAATGGTGCTGGGAGAATTGGCTAGCCATATGCAGAAAATTGAAACTGGACCCTTTCCTTACATCTTATACAAAAATTAACTCAAGATTAATTAAAGACGTAATTCATAAAAGTATGAAACTATAAAAACCCTAGAAGAAAAGCTAGGCAATACCATTCAGGACATAGGCACAGGCAAAGATTTCATGACAAAAGTGCCTAAAGCAATTTCAACAAAAGCAAAAATTGACAAATGAGATCTAATTAAATTAAAGAGCTTCTGCACAGCAAAAGAAACTATCATCAGAGTGAAAAGACAACCTACAGAATGGGAGAAAAATTTTGTAGTCTATCCATCTGACAAAAGTCTAATATCCAGAGTCTACAAGGAACTTAAACAAATTTACAAGAAAAACCCAAACAAGCCCATTAAAAAGTGGGCAAAGAACATGAACAGACACTTCTGAAAAGAAGACAGTCATGCAGCCAACAAACATATGAAAAAAACCTCAACATCACTGATCATTAGGTAAATGCAAATCAAAACCACAATGAAATATCTTCTCACACCAGTCAGAATGGCAATTATTAACAAGTCCAGAAACAACAGATGGAGAAAAAGGAACACCTTTACCCTGTTGGTGGGGTTGTAAATTAGTTCACTCATTGTGGGAGACTGTGTGGCGATTCCTCAAAGATCTAGAGGCAGAAATACCATTTGACGCAGCAATCCCATTACTGGGTATGTACCCAAAGGAATATAAATCATCCTATTATAAAGATACCTGCATGTGTATGTTCATTGCAGCACTATTCACAATAGCAAAAACATGGGATCAACCCAAATGCCCATCAATGATAGACTGGATAAAGAAAATGTGGTACATATACACCATGGAATACTATGCATCCATAAAAAGGAACAAGATCTTGTCCTTTGCAGGGACATGGATGGAGCTGGAAGCCATTATCCTCAGCATAATAATGCAGGAACAGAAAACCAAATACCACATCGTCCCACTATGTGTGGGAGCTGAATGATGAGTACACATGAAAATATGAAGGGGAACAACACACACTGGGGCCTGTTGGGGGAGCAATGGGAGGGAGAGCATCAGGAAGAATACCTAATGGATGCTGGGCTTAATACCTAGGTGATGGGTTGATCTGTGCAGCAAACCACCATGGCACATGTTTACCTGGGTAACAAACCTGCACAACTAGCACATGCACCTCAGAACTTAAAAGTTGAAGAAAAAAATAAATAAATATTAAATTTAATTCTTGGATAAATGTAATGTTAAGCAAAAATTTCAAAACACAATGTCTGAAGCTCAGTCTAGTAGATCAAAGTAAGCTCATAATAAACAGACCCTTCCAGAGATAACAACTATAGCTCCTGGCCAAAATACATAAAGCAAATATCTAAGGACTCTGGGGAATAAACAAAAGGAGGCAGTTTTGGGAGAGGAGGGCACTAAAACTTGGAGAAAAGAATCAGCATGAAGTGAGTTTCCCGTTTTTGTTGCTTTGGCCTAATAGCTGATCAAGGTTGTGACACAGCATGAGGAAGTTAAAACTCTGACAGATAATCCCTAGTTTCTCCAGCTTAAGGACAAAGGGGAGGAGCCAGGAGCAACAGCACTGTAATCCACAACTGAGAGGGGTAGAGAATCCTTGAGTGCACAGAACAAAAGAAGGTGAGCCCTAAATTCTATGATCAAATTCTTCCCACATCTCTGCCGTCCCTGAATCACATATAAAGAGCAAAGGCTAAAGCTAAAAGAACTAAACTGAAGTTTGAACTGCTACCAAGCAGAAGCAAGAAAGATTTTGCATTTTTAGTCTAATCAAGTTTATTCTCTACTAAAACAAAAATGTCAACACCCTTCATAGAAATATAACAGTGATACGGTTTAGATCTGTGTCCCTGCCCAAATCTCATGTCAAATTGTAATCCCCAATGTTGGAGATGGGGCCTGTGAGAGGTGATTGGATCATGGGGGTGGATTTCCCCCTTAATGTTGTTCTCATAATAGTGAGAGAGTTCTCATGAGATCTTGTTGTTTAAAAGTGTGTATCACTTCCCCCTTCTCTCTCTCTTGCTCCTGCTCCTGCTCATGCCATGTAAGATGAGCTTGATTCCCCTTTGCCTTCCACCATGATTGTAAGTTTCCTGAGGCCTCCCCAGAAGACAAGCAGATGGCCAGCATCATGCTTCCTGTACAGCCTGCAGAACTGCGAGCCAGTTAAACCTCTTTTCTTTCTAAATTATCCAGTCTCAGGTGTTTTTATAGCAGTGTGAGAAAAGACTAGTACAGAAAATTGATACTGAGAGTGGGATATTGCTATAAAGATCCTGAAAATGTGAAAGTGACTTTGGAACTGGGTAACCAGGCACAGGTTGGAATAGTGTGGAGGGAAGATGAGGGAGAGCTTAGAACTTCCTAGAGACTACTTGAATGATTGGGACCGAAGTGCTGATAGTGAAATGGACAAAGAAGTCCAGTCTGAGGAGGTCTCAGATGGAGATGAGGAACTTACTGAGGACTGGAGCAAATGTCACTTTCCTTATGCTTTAGCAAAGAGCCTGGCTGTATTATGCCTGTGCTGTAGGAATCTGCGGAACATTAAATTTGAGAATGATGAGTTTAGGGTACCTGGCAGAGGAAATTTCTTTCTTTCTTTTTTTTTTTTTTTTGAGATGGAGTTTCACTCTTGTTGCCCAGGCTGGAGTGAAATGGCTGTGAGAAGAGGGCCACCACCCTCAAGACCCCAGAATGGGAATCCACCAGCAGTTCTAAGCAGCTTGCACACTGTGCCTGGAAAAGCTGCAGGCATTCAACACCAACCCATGAGAGCAGCTGCAGGAACTGAACCCCACAAAGCCACAGGAGTGGAGCTTCCCAAGGCCTTGGGAGCCCATCCCTCACACGAGTGTGCCCTGGATGTGAGACATGGAGTCAATGAAGATTATTTGGAGCTTTAAGATTTAATAACTGCCCTACTGGATTTCGGACTTGCATGGGGCCTATAATTCTTTCTTTTGGCTGGTTTTTCCCTTTTGGAACAGGAGTATTTACCCAATGCCTGTACCCGCACTGTATCTTGGGAGTAACTAACTTGTTTTTTATTTTACAGGCTCATAGGCAGAAGAGAGTTGCCTTGTCTCAGATGAGACTTTGGACTTTGGACTTTTGGCTTAATGCTGGAATGAGTTCAGACTTTGAGGGACCATTGGGAAGGGATAATTGTATTTTGCAATGTAAGAACGTCATGAGATTTCGCGGAGGGTGAGGGCAGTGGCAGAATGACATGGTTTGGATCTGTGTCCCCGCCCAAAGCTCATGTCACATTGTAATCCCCAATTTTGTAGGCAGGCCCTGGTGGGAGGTGATTAGATCATGGGGCAGGTTTCCCCCTTGGTGCTATTCTCATAACAGTGAGAGAGATCTCGTGAAATCTGGTTGTTTAAAAGTGCGTAGCACTTCCCCCCGTCCCTTGCTCCTGCACCGGCCATGTAAGATGAGCCGCTTTCCTTTTGCCTTCCACCATGATTCTTGAAGGCTCCCCAGAAGCCAAGCAGATGGCCGGCATCATGCTTCCTACAGCCTGTGGAACTGTGAGCCAATTAAACCTCTTTTCTTTATAAATTACCGAGTCTTGGGTGTTTCTTTATAACAGTGCAATAATGGACTAACACAAACAGAATGATGAATCTCAAGAATAACACATTAATAATATCAAGATATAATCCAAAATTACCTAACATAGAATACCAGAAAAATGTGATGCATTCCTAAAGGTAAAGACCATCAAGAATCCAAACCTGAGATGACACAGATGTGGGAATTAGCGGACAATGACTTTAAAGTAGCTACTATAACTATATTCAATAAGATAAAGGAAAACTTATTGGTAAGGAATGAAAATAAAGGAAATCTTATCAGAAAAAAAGGAAAATATAAGAAAGCCAATGGAAATTTTAGCAATAAAAATATAATATTTGAAATTAAAACTCACTGCCTGATCTTGGGAAAAATGGAGCTAAAAGAGGCAAAAGTCAATGAATCTGAAAATAGATCAATAGAAATGATCCAATCTGAAGAAAAGAAAAAGAACTGAAATAAAATAAAAATAAAATAAATCTCAGAGACCTATTGAACAATATAGAATATACAAGAATATGAAAGAAATGTATAGTCTTAAAGGACCAAACTTTAACCCTACTATGGTAAAACCAGACAATATTTAAAAAGTACCATATGTATGTAATTGGAGTCCAGAAAGGATAGAGAGAAATTAGGATTAAAAAATTTAAGGATATAAGGAACAAAAATTTGTCAAATTTGGTTAACAATATACATGTACATGTTTGATAAACTCAGCCAACCATAAACAGGATAAAAATAAAGAAAAGCATAAATAAGCACATCATAGTCAAACTTCTAAACCAAAGGTAAGTAGAAAACCTTAAAATAAGTGTCCCCCCAGCCATGCAAGAGCAACAAAAACAATCATATCGCACACAGGGAATAATGACTTAAATGACTACACACTTCTCATCAGAAACTATGAGCATTAGAAGACAGTAGAATAACATTTTTTTTAAGTGGAAGAAAATAAAATCTGTCAATCCCCCAGAATTCTATATCATTCAAATGGAAGATAAATAGATCTTCAGATAAAGGAAAACTAAGATAAATCACTGCAGCATATATGCATTACAAAAACTGCTAAGTAAAGTTTTTCAGGTTGAAGCAAAAAGACATTATGGATAAACTCAGCTCTTTAGGAACAAATTAATGGCACTAGAAATGGTAAATGACTAGGTAAACAGAAATGACTATTTTTTTCCTTCTTAATTCTCTAAAGTACATAATAACTGCTTAAACAAAAATTATAACTGTGTCTTGTGGGTTTTGTATTGTATGAGATTTAATACAAATGAAAACTATAGCATAAGCAATGGCACAGGAAGAGCTAAATAGTCTTATATGGTTGTAACTTTTCTATATTTTATGAAGGTTGTACACTATTAAGTGGACTGAGAAAAGTTAAGTATGTATGCTGTAATCCTTACAGCAACCACTAAAAAATGCAAATTAAAAAAAATCTAAAAATAGTTATATCTAAAAATTAAAAGAGATTCTGAGGAATACCCAAATAATTCAAAAGACAACAGATAAGCGGAAACAGAAGAACAAAATCAGAGGGGACAAATAGAAAGCAAATAATGTATTGAAGGACACAAATCTAAACATATCAAATATTACACTAATGTGAATGGGCTAAGCACTTCAGTTAAAAAGCAGATATTATCAAAATGGGTAAAACAGCAAGATCCAACAATACGCTTCAACAAGGGCATACTTTAAAGAAACAAAAGTAAAATGAACAAAAAGCAATATGCCATGAAAACAGAAAACATGAGACTAGAATGGCCACATTAATATCACACAAAAGCTACTACAAGAAAAAAAGTATGACCAGCAACAAATCGATATTTTATGAAGATAAAAGGATCAATAAATCAGGAAATTATAATAATCATCAATGTGTGTGCCTAATAACAGGGCTTCAAATTACATGAAGCAAAAATGGGCACAAAGAGATAAACACAATGATGATAGGTGATTTTTAACACTGCTCTCTGAGCAATTGATAGGACAACTAGACAAAAAAATAAAGACACAGAAAATCTGGATAACAATAATTTATATTTATAAATCATTACACCCAACAATTACAGAATATACATTCTTTTCAAGTGCACGTGATATGTTCATCAAGATAGACTGTTGCTGGGCCACAGAACAAGTCTAAACAGATTTTTAAAAGACTGAAATCATGCAGAGTATGTTCTCTGACCAAAAGAGAATTAGATTAGAAATCAAAAGCAACAAGATAGCTAGGAAAACCAAAAATATTTGTAAACTTGATCACACTCCTAAGTAATAAATGGGTGAAAGAGTTAAATCATAATGGAAATTAGAACATACTTTTAAATGAATAAAAATAAAAACATCACATATAAAAATTAGTAAAATGCAAATAAAGCAGTTCATACTAATAAATTCGTGGCTTTAATTTTTTTATATTAGAAGAAATGTCAGTTACCTAATCAGTTACCTAAGAATCCACTTAAAATCTAAAAGAGAGCAAAGTAAACCCGAAGTAATATAAGAAGGCAAATAATACAGACAAAAGCAGAAATTAATGAAATAGAAACCAAACAATAGAAAATATATCAACAAAGCCAAAAGCTGGCTATTCGAAAAAAATCAGCAAAATTGATAAATTCTCAGCTAGACTTATTGATAAAAAAGAGGATAGAACACAAATCACCAATATCAAAAATGAAAAAGATGTTATCACTACAGATTATACAGACGTTAAAAGATGAGAGAATATTATTAACAACTTTGTGCCAAAAATATGATAAATTGAATGAAACTGACAAATCCTTTAAAAAATACAACTTAACAAAATTGACAGAGCATGAAATAAAATATAAATAGTGTTAACATTTTTAATAGAAAGTCTATGAAAGAAATTGAATTTATTATCAGAAACTTTCCCTAAAAGAAAATCCCTGGCACAGAATGTTTCACTGAAGGAAGAAATAACACCAATATTACACAACCTTTCAGAAAATAGAGGAAGGAACACCTCCTAAGTCATTTTATTAGGTTAGAAATACTAAAACCTAATGAAAACATTACCCCTCAAGAAGAAAAGATATTCTTTACAAAATTATTTACAGATATTCTACATGAACACAGATGTAAAAATATTTACTAAAATACAAGTTAAATCTAACAATGTTTGAAAAGATAATATATCATGACTAAGTGGGATTTACCCTAGGAATGGAAGGTTTTTTCCAACATTCAAAAATCAATTAGTGTAATCCAACATATTAGTAAAACGAAGAAAAATCATATGCTCATATCAATAGATTAAAAGAAAATTGATGAAATTCAACAATGAATCATGATAAAACTCTGAGCAAACCAGAAAGGGTACTTCCTAAATTTAATAAAGTATTTGGGAAAAACCTATGAGTAGCACATACTTAATTGTAAAATATGGAACACTTTTCTCATAAGATCAGGGTTAAGGCAAGAATGTCTGCTCTCACCACTTCTGTTTATATTGTCCTGGAAGTCCTAGCCATTATAATGACAAAATAAATAAACAAATATTAATATTGGAAAGGAAGAAATAGTCTCTGCAAATTAAAAGTCTGTTTAAAATCCATTTACAATAGAATTTTTTAAACCATAAAATACATAAGAATAGGTATTACAAAAAACTTTTGAAACCTCAATACTTAAAACTACAGAACATGCTGAGACAATTTTTTAAAGACCCAAGTAAATGGAGGTATATATGTTCATACGATCTGATGACTCAATATTGTTAAGATACCAAATCTTCCCTAAATTGATCTAAATGTTAAAAACATTCCCAATATAAATCCCAGCGGAATTCTTTGTAGAAATTGAAAAGTTGATTCTAAAATTTATATGAAAATTTAAATGACCTATAATAGCCAAAACAATGTTTACAAGTAGAACAAGGTTGGAGGATTTCACAGCTGATTTTCAAATTTATAAAGCTACAATATCAAGACAGTCTACTTTTAGTGAAAGGATAAACATATAGATCAAAGGAGTGAAATAGAGTCCAGAATTAAGCCCACACATTTATGGTCAACCGACTTTTTACAAAGATGTCAAGATAATGCAATAAAAAGAAAAAGTATTTTCAACAAATGGTACATTGGATTATCTTATTTTTTTTTCCTGTCATAAATGACAGGATTTTCTTTTTTTAAGGCTGTGTAGTATACCATGAATATATACCACATTTTCTACCCCGTGGAAGTAACTATACATTTTACTATTTTTATTATTTTAATTGACACGTACCTATTTATGGGCTACAGTCTGATGTTTCAATACATATATACACTGTGTAATGATCAAATCAGGGTAATTAGTATATCCATTACCTCAAACATTTATCATTTCTTTGAAGTTAGAACACTCAAAATCCTCTATTCTATAATATTTTGAAATATACATTATTCTTAACTACACTCTACTGTTCAATAAAACACCAGAACTTATTCTTCCTATCTAATTGTAACTTCGTACCCATTGACCAACCTCTCCTCAATCTCTCCTCCTTACTACTGCCCTACCCATCTCTGGTAATCACTGTTATACTCTCTGCTTCTATAAGATCAGCTTTTTTACATTCCACATGAATGAGATCATGCAGTATTTGTCTTTCTGTGCCTGGCTTATTTAACTAAACATAATGACCTCCAGATTCATCCATATTGTCACGAATGACAGGATTTCATTCTTTCTAATGGCTGATGAGTATTCCATTGTATATATATATATATATATATTTCACATTTTCTTTATCTATTCATCCACTATGAACACCTAAGTTGATTCTATATCTGAACTATCATGAATAATGCTGCAATGAACATGGGAGTGCGGATAGGTCTTTGACATACTGATTTCATTTCCTTTGGATATATACCCAGTAGTGGGATTGCTGGATAGTTGTTTTAGTCTCAATTTTTGAGTAACCTCCATATTGTTTTCTATGATTGTACTAATTTACATTCCTACCAACCGTGTGCAAGAGTTCCCTTTTCTCCACATCCTCTCCATCACTTGTTATCTTTCCTCTTTCAATAATAGCCATTCTACCAGGTGTGAGGTGATATCTCATTGGGGTTTTAATTCGCATTTTTCTGATGATTCATGATGTTGAGCATTTTTTAGTATACCTGTTGGTCATTTGTGTGCTTTCTTTTGAGAAATGTCTATTCACATCCTTTACCCATCTTTTAAATCGTGTTATTTGTTTTCTTACTATTGAGTTGTTTGAGTTCCTTATATATTTGGTATGTTAACTCCTTATCAGATCTGTGGTTTGCAAATATTTTCTCCCATTCTGTGGATTGTCCCTTCACTCTTGTTTTCTTTGCTGCGCAGGAGCTTTTTAGTTTGATGCAATCCATTAGTCTATTTTTGCTTTTATTGCCTGTGCTTTCAGGGTCATATAAAAAACATCATTGCTCAGATCAGTGTTATTGATCTTTCATCTTTCCCACTGTGTTTTCTTTGTTAGTTTTACAATTTCAGGTCTATGTTTAAGTCTTTAATCCATTTTGAGTTGACTTTTGTATACAGTGTGAGATAAGGGTCTAGTTTCATTTTTCTGCATCTGGATATCAAATTGTCCCACCACCATTTATTGAAGAGGCTGTCCTTTTTCCATTGTATATTCTTGATACTTTTGTTGCAAATCAGTGGACAGTAACTGTGTGGATTTATTTCTGGGAGCTGTATTCTGCTCCATTGGTCTACATGTCTTTTATGCCAGTACCATGCTGTTTTGATTATTATAGCTTTGAAGTATATTTTGAAGCCAGGTAGTATGATGTCTTCAGCTTCATTTTTTTGTTTGTATGTTTTGTTTTATTTATTTATTTACTTTGCTCAATATTGCTTTGGGTATTTGGGGTGTTTTGTGGTTCCATGCAAATTTTAGGGAAGTTTTTTATATTTCTGTAAAAACTTCATTGAAATTTTGATACGAATTGTATTGAATTTGTATATTGCTTTGGGTAATATGGACATTTTAAACAGTATTAATTTTTCCAAGCTATGAACATAAAATATATTTCCATTTATTTGTGTCTTCTTCAATTTCTTTCATCAATGTTTTAAAGTTTTCAACTTGCAGGTCTTTCATCCTCTTGGTTAAATTTATTCCTAAGTATTTTTATTTTCTCATAGCTATTGTAAATAGCATGGTTTTCTTGATTTATTTTTCAGATAGTTCAATAGTGTATAGAAATGCTATTGATTTTTGTAAGTTGATTTTTTATCTTTCAACTTTATTTTGTTTATTAGTTCCAAGAGTGTTTTGGTGGAGTCTGTAGGGTTTTCTTTATATAAGACCAAAGATAATTATGTCTGAGTAAAAAATAATTCATGACCCACAACCGTTACAGAAGTAGACCCACCAGAGAGGTTAAGATAATACTCTTATTCACAATCATCTAAAGAAGGCATAAACCAATATAAAGAGAAGTTTGTGGAATTATAGGAACTGTACAGTGGAGTAGGTGGTTAAGATAAATAAGGATGATTCTAATATCTCATTTTACAATTATGGGGCAAAGATCACTGTGGACCCTCGACAGACTTGTAAAATACAATAACAGGAGGAATAAACCCAGCATTTTTTCCATGTAAATGCTCAGACTTACTAAGGTGTTCAAAGGCAAAATAACCTGATAATTACTGTTATTAATAGGATACACAGAATAGATAAATAAGGGGTATGGACTCCCAATCCACACTGGCTTACAACACTATACTTCTACAGCACACTACTCTACCCAGGGAAATTCTGAAGTGATCTCTACAGTAAGTTGCCAGGAAAACTATGATCTTTAAATACTTAAATCATTTAAAGCACAAAATATGTTCCTTGCCACCATTTAAGAAGCCTCAGTCCAGTGCCTCATACCTGTAATCCCAGCACTTTGGGAGGCCGAGGCAGGCAGACCACTTCAGATCAGGAGTTCGAGACCAGCCTGGATAACACAGTGAGACTCCATCTCTATAAAAAATTAAAAATTAGCCAGGTGTGGTGGCACGTGCTTGTAATCCCAGCTACTCAGGAGGCTGAGGTAGGAGGATCGCTTGAGCCCGGGGTGTCAAGGCTGCAGTGAGCAGTGATCACATCACTGCACTCCAGCCTGAGCGACAGAGTAAAACCCTCTTTAAAAACAAAACAAAACAAAACAAACCAACAAAAAACCAGCCTTGGCCCTTTAATTTTCAACTCTTCTAATCTTCAACCTTTTCTTCTCTGGTACCATTTTCCCATGAGATATAAACTTACTCAGGCCTCCTTTATCTTTAACAAGAAACCTTTTTGTATCCCAATCTGGTTTTCCATATTTTGAAGATAATTGCTTTTGGGGGGTACTCAGTAGTTCTGTCTCTGTTTTCTTAATTACTTTAACTCTTTAATTCACTGCTTCTCCTATAACCACACTTCTAAAGCTGCTCATGCTAAAGTGCTCATGACATCATAATGACCAGTCCAATGAACACTTCAGAGACCTCTTCTTGACTTCTGTGACATCTTACAACTTCAATCAACTCATTTTCTTCAAACTTTCCTCTTTTGCTTTGCATAAAGGACCACTTCCTAGTTTTTTTCCTACATCTCCTACTGCTTTTAGACTGTGGACTTTCATTCTCTCAGACCTTTAAATGTGTTCCACAATATTTTGACCTTATCCCTTTTTTTCACACTTTATACATTGTTCATAGATGGTTTTATCCATAATCCAGCTTCCTTATGCAGATGAATCAAAGTCTATATTTAGAATTCAGCCCCACTCAGATCAACAAATTAAAATGATTATTGTCTACGTCTATTTACATGACATTTTGCATACTGAACTCAACATTTCCATGAACCTTGATAGCATCTATTTATTATTTTACTGTATCTCCCACATTTAGCCTTATCAATTCTATCCTTTATATCATATTAAAGCCCTTGCCTCTAGTCTGAATTTAAATATCCATAATTTCTTACCTGTATATTTTAATGATCTCCTTTCCTCTACTCTCATCCTGTCCAATGGATACTACACAATATTGCTAATAATGACTTCCCAAAATTTAATTCTTTCTTTCTTTTTTTTTTTTTTTTTTTTGAGACAGAGTCTCACTCTGTGACCCAGGCTGGAGTGCAGTGGCATGATCTTGGCTTACTGCAGCCTCCACCTCCAGGGTTCAAGCGATTTTCCTGCCTCAGCCTCCAGAGTAGCTGGGACTACAGGCACCCACTACCACACCTGGCTAATTTTTGTATTTTTTAGTAGAGGCAGGATTTCACCATGTTGGTCAGGCTGTTCTTGAACTCCTGACCTCAAATGATCCACCCACCTCAGCCTCCCAAAGTGCTGGGATTACAGGCATGAGCCACCACACCCAGCCCCAAAATTTAATTCTGATAACAGAACGTCTACACTTTAAACTCTTTTTCAATTTTTTTTTTCTTCACGCTTATTCTTAGAGATAAATTTTAGGAAAAAAGTTGTCATGCTAAAGCAAAATAATCATCTTACTGGAATTTTTATTGACACAGGGCCAAATCCAACTAGTTTGTGGAAAACATGCCTTTGTAATATTCTGCCTAAAAATACATTATGCCATCTCATTTATACAAGATTTTAAAATATTTTTCAACAAAATTTCATACTTTTACTTCATATTTCTCATTAAAGTTATTCCTAAAACTTTTGTGCTTATTGCTTTTCTGAATGAGATCTCTTTTGCCATTTTTTTTTTTACAATTGGCAAATATAAACACTATAATTATATGTGACATCCTATATGGGAAGATTTTTCTGCCTCAACCCCCTACCCCCCACCATACTGAGTTAGTTGCTTCCCCTCTGAGTTTCCTAGATACCATGTATTTATTTCAGTTGTAGCTTGAATTTGATTGTATTATAATTGATAGTTTACTTGTTTATTGTTAGATATCTTTTTTTTTTTTAAACAGAGTCTCATCTGTCGCCCAGGCTGGAATGCAGTGGTGCAATCTCCGTTAACTGCAACCTCCGCCTCCCTCTGGTTCAAGTGATTCTTGTGCCTCGACCTCCCAAGTAGCTAGGATTACAGGCATGAGCCACCATTACCAGCTTTAGATATCTTTTAATGATATGGATATCTTATTTGCCTACACATTTTAAATATCTTATGCTCAAAAATGTATTTTAAATAAAATGTCTGGAATAGAGAAATATGGAAGCTGTTTTATGTCAAGTAAAGCCACAAATATCACCTTTAATAAAGTTTGATTATATGAATGTTTTAGATGAATGCATGTGCTCTCTTGGCTCAATTAGCAAACATTTCATAATAGACCAGGTTTATGAATTATTTTTTCCCAAAATTAATAATAAGAGATATGAATCCCTTATCAAGGTTTAGGGAAAGTAAAGATACTATTGTTTTCAAAACAAAAGTAATTCAAATATTTTAAGATATACATAAAAGCATTTCAATGTTACTTAGATGCTAGTCACTGGTGATAGAACTCTATGATAGGGAATATCAGGTAATGGCAGCCTAAATTATTTACAGCAGTCATCCTACTGAAATCAACTAAATATTCTTGGGTAAAACATTAAAACAATTATCTTAAAAGCACTGAAAATCTGATAAGATAATGGGGAACTGCTAGGACAAATTGTGGAGGAAAGCTAAGCCCAAAGAGGTAAACAGAATATTGAACTTGACATAAAATTGGACATAAGTTGTAGGAAGACAGAAATTAAGAAGCAGGATGGGCTGGGCACCATGGCTCATGGCTGTAATCCCAGCACTTTGGGAGGCTGAGGCGAATGGATCACGAGGTCAGGAGTTCAAGACCAGCCTGGTCAAGATGGTGAAACCTCGTCTCTACTAAAAATACAAAAAATTAGCCAGGCGTGGTGGTGGGCGCCTGTAATCCCAGCTACTCCCGAGGCTGAGGCAGAGAATTGCTTGAACCCGGGAGGCGGAGGTTGCAGTGAGCCAAAATCCTGTCACTACACTCCAGCCTAGGCAACAGAGCAAGACTCCATCTGAAAAAAAAAAAAAAAGAGAAAGAAGAAAAAGAAAGAAAGAAAGAAAGAGAAAGGAAGGAAGGAAAGAAAGAAAGAAAGAGAAAGAAAGAAAGAAAGAAAGAAAGAAAGAAAGAAAGAAAGGAAGAAAGAAAGGAAGAAAGAAAAAAAAAGAAGCAGGATGTTCAAGATGGGGAGTCTTATGGGGCCTCCAAACTACATTAAGCTGGAACTTCAAAGGACTAATCTTTCCAGTAATAGTATGTGAAAACTAAACCCACCTACTCTCCAGCCCAGAAAACTGCTGGGGAATTTGACTTGGCACCAAAAAGGCCAGAAGGAAAATAGGAAAGGAAAATTTAATCCTATAAACTTGTAACTAGATACCAGATATCCTGCATATTTTTATCTGAGAATACGTAGTCTAAGTAGCCAAGGAGCTTCAAGTCTTGAACTTGATTTAAAGTGGTTTACTAGCAGTAGTATTCACTCACTGGAAGGTGTATAAAAATCTATCGTGAAGAAAGGTATTTCCATCCAAGATCTCAGGATATCCTGGCAAATATCATTTTCAGGATATGGACCATCAAAAGTCAAATAAAAGTTGGCACACATAAAAATATGGAGCTGTCCAGCTGAAACAGCACACAGCAGGTATACACTTGCAGACTTCAGACTCTGGAATTATCAGATGAAGATTTAATATATTTAAATAAATAAATGACAAGCTTAAGAATATTTGCAGGAGCCAGGAGCAGCGGCTCATGCCTGAAATCCCAACACTTTGGGAGCCAAGGTAGGAGAATCACTTGAGCCCAGGAATTCAAGATTGCAGTGAGCTATGATCACGCCTGAGCGACGGAGCAAGACTTGTCTTGAAAAAAAAAATTGCAGGGAACAGAAACCTATAAAAAATATCATGGCAGACTTGATCAGTAATAATTATAATTTTTAAAATGAAAAACACAATAACCAAAATTAACAACTCAAGGAATACTTTTAATAGCATGTTGGACACACAAGAAGACAAAATTAGTAAAATTGGAAGAAAGATAATAAATTACTGATGAAGCAGCACAATGAGACAACAGTGGAACCCAGAAGATATTGAGGAGGTAACTTTAATGTACCAAAATGAAATAAATGCCAATCTTGAATTTTACACCCATGTAAAAATATCTATCAAGAATGACATTTCAGGCAAACAAAAACTATAATAGTTTATCACTAGCAGAAATAGAGGTAAATAATACATAACGCTAAAAGTTTCAATTTAGCAGAAAGATATCACATATTTATATTTGGTTAAGAATCTAATAAAATAAAATAGCCTTAAAACATATGACACAAAAAATTGACAAAATCCAAGGAGAAACAATTCACTATTCATCGTGGAACACTTTAACATAATTTTCTCAGTAACTGATAAAATAAGCAAACAAAAAGAATAAAAAAGAATGCAGAATATTTGAACAACACAACTAGCAAAGATGACCTAATGGACATATACAGAACACAACAACAAGCAATGTCAGAATACTGCTTTTTCTTGAACATGCAGAACATTTATAGAAATTGACCATTCACACCCTGAAATACTATATAATGACAATGAATGATACACAGCTACACACAACAATATAAATGTATCTCACAAATGATAATGTCCAGCAACACACACATACATACAAGTTGGTTATTCCTGTTATTGAAGTTTTCAGTACCCTTATTGATTTTCTTTTGTCTCCTTGTTCTGTTTTTGAGCAAGGTATGTTAAAATTTTCCATTTTGATTAACCAAACTAATACAACAAGAAATAGAGGCTCTGTATAATTCTATAACTATTAATGTTATAGACATTGAATTTATAATTAACATTCTCATGAAGAGAATTCTAGGCCTATAAATTTCACTCTTAATTCTTCAAATGCTTATGGAAGAAAAAAATGCTGATTTACACAAACTTGCTATGATCTGAATGTTTGTGTTCCCTCCTCCTTTGCAATCATAAGTTGAAATGCTAACCCCTAAGATTATGATATTAGGAGGTAGGGCTTTTGTAGAGATGATTAGATCACGAGGGCACAGCTCTCATAAAAGAGGTTCCAGAGAGCTACCTTGCTCCTTCCAGAAGGTGAAGAGACAGCAAGAAGGTGACATTCTGTTTTATGAACCAGGGAGTGGGCCATTACCAGACACAAATCTGCCAGGACCTTGATCATCAACTTTCCAGCTTCCAGAATTGTGAAAAATAAATTTCTATTGTTTTTAAGCCACCCAGTTTATGCTATTTTGATATAGCAGCCCAAATGGACTAAGACAACTCTTCCGAATAAGTAAAAGAAAAGTAACACTTCTTAACTTACTATATAAAGCCAGGATAGCCTTGATGCCAAACTCCGACTAGAGCATTATAAGAATGGAAAGTTAAAAGCCAATTTCTTGTGCGTGTGTGTGTGTGCGCATCTGTGTGTGTGTGTGTTGCTTCTTAACTTTTAAGTTCAGGGGTACATGGGCAGGTTTGTTATAACGCAAACTCATGTCACAGGGGTTTGTGGTACCGATTATTTCATCATTCAGGTACTAAGTCTAGTACCCAATAACTATGCCTTTAAAAATAATTATTTTTTTCTGTAGAAACGCGTTTCTATCATAAACATATATTTAAAAACTGTAAAGAAAATGTTAGGAAACTAAGTCTAATGATATAAAGAAGGATTATACATCATAAGCAACCTGAGTTTATTCCAAGAATGCAAGATTGGTTTATCATTAACAAATCAACCAATATAATGCATGCTATTAATAAAAGGATAAAAATCCATATTATCCATTCAATAACAGAAAATATGTGATAAATTCAATGCCTATTCATGATTTTTAAAAAACATAATAAATTAAAAAACAAAGGGAACTTAATAAATCTGATAAAGGATTTTTGCAAATAAACCCAATCAAACAATGTATTTCATATTAAATATTTAAAAACTTCCTCTCTGAGACCAGGAATAAGACAAGATTATCCATTAACATTACTTCTATTCAATTTTATACTGAATTTCATAGGCAATGACAGAAAGCAAGAAAACTATGTGATTAGAAAGTTTTTAAAAGACCAGGCATGGTGGCCTATGCCTGTAATCCCAGCACTTTGGGAGGCTGGCGTGGGAGGATTGCTTGAGCCCAGGAGCTCCAGACTAGCCTGGGCAATGTAGTGAGACTCTATCTCTATTTTTTTAAAAAAAGAGAGAAAGTAAAAAATACAATAATAAAACTAACATTATTTGGGAATAGCATGACAGTATATGTAGAAAACCCAAAATATAAAAATATGAGATTTTACTATTTAGCAAGAACATTGGATACAAAGTTAACATAAAATCAGTATTATTTCTATATACTTTCAACAAAAGCCAATTATCAAATTAAACTTTTTTTTTTTTTTTTGAGACGGAGTCTCACTCTGTCGCCCAGGCTGGAGTGCAGTGGCGCGATCTCGGCTCACTCCAAGTTCCGCCTTCCAGGTTCATGCCATTCTCCTGCCTCAGCTTCCCGAGTAGCTGGGACTACATACGCCCGCCACCACGCCCGACTAATTTTTTGTATTTTTAGTAGAGACGGGGTTTCACCGTGTTAGCCAGGATGGTCTTGATCTCCTGACCTCGTGATCCGCCTGCCTCAGCCTCCCAAAGTGCTGGGATTACAGGCGTGAGCCACCATGCCCTGCCTTTCTTTTTCTTTTTAGATGGAGTATCACTCTGTTGCCCAGGCTAGAGTGCAGTGACGCGATCCCAGCTCACTGCAACCTCTGCCTCGCAGGTTCAAGCAATTCTCCTGCCTCAGCCTCCTGAGTAGCTGGGATTACGGGTATGTGCCAACATGTCCAGCTAATTTTTGTATTATAAAATTAAACTTTTAAAATAGCATTAAAATATCAGCTATCTAATAAAAGTTGTGCAATACCCCTATATACACATACACACACATAAACATTAAGATAAAATAATAAAATAAATGGAAGAAGCCGGGCGCGGTGGCTCACGCCTGTAATCCCAGCACTTTGGGAGGCCGAAGCGGGTGAATCACGAGGTCAGGAGATCGAGACCATCCTGGCTAACACGGTGAAACCCCGTCTCTACAAAAAATACAAAAAATTAGCCGGGCATGGTGGCGGGCGCCTGTAGTCCCAGCTACTCGGGAGGCTGAGGCAGGAGAATGGCATGAACCCGGGAGGCGGAGCTTGCAGTGAGCCGAGACTGCGCCACTGCACTCCAGCCTGGGCGACAGAGCGAGACTCCGTCTCAAAAAAAAAAAAAAAAGATAAATGGAAGAATATACCTTGTTAATCGGTTGTCTGTCTCAATATTGTCAATGTTAACAAGCTTCATATTTTTATAGATTCAATAAAGATCAAAATAAGATATTTTCAATATACCCCATATTTTCTACAGATTCAATATAGTGCCAATTAAAATCAAAGCAGGGTTTTTTAAAATAGAAACTGAGAAGCTGAATCTACAATTTATATAGAAATGCAAAGGGCCAAAAATAGCTAAGTTAATCTTGAAGCAGAATAACAAAGTGAGAGAACTTACACAATTAGATATCAATACAAATGAAAAGTTACTATATTTAACACAGAATGTATTGGCACAAGAATAGACAAGTTGACCAATGAAACAGAATAGACAGTCCAGAAACAGAATATATAAAGTCACGTTGCTTATGACAAAGGTAGCACTGCACAGTAGCAGCGAGGAAAGTAGGCAATCTAACTGGATTTACAAGTGGAAAATATAAATCTTGACTTCTACATTGCACTATATTCAAAAGCAATTTCAGGTAATTTAAGATCTAAATGTGCAAGTTAAAACAAGAAAGCTTCCAGAACTACAGCAACCACTAAACAGATGTGGTTATTTAAGCTTAAATTAATTAAAATTAGTAACATTAAAAATTGAGTAGCCCAGTTTCACTAGCCACATTTCAAGTGCTCAGTAGCTACACATTCCATATATGCAGATAGAGAAAATTTATAGCATGTCAGAAAGTTCTATTGGATAGCAATGTTATAGAAGAAAACACAGGAATATATCTTCATGACTTGAAGCAGGATATGTTTTCTTTAAAAGGATAGAAAGAATACTAAATAAAAAAGACAACTTTGGCTGGGCGTGGTGGTTTAGGCCTCTAATCCCAGCACTTTAGGAGGCCAAGGCGGGCAGATCACTTAAGGTCAGGAGTTCGAGACCAGCCTGGCCAACATGGTGAAACCCTGTCTCTACTAAAAGTATAAAAATTAGCCGGGTGTGGTGGTGGGTGCCTGTAATCCCCGCTACTCGGGAGGCTGAGGTGGGAGAATCGCTTGAACCCGGGAGGCAGAGATTGCAGTGAGCCAAGATTGTACCACTTTACTCCAGCCTGGGCAACAGAATGAGAATCTGTCTCAAAAAAAAAAAAAAAAGATAATATTGATAAATTGGAGCTCATTAATTGCTAATCAAAAGACACCATTAAGCAGTATGGAATATGTGTAAATACTATACTACTATGAAATAATCTCGTTTATATTTTTAAGTGAAAAAACTCAAAGTGGGGAAGAATGTGTATTGTATGGAATAATAGATACTAGACTTCTCTAAATATATTTTGTTTTATAAGTTTATTTTGGAGCCATGTAAATATTTCACATAATTATAAAAGAAAATTAAAATTTAAAAAGCAAGCCCTAAATTTGAAAGCGACTTGAAAAAAGCCTAGCTCTGTATCTAGCTGGTGGCTTAACTACACAGAGAGGAACTTTTCCAAGATACTTTAAAACACAATAATTTGACTGTACATGCCTACTGGGCATTTGTAAGGATGTGCCTTATAAATGAAAAGAATGACAAAAACTTAAACTGCTACAGTATCATATTATTTCTGTAGTGCTGAAATTGTTTTCTAAGTCCATTGTTTGAGTCCCGTGGGATAACAAATGAGTAATTCTGTTGACGTTAATGAAAACTGGGATTTGACGTATGGGAGAAATAGGAATGTAAGATTGATGAAGTTAAGTAAAAACCTCGGAGTGCTGAACTTTATTAGATTAGTATAAACATGTGATGTATTTTATCTTTTAAAAAATAGACATCCCTTAGCTCAGTAGCTGAAGATACCTAGAAACAGCAACTGACCCAGCAGCAATAAGCACACCTGTTGTTGAGATTATATCTCTAAGTATCATCTTTCACTAAAAATAAGTGAAAGCTCTTTGAAAAATGGCTGATTCTGGGAAAGGAAATGTACAAGATAATCTGAACATCTTGTAATACCAGAAATCAAGGAAGCATTCAAAAGACTATTAAGACTCACATGAAAAGGATTCAGGGTGTTATCACTGGGGAAAAGTGGGTGACAAGCACATGGGATCTCTCTATACTAGTTTTGTAACTTTATGTGAATCCATAATTATTCCAAAATAAAAGGTTTAAAACAAGATACACAAACACACTCACAAAGACTCAGGAGCAAAGCTGAACAGTTCCCAACTTGCCAAAGTTAGCATAATTTGATCATTAAAAAGATAATTGACATGGATTGGGCCATATCAAATATGTTTAAGTCAATGAGTTCATAATGACACCTAAAAAAGGCCTTGGTCCTTTTTGTAAGATGGCCAGGAATCAATTCATTGTTTTGAATACTGCTAAACAAAGGGGAAGAATCAAACATTTATCCTGCCTTTCCTGTGTGAACTGTACCTCAGGCTAATCAAATAGTTGAAGACCCATTACAGAAATGTTACAATTAATTAAAAAAAAGAAGAAATGATAGAATTAGAACGGTAGCTCTCGAAGTGTGGTCTATGGACCCTTTGGGTGTTTATGAGGTGAATATAATTTTCAAAATAATGTTAAAACATTATTTGCATTTTTCACTATATTTACACTTGCATTGATAATGCAAAAGCATTGGTGGGTAAAGCTGGCCACCATAGAACCACAGAAGGAGTCAAAGCAGTGGCTCCACACTGTACTGGTGGTTATTACATTCATGATTGGACATTTGCAGTAAGAAAAATACCAGTAAGAATGCCCTTGATGAAGCACTGATTATTATTAATTTTGATAAATCTCCACAATTAAGTACAAATCTTTTAAACATTTTGTGTGAGGAAATAGAAATGAAAAGTATGTTTAGAGTACTTCTGTTGCACACTGAAATATAAACATATAAGGAAGGAAATAAATTAATAAAGTATGAAAATTAATAAAATAGAAAGCAAACATACAACAAAGCGAACCCAAAACACCAAAAGTTAGCCTTGGAAAGACTAATATCATTAATAAACTACTTCCAAGTCTAGTCAAGAAAAATGAGAGGTGACACTAACACCAGGATTGAAAAGGGAAACATCACTACAGATCCTGCAGATGTGAAAAAAAGTCACAACAGGACATTATAAACAACTTTATGCCAAAATATTCAAAAGTACAGATAAAACTAACATATATCTGAAAAAATTAAAGGTACAGGAATGAAATAGGAGCAATAAAAATACAAAGAAATTTGATCTCAATTAAAATTTTCCTACAAAGAAAACTGTAGGTACAGAGAGCTTCACTAGTGAATTCTACCAAATATTTAAGAAAGCTGTATCACCAATCTCAGTAAATGTGTCCGAGGAATAGGAAAAAAAATGTGAGAGAGACAGAGAGAGAGACAGGATTTCCAACTTGTTTAACAGGGCCAGCCTAACCTAATAAGAAAAGAAAAAGACAAATCAACCTAAAAACCCACTATTAAGACTTCTTAATTGGTTTTTATTTTATATTAACATTATTTTGAGTTTAAACAAAACAGCTGTAGTCTTTGCTTAACAATTCTAAAGAATAACCATAATGTGTTTGAATTCAGAGTATATTTTGAAGGTATGTCATTAGAGTGCCCCTATGAACACAGAATATCTGTAGATGGTAACCAGATGGCTCTAGGAACAGCCAAGGAATTTGGGATGGGTTAGAAATAAAGTGTTTATCTTTCTCTACAGCACAGGAGAATACGAGATTGCATATTTATTTCCAGATTCCAAAACAAGTTCCAAATGAATATATAATAACCTTTTGTGTTTATAGTCCTTTCTTTTTCATAAATGCAATATAACAGACATGTAATTTATTTATATCCTGAACCATTATCTTATGCCATCAATTAAAATTGGGAACAAAATGAGTGGCTATCTACCTTTATTATTTAGCTTTGTTTCTTAAGAACAACCTTTACCAACAAATTCCTTACTTCCCATAATACTTTAGTCAGGATCCTGGACTGTAATCCATATTCACTTGAAGTTCTGCCAAGTGTTAATATTTCCGATATTCATATGACATGCATTTGAGCATTGTAAAAACCTTTCAGCAATTTAGTCCACCTTCATTCCAACCTAGCTAAGTTAATTTAGTTGTTGAAATATTATTGTTTCCCTCTAACTGAAAATATTGAAGACAACAAAAGACAATAAGTCATTAACATTATGAGACACATTGTCAATACTTTCCCACTTATATGTTTCCAAGGTATTGCTTTTCTCTTATGTCCACTCAAATTATAATGTTCTTTTTCTTTCCTTTTTACTGATTTGAGGGTCTATATTATACAATATTATTGTGTTGTCTATATGAGTTTTTTAATTTGAATATATTTCATATGTCATGCAAACTTCCTTAGTTTCATCATTCTAAAGTTTTTTAGTGTGGTTATCAGCTTCAAAGTCAAAATAGATATACAAAACATCTAATTACCCTATGGGAAAGTCTACTTGTGGAATGTATGTTAAATAAAGCACCTTGAATGCCACAAACATTCTACTACTGTTAACAAATGACATTGCAAAGAGGAGATATCCTATTTCCTATATACCCTGGCAAAAAAGAAGATGCTTTAATTCCAGGTGAACAATACACTAATATAACATTGGTATGTTGAAACTATGTATAACTTTCATGTGGAAATTTAATAAGGCCAGTTGTATGGTAAGTGTTTCATGCATTTTTGCTACATTAATATATTTATACCTTTAAAAATTGTCAATGCAGTTTTTAATAAGTAGAAATTTATATCTCAGAGGTACCCTCTTAGATACCATTCTAAAAAATTTAAATTGCCCATCAAGAATATTAACAGAAAAAAATGGACATGAGGTACACATTGTCTAATTGTTATACAATCAGTGAATCAATTTTGTTTATATCTTAAATATTATCAATTGGAAATACAGAGATAAAAACCATGTTTTCCTGAATTTCTTAAACTGATAATTTTTAGTATTACAGGCTATGTTAATATATACTGTAAACTTACCGTAAACTAAAATGAAAGAACTTAGAATTTGAGCAAAATATAAACACATATGCATCAACATGATTCTGTAAGACTCAGACACACATTATAATCATTGTTAAATGTCATGCTTTTCAAATGATTTGAAATAAAATGAAAGCAATAAATATTTTATTTCTAGAATCCTGTTGTTATTAAGGCATTCAGGATACTATGACAAGAATTCTTTTCTAAAGAATTAAGATCAGATCAATAGGTAATTGAACAGGAAGAAGTAAATAACAAATGCCTTTGTGAATTACAAATACCCCATATTTATAGAAGTTATTTTATTCATGGTTTTATGAATCACAATTCATTTATTTATAAGGAAATATCCAGCCCACAACAATTATTAGCAGACCAATGAGCTACCTAAAAAGCAAAATATCAACAATGATGGAAAAAGACTGTTCAACTGAATGAATGGGATGGTACAATATTCCTGCACATATGAACAGTATATCTCTATTATTTTGTTAATCATTCATATATGTTTAAAAATTTGGTTTGAAGGGTTGTTTTTTCCTCTGTCATTCCTATATTTTTCCTTTTAAATAGCTAATTTTCCTTCTAACTTCTAGATTCATCAGCCTTCCTATCGCTTACTTATGTTTCCTTTCTAGTCTAGTGAAAATGTGTTTCTAAAAAAAATTCCTCACTCCCAAACTTTACAGCCATTACTGGTATTCTCCTCTCTTTTTGTTACAGAAAGCAATGAAAATAAAAGAAATAAATAGTGAAATTTCTTGGTAGGAAAAGTGTTCACATATTAAGTGCTCTGATACCTGAAATACTAGCATTGTAGTGCACCAATTTCCTTCCCTAAAATTAACTGAGATTCTATTAAATAGTATCCACTGCAAATATCACAATGTAATGATGTGCATACCTATTAATTCCTTTGTCATCTGTAGAACTGGACTCATACTTAGTCCCAGACACAGCATTGAAGTTTTTCTTGCTAGCTCTACAATCAGAAAATTCCTCTGTTATGTTATTAGTGTAGGTCATGAGGAAGAAAATAATCATTGAAACAGTACATTTGAAAGTGACCTTTAAACTGTTAACCACATATACACATCTAAAGTAGAAAAGTAAGTTAAAGTTTTTCCCTCTGTGTTGAACAGTGTTACCATCCAATTCATATATGCACATATTTATTCATTCAGTCAGCATTTACTAAGCATATCTTATATGCTGGATTCTATTATATTGTGAAAATATTAAGTACAGAAAATTTTAACATATGTAAATTTATTTTATTTGCAGTTAACATCATTACTTGAGGAAGAATAACTTACAAGCCACTTTTCCCCTTATTGCCTAGAATAGTAAAACAAGGAATGCTTCATTTTCCTTCCTTAATTTCTACACACCTCCTTCTCTTGCATCTAGGATTTCTATGAGAAGTCAAAAAGTAATACCGTAGAATTGCTTCAAAATGTTGTCCTAACTGCACTCAAGAAGTTTGAGGGCCAGCTGCAGTGGCTCATGCCTGTAATCCCAGCACTTTGGGAGGCCTAGGTGGGAGGATCACTTGAGGCTAGGAGTTTGAGACCAGCCTGGGCAACATAGTGAGACCCCTGTCTCAAAAAAAAAAAAGAAGTTTTGAAATGCCAAGGGCCACTAACAGATAAATTGAAATATTTGAATCACTTAACTTTCATTAGATACATTACTCTCAAATATGATATTTACTTATTTGTTAAGTGTATTTGTCCCCTAAAATAAAAGAAATTAAATCCAAGTTGAATGGACTTTGGATGGTAAGTGCACCTTTGAACACATAAATATTTCTGACATAAAAATTACTCATCTTTCCTCTTTGTAAAATATTATCAATAGAAACACAAAACAAAAGGTTGTCAAGTCCTATATCCAACAATATGATCTCCTATCAGTATAAATAGATGTTATGAGAGAGG
Source organism: Homo sapiens (assembly GCF_000001405.40). Lineage (NCBI taxonomy): Eukaryota > Metazoa > Chordata > Mammalia > Primates > Hominidae > Homo > Homo sapiens. The sequence continues at coordinate 140,930,070 of NC_000005.10, read as the reverse complement.
CTTACAGTTTTTGTGTAAGCAAAAACTCCAAAGCAGTTACAAAACACTGCTATGGAGCTATCAGCTATGTTTTAGGGTGTCATTCCCAAAGAAGACACCTTCACCAAAATGGTATTCATTAAAAGTATAGGCTAGAGAATACACTGTTTTTTATTAAATGGTATATCGTATTAAAGATCCAACTAAATCTGTGATCTCTATCACAAAGCCTTCTCTGACTCCTTCCTCCTCACTCAAATGTTCTCTTATGTTCCCTTTCTCCCTTCTTTTAACCCCCATTGTAATTTATTTTTACATCTTTTGTGGTTATCGTCATCTTTTAATAATGCATTGCAATAGTTTAAGTAAATGTTTCACCTTCCATATTATATTCATATAAAGCAGACTCTTACATATTTTTCATTCTTCACTTTAAATATTAGAGTGCCTTACACATCTGTTGCTTATAAAATATTTTGGTATTTTATTTTTAATTTTAGACCTTTATGTCATATTACTTTTATTGTTCTTAAATAGGTTTTAATTTTTGCCCTTGTTTCTCAAAAATAAACTATAAGTCCCTTGAGGCCTAGGGCAATCTTCTAATACTTCTATACTTCCAGATTTCTTGGCACAGGAAGTGCTAAGAAGGAGTGTTTAGTTCAATTGATGAAATGTTGTGAAAGGCTTGTCTAAGAAATATTTCAAAACACAGCTAGCAGCCATCTCCGGGCCAAAGGAATCAAATTCCATAAAATTTGCTTACCATGGCATTGACATTAGCGTGATCCCCTTTCCTATTCCGAATCTGAATACAGGATATTGGCAAATTCAGTCCTACCCCAGTGGCAAGATTTCGCAGGTCGGCAGCATTGTACTCCCCACGCAACAGCAAACTGTTATTATCAGAACCAAGTCCCAGAGAGGCCCGATAGAGATAAGTCTGAGAAAGTCTCTCAACTGTAGTGACATCTATGGTGGCTGATGTCATGCAAGGATTTGAAACCATCTTACTTCCATACCTCAGATCCTCTGTAGAGCGACAGCAGCTCTGAGCGCAACAGCCTGGGCTCTGGTGCAACTTGGTACACACGAAGAAAAGTAAGCACCCCAGAAATAAAAAGGAAATACAAGCCAAGGCAATTACTAAATACAAGTTCTGGGCAGAAAGCTGCCCTCCTGGTTCCCAGACATCTTCAAAGTCTGGAAGTAACTGAGGGACAGAGTTGCTCAACAGCACACCCAGAGTGACAGAGGAGGAAAGTGGTGGGTCTCCATGGTCCCGAACCACTACCACCACCCTCTGCTTAACTGCATCAGTGGGAAGAACTAAGCGAGCAGTACGGAGCTCACCTATATTGGCTGAAATTCTAAAGAGACTAGAGTCAGACGCCCGGGAGATGTGGTAGGAAAGCCAGGCATTAGAACCACTGTCAGCATCCTCTGCTACCACTTTTGTGACCAAGTGTCCAGTCCTGGCAGAGCGGGGCACAATTTCCACTGGGACAGAACCATTTCTGGGCAAGGGAAACAAGATAACCGGATAATTGTCATTCCTATCTACCACAAACAAGTTTATAGTCACTGTTGCACTTCTGGGAGGAATGCCACCATCCCGGCCTTCTACTTGGAAATGAAACCCCCTGAGCTGCTCAAAGTCAAAGGAAGTTTTGGCAGTGATGGCCCCACTGGATGATTCCACTGCCAGCAAGCTAGAGGCTGATGGCCCTTCAGAGATAACATCCAACAGCTCATAAGAGACAAGGCCATTCTTCCCCAGGTCGGGGTCCTGGGCAAACACTCGGCCTAGAGAGGCCCCAGGGCCATTGTTTTCAGCAACGAAAAGTTCCTGCTGGGGTTGAGGAAAGTTTGGTGTATTGTCATTCACATCAGCAACTGACACAGTGATTGTCCTTCGGGTGCTAAGTGGGGGTGAGCCACTATCTGAGGCCGTGATCAGGACTTGGTATTCACTGATCTGCTCCCGGTCCAGGGGCCCATCAATCAGCAGGCTGTAGTAGTTGTCAAAGGAAGCCGTCAGCTGAAAAGGGCCTGCACTAGACATGCCACAAATGACCCTACCATTAGAATCGAGGTCTTCATCCTTTACACTAAAGAGAGCAATCACTGTGCCAGGGGCAGCGTCCTCAGGTACTGGGTTCGAAAGAGTCAGGAAGTCCAGTTCGGGGGCATGATCGTTCACGTCAGTCACCTCCACCAGCAGTTTAGCGGTGCTAGCTAAACCAAAGACACCTTCGTCCCTCGCCTCAATGTATGCCTCCAAGAGCGTTTCAGGCGGACCTAGTGAAGCAGCTACTTGCACCTCCCCACTTTTAGGGTGCACGTGAAAGCGGTGTCGCAGCTCTGCTTGCGTGCTGTTGCTTAGGGAGTACTGGACTTCCCCATTGGACCCTTCATCTGGATCCAAGGCTTGAACTCGGAATAACACAGTCCCATTGGGTGCAGTCTCTGGAACCTTGGTGCGGTATACGGAGCGCTCAAATACAGGCGCGTTGTCATTTGTGTCCACCACAATGATGGTGACTTGTGCGTCTCCTGAGCGGGCAGGTAGCCCGCCGTCCCGAGCTGTAAGCACCAGCAGGTGGGTGGCGCGCTGTTCGCGATCCAGTGCTTTCTCCAACACCAACTCCGGGTATTCGCTGCCGTCAACCCGCGATCCCATGTCCAGGCGAAAGTGCTGACTGGGGCTTAGGCTGTAGCTTAGTATCCCATTGCTTCCCTCGTCGTCATCTTGGGCATTCGGGAGAGTAAAGCGGGCTCCGGGCGTCAGGAACTCGGGGATGTGCAGCTGCACGTCGCCGGCAGGAAAGAGAGGTGAGTTGTCATTGGTGTCCAGGACGTGAATCCGAATCTTGTGCAGCTCCAGCGGGTCCTCGAGCACCAGGTCGTAGGTCAAGACGCAGGCAGCTTTGGCCCTGCACAGCTGTTCGCGGTCCGCCGGCTCTCTGACCACCAAATTGCCGCTGGGTAGATCCACCCCGAAGTAGAGCTCGCGGTGGCTGGAAAGGAAGCGAAAGTTCCGCGAGGACATAGCGGCCGCTGGCAGCCTCAAGTCCGCGGAGAGATTGCCTACGGCTACGCCCCGCTCCGTCTCCTCCGGCACTGAGTACTCGAGCTGTCCCGCTGCAGCGCCGCAGGAAACCCACAAACATAAAACTGCCACCCCACAGCCCACCATCCTCCCTCTAGGCGTCCACGTTCCACCAACACGCTACACCAACGGTGACCCAGGACCATGCTCCGGACTCCTGGAGAGCACGAGCCGCGGGGAAGAGCACGCTCCTGCCGGCCGTCACTGCTGCGGGCTGGATACTCAGCGACCGCCGACGTTGCGCCTCCCGAACGCCGGCATTGCCGGGGCTGGCCAGCTGGGAGCCGGGCTTGCTAGGCTGGAGGCTGGGCAGCCGTCTGGGAAAGCGGAGCCGGCCGGGTGTTGAGGAGCGCAGCGCCGCCTAGGGGTGCAGAGACGAGGCCGCCCGCCCGGGCGCGAGAGGTGCTGTCTCCAGTAGCAGCGGGCTGGGGTCTCGACCACCACGCTGGCTGCGGGCGCAGGGCGGAGCCTGGGAGACGCCCCGAGACACTAACACTTCTCTCCTTAAACGGTGTTTTCTAGGACAACGCCCTGAGGCTGCCCAGATCTTAACCTCCACATCCTCTGCCCGCAGATTGCTGATAACTGTGGCTGAGCCCAGCTGGGCTCTTCCTGCCGCCCTTTGGGAGCCGCGCGTCGGGTCCCGGCGCTCTGACCCCGGCGCACCTCTCCGGCGGAGAGGGCGGGACTCAGCGTGGAGCTGCCGAGCGGAGGCGGCGAGAGGCGGGACGGTGAACGTGAGCGACCACACCTTCTAGGCTTAAGGAAACAGGAGCCCCCCGAAAGAAGTGCTGCGGGGGGCTTTCCGCGCTGGATCCTGCTGCAGAGCTTTCCGCGCTGGATCCTGCTGCGGGTTGAAGTCTGTCCTGCACCCTCTTGTATCCCAGGAGCTGCCAAGAGGGCAATAGAGACGACAAGGAGGGGAAGAAGGTTGGGGAATAGTGTCCGCATCAAACTGCCTCCGGACTCTGGCTTTTCGAGGCAGCGGAGCCAGCGAGCTCAAGGCTTTTTTTTTGCGTGATAGCAGTTTCTCCTTCTCCAAGAGGCTCTACTTGGGAGTGCTTTGCAAACGGCCCTTGACGATCTGGGTGAAAGAGGAGGTTATAAACCAGTCAATAGCAATAACTAGAAACTCAAAGACTTGACGACCCGTCCCCAAAGAAGACGTGAGAAGTGGAGGGGAAAGTACTGAGATACTCATTAGAGTTTGACCAGGAAACTACTCTGTAAATTTTCTTTCTGTAAATATTTAGAAAACACCATGAGGCAGGATAAGAATAGGCTAGATACCCACCCTCGCTTTATTATTATTATTATTATTATTATTATTATTATTATACTTTAAGTTCTAGGGTACATGTGCACAACGTGCAGGTTTGTTACATATGTATACATGCGCCATGTTGGTGTGCTGCACCCATTAACTTGTCATTTACATTAGGTATTTCTCCTCGCTTTTAATTTGGTCTTTTGCGTGGATATTGGGACAGTGATCAGTTCTATGAGAAACATCTCTGAGCCACAACAGATACACCCAAATTCTGCCTAACACCCTACAACCAGTTCCTTTCCCTAAGAAGGAGGCGAGCCAAAAGGAGACTCATTGACTATTGACTATGAAGCACTAAATTCCTCACTCAAATCCTTCTTTTAATACAGGTGCAATATGTCCAAAGCCCCAATAATGAAACATTTGAAAGGCAAAATCTGAACACAGATCAAGAATTAAAGTTTCCAGGACATATTTTCTGGTAGAAACCTGCCTAAAAGTATCGATAATTATTGAAGCTGGGTGATGGTACATTGGGGTCAATTACACAATTCTCTCAACTTTTGTGTATGTTTGAAATTTTTTTTCCTTCCTTCCTTCCCTCCTTCCTTCCTTCCTTCCTTCCTTTCCAGATGAGCGTGTTGCTTTGTTGCCCAGTCTGGTCTCAAACTTCTGGGCTCAAGCGATCCTCCCATCTTATCTCAGCCTCCTAAAGTGCTAGGATTACAGACATGAGCCACTGCACTCACCTTGCATTTTTTTTTTAACTTTTTATTTTATTTTATTTTATTTTATTTTATTTTATTTTTTTTTTTGAGACAGGTTCTTGCTCTGTCACCCAGGCTGGAGTGCAGTGGCACGATCTGAGCTCCCTGCAACCTCCCCCTCCCAGGTTCAAGCGATTCTCTTGCCTCAGCCTCCTAAGTAGCTAGGACTACAAGCGCGCACCACCATGCTCGGTTAATTTTTGTATTTTTATTAGAGGTGAGGTTTCGCCATGTTGCACAAGCTGGTCTCGAACTCCTGACCTCAAGTGATTGGCCTGCCTCGGCCTCCCAAAGTGCTGGGATTACAGGTGTGAGCCCCATGCCACCGCACCTGGCATCAGCCTGCATATTTCTATAATATTTGAAAACATTTAAAAATTGCTGATTAAAATGGTGGGGAGAGGGGTAGCTCGGGCATTCTCTTTTTAACACTAAGAGTGGGATTGATAATGCCAGTGTTCCACTAAAAACCAGTTACCTCCCTAAACACACAAACCCATTCGTTATCTCTTCTAGGGAACTAGAAAGGGCACACTGTGATATAAGGCAATATAAGTAGTAAATACCCCTTGGCTAGTTTGCCTTTTTGAATTAAGAAACCAAAAAATCATTGACACCAAGTCTCAGATAAAATTAAAGGAGGAAACATGTCAGCCTATTAGGTAGTCACAAGTACAGACCTCATTAGATCTCACCAGGATGCAAAACAGCCCATAAAAATTGAACTTATTCTTCACCAAATTTCTAAACCAAAACTAATTTTCTGCTTCAGTGCCAGAGATTAGGATGTGCATTTCTTCATTTTAAATTAATGCTGCTAAGCAAGCTAACTGCTTTGGAATGAAAATTTATTCTTTCTGCCTTAAACAGATGAAATACAACTGTAAAGATGTACCGAACTTTTAGGTCTGCAGCCATGCCTCCAATTATACCAGGTTTAGGAATTCTGAGCTGCACCTAGAGGGATAGTATGTGTGGGTATAGATTAGGGCGTGAGGAAAAAAGGAAAAATGCATACAGAGAACAGTATGGGAAATCTTCACAGAAACTCCTCCTCTTTCACACGCTTCTCAGATTTTTGGCTTCCCTTTTTCCCATTTCTCTATTTAAACTGCCACTGACGTCTATTTTCAGAAGATTTCATTTGTGAAAAGAATGAAGAAACCATCCACCCAGTAGGATTTGTCCCACCATATGCCTCCCTAACTTTTGGCATAACATTGCATTCTTATTCAAGTAAATTGGGATTTGTGAGAAAGCAACATTTAAGAGAGAACGATATCCCAAAGATAAGGGAGGCTAAAGATTTTTGCCTTTTGGATAAGATGACCAGATAAACATTAAAATTATGAATTAACAAACCTTCTCTTTAGCAGGACCTTTCATTGCTGATATTTCATTTTGTCCTTTTTTTGGGACAGAATCTCACTTCATCATCCAGGCTGGAGTGCAGTGGTGTGAAGATGGCTCACTGCAGCCCCTACCTCTCTGGGCTCAGGTGATCCTCCCACCCCAGCCTCCCAAGTAGCCAGGATTATAGGCACACACCACCATGCCCAACTAATTTTTAAAAATATTTTATAAAGATAGGGTCCCACTATGTTGCCCAAACTGTCCTTGAACTTCTAGGCCAAGCGCCCCCACGCCCAGCTAATTTTTAATTTTTTGTAGAGACAAGGTCTCACTATGTTGCCCAGCTGGTCTCAAACTTCTGGGCTCAAACGATCCTTTCACCTTAGCCTCCCAAATTGCTGCAGTAGATGCATCTGAACAAAAATTTATCTTTCTATAATTTTTTTTATATTCCACCTTCAAAGTGTGACCCTAAAAACTTAAAATCATACTCCCATTGGTCAAATAAGTGCTGACATGAGGAGACCTAGCTCTTTTATTCTAAATACTATACATGTAGTAATAGAGTCCGAAACTGCAGTCCAACAACCATTCTCATGGCTTGCCTATTGTCTGAGATATGCCACTGGCTGAAGACAAACTGGATTTCCATTGCTGGAAGTAAAAGTCTGAAGTTTATTTGTATCTCAAAATTTTTTCTTGAATGATGTCTTTGGATTTTTTCCCCTTGTCTATGTATTTGGTCTCTTTGAGGACATCTATTAGCAGTATGCTGTATCTCCTTTTTCTGTATTCCAAAGCTACAGTTTTCTCTCCAGTTCTTTTAAATTCTTTATTTTTTTCCATTTATTTTTCTCAACCTTGTCAAGTGTTTCTTTTTGTTCTTGACTGTATGGAAGCAGAGCCTGTTCACTTTTTTACTGCTTGCAGTATAGCCATATTTACTGTTTGATGGAGTGGCTTATGTGTACCATAGTTTTAATATATCTTCAACTGATGAGAACTGGCGGCTACAGGGCAACTTGTCATCCTGACTTTTCTCCTTACCTTGCCACATCCTTAGGTTCAATCTTGAAATAATGGTGCATCTGCTCACTCTCAGATTTAGTCCTGCCTTCTCTCCTATTTTGTGTTGACAAATAGGATAATGAGAGAGTTCTGCCCTCAGCCTCTGTACCTAGATCTTTTTAATCCAAAACAAGGAGTCTTTGGTTTTGCATCTCAGTGAGAATCACTACTCTAGAAAATACCAATATACCAACCCTTTCCAAGATCTTCAGTGAAAGGTATCCTCTCCTAGCATTTTCATATCTTGGTCCAATCTTCATGGCACTTAGTAACTTATCTTCATACACATCATGGTTGAGGTTCAAATGTTTTACAAAGTTTCATTAAAGATAAGACTTTTTTTTTGTCTGCTGTACTTTTTGTTGTTTTTGATGAGTTTCATGGAGGATAAGAGACATTTAAAGGTGAATTTTCATTTATCTATAGTTGGTAGAAATACCACTTTTTGCTTAGTGGGATTGCTACATTTTGAAGGTATGTGGGAAAATTACATTTTTTATATTTATTTTTTTAAACTAATCATTTCATTGAACTCTTTTTTAGTTCTATTTTTTCCTTTGGTTTTCTGGGATTTTACAAGTGTAAAATTATATTGACTATAAGTTTTATCATGTAATATATATTTATCCTCCTTTCTAAAATCTTATATATATACTGTATATATACACACACATCTATAAATATGTCTATATGTGTATAGATATTCACACATGTATCTTATCTTGTGTTATCTAGAACATCCAAGTCAGTATTGAATAGTAGCCAAGAAGTGTCCTGTTATGCTTATAATTTTTATGGGAGTAATTCGTGTGTTTACTGTTTAAAATTGAGGTGGCCAGTGTTTGATGATAACTGTTAAATTTTTATTAAGTTCCCTTAAAATAGCTACCATAATGATGATCTGATGATATTTTTCTTATTACCTTTGAAACCATAATATAGTATGAGCTCTACTATAACATAATAGAGCTTTTTTTGCAGAATGTTCTATCAGCAGATTTTTATTTCAGGTTAGGCACTATCTAATAAACTAATCTCAGGTAGAGTGGTTTGGTAGTGGTTGCAGGCCTCCCTTTTCAGACACCATTGAAGAAAATTTTTGTCTGCAGCACAGAGGAAAATCTAGTGTGAATGTTTATCAAATATGTAGAAATATGAAACTTGAATATAGGCAAATATATTATGTGATTGGACCAGACAGATTAGCTCTTAATACAATGGCATTCAGCAAATTTGAGGTTTTTTTCAAGTAAGTATAAAAGTCTAGGACTTTTTGATCTGTGGCTTAATATCATCTAGCAAAAAAGACGTGAATTATCGTTGTCAATCTATTGTGAAAAAACTGTGCTTTATGTGTGTTAAAAAAAAAATGCATTAGCTGGGTGTAGTGGTGTGCACCTGTAGTCCTAGCTACTTAGGAGACTGAGGCAGGAGGATTCTCTTGAGCCCAAGAGTTCAAGGTTAGAGTGAGCTATGATTGCCCCACTGCACCCCAGTCTAGAAAACATAGCAAGACCCTGACTCTGAAAAAATAAGCAAATACAATATTATACTCTAGTACTACATGTGTAGTGTTTAGAATGAAAGGGCTAGATCACCTACTCTTGGAACTGATTTGAGAACCAAAATATGACTTTAAGTTCTAAGGGCCACAGTTTGTTTGTTTTTTTTTTTTTTTTTAGATTTGGTCTTGCTCCGTCGCCAGGCTGGAGTGCAGTGGCGTGATCTTGGTTCCCTGCAACCTCCACCTCCCAGGTGTAAGCAATTCTCCTGCCTCAGCCTCCTGAGTAGCTGGGACTGCAGGCGCACACCACCATGCCAAGCTAATGTTTGTATTTTTAGTAGAGATGGGGTTTCACCATGTTGGCAAGGATGGTCTCAATCTCTTGACCTTGTGATCCATCCGCCTCGGCCTCCCAAAGTGCTGGGATTACAGGCGTGAGCCACTGCTCCTGGCCTAAGGGCCACACTTCGAAGGTGAAATAGAAAACCTGAGTCTAACGAATTGCATAAAACAGTATGTAGAACTCTATTGTTGGACCAAAAACATACAGAAATATAACAAATTTGTCAATTACAGTATAAAAGAGGTGTGTGGGAGAACAGCTGTATCTGATTAAAAAAAGACACCAGATGGTAATATGAATCCACAAGAATAAATGAATAGAACTAGCAATGACAAATAAGAAATGCCATAAATATATAATTTTCTCCTTTTTTCTCTTAGTGCCTCTAAAAAATATAAGATTACATAAAGTAATAATTATTATAGCGATGTATTGTTGGGTATATAATACTATAAATGTGCATTGGTTTTCTGTGGCTGCTGTGACAAATTACTACACACTGGGTTGCTTAAGACAGTTTTTCTCCCAGGTTTGGAGAGGAGAATTAAAACTCAAGATGTTGGCAAGGTTGCACTCCCTTTAGAGGCTCTACGGAGAATCTGTTTCTGCCTTTTCCAGGTGTTGGTGGCTGTTGACATCACTCCAATCTCTGTCTCCATCTTCGCATGGCCTTTTCCTCTGTGTCTGTTTTCCATCTTCTATCTCTTATTTAAAAAACAAAACAAACTTTTCACTGGAATTAGCCCCCACCTGAAAATTTAGGGTAATTTCATCCCCAAATCTCTAATATAATTATGTCTTCAAAGACTTATTTCCAAATGAGGTCACAGGTTCCAAAGGTTACTATGTGGACATATATTTTTGAGGCCCACAATTCAATCCACCACAAGATGTAATATGTGTAACAGTAATACAAAAGGCAGAAGAGAAATAAAGCTATCTAGAAGTAACATATTTATATCTCACTAGAATTAAGTTAATATAAATCTGAAGCAGATACCAATAAGCTAAAATATATATGGTAAACTCTAGAGAAACTACTGTGAAAATAACTCAAAAGATACAGTTTAAAATTTATTTTAAAAATTACCATGTTACATTCTAAAATATTCACTTAATATAAATCAGTAAATGAAAAGTATAGGAAAAAAAGAGAATTAAAACATATAGAAAAAGGAGTAAAATAACAAACATAAATCCAAATATATCAATAGTAACATCATGTGAATACATTAAAGAACCCAATCAAAAGGCAGAATTGTCAGTCTAGAGTTTTTAGGAAAACAACATCCAACTATGTGTTGTCTGCAGGAGACACTTTTAGATTCAAAGATACAAACAGATTGAAAGTAAAAGAATGGGAAAACATATATTGTACAAACAGCAACCACAAGATAGCTGGAGTGACTACACTAATATCAGACAAAACAGACAAGACAAAAAGTGTTACTAGAAATCAAGAAGGACATTTTATAATGACAAAAGGACCAATCAGGAAGATATAGCAACTAAAAACATACTTGCATCTAATAATAGAGCCCCAAAACACATGAAGCAAAAACTGGCAGAAATGAAGGGAGAAATAGACAATTCAATAGTCATAACTGGAGACTTTAATACTCCACTTCCAATAATGGACAACAACTAGGCAGAAGATCACTAGGAAATGAAAGATGTGAACAACACTAAAAACCAACTAACCTAAACGATATCTGTCTTAGTCTGTTCAGGATATTATAACAAAATGCCATATGCTGTGTAGTTAATAAACAAGAGAGATTTATTTTTCACTGTTCTAGAGGCTTGAAAGTTCATGATTCAGGCACCAGCAGATTTAGTGTCTGGGGAGGGGGCCACTTTTTGGTTCATGGATGTCACATTTTTGCTGTGTCCTCACATGGTGAAAGAGGCAAGGCACCTCTCTGGGCCTCTTTTATAAGGGCACCAATCCCATTCATGAGGGCTCTGCCCTCATGACTTAATTATGTTTGAAAGGTCTCACCTCTTCATACCATCAACATGAGAATTAGGTTTCAATTTATGAATTTGGGGAACACAAACATTCATATCATAGCAACATCTATAGAACATATAGCCAATAGCAGCATAATATACATTCTTCTCAATTGCACATGGAACATTATCTAAAACAATCCTCAATAAGTTTAAAAGGATTGGTACCATCCAAAGCATTCCCCTTGAGACTTGGAATAAGACAAGGATGCCCACTGTCACCACTCCTATTCAACATCCTACTGGAAGTCCTGGCCAGAGAAATCAGGCAAGAGAAAGAAATAAAAGGCATCCAAATAGGCAGAGAGGAAGTCAACCTATCTCTCTTAGCAGACAATATAATTTTATACCTAGAAAACCCTATATTCTCTGCCAAAAAGCTCCTACATCTGATAAAACCTCCAGCAAAGTTTCAGCATACAAAATCAATGTACAAAAATCAGCATTTCTGTACACCAACAACATCCAAGCTGAGGGCCAAATCAAGAACACAATGCCATTTACAATAGACATACACAAAAAGAAAATACCTAGGAATATGGCTAATCAAGGATGTGAAAGATCTCTATAAAAAGAATTATAAAACACTACTGAAAGAAATCAGAGATGATAAAACAAATGGAAAGACCTTCCACGCTCATGGGTAGGAAGAAACAACATTGTTAAGATAACCATACTGTCCAAAGCAATTCACAGATTCAATGATGTTCCTATCAAACTACCAATATTATTTTTCATAGAATTAGAAAAACAAACTATCCTAACATTCATATGGAAAAAAAAAAGAGCCCAAATAGTCAAAGCAATCCTAAGCAAAAAGAACAAGAAGGACATCACACTACCCAACTTCAACTATACTGCAAGGCTACAGTAACCAAAACAACATGGTACTAATACAAAAACAGACACATAGACCAATGGGACAGGTTAGAGAACCCAGAAATAAAGCTGCACACCTACAATTATCTGATCTTCAACAAAAACAAGCAATGGAGAAAGGACTTCCTACTCAATATTGCTGGGATAACTAGCTAACCATATGCAGAAGACTGAAAACTGGACCCCTTCCTTTCAGCATGAACAAAAATCAGCCTGAGATGGATTAAAGAGTTAAATGTAAAACCTAAAACTATACAAACCGTAGAATAAAACCTAGAAAATATCATTCTGGGCATAGGCCCTGGCAAAGATTTCATGACAAAGATGCCAAACGCTCTTGCAGCAAAAACAAAAATTGGCAAATGGGGCCTAATTAAACTAAAGAGCTTCTGCACATCAGACTATTGAGGTGGAGCAAGATAGTGGAACAGAAGCCTACACCATCCCCCCCCTCCCCCGCCACATGAACACCAAATTGTAACAACTATCTGCACACGGAAAAGCGTCATTACAAAAACCAAACATCAGGTGAGCAATCGTAGTACCTAGATTTAACAACGTATCACTAAAAGAGGCATTGAAGAGGGTTGGAGAGACACTCTGGGATCACCACCATCACCCCTCCCATATCCCCCAGCAGCAGCTGAGCAACGTGGGGAGTCTGCGCACTTGGAGGAAGTAAAGCACAGCAACTGGGGAACTTTACATTAAACTCGGTGCTGTCGTAGCAGGGAACAACACTGTGCTGGACTCAGCCAGCAGCTGCACATGAAGGGAGATTTTGGAACAGGCCTGGCCAGAGGCGAATCACTCATCCCAGCAGTCAGAACTCAGCAAGCCTCACCACTATATGCTTAAGTGCTCTGAGGTTCTAGGTAAACTTGAAAGACAGTCTAGGACACAAGGATTGCAATTCCTAGGTAACTCCTAGTGCTGGGCTGGGCTCAGAACCAGAGGGATAGGGGTGGCACATGACCTAGGAAGTCATCAGCTGGGGCAGCTAAGGGAGTGCTTGTGCCACCCCTCCCCTAATCCCAGGCAGTGAAGCTTGCAGCAACAAAAGTCACTCCTTCCTTCTGCTTAAGGAGAGGAGAGAAAAGAGTAAAGAGGACTTTGTCTTGCATCTTGGATACCAGCTCAGCCACAGTAGGATAGGGCATTGAGTAGAGTCATGAGGCCCGCATTCCAGGCCCTAGCTCATGGATGACATTTCTAGACACACCCTGGACAAATAGAAAACCCATTGCCTTGGTGGGAAGGACCCAGTCTTGGCAAGATTAATCACCTGCTGACTAAAGAGCCCTTGGGCACCAAATAACCAGCAGTGATATCCAGGTAGTATACTGTGGGCCTTAGGTTCTGAGATGTGCTGACTTCAGGTGTGATCCAGCACATTCCTAGTTGTGGTGGCTACAGTGAAAGACTCCTTCTGTTTGACAGAAACAGAGGAAAAAGTAAAGGGGACTTTGTCTTGCACCTTTGGTACCAGTTTGGCCACGTGGAGTAGAGCAACAAGCATGCTCTTGGGGTCCCCAAGTCCAGGCTTTGGCTCCTGGAAAGCATATTTGGATCTTCCCCAGGGCAGAGGGGTGCCCACTTCCTTGAAGAGTCCCAGGCCTGGCAGCATTCACCACAACACAACTGAACAGCCCTTAAGCTTTAAGTGAACATCAGCAGTGGCCAGGCAGATTCCCTGTGGACCAGTGGTAGTACTGGCCACAGGGAGAGGCACCTCTGCCTGTGGAAAGGGGAGGGAAGAATGGGAAAGACTTTGTCTTGTGGTTTGAGTGCCAGCTTAGCCGTAGTCAAATAAAATATCAGGCAAATTTCTAAGTATTTTGACTCCAATCCCTGACTCCCAAGTAGCATCTCTGGGCCTGCCCAGGGCCAGGGGGAACTTGCTACCCTAAAGGGAAGGATGCAAACTTGGCTGGTGTCACCCCCTGCTGATCTTAGAGCCCTAGGGCCTTGAGTGAACATAGGTGGTAGTCAGGTAGTGGTTACAGCAGGCCTTGGACAAGACCCAGGGCTGTGCTGGCTATAGGTCTGACCCAGCACAATCCAAAGTGGGGGCCACAGGAGTGCTTGCATCACCATACCCCTAGTTCAAGATGGCCCAGCACCTTGAGAGAGAGAGAGAGAGAGAGAGAGAGAGACAGAAAGAGACTGTTTGACAGAAAGTAAGGGAAAAGAACAAGTGCTTTTGCCTGGCAATCCAGATAATCATTCTGGATCTTATTCAAGACCTCCAAGATGGTACCTCTACTAGTCTGCAAAAACCACAGTATTATTGGGATTGAGGCCCAAGCTCCTTCAAATAAAAACCTTCTGGAAAACCTTCTCAAGAAGGACAGGGATAAACAAGCCCAGACTGCAAAGACTATAAGAAATACCTAGCTCTTCAATGCCGAGACACTTACTGGTAAGAATAGGCATACAGAAAAACACAGAATATTATAACACTGTAATTGTGGTATGTAAACTTATCTTAAGTAGAAAGAGTAAATGATGAACTGGTCAAAAATAATAACAACCTGGCCAGGCATGGTGGCTCATGCCTGTAATCCCAGCACTTTGGGAGGCCAAGATGGGCGGATCACTAGGTCAAGAGATCGAGACTATCCTGGCCAACATGGTGAAACCCCGTCTCTACTAAAAATATAAAAATTAGGTGGGTGTTGTGGTGGTGCGTGCCCATAGTCCCAGCTACTCAGTAGGCTAAGGCAGGAGAATCGCTTGAACCCAGGAGGCAGAAGTTGCAGTGAGCCAAGATCAGGCCACTGCACTCCAGCCTGGTAGCAGAGCAAGACTCTGACTCAGAAAAAAAAAAAAAAAAAAGACAACTTTTCACAACATAGTACAATAAGACACAGAGAAACAACACAAAGTTAAAAGCAGGAGGATACAGTTAAAGTGTAGAACTTTTATTAGTCTTCCTTTTGTGTGTTTGTTTTTTGTTTATGCAGTCTGTTAAGTTGCCATCAGTTTAAAATAATGGGTCATAAGATAAGTCATAAACCTCATGTAACCTCAAATGGAAAAACATACAATGGATACACAAAAAATAAAAAACAAGAAATTAAATCATACCACCAGAGAAAATTATTTTCATGAAAAAGAAGATGGAAAGAAGGGAGAGATGACCATGAAACCACGAGAAAACAAATTACAAAATGGCAGGAGGAAGTTCCTACTTAAATGAAATTATTGAATGTAAATGGACTAAACTCTCCAATAAAAAGAAATAAAGTGGCTGAATGGATGAAAAAACATGACCCAATGATCTGTTGCCCACAAGAAACACTTCACCTATGAAGATACACATAGACTGGAAAATAAAGACATGGGAAAAGATATTCCTTGCTAATGGAAACAAAACAGGAGCAGGGGTAACTACACTTATAACAGATAAAATAGATCTCAAGACAAAAACTCCAAAAAGAGACAAAGAAGGTCTTTGTACAATGATAATGGGGTCAATTCAGCAAGAGGATATAACAATTATAAATATATATGCACCCACCATTGAAGCACCCAGATATAAAAAGCAAATAGTATTAGAGCTAAAAGAGAGATAGAGATCACAATACAATAATAGGTGGAGAATTCAACACCCCACTTTCCGTATTGGACAGAACTGACAGACAAAAACTCAACAAAGAAACATCAGACTTAATCTGCACTATAGAACAAATTGACCTAATAGATAGTTATGGAGCATTTCATCCAACAGCTGCAGAATACACATTCTTCTCAGCACGTGGATCATTCTCAAAGATAGACCATATGCTAGTCACAATACAAGTCCTAAAATATTTTTTTAAAAATGATATCATATCAAGATTCTTCTCTGACCACAATGAAGTAAAATTAGAAATAAAAAAGGGGAATTTTGGAAACTACATGAACACATGGAAATTAAACAATATGCTCCTGAATGACCAGTGGGTCAATAAAGAAATTTAAAAGGAAATTGAAAATTTGATTCAAACAAATGATAATGGAAACACAACATGCCAAAACCTATGAGATACAACAAAAGGAGTACTATTAGAGGGAAATTTGTAGCTGTAATTGCCTACATTGGAAAAGAATGAAAACCTCATTTTAAATAACCTAACTATACATCTTAAAGAACTAGAAAAGCAGCAGCAAACTGAATCCAAAATTAGTAGAGAAAATAATAAAGATCAAAGCAGAAATATATTTGAAATGATGAAAATACAAGAGATCAACAAAACAAAAAGTCAATCTTTTGAAAAGATAAATAAAATTGACAAAGTTTTAAACAGACTAATGAAGAAAAAAAGAGAGAAGACCCAAGTAAATAAAATCGGAGCTGAAAAAGGAGGCATTACAACTGATACTGCAGGAATTCAAAGGATCATTAGTGGCTATGATGAGCCACTATATGCCAATAAATTTAAAAATCTAGAGGAAATGGATAAATTCCTAGACACATACAACTTACCAAGGTTGATCTATGAAGAAATTAAAACCTAAACAGACCAATAACAAGTAATTAGATCAAAGTTGTAACAAAAAGTCTCCCAGCAAAGTAAAGCCTGGGACCCATTGGCTTCACTGCCAAATTCTACCAAACATTTAAAGAAGAACTAATACCAATCCTACTCAAACTATTCCAAAAAGTAGAGGAGGGGTTAACTTCCAAACTGATTCTATGAGGCCAGTATTATCCTGATACCAAACAATGACACATCAAAATAAAATAAAACTCCAGGCCAATATATCTGATGAATATTGATGCAAAAATCCTCAACAAAATACTAGCAAACTGAATTCAACAATACAGTTAAAAGACCAAGTGGGATTTATCCCAGGGATACAAGGATGATTCAACATACACAAATCAATCAATATGATACATCATATCAACAGAATGAAGACCAAAAACCATATATCATTTCAATTGATGCTGAAAAAGCATTTAATAAAATTCAAAATCCCTTTATGATAAAAACCCTCAAGAAAATTGGCATAGAAGGGACATACCTCAAAGTAATAAAAGCCATCTATGACAGACCCACAGCCAACATCATATTGAATGGAGAAAAGTTGAAAGCATTCCCCCTGAGACCTGGAATAAGTCAAGGATGCCCATTTTCACCACTTCTATTCAACATAGTACTGAAAGTCTCATCCAGAGTAATCAGACAAGAGGAAGAAATAAAGGGCATCCAAATTGGAAAAGAGGAAGTTAAAACTGTTGCTGTTTGCTGACAATATGATCATGTACTCTGAAAACCCTAAAGATTCATCCAAAAAGCTCCTAGATCTGATAAATGAATTCAGTAAAGTTCCAGGATACAAAATCAATGCACACAAATCAGCAACACTGCTATACACCAATAATAACCAAGCTGAGAATCAAATTAAGAACTCAATCCCTTTTACAACAGCTGCAAAAAAAAAAAAAAATACTTAGTGTACTGGTTAATACTGAGGGTCAACTTGACTGGATTACAGGAGGCAAAGTATTGTTCCTGGGTATATCTGTGAGGGTGTCATCAAAGGAGATTAACATTTGAGTCAGTGGACTGGGAAAGGCAGATCTACCCTCAATCTGGGTGGGCACAATCTAATCAGCTGCCAGCACAGCCAGAATAAAAACAGGCAGAAGAACATGGAGAGATTAGACTGACTTAGCCTCCCAGCCTACATCTTTCTCCTGTGCTGAATGCTTCCTGCCCTTGAACATTGGACTCCAAGTTCTTCAGCTTTGGGACTTGGATTGGCTTGCTTGCTCCTCAGCTTGCAGATGGCCTATTGTGGGACCTTGTGATCATGTGAGTTAATACTCCTTAGTAACCTCCCCTTTATATATACATCTATCCTATTAGTTCTGTCCTCTAGAGAGCTCTGACTAATACAGATTTTGGTCCCAGGAGTGGTTCCAGAAGAACAGACTATTAAGGATGGAGTTCTTTCATTGGTTTTGGGGTTTCTGGAGAAGGCTGCTTAATATGATTAGACCCAAAAATGCTAAGGACTGTACTTCTAATAGTATGGAGAACACTGATAGTCCTTGGCACGAACTGTTTACAGAGTTACACAAAATAAATTCATTTGACACTCCTGATGCACGGTTCGTGAGAGGCAAGGAGTTTAGTAACTCTATATGTAATACCTTTGACCATATGTGGGGAACTAAGGAACATAATGAAGTTGGTTGGTTCCTCCTAAGTTCACTGGACAAAGTGATGAAAGAAAATGATGAACTTAGGGATTCTAATTCCTAGCTTCAGAAGCAGATACTGAACCTCAAACCTGCTAAGATTGCCCTGAGTGAGAGTCTTATCTCCTGTAGAGAAAGAGCTGAAATTGCGGGAAATTGGACACAAGTTCTTATCATACCAGTGGCTGACCTGCAATGAAAGGTGCATGCACAGCCTTGCCAGGTGTCTACTGTTGAAATGAGGGCATTGATTGGAAAAGAATGGGATCCTGAAACTTGGAATGGGGATATGTAAAAGGACCCTGATGAAGCTGGGGACACTGAGATTATAAATTCTGATGAAACTTTTTTTGCCAGAAGAAACAGCTTTCTCATCCCCAGTAGTGGCAACATGTCCTCCCCAACCCACACTGCCATCAGCCTTTCCACATTTGTCTGAGGAGAAAAACCCTGCACTGCCTGAGGCAACAGTGATGGCTTCCCCTGAGGCAGTTGCCAGGCAAGATAATGTTGATTCTCCTCAGGACCCACCCCCCACCACCCCTGTTTGCTTCTAGACCTATAACTAGACTAAAGTCCCAGGAGGGCCCTAGGGGTGAGGTTCAGAGTATAACCCATGAGGAGGTGTGCTACACTCGAAAAGAACTGCTTGAGCTTTCTTATTTATATAAGCAAAAATCTGGAGGACAGGCATAGGAATGGATATTAAGGGTGTGGGATAATGGTGGATGGAACATAGATCCAAGGCATTGGATCAGGCTGAATTTATTGATTTGGGCCCACTAAGCAGGGATTCTGCATTTAATGTTGCAGCTTGGGGAGTTTAAAAAGGTTCTGATAATTTATGTGCTTGGTTAGCTGAAATATGGATTAAAAGATGGCCCACTGTGAGCAAGCTGGAAATGCCTGATCTCCCTTGGTTTAATGTAGAGGAAGGGATCAAAAGGTTTAGGGAGATTGGGATGGTGGAGTGGATTAGTCAGTTTAGACCTACTCATCCCAGCTGGGAGGATCCAGAAAATATATCCTTGACTAATACTTTGCAAAATAGATTTGTGAGGGGAGTACCTGCATCCTTGAAGAGCTTTGTGATTGCTCTTCTCTGTATGCCAGATTTTACAGTAGGAACCACAGTCACTCAACTACAAAACTTAAATGCAATGGGAATAATTGGATCTCGAGGTGGCAGGGGCCAGTCAACTGTCAAAGGCAAGGTGGGCATAGCTACCATAATGGACAGCAGAGGCAAAGCAGCAATCACAATAGTCTGACTCATGTAGATCTCTGGCATCTGTTGATTAATCATGGTGTTCCTAGAAGTGAAAATGATAGGAAGCCTATTGCATTCTTATTTAATTTATATAAGCAGAAAACTTCCAGGTCAAGTGGACAAAAGACTAATTTGAATTATAAAAACAGAGGATCAATTTCCCCTCAATCAATTTCCAGACTTAAACCAGTTTACAGACCTAGAATCCCTTAAATGAAGGGGAGGCTGGTTCCCCTTGACAACAATTTACGCTGTTAAAAGATCACTTATTATGACCAAGTGGGATTTATCCCAGGGATACAAGGATGACACTGACAACAATTTATGCTGTTAGTCTTTCTCCCATCCTTCCCCATGGAGACCTACGGCTTTTTACCAGAGTAACTGTGATTGGGGAAAGGGAAATGATTGCCATTTCAGG
Source organism: Homo sapiens (assembly GCF_000001405.40). Lineage (NCBI taxonomy): Eukaryota > Metazoa > Chordata > Mammalia > Primates > Hominidae > Homo > Homo sapiens. Next base: position 140,909,895 of record NC_000005.10, on the reverse strand, counting down.
GACTACTGAACAGTGTCTCTAAGCTGACGTTGACTCCAGGGGACCGAAAACGTCCTGGTGGTCCTCCAGTTAAAGTAGGGGCTTATGGAGTTTTAGCTGAAGTCTGACTTAGAGTGGGTCCAGTGGGTCCCTGGACTCATCCTGTGGTCATTTCCCCAGTGCCAGAATGCATAATTGGCATAGGTATACTTAGCAGCTAGCAGAACCCCCACATTGGCTCCCTGACTGGTAGAGTGAGGGCTATTATGATGGAAAAGACAAAATAGGAAGACCAATTAGAGCTGCCTCTACCTAGAAAAATAGTAAATCAAAAAACATATCACATCTCTGGATGGGTTGCAGAGATTAGTGCCACCATCAAGGACTCAAAATGTGCAGGGGTTGTGATTCCCACCACATCCCCGTTCAGCTCTCCTATTTAGCCTGTGAAGAAGACAGATGGATCTTGGAGAATGACAGTGGATTATCATAAGTTTAACCAAATGGTAACTGCAATTGCAGCTGCTGTACTAGATGTGGTTTCATTGCTTGAACAAATTAACACATCTCTTGGTACCTGGTATGCAACCATTGATTTGGCAAATGCCTTTTTCTCCATTCCTGTCCATAAGGCCCACCAGAAGCAATTTGCCTTCAGTCAGCAAGGCCAGCAATATATCTTTACCATCCTACCTCAGGGGTATATCAACTCTCCGGCTTTGTGTCATAATCTTGTTTGGAGAGAACTTGATTGATTTTCCCTTCCATAAGATATCACACTGGTTCATTACCTTGATGACATTTTGCTGATTGGACCCAGTGAGTGAGAAGTAGCAAACACACTGGGCTTATTGGTGAGACATTTGCATGCCAGAGTATGGAAAATAAATGACTAAAATTCAGGAACCTTCTACCTCAGTAAAATTTCTAGGGGTCCAGTGGAGTGGGGCCTATCAAGATATTCCTTCTAAGGTGAAGGATAAGTTGCTGCATTTGGCCCCTCCTACAACCACGAAAGAGGCTTATTTGGGACTATTGGATTTTGGAGGCAACACATTCCTCATTTGGGTATGTTACTCCAGCCCATTTATCGAGTAACCCAAAAGGCTCTCACTTTTTAATGTAGTACAGAACAGGAGAAGACTCTACAACACGTCCAGGCTGTGTGCAAGTTGCTCTGTTTCTCGAGCCATATGACCCAGCAGATCCAATGGTGCTTGAGGTGTCAGTGGCAGATAGGGATGCTATTTGGAGCCTTTGGCAGGCCCCCATAAGTGAATCACAGTGGAGACCTCAAGGATTTTGGAGCAAGGCCCTTCCATCTTCTGCAGCTAACTACTCTCCTTTTGAGAGACAGCTCTTGGCCTATTACTGGGCTTTGGTGGAAACTGAACATTTGACTATGGGTCATCAAGTCACCAAGCAACCTGAACTGCCTATCATGAACTGGGTGCTTTCTGATCCATCTAGCCATAAAGTGGGGTGCGCACAGCAGCATTCCATCATCAAATGGAAGTGGTATATATGTGATCGGGCTCGAGCAGGTCCTGAAGGCACAAGTAAGTTACATGAGGTAGTGGCTCAAATTCCCATGGTCTCCACTCCTGCCGCCCTTCCTTCTCTTCCCCAGCTTGCAACAATGGCCTCATGGGGAGTTCCCTATGATCAGTTGATGAGGAAGAGAAGACTAAGGACTGGTTCACAGATGGTTCTGCATGATATGTCCACCACCTGAAAGTGGACAGCTGCAGCACTACAGCCCCTTCCTAGGACATACCTGAAGGACAGCAGTGAAGGGAAATCTTCCCAGTGGACAGAACTTCAATCAGTGCACCTGGTTGTGCACTTTTCATGAAGGAGAAATGGCCGGATGTGCAATTATATACTGATTAATGGGCTGTAGCCAGTGGTTTGGCTGGATGGTTAAGGACTTGGAAGAAGCATGATTGGAAAATTGGTGACAAAGAAATTTGGGGAAAAGGTATGTGAATGGACCTCTCTGAGTGGTCAAAAACTGTGAAGATATTTGTATCCCATGTGAGTGCTCACCAACGGCTGGCCTCAGCAGAGGAGGATTTTAATAAACAAGTGGATAGGATGACTCGTTCTGTGGACACCACTTAGCCTCTTTCCCCAGCCACCCCTGTCATCACCCAATGGGCCCATGAACAAAGTGGCCATGGTGGCAGGGATGGAGGTTACACATGGGCTCAGCAACAGGGACTTCCACTCACCAAGGCTGACCTGGCTACAGCCACTGCTGAGTGCCCAATTTGCCAGCAGCAGAGACCAACACTGAGCCCTTGATATGGCACCATTCCTCAGGGTGATCAGCCAGCTACCTGGTGGCAAGTTGATTATATTGGACCTCTTCCATCATAGAAAGGGCAGCGATTTGTCCTCACTGGAATAGACACTTACTCTGGATATGGGTTTGCCTATCCTGCACACATTGCTTCTGCCAAGATTACCATCTGTGGACTCACAGAATGCCTTATCCACCATCGTGGTATTCCACACAGCATTGCCTTTGACCAAGGCACTCACTTTACGACTAAAGAAGTGCAGCAGCGGGCTCATGCATATGGAATTCACTGGTCTTTACATGTTCCCCATCATCCTGAAGCAGCTGGATTGATAGAATGATGGAATGGCCTTTTGAAGTCACAATTACAATGTCAACTAGGTGACAATACTTTGCAGGGCTGGGGCAAAATTCTCCAGAAGGTTGTGTATGCTCTGAATCAGCATCCAATATATGGTACTGTTTCTCCCATAGCCGGAATTCACAGGTCCAGGAATCAAGGGGTGGAAGTGGAAGTGGCACCACTTACCATCACCCCTAGTGACCCACTAGTAAAATTTTTGCTTACTGTCCCTGTGACATTATGTTCTGCTGGCCTAGAGGTCTTAGTTCCAGAGGGAGGAATGCTGCCACCAGAAGACACAACCACGATTCCATTAAACTGGAAATTAAGATTGACACCGGGACACTTTTTGGGCTCCTCCTACCTTTAAACCAACAATCTAAGAAGGAAGTTACAGTGTTGGCTGGGGTGACTGACCCAGACTCTCAAGATGAAATCAGTCTACTACTCCACAGTGGAGGTAAGGAAGAGTATGCATGGAATACACAAGATCCCTTAGGGTGTCTCTTAGTATTACCATGCCCTGTGTCAATGGGAAACTACAACAGCACAATCCAGGCAGGACTACAAATGGCCCAGATCCTTCAGGAATGAAGGTTTGGGTCACTACACCAGGAAAAAACCACTACCTGCTGAGGTGCTTGCTGAAGGCAAAGGGAATACAGAATGAGTAGTAGAGGAAGGTAGTCATCAATACCAGCTATGAACCACACAACCAGTTGCAGAAATGAGGATTTTAATTGTCGTGAGTATTTCCTCCTTCTTTGTTAAAAACATGTTTGTGCATTTATACATTTGTACTAAGAAAATATCTTCATTTTATTTCCTTTCTTGTTTATCATGTGACATAAGATTTATTGACTTCATATGAAAATTTAAATGTTAACTTTATGTAATAGCATTTGGGTTGGGAATTGGTGCATTCTTGGTTGTATGAAGGATAGTTGTATCATGTTGGGAATAATTATGACCTTATTATTGTCTTAATTTGAAGATTATCTATAATTTCAGGAGGTGTGTATGGGTTCAAGTTGACAAGGGGAGGACTTGTGATGGTTAATACTGAGTGTCAACTTGATTGGATTGAAGGATGCAAAGTATTGTTCCTGGGTGTGTCTGTGAGGGTGTTATCAAAGGAGACTAACATTTGTGTCAGTGGACTGGGAAAGACACACTTACTCTCAGTCTGGGTGGGTGCGATCTAATCAGCTGCCAGTGCAGCCAGAATAAAAGCAGACAGAAGAACGTGGAGAGATTAGACTGGCTTAGCCTCCCAGCCTACATCTTTCTCCCATGCTGGATCTTCCTCCCCTTGAACATCGGATTCCAAGTTCTTCAGCTTTGGGACTCAGATTGGATTCCTTGCTCCTCAGCTTGCAGATGGCCTATTGTTGGGCCTTGTGATTGTGTGAGTTAATACTCCTTAATAAACTCCCCTTTATATACACATCTAGCCTATTAATTCTGTCCCTCTAGAGAACCCTGACTAATACACTTCGGAATATACTTAACCAAGGAGGTGAAAGATCTCTACAAGGAAAACTACAAAACACTGCTGAAGGAAATCATAAATGACACAAACAAATGGAATATGTTCCATGTTAATGGATGACAGGAATCAATACTGTGAAACTGACCATACTGTCAAAAGCAATCTATAGATTCAATGCAATTCCCAGCAAAATATCATTATCATTCTTCACATGACTAGAAAAACACAATCCTAAAGTTCATATGGAACCAAAAAAGAGCCCACATCCCCAAGGCAATACAAAACAAAAAGAAGAAATCTGAAGGCATCACATTACCTGACTTTAAATTATACTAAAAGGCTGTAGTTATCAAACCAGCATGGTACTGGTATAAAAATAGGCACACAGACCTATGAAACAGAACAGAGAACCAGAAATATAGTCAAATACTTACAGCCAACTGATCTTCAACAAAGCATACAAACACAAAGTGTGGAAAGGACACCTTATTCAAGAAATGGTACTGGGATAACTGCCAAGCCTCATGTGGAAGAATGAAACTGGATCCTCATCTCTCACCTTACACAAAAATCAACTCAAGATGGATCAAAGACTTAAATCTAAAACCTGAAACCATGAAAATTCTAAAATATAACAGCAGAAAAACTCTTCTAGACATTGGCTTAGGCAAACAATTCATGACTGAGAACCCAAAAGAAAGTGCAACTACAACAAAAATAAATAAATGGGACCTAATTAAACTAAAAAGCTTCTGCATAGAAAAGAATTAGCAAAGTAAACAGACAACCCACAGAGTGGGAGAAAATAGTCACAAATTCTGCATCAGACAAAGGACTAATATCCAGAACCTACAAGGAAGTCAAACAAATCAGTAAGAAAAACAAATCCCATCAAAAAGTGAGCTAAGGACATAAACAGACAATTCTCAGAAGAAGATATGAAACATATAAAAAAATGCTCAACATCACTAATTATCAGGAAAATGCAAATTAAAACAATAATGTGATACCATCTTATTCTTGCAAAAATGGTCATAATAAAAAAATAATAGATGTTGGCCAGAATGTGGTGAAAAGGGAACAATTTTACACTGCTGGTGGGAATGTAAACTAGTACAACCACTATGGAAAACAGTGTGGAGATTCCTTAAAGAACTAAAAGTAAAACTACTATTTGATCCAGCAGTCCCACTACTGGGTGTCTACCCAGAGGAAAAAAAAGTCATTATATGAAAAAGATACTTGAACACACAAGTTTATAGCAGCACAATTCACAATTGTAAAAATTTGGAATCAGACCAAATAGCCACCAATCAACAAGTGTATAAAGAAATTGTAATATACATATATATAAAATATATGTATTATATATATAATACACCATGGAATACTACTCAGCCATAAAAAGGAATGAAATAATGGCATTCTCAGCAACCTGGATGGAACTGGAGACCATTATTCTAAGTGAAGAAACTCAGGAATGGAAAACCAAACACCACATGTTCTCATTCATAAGTGGGAGCTAAGCTATGAGGATGCAAAGGCATAAGTATAATACAATGGACTTTGGGGACTTAGGGGGAAAGGGTGGGAAGGGGGTGAGGAATAAAAGACTACAAACTGGGTGCAATGTATACTGCTCGGGTGATGGGTGCACCAAAATCTCAGCAATGACCACTAAAGTAGTTATTCATGTAACCAAATACTGTTCCCCAAAAACCCATTGAAATAAAAAAATTAAAAAGTTAAATTATACCATTATTTTTTAAAGTGTATCATATTTGTAGCTGTTACATTGTGAATAGACCAAAAATCAACAAATAATTTTCCAGTATTTAAGAGGTATTATCCAATGCAGCAAGGAAGTCACATCATTGACAAACAGGTCAAGATTCAATGTCTTTGTCATTTTACTCTATATTATTTGTTAAGATAAATGAAAATACCAACAGACATTCATGTGAGAACTATACTTGTCAATTACAACCATAGATAGTTTATGGATAGAAAAGTTCAGCAAAAATCAAGGGAAACATTCTGTAATAATTGATAATAGGGAGAATTGTATATTTTATTACTATTTTAAACTATTTACCAAACATCTTTTATATCAGTTAAATTTATAATATATGTATATGGTATATGCATACATATGCATGCACATTCATGTGTATTAAGCATTTATCAGGCCAACACCAGCTAGACAGCTCCCAATTCCACTTATTAGAAAAGTTTCTTGCTCTAGTTTAAAGTGAACAACACAATAGAACTATTATCTATGGTACCTGCTCAGAACTATAATGCAAGGAATAATATTTTAAGTTTGATCAGATGAATTCCACTGATACATATTGTGCTGAATTTTTCCTGACTGCACTACTGTTTCTAGAAGTAACCACAATCCTCCCTATATTTTTGAAAAACTTGTTTTTTAAAATGCATCCTTTCCTCAATAAAAATGCTGTCTTTATTGTATACTAAATTTCCTAATGCACAATGAGACACTACCTCACTCCTGCAAGAATTACTATAATTTAAAAATCAAAAAGTAATAGATGTTGGCATGAATGTGGTGAAAAGGACACTCTTTTATACTATTGGTGGGAATGTAAACCAGCACAACCACTATGGAAAACAGTTTGGAGATTTCTTAAAGATTTAGAAGTAGAGCTATTATTTGATCCAGCAATGCCACTATCAGGTATCTACCCAAAGGAAAAGAAGTCATTACATGAAAAAGACACATGTGCAAGCCATGTTGATAGCAGCACAATTCACAATTGCAAAAATATGGAACCAACCTAAATGCCCATCAGCCAACAAGTGGATAAAGAAAATGTGGTATATATACACCATGCAATACTACTCAGCCATAAACTAAATAAAATAATAGCTTTTGCAGCAGCTTGGGTGGACCTGGACGCCATTTTTCTAAGTGAAGTAACTCAGAAATCGAAAACCAAATATTGTATATTCTCACATACAAGTGAGAGCTAAGCTATGAGAATGCAAAGACATAAGAATGATATAATGGATTTGGGGGACTTGGAGGGAAGGGTGGGAGGGGAGTGAAAGATAAAAGACTACACATATTAGGTACGGTGTACACTGCTTGGGTGACAGGTGCACCAAAATCTCAGAAATCACCACTAAATAACTTACCCATGTAACTGAAAACGACCTGTTTCCCAAAACTATTGAAATCTTAAAAACCCTCAAAAATCTGGGTATAGAAGGAACATACCTCAACATAATAAAAACCATATATGACAGACTCACAGCTAGTATCATACTGAGCAGGCAAAAACTCAAAGCCTTTTCTCTAGGATCTAGAATATGACAAGGATGCCCACTTTCACCACTGTTATTCAACATAGTATTCAACATAGTACTCTTAGCTAGAGCAATTAGACAAGAGAAAGAAATAAAGGGCTTCCTAGGCCAGGCGAAGTGAGTTACACCTGTAATCCCAGCACTTTGGGAGGCTGAGGCAGGAGGATTGCTTGAGCCCAGGAGTTCGAGACCAGCCTGGGCAACAAAGCAAGTCCTCATCTCAAAAAAAAAAAAAAAAAAGAAAGAGAGAGAGAGAGAAGACATAAAGGACATCCAAATTAGAAAGGAAGAAATCAAATTATCCTTGTTTGCAGATGATATAATCTCAGTTTTAAAAAAATCTAAAGACTCCAAAAAACTATTAAAACAATAAATTCAGTAAAGTTGCAGGATACAAAATCAACATACAAAAATTAGTAGTATTTCTATATGTCCCAACAGTGAACAATCTGAAAATGAAATTAAAAAGTAATCCCATTTACGATAGCCACGAATAAAACTAAATATACCTAGGAATTAACCAAAGAAGTGAAAGATCTCCACAATGAAAAATATAAAATGCTGATGAAAGAAATTGAAGAGGACACAAAAAAATGGAAAGATATTGCATGTTTATGGACTGGAAGAATCAATATTGTAAAAATGTTCATACTACCCAAAGTAATCTACAAATTCAATGCAATCCCTGTCAAAATACCATGGACATTCTTCACAGAAATAGAAAAGACAATCTGAAAATGTATATAGAACTACAAAATACCCATAATACCTAAAGGTATCTTGAGCAAAAAGAACAAAACCGGAAGAATCACATTACCTGACTTCAAATTATACCATAGAGATATAGTAACCAAAACATCATGGCACTGGCATAAAAACAGACACATAGATGAATGGAACAGAATAGAGAACCAAAAAACAAATCCACATATCTATAATGAACTCATTTTCGATGAAGGTGCCAAGAACATAAACTCGAGAAAAGACAGTCTGTGCTGGGAAACTAGATATCCATATGCAGAGGAATGAAACTAGACCCCTATCTCTCACCATATACAAATATTGAATTAAAATGGATTAAAGACTTAAATCTAAGACATCAAACTATAAAACGACTACAAGAAAACATTGGGGAAACTCTCCGGAACATCAGTCTGGGCAAAAATTTCTTGAGTAATACCCCACAATCACAGGGAACCAAAGGAAAAAAATGGATATATGGGATCACATCAACTTAAAAACCTTCTGCACAGAAAAGCAAACAATCAACAAAGTGAAGAGACAACCCACAGATTGAGAGAAAATATTTACAATCTACCCATCTAACAAGTGATGAATAACCAGAATGTAGAAGGAGCTCAAACAACTCTATAGAAAAAAAAATCTAATAATCTAATTTTAAAATGGGCAAAAGAGTTGAATAGATGTTTCTCAAAAGAAGACATACTAATAGCAAACAGGTATAGGAAAAGATACTCAACATCACTGATAATCAGAGAAATGCAAATCAAAACTACAATGAGATATCATCTTACCACAGTTAAAATGGCTTTTATCCAAATGACAGGCAATAAAAAATGCTGGAGAGGTGAAAAAAAGGGAAACTTTGTACATTGTTGGTGGGAATGTAAATTAGTACAAGCACTATGGAGAACAGTTTGGAGTTTCCTCAAAAAGCCAAAAATAGAGCTACCAAGTGATCCAGAAATCCCACTGCTAGGTAGGATTTCCTTTCTTTCCAAAAGAACGGAAATCAGTATATTGAAGAGATAACTGCACTCCCATTGTTCATTGCAGCAGTGTTCACAATAGCCAAGATTTGGAAGCAATCTACATGTCCATCATCAGATGAACGGGTAAAGAAAATGGGCCGGTGCCGTGGCTCACGCCTGTAATCCCAGCACTTTGGAAAGCCGAGGTGGGCAGATCACCTGAGGCTGGGAATTTGAGACCAGTCTGACCAACATGGAGAAACTCCGTGTCTACTAAAAATAAAAAATTAGCCGGCCGTGGTGGCACGTGCCTATAATCCCAGCTACTTGGGAGGCTGAGGCAGGAGAATCGCTTGAACCCAGGAGGCAGAGGTTGCGGTGAGCCAAGATTGCGCCACGGTACTCCAGCCTGGGCGACAAAAGTGAGACTGTCTAAAAAAACAGAAAAGAAAGTGTGGTACATATACACAATGGAGTACTATTCAGCCATAAAAAAAACAAGATCCAGTCATTTGCAACAACCTGGATGAAACTGGATGTCATTATAAGTGACATAAACCAGGCACAGAAAGACAAATATCGTATGTTCTTACTTATTTGTGGTACCTAAAAATCAAAACAAGGCCAGGTATGGTGGCGCATGCTTGTAACTGCAGCACTTTTGGAGGCTGAGGTTAAAGGATCACTTGAGCCCAGGAATTCAAGGCCAAACTGGGTAACAAAGTGAGACCTCATCTCTACAAAAAAAATCAAAAAAGTAGCTGGGCATGGCAGCACATGCCTGTGGTCCCAGCTATTCAGGAGGCTGAGGCAGGAGGATTGCTTGAGCCCAGGATGTCAAGGCTGCACTGAGTTCTGTTAATACCACTGCACTCCAGCCTGGGTGACACAGCAAGACCTGTCTCAAAAAGGAAAAACAAAACAAAATATTGGATTCACAGCCGAATTATACCAGAGGTAAAAGGAGGAACTGGTACCATTCCTTCTGAAACTATTCCAATCAATAGAAAAAGAGGGAATCCTCCCTAACTCATTTTATGAGGCCAGCATCATCCTGATACCAAAGCCGGGCAGAGACACAACCAAATAAGAGAATTTTAGACCAATATCCTTGATGAACATTGATGCAAAAGTCCTCAATAAAATACTGGCAAACCGAATCCAGCAGCACATCAAAAAGCTTATCCACCATGATCAAGTGGGCTTCATCCCTGGGATGCAATATATGCAAATCAATAAATGTAATCCAGCATATAAACAGAACCAAAGACAAAAACCACATGATTATCTCAATAGATGCAGAAAAGACCTTTGACAAAATTCAACAACCCTTCATGCTAAAAACTCTCAATAAATTAGGTATTGATGGGACATATCTCAAAATAATAAGAGCTATCTATGACAAACCCACAGCCAATATCATACTGAATGGGCAAAAACTGGAAGTATTCCCTTTGAAAACTGCCACAAGACAGGGATGCCCTCTCTCACCACTCCTATTCAACATAGTGTTGGAAGTTCTGGCCAGGGCAATTAGGCAGGAGAAGGAAATAAAGGGTATTCAATTAGGAAAAGAGGAAGTCAAATTGTCCCTGTTTGCAGAAGACATGATTGTATATCTAGAAAACCCCATTATCTCAGCCCAAAATCTCCTTAAGCTGATAAGCAACTTCAGCAAAGTCTCAGGATACAAAATCAATGTACAAAAATCACAAGCATTCTTATACACCAATAACAGACAAACAGAGAGCCAAATCATGAGTGAACTCCCATTCACAACTGCTTCAAAGAGAATAAAATACTTAGGAATCCAACTTACAAGGGACGTGAAGGACCTCTTCAAGGAGAACTACAAACCACTGCTCAATGAAATAAAAGAGGATACAAAGAAATGGAAGAACATTCCATGCTCATGGGTAGGAAGAATCAGTATCGTGAAAATGGCCATACTGCCCAAGGTAATTTACAGATTCAATGCCATCCCCATCAAGCTACCAATGACTTTCTTCACAGAATTGGAAAAAACTACTTTAAAGTTCATATGGAACCAAAAAACAGCCCGCAACACCAAGTCAATCCTAAGCCAAAAGAACAAAGCTGGAGGCATTATGCTACCTGACTTCAAACTATACTACAAGGCTACAGTAACCAAAACAGCATGGCACTGGTACCAAAACAGAGACATAGATAAATGGAACAGAACAGAGCCCTCAGAAATAACGCCGCATATCTACAACTATCTGATCTTTGACAAACCTGAGAAAAACAAGCAATGGGGAAAGGATTCCCTATTTAATAAATGGTGCTGGGAAAACTGGCTAGCCGTATGTAGAAAGCTGAAACTGGATCCCTTCCTTACACCTTATACAAAAATTAATTCAAGATGGATTAAAGACTTAAACGTTAGACCCAAAACCATAAAAACCCTAGAAGAAAACCTAGGCATTACCATTCAGAACTTAGGCATGGGCAAGGACTTCATGTCTAAAACACCAAAAGCAATGGCAACAAAAGCCAAAATTGACAAATGGGATCTAATTAAACTAAAGAGCTTCTGCACAGCAAAAGAAACCACCATCAGCGTGAACAGGCAACCTACAAAATGGGAGAAAATTTTCGCAACCTACTCATCTGACAAAGGGCTAATATCCAGAATCTACAATGAACTCAAACAAATTTACAAGAAAAAAACAAACAACCCCATCAAAAAGTGGGCAAAGGATATGAACAGACACTTCTCAAAAGAAGACATTTATGCAGCCAAAAGACACATGAAAAAATGCTAATCATCACTGGCCATCAGAGAAACGCAAATCAAAACCACAATGAGATACCATCTCACACCAGTTAGAATGGCAATCATTAAAAAGTCAGGAAACAACAGGTGCTGGAGAGGATGTGGAGAAATAGGAACACTTTTACACTGTTGGTGGGACTCTAAACTAGTTCAACCATTGTGGAAGTCAGTGTGGCGATTCCTCAGGGATCTAGAACTAGAAATACTATTTGACCCAGCCATCCCATTACTGGGTATATGCCCAAAGGACTATAAATCATGCTGCTATAAAGACACATGCACACGTATGTTTATTGTGGCACTATACACAATAGTAAAGACTTGGAACCAACCCAAATGTCCAACAATGACAGACTGGATTAAGAAAATGTGGCACATATACACCATGGAAGACTATGCAGCCATAAAAAATGATGAGTTCATGTCCTTTGTAGGGACATGGTTGAAATTGGAAATCATCATTCTCAGTAAACTATCGCAAGGACAAAAAACCAAACACTGCATGTTCTCACTCATAGATGGGAATTGAACAATGAGAACACATGGACACAGGAAGGGGAAGGGAACATCACACTCTGGGGACAGTTGTGGGGTGGGGGGAGGGGGGAGGGATAGCTTTAGGAGATATACCTAATGCTAAATGACGAGTTAATGGGTGCAGCACACCAGCATGGCACATGTATACATATGTAACTAACCTGCACATTGTGCACATGTACCCTAAAACTTAAAGTATAATAAAAAAATATATTTTTTGAACCCATGGAGATAGACAGTAGAAGAATGGTTAACAAAGGCTAGAAAGTTTAGTGGGGTGTGGACAGAAAGTGGAGATTTTTAATGAGGATAAAAAATAGAAAAAATGAATAAGACATAGTATTTGACAGCAGAATAGGGTGACTATGGTCTAAATAATTTAGTTGTATATTTAAAAATAACTAAAAGAGCATAACTGGTTTGTTTGTGCAAAGAATAAATGTTTAAGGGAATGGCCATTCCATTTTCCATGATGTGATTATTGTGCATTGCATGCTTGTATCAAAATGTCTCATATACCCCATAAATATGTACACTTATTATGTACCCATAAAATTAAAAAATAAAAACAACTATGAACAGAGTAAACAGACAACCTACAGGATGGGAGAAAATATCAGCAAACTATGCATCCAACAAAGGTCTAATATCCAGAATCTATAAGGAACTTAAACAAATTAACAAGCAAAAAACAAACAACCTCATCAAAAAATGGGCAAAGGGCCGGGCACAGTGACTCATGCCTGTAATACTAGCACTTTGGGAGGCCAAGGCAGGTGGATCACTTAAGACCAGGAGTTCGAGACCAGCCTGGCCAACACGTCAAAACCCCATCTCTACTTAAAATACAAAAAAAAAAAAGAAAAATAGCTGGGCTTTGTGGTGTGTGCCTGCACAGTCCCAGCTACTCAGGAGGCTGAGGCAGGAGAACCGCTTGAACCCAGGAGGTGGAGGTTGCAGTCACACCAGTCAGAATGGCTATTACTAAAAAGTCAAAAATAACAGATGCTGGTGAGGTTGCAGAGAAAAGGGAATGCTTATACACTGCTGGCGGGAATATAAATTAGTTTAGCCACTGTGGAAAGCAGTTTGAAGATTTCTCAAAGAACTTACCATTCAAGCCAGCAAATCCCATAACTGTGTACATAACCAAAGGAATATAAGTCATTCTACTATAAAGACACATGTATGTGTATGTTCATCATGGCACTATTCACAATAGCAAAGACAGAGAATAATCCTAAATGCCCATCAATGGTGCACTGGATAAATAAAATGCAGTACATTGGCCAGGCACAGTGGCTCACGCCTGTAATCCCAGCATGTTGGGAGGCCGAGGCAGGCGGATCACCTGAGGTCAGGAGTTCGAGACCAGCCTGGCCAACATGGAGAAACCCTGTCTCTACTTAAAATACAAAAATTAGCTAGGCCTGGTGACAGGCACCTGTAATCCCAGCTACTCGGGAGGCTGAGGCAGGATAATTGTTGAGCCCGGGACGCGGAGGTTGCAGTGAGCCGAGATCGCGCCATTGCACTCCAGCCTGGGGTACAAGAGTGAGACTTTGTCTGAAAAAAATACAATACAATACAATACAGTATTGTACATATACGTCATTGAATACTATGCAGCCATAAAGAAAGAAAAAGATCATGCCCTTTGCAGCCCATTGAATGGAGGTGCAGGCCATTATCCCAAGTGAATTAATATAGAAACAGAAAACCAAATACTACATGTTCTCACTTATAAGTGGGAGCTAAAAAAGAATGTGAAAAGACAACACCCTCAATGAGAAAATCTTTGCAAATTATATATCTAATAAAGTAATTGCATCTAGAATATATAAAGAACTCTTACAACTCAACAATTGAAAAACGAATAAACCAATTAAAAATTGGGCAAAAGTTCTGAATAGGTATTTCTCCGAAGAGGATAAAGAAATGACCAATAAGCACATGAAAAGAGTCTCAGGAGGAAGCAAAAGAAGGTTATGGGGCTTTTGATGGTGTTGAGAATTGAAGAACTCCAAAAAGTGCCAATAAGTACTCACTGGAAAGCATAGTAAAACAATTTGAGAACAATAGTCATGGGTGGAAGGGGGGAAATCGAAGGTCCTAATTCAATTATCCCTGAGTAAGAAAAAAAAGAAAGCTTTGAAAAGAGAGATGAGAAAACTCAGTAAAATATTAGAAATAAAAGCAAATTCAAAACTTAGCAGAAGGGACTACAAATAGATTGGATTGTGCTAAACCTGTCTTAGCCCTATGAACTTGTCAACTAACAAATGTCTTCTTGTAGCAAAAACCCCTATACTGAGGAGGAACTGATAGGAATTGAGTCCATATGAAGCAGAATGGTGTGGGTGGGGGACAATTAAACAAAGGAAAAAGGTCCAAGTAAAAAGGGTAAAGGATGTCACAAAGTAAGACATTAAAAAATTATATTTTTATCATTTCATGACAATAGCTGAATAGAAATCTATAGAGCAACAAAGATAGGAAAATTATCCTGGTCTGTTTCTTCTAAAATTATGGGGGAGCACTTTTCATATAAAAATGAGCATAAGAAAAGGATTATGGGCAAATCTGATATAAAATTATTTTTAAAGGAGAGGACAAATAATTACACTAAAGGAAATAAATACACACAAGAAAAAAAATTCCACAAATTGCTACGTAATATTTGAAAACAACTTAAACATTTTTAGAAAATAATGAAAAGCTATGCAAGAATACACAAATCAGAATTAGAGAGACTCAGTAATGATATGATTGGAGAAGAAAAGCTTTGAAAAGAGAGATGAGAAAACTCAGTAAAATATTAAAAAAAAGGAAAATAATTTTTTCAGAAGTAAACACTAAACCAGAAGGCACATAACAGCATATAAACACTATGGATAATGCCTAAAGAAAACTATAAGATGAAAACAAGAATAAAAAGTAAAATATTTTTTAAAAAAGAGCTAGGTAGGATTTAGGAGTGTTAGCTACAAAAGAAAAGCAAAGAATATCTAATACAAATATAATTGGAGCCATTGAAGAAGAAATCTGAAGTAATAAAACAGAAGAAATACTAAAATCTATAATTTAAGAAAACTTTCCAGGAAAATAAACTTCAAAAATACTTGTAAATAAGCTACCACTTGTAAAGAAAAGAAAATTACATTGTCATTCAACATCTTTAAAATGAGAATATAATAGCATAGAAAAAATATATAACTATGGAAAGAAAGTCAAAATCAGGGATAATTACATAGAAGGGAATTATTTCAAGTTATTTGAAACTTCTCATCTGCAACACCAGGAGCTAGAAGATACTGGAATAAAATAAATGTATTTAAAAATCAATTCAACAGAGGACTTACATTACCAGTATGCAGAACTGGTAATTTGAACCAACCATACAATTGGAGATATTTTAAAATTATAAAAGTATCTAATGACTAATAAAGTCATGCAGAATTAACAGGTAGAGATTCTGAAAAAGACCACAAATTCAGAAGGTAAAGTAACTTTCTGGCCACTTTGGATCTGGGTTGTTTCTATACAAGAGGTAGGGCATCAGGATGGCTGAGTAGTCTACGGTACCAGACTCAAGACAAGGAGGGAATTCTAAAAACGGTAAAAGAAAAGTGACAAGTCACCTATAAGAAAATTCCCATCAGACTAACAGCAGATTTCTCAGCAGAAGCTTTACAGGCTAGGATAGAATGAGATGATATATCCAAAGTGCTGAAATTTTTTAAAACTATCAGCCAAAAATACTATACCAAGCAGAGCTATACTTCAGAAATGAAGGAGAAATAAAGTATTTCCCAAACAAGCAAAAACTGAGGAAGTACACTACAACTAGATAAGTCCTACAAGAAATACTTAAAGGAGTTCTACAACTGCTTTTTTTTTCTTTTTTGTGAAGAACAGGGTCTTGCTATGTTGCCCAGGCTGGTCTTGAACTCCTGGCTTCAAGCGATCTTCCTGCCTCTGCCTCCCTAAGTGCTGGGATTACAGGCATGAGCCACTGTCCCATAAATGCTGTTGGTGGGCATGTAAATTAGCACTGCCACTAAGGAAAACAGTATGGGAGTCCCTCAAAAAACTACAAATAGAACTACCATATCATCCAGCAATTCCACTATTGGGCATTTATCCAAAGAAAAGGAAACCAGTATGTCAAAGTGATACCTGCACCTCCCATACTTACTGCAGCACTATTCACAATAGCTACTATGTGGAATCAACCTCAATATCCATCAACAGATGAGTGGATAAAGAAAATGTGGTGTATATGCACAACGGAATATTATCCAGCCATAAAAAAGAATGAAATCCTGTTATTCATGGCAGTATGGCTGAGCCTGGAGGGCATATGTTAAGTGAAATAAGTCAGGCACAGAAAAATAAATACATGTTCTCACTTATACGGCAGCTACAAAATTTTATTGAGCTCATGGAAGTAGTATTGTGCTTATCAGAGGCTGGGAAGGGTGAAGGAAAAGGAGGATGGGGAAAGGTTGGTTAATGGATACGAAATTATAGCTACACAGGAGGAATGGGTTGTGGTGTTTTGCAGCACTGTAGCACTGTAGGATAAATATGGTTAACTATAATTTCTTACATATTTTCAAGAAGCTAGAAGAGTGGATTTTAAATGTTCACCATGCAAAAATGGTAAATGTTTGAGATTATGAATATGCTAATTACCCTGATTTTATTATTATACATTGTATATATGTATCAAAATGTCACTCTGTATCCTATAAATATGTACAATTATTATGTACCAACTGGAAATAAAAGGAAAAAAATAGGTGAATGAATACTGAGATATACTTTTGACAGTCTCCAAGGACTAGAGAAACAAAAGTCAGAATCCTGAGTCTACCAGTCATGGTGGAACTTCTTAAACAATCTCTCATGTTTGGCTAGGAAACTGAATAACCGTACTTAAAGAATACATGTAAATTTTAGATAATGAGGTTTTATCTAGAATACCTGAAGCTTGAAATAGATTAAGATTACCCATGATTGCTAGTGCCCCAAGATGCCTGGCAAAAGTCAATTAAAATCCATTCTGGAGAAAGAAAATGTTATAAGCCCCAAATTATTTCCAGGAAGAAGTGTTTAATACAACTTTCAGCACAAAATCAAAGATAACCAGGTTTATGTGGAGACAAAACACCATAAAGATACAATTTTAAAACACACCACAGGAATAGACCCATGAGGATCCCAGTTACTGGACATATCAGAAATAGACGCTAAAACCATGAGCTTATTGTGTTCCAGATATAAATGCCAAGCTTGAAAGTTTCGAGAGGAAACTAGAAATTATACAAAGTAACAATAAATTTGAAAAAGAATAAATAAAAGTATCTTAGACCATTTGTGCTGCTATAACAGAATGCCACAGACTGAGTAATTTATGAGAACGGAAATTTACTTCTCACAATTCTGGAGCCTAGGGGAAGTCCAAGATCAAGGCACCAGCATCTGGTGAAGATCTTCTTGCTGCATCGTCACATGACAGAGCCAAAAGCATAAGAGAGGGACAGGCTCCTTCCATCAAGTCCTTTTACAGTGCCGTTAATTTATTCATGAGGGCAGATCCCTCATAATCTAAACATTTCCTGAAATTCCCCACCTCCCAACACTGTTGTATAAGGGATTGAATTTTCAACACATGAATTTGGGGGTACAAATTCAGACAACAGCAAGAAGAGAGAATTATTAAACTTTAAGGTGGGTGAACTATCCACAATAAAGCCCAAAGAGCAAAAGGTGTTAAAATAAAAGGTAGAAATAGATGGGATAGAGTAATAAGATTAAAATATGTTTAATTAGAGTACTAAAATAATACTATAGAAATACAATGGAACAGAAGCAACATTGGAGAACATTATAGCTGAGGATATGCTCAAAGTGATGTAAAGGCATTAATTCACAAATTCAAAAATCCTATACAATGGACGTTGGGGACTTGGGGGCAAGAGTGGGGGGTGGCGAGGGATAAAAGATTGCAAATATGGTGCAATGTATACTGCTCAGGTGATGGATGCACCAAAATCTCACAAATCACCACCAAAGAACTTACTCATGTAATCAAATACCACCTGTACCCCCAATAACTTACGGAAAAATTAAAAATTAAAAAAAATCCTACTGAATCCAGAACAGGATGATTATAAAGACACAGCATGGTAAAACTGCAAAATATCAGACACACAGAAAATCTGAAAAGCAGCCAAAGGAAAATAAACAGAATACCTTTAAAGGAATGACATTTAGATTGACAGCTAAATTCTTGACAGCAACAATGGAAACCAGTAGACACTGGAATAATATTTACTATGTGCTGTGGGGGTCACACCTAAGATTATACCCTCAGAAAAAATGCTTTTCAATAATTATGATGAAATAAAGACATTTTCAGAAAAACAAAACCTGAAATCATTCCTCACCAGCATCTTTGGACTAAAGGAAACTCTCAAATTATTCTAACATGGAAAGACAATAATCCCTGATGAAAGGTCAGAGGGGCAAGAAGTAAGGAAGAGAAACAAAACTGGTAAATATGTAAGTACATTTAAAACAATGTTGATTGTATAAAATAATACTAATATCTTATGGGGTTTTAAAATATTTTTAAAGCATGACAGAAATAGTATATAAGTCAAAAGGGATTAAAAAGATTTTAAAAATGTAAGGTCCCTGCATTTCCCAGAAGGAGGAAGGGTTTCAGTTAACTTTTGATTTTGATATATCAAGGATACATGCTTAATTTTCTAGGGTAAGCACTAGCTATTCGGAAAAGGGCTTCCAAATAATACAGAAGGAAATGGAACAATAAAAAGTACTCAGTCATTTCAAAAGAAGATCAACAAAGGAAGGAAATAGAGACATAAAAATGGTGAGACAAAAATAACGCACAAAAAATTGAAATATTTGTGCCTAAAGATATCACTAGGTATTGTAAATATAAACTAAATAAATATTCAAGTTAAAATTTATAGATTATCTAAGAAAGAGTACTTGTTCAGGTTATCCATTGCTATATAGTAAACCATCCCAACTACCTAATATCTTAAAACAACTTAATATTACCTCTCCTGGTTCTGACTCAACTGAGTGGTTCTTGCTTGCAATCAGGTGCAGTAGTGTACTGGTAAATGCTTAACAACTAGGTCTCTGGGAAAAAAGAAAAACAAAAAACTCTGTTTTGTAGCATTTGCCTATTTCTGTGGCAGAAATACTCCTACCATGGCCAATTTCAAGCTACCAAAGTGACATCATTGAATCCAGAGTTGGGAATAAATTTGCATTATCAGTTCTCATAAGCCAGTAAAAGAGCCAGCTCCAACACACTACAGTCACCTGAAGCCTTCTACATTTTTCTGGCACCTAAGCTTGGAAAGCTAAGACAACTGGAGACTGGATAGTAATTTTTCTATCCATTTGGCTTCTCACAAGTCCAGCTTGAGCTTCTTTACAGTATGACAATCTCAAGGTAGTCAGAATTCTTACATGGTGGCAGGCTTCCCCCAAAACAAATATTCTCAGAGACCAAAGCATACTGTAAGACTTCTTATGACCTGACTTCATAAATCCCAGAATGTTACTTCCAATATTAAGACCAGTCAAAGTTCAAGGAAAGAAAAATTAGACTCTGCTACTCAGTGAGACAGTAGCAAAGAACTTGTGGAATATGCCCATAATACTAAAAGGTTTAAAATAAAAGGCTGGGAAGAGGACATCTCCTGCAAACACAAATGAAAAGAAGAGAAATGAATCAGTATAATTAATATAAAAATATTTCAAAGCAAAAACAAAAATCAGAAAGCAGAATTCTGAAGAAAAGTAAATTAGACAGGAAGCAAAAATAATATCAAGAATGGAAAGGGAAATATCACTATAGATTCTGTAGAAAGTATGAGCATATAACTGAAAATTTAGATTAAACAGGAAAATACCTGAAAAAATATTATCTACGTAACTGACTCGAGTAAATTAAACTCTGAATGGTCCTTATACTATTAAAATTGAGTCAGTAATCAGAAATATTCCCACCAATCAAAATCCTGATACAGATAACTTCAACAGTGAGTTCTCCAATCAAATAAGAAGTAATTCAAAGATTATACAAACTTTTACAGGAAACAGAAAATTTTCTGGAAGTTTTCAAAGACTATTCTTCTTTGTTAAGTATTCAAGTTATGCTAGATTCTTATTTATAACTTGAATACTTAACAAAGAAGAAATTAGGAAGAAAAACTAGGACATATCAGTATCACCTGGAATAAAGATGAAAAAATTGTTTTGAAAATTTAACAAAATAAGTAGTATATTAAAAGGATTATAAATTATAATCAAATTACGGTTATCCAAGGAAGTAGAGGTTGGTTTGCCATAAGAAAATCATAAATCATAAATTCAACACATTAACATTGCCAAAGAAAAAATTTATACCTCCCTCAAAAGATGCAGATAAAATATTTGATAACATTAAACCTCAATTCTAATGTTTTAATTTTTATGTTGAGACATGGTCTCACTCTGTCACCAGGCTGCAGTGGAGTGATGTGATCACAGATCACAGATCACTGATCAACCTCCCCAGATCAGGCTATCCCTTCAAAATTAAAAAAAAAAGTGGGTAGAATAATTCCTAGAGCTCACAAAGGGCTGGAAATATTTCACATTCCTACCAATCAGAGAAGAGAGACCTCTTAATGCACAGGGCATTAGGTGGTGTCCTCAGGAAAGTATTGCTGTAATAGAAGGCCGAATTAGTGCTACACTAAAAGCTGCTCTGAATGTGTACTAACAAATCTTAAAATGAAGCCTTGAAAGGAATAAATTGGTACTGAGCAACTTAACTTCACGTCAGAACTAAGTCCAAGACTCTTTAAAGCAGAGTTTCTCAACAGTGGAACTACTGACATTTTGAGCTAATTCTTTATTGTTGGGCGGCTGTCCTGTGCACGGTAGGATGTTTGGCAGCAATTGGATGGTGTTTAGCAGCATCTCAGAGCTCCATTATTAGATGCCAGTAGCAATTCCCTAGTTGTAATAACCAAAAATGTATCCAGGCATTGCCAAATTATCTCCTGGGTAGGGGGTAGAGGGGACAAAACTGTTTCTTATCAAGAACTACTGCTTTAAAGGAACACGCACACACATGCACACACACACAAAATCCAGCATCCGACAATGTAAAATTCACAATGTCTAGCATCTTATTAGAGATTACCAGTCATGCAAAACAGCAAGAAAATATATCCATAGAAGAAGATAGATTAAAAGAAGCAAACTAAGGACAAAAATGTTGAAATTAGCAGACAAGAAAGTTAAAACATCTATTATACATGTACTAATATGCTCAAACATATAGATAAAAAGATGACTATTCGGTGGAGACATGTAAAATAAATTTTAAAAGAGACAAAAAGAATCTTATACAGATAAGAAATAAATATGGTCTCTGAAATGAAGAATACACTGTTTAGGATTAACAGATATGATACTACAAAAGGAAAAATTAGTGAACTTGGAAAATATGTCAATAAAAGATATTCAAAATGAGGCACAGAGAAAGAAATGGACAAAAATAAAGAACGCTTCAATGACCTGTGTCATTGTAACATATGTGTTACTGGAGTCTCAGAAAGGATGGAAGGAAAGAAAAAACTATTAGAAGAAGTATGGTTGATTTTTTCCTGAATTTGATGAAAATGATAAATCCACAGATCCAAGAATATCAACAAACCCCAACAGACTAACATAAAGAAAACCATACTAAAGCACATCACAATCAATCTGCAAAAGTCAGGATAAAAAGAAAAGTTTTAACAGTAACCATGAGGGGTGGGGAGAGGAAGACTCATATATAAAAAAGCAAACATCTTATTAGAAACTATGCAAGCCAGAAGACAACTGAATTATATCTTTTAAAAAACTGTCAACTATGCCCAGTGAAAATACTTTTTCAAAAATAAAAATGAGATAAAGAGCCGGGCGCGGTGGCTCACACCTGTAATCCCAGCACTTTGGGAGGCCGAGCCAGGTGGATCACGAGGTCAGGAGTTCGAGACTATCCTGGCTAACAAGATGAAACCCCATCTCTACTAAAAATACAAAAAATTAGCAGGGCGTGGTGGCGGGCGCCGGTAGTCTCAGCTACTCGGGAGGCTGAGGCAGGAGAATGGCGTGAACCCGGGAGGTGGAGCTTGCAGTGAGCCGAGATCACGCCACTGTACTCCAGCCTGGGCGACAGAGTGAGACTCCGTCTCAAAAAAAAAAAAAGAGATAAAGATATTTCTCAGACAAAAGCTGAGTGAATTTGTTGCCAGAACATATGCACTATAAAAAATATTAAAGAAATTTTTCAGGCAGTAGGAAAGTGATACCAACTGGAAATTTGGATTTACAAAATAATAAATTTCGTTGCTAAATGTCTAATGTGTAGAACATGCCTGGCACATAGAGAACACTCAATAAGTATTTATTAAATGCATTTAATTAATGAATGTTCAATATAGGAGTTGGGAAGACCTTTCTTTTTTTTTTTTTTTTTTTTCAAGACGAAGTCTTGCTCTGTCACCCAGAGCTGGAGTACAGTAGCATGATCTCATCTCACTGCAACCTCCACCTCCCGGGTTCAAGCAATTCTCTTGCTTCAGCCTCCCAAGTAGCTGGGATTACAGGCGCGTGCCACCATGCCTCGCTAATTTTTGTATTTTTAGTAGAGACAGGGTTTCACCATGTTGGCCAGGCTGGTCTCGGACTCCTGATCTCCTGATCCGCCCACCTTGGCCTCCCAAAGTGCTGGGATTACAGGCGTGAGCCACCGTGCCCAGCTGGGAAGACCTTTCTAACTGAATATGCAGACCTTAAAATCCATAAAAGGAAAAAGATATATTTTAATTCATACATTTTAAAAACATTTATATATGACAAAATTAGTACAAACAAATGAATAGAAATAATATAGGAGGAAAACATATTTGTGATGCAGATAATAGATAAGCACACCATGGCATGTACACCTATGTAACAAACCTGCACGTTCTGCACATGTATCCCAGAACTTAAAGTGTAATAAAAAATAAATAAATATAAAAATAATTTTAAAAAATTTTATCTATAAATAGAGATACTTTTATTTATTTCTGAAGTAAAAGTAACAAAATTAGAGAAATGGAGAACAGATTACTGCTTGCCAGCATTAGGCAGGGAAGCAGATGTGGCTATAAAAAGGTGATATCAAGAATCTGGTTGTTACGGAACTATGTTACTTCTTTACTGTATCAATGTCAATATCCAGGTTGTGGTATGGCCCTACGCTTTTGTAAGATGTTACTATTGGGGAAAACTTAGTGAAGAATACATAGCATCTCCCTTTACTATTTCTTTCAACCACATGCGAATCTATAATTATCTCAAAATAAAAATTTTAATTAAAAATGTCAAAAAATAGATAAACAGTTAATATCTATAAGGTACAGAGAACTTTTCCAAACTGAAACTAAAAATTTTTTTTCAATAGAAAAGTAGGCAAATAACTTAATGGATAAATCAAAGAAGATCAAATACAAATCAACAAAATACATATGACAATATGCTCAAATTCACTAATACTATACAGGAATTTAAAATTAAAGTAACAGTGAAATATCATTTCACAGAGATCACATTAGCAGAAAGTAAAACCACTATTGCTTCTTGAGATAGAAAGAGTGCTCATAACTGGTTGGTTCCAAAATACTTGGAAGGCAATCCAGTGACATATTTTATAATTAAAATTATTAATATCTTTGATGCATCAATTCCACATCTGACAATCAATTTCGTAGAAATAACACCAATATTTTGGGAAATATATGAAATGATAGCACAGCATGGTTCATGAAGATAACAGAACACTTGACACAAAGTGATTGCCCATCATTAGGTAAATAATATATAATTGCACACTTACACTGTGGAATACTACACAGCTATTAAAACCATTAGATTTGCAGGGACTGCCAAAAGGTACTTTCAGTCACCAGTACCTTTTGGAAATCCCTTCAAACTTTGGAAAAGAAATAATAACAAAAAGCCTACCAGGTCTCTCTCTATATATGTATATATATATGTATGAGTAATTATCTGAATGCAAATAAAAAATTGAAAGCAGAATCACAAGATATTTTTCATGGGATATATGAGAGGGGAACACTGATGTGCCTAGAGGACAAAAAAGTAGAGACAATCAAAACAGTTTAAAAAAAGAAAGAAAGAAAAGTGCACTTAAAAAAAGCATTTATGTGAAAAGTTATGGGGCTCTTTAAAATAATATCTTGTGGGTATATGTATACATTAAACTAAAAATTTTTTAAATTTAAGATTACGATTAGCCTCATTAAAACAAACATTTTCTAAATGTTTAAGTTCTCACAACGTGAGGAATTTTTTGTAAATGCTCAATTGCAAGATAAATACTTAGAACTATTAAGAATACAACAGAAACAAAATATTCTTGTTTTGCACATTTCATTATGGTTTGTGAGTTAAGATTTCACTCTGAAGGATAATCCAACACATAATGTCCACAGCAGAGTTGTTAAATTCGATAACAACTAGCAAAATTAAAATTAAAGTAAAGAATAATTTGAAATTGGCAGGAAAGATGTCTTAAACAAACAACTGCAAGGAAGGCTAAAGTGTTTACTAAGACAATTTTTTAAAATATAAGCTTACCTCTTTCAAGCATTCTGAGTCCTCCTCCCTCTGGCCTGTTCCCTCTGCAGAACCCAGACAAGGAGGAAGGCTGGGACTGAAGGCCATGAGGTCCGTCTTATGCGGGCCCTCCCCAGAGCACACCCTCGGCCGCCTCTGCTGCGAGTACGACCAACTCCCTGCCGCGCTGGAGCACACTAGAGTGGGCTTGCCCGGCGCGCACGCGCCCTCGGTGGGCGGTGCCGAGCACCGCAGCGCAGTATACAGCAGCAACGTGAGCACCAACAGGCTGGACACCGCGCAGATGGCAATGATCAAGTAAACATTGACATCCACCAGCGCCGCTTCTGGACCCACAGCGCCTGCCGACGCCCTCGACGAAGCCTGTGGCGCTTGGCCGCTCTCCACCAGCGACAACAGCACCGTTGCCGTGGCCGTCAGCGCGGGCTCACCGTGGTCCTTCACCAGCACCAGAAGGCGGTGGTGCGGCGCGTCCACCTCGTCCAGAGGGCGCGTCGTGCTGATCTCGCCAGTGTACAGCCCCACGCGGAACGGGATGCGCGCGCCGACCGCCGCCAGCTGCAATTCATACGAAAGCCACGCATTGTAGCCCGAATCGGCGTCCACCGCGCGCACCTTCGCCACCACGTGGCCTGCACCCACCGACCGCGGCATCAGCTCGCTCACTGTGCCTCCCGCGCTGCCAGCCCCGGGCGTCAGCAGCGCCGGAGCGTTGTCGTTCTCGTCCAGCACGAACACCTGCAGCGTCACGTTGCTGCCCAGAGGCGGCACGCCAGAGTCGCGCGCGCTCACCTGGAACTGCAACAGCTCCAGCTCCTCGTGGTCCAACGGCTGCAGCGCGTACACCTTGCCGCTCTCCGCGTGCACCGACACGTAGCTCGACAGCGCACGCTCGCCCACCCGCCGCTCCACCAGCGAGTAGGAGACCAGCGCGTTCTCCTGTGCGTCCGCGTCCTGAGCAGACACCGTGAAGATGTGGCAGCCCGGCGGATTGTTTTCCTTCACGAACACCGTGTACTCGGGCTGCGCGAACGCCGGCGCGTTGTCGTTCACGTCGGCCACCCCCACCGACACGCTGGCCGTGGCCCACAGCGAAGGCGAGCCCCCGTCCCGCGCGGTCACCACCAGTTCATAGGCTGATACGCTCTCGCGGTCCAGGGCGCTGTCCAGCACTAATGAGTAGTAGTTCTTGTAGGTGGACACCAGCTTGAAGGGGACATGCGGCGTCAAGGTGCAGGTGACCTGTCCATTTGAGCCAGAGTCACGATCGGACACACTGATTAGGGCAATAATGGCGCTAGGCTGAGTGTCTTCTCTGATGGGGAGTGACAAAGAAGTGATGGTAACCTCTGGGGCGTTATCATTTACATCTAGTACTTCCACCAAAAGGGTACAATGACCCGCCATTGGAATATTTCCTTTGTCAACTGCCTCCACGGATATTTCATATAATTTCTTTTCTTCGAAATCTAGTTTGCCTTTTGTCCTAATTTCTCCATTGTTCGGATTTATGGTAAATGCATATACCACTGCAGGCCATACAGGCCTTCTAAATGAGTAAACTATATCTCCATTTGTACCATCATCAGGATCTGTGGCATTTAGCTTGATCACTAATGTTCCATTGAAGGCGTTCTCTAACACCGTCACTTTATAAACGGATTGGTAAAATTCCGGGGCGTTGTCATTCACGTCCAGAATCGTGATGAGCAGCTGAACTGTGCCAGTCAGCTCGGGTTTACCTCCATCACTGGCTGTCAGTAATAAACTATGTTCCTGAATTTCCTCTCTGTCCAGTGTTTTCCTCAGTACAAGTGATAATGAAGACATTTGCTCAAGACTGTTTTGTGCGTCCAAAGTGAAATAATCGTTGGGATCCAGTCGGTAGGTCAATGCCGAGTTTACTCCAATATCTGCATCGGATGCGCCATCTAGTGGAAATCGAGTTTCCGGAGGTCTAGATTCTGCAATGATTATTCGTTTCTTGCTTTCAGGGAATATGGGCGGGTTGTCGTTAATGTCCCTCACCTTCACCTCCACATGGAAAACCTGCAGAGGCCTGTCCACGATCACCTCCAGGTGGATGCTGCACTCCGCGCTCCGCCCACACAGCTCCTCGCGGTCGATCCGAGAATTCACAAACAAAATGCCATTCTGCAGATTTACCTCCAGAAGGTCCCCGTGTCTTTTGGACGCCACCCGGAACAGGCGCGGCACCAGCTCCGCCAGCTCCAGCCCCAGGTCCTGAGCGATGCGGCCCACGAAGGTGCCGTGTTTTGCTTCCTCGGGGACGGAGTAGTGGAGCTGGCCACTACCCGTCTCCCAGGCTGCGAGGATCAGAAGCCAGAGCAGTAGTTGCCGCGGTCTTGGGCCTCCTTGCCAGGAAGACAGCATGGTACACTCCAAAAACCTCAGAGCTATCTGCAATATATACAACGCCTTACCTCAAACTGTCTCTCAAGGCCCAATTTTTATGGCTTCCTAGTGCGGAAGGATTCGCAAGAGGTATTCCGCTTTCTGCTATATTTTCTGCAGGAAGAAAGAAACGGCGGCTTTCTTCGCGGAAACGTTCTCAGTGAAGAGCGACACCATGCGCATGAACGTGTAAGTGTAAGTATGACTCAGTCTTCATATTTTCCATTGATGTAGTATTTTTTTGCCCCTTGCATTTCCTGACATTTTCACTGCAAATATGTAATTGAAGATTAAATGTTTACCTTCCCAGAAACAGCAAATCACTGCATTCTGCTCAACATTTTATATTAGCTGACAATTGGTTGATGAGTTTCATTTTGCCACAAATTTATTTTTCCATGTGTAAGAATTCCATGCAGAACTTTAAGACAAAGAATATTCGACACTCGTTTTGGGACAATTGATCGGTAGTTCTGCATAGTCATGTAGGTTTTTGTGGTACTGTCCTCTTCCTGTAATATTTTTCAAGACCTCCTCACACAACAGCCATTGACTCCAAAAGGAAACATAACAATCACATAAGAATAAAATCGGTGAAGGTGAAAAATATTGGTAACTGATATATCAGATTTTGAATAAGCACATCATATTAATAAATTTCCCTCAATGTGACTTGAGATGTAGATAAGATATTTATATTCAAAAGAAAGTGTTCAGTCAATATGTGTGGGATTTTGTATGTGAGTGTGTGTATGTGCATAAACACAATAATTTAGCCACAACAATGCTCTAAGGTTTTGGATTCTGTTTTTATAAAATATGCCTGGAACTAATATCCTATTGATTTAATAGAATTTAACTTACCGCCGCCGGCTGCAATTCATACGAAAGCCACGCATTGTAGCCCGAATCGGCGTCCTGGTTAAATAGAATTTAACCAGGAGGTTAAAGTTTCCATTTTCTCTCTCCATCTTACTTCATCATCACTGAGTAAAACCTTGCCGTCATTTAAATTGACTTTAATTTTCCAAGAAACAACAGCTAGACAAAGATGTTAACATATCTTTAGCAAGGAAAAGAGGAAGAGGATCTTACTTTTATCTATTGTTATAACTATCTCTACCAAGCCACAAAATCCCAGGCCAAATGGTGTAATGAAAAATATATCATAGCTCCAATAATTATCTGGCCTGTTCTGTGCACAACTCTATAGGAAATGACTGTTGGGTTTATTTCCATAGCTCTGCTCTCCTCTGAAAATTTAGGCAGAGTATTTGGTATTCTCTTACCCTCATCATCCTCTCCTGCTCCATTACTTTTACTAACATAGTATTTCTCTTCTAATTCTTTCTATCTGGCCCTACATTTCTTTATTTACCTCTTCACATAATTAGACTACATAGTCAACCATTTAAAATATGCCCTTCCAGACACTCTAGAGTCATTCACCTATTTATATTACTCCTCTAACATTCTTTTTAGCCTCCAACACGCAGTTACACTGACAATCCATTTTCTCTATGCTTCCTATTAAGCTGCTCAACATTGTCACTTAACCATGACTATTCTCTTCAAATTTACTCTCACCTTTACCTCAGTTGGGCTCTCAAGTGAATTGATAATTAACTCCTCCCTCTTGCTTACAGAGATTCTTCCATATTCTCTTTCCTCTCTTCTCAAATTCTCAACCTCATTTCCATCAGTTCACTTTCAGATGATTCACACATTGAGAGATGTGACCAAACAGAAATTCAATTGCTCTCTTCTTGTGTCATTTTTCCTTATATTATCTGTTTTCATTTTCTACTAGTTGTAAGGAAAAACTGTTCCCGCTTTTAAGGTCAACCATATGCTCTTAAAAATTATTTTCTATTCTCTCATGGTTTTCATCTAAATTCACCTGCTGCCTGTCTTATTTTTAGTATCTTATTTTTTACTTGTTTCTTTCACTCACACTATGAAGATAGTCAAACTTCTTTAACTAAAATATGTATACATACACACACGCACATACACTAATTTAAATGTTCTACTTCTGGTGGAAAACCTCTTCTGTTTATCTTTTTCCCTTCATGTTTAACTTCTAACATATACTTGATATATTGCACTTTGAGCTTTATTTCAGCTTCCTGTTGTCTATCCTTCTATGATTTTAAGCCTACTATAATAGGTTGAATTGTGGTCCCCAAAAAGTTATGCCCACATCTTAATCCCTGGAACTTGTGGATTTTACTTTATATGGTGAATAATATGATTAAGTTAAGGATCTTGAAAGGAGTTTATCCTGGATTATCCAGATGGGCCCTAAATACAATCACATGTACCTTTGTAAAACCAACACATAGAGAGAGACATGGAGAGGAGGAGGCAATGTGACCATGAAAGCTGAGAAGGCTGAGATGGGAGTGGTACAGCCACAAGCCAGGGAACACCAACAGCCAATAGAAACTGGAAGAAACAAAAACCAGATTCTTCCCTGGGGCCTCCAAAGAGAGTATAGCCTTGACAACACCTTGATTTTGGACTTCTGGTCTCCAATACTGAGAAATAATAAACTTTTGCTGTTTTACAGCACCCAGTTTGTGTTCGTTTGTTATAGCAGCCACAGGAAGCGACACACTTACCCACCTAAGTACCTGGACACATTGTTTTTCACTTTTCAATGTCTGTCTTGGCAATTTTATTCTTTCATGGATTATTTTTTTCTCTAAAGGAGTTGTTCCCAAAATCTATATCAATAATCTCTTCTGAGATCCAGACCCATATTTCCAATCACAACGGTATTCTCTTAGGACTTCAAAGTAACATTTTCTTAAATGTTCATCTCCATTCCCTACCTGCTCAAATACACACAAACTGTTTCTCCAACCTTGTTCTGCAGGTTGGTTAATGGCAATGTCATCTTCTCAGCTGAACAAACTAAAAAAGTGAGAGTCAACTTCTACTTTTGTTTTTCTCTTATCATTTGTATTGAGTCTGTCATTATCTGGCTGCTTCTACTTTGCCAGTGCCTCTTGTATATGTCTTTTTCAATTCATTTCTACTGCCATAATTTAAGTCTCCATTACTTGATACCTAATTTATTAAAAAAGAAATAGCTTTCCTGCCTTCACAATCTCCCCTGCTCTAATCCTTCAATTACACCATATACTGTGCAGTTGTTCCTACTTATCTCTCTTAACACTTTCTTGGTAAAATGTTGTCTATCTTTCAAGACACTCTTCAATAAAACATTATCTGATTTCTAGGGCATACTCTCATTTCTAAGATAGAGGGGAATGTCCAGGTAATACATTTCAATACCATATATTTATTTAAAATTATTGATTGAAGCTGGGAGTGGTGGAGCCTGCCTGTAGTCTCAGCTACTTGAAAGGCTGAAATGGAGGATCAGTTGAACCCAGAAGTTCTAGTCCAGCCTGTGCAACATAGCAAGACCCCCATATGTTTTTAAAAAGTGATTGAACATATACTATATTCCAGATCCTAAACTAAAGATATGTAAGAAAGTAGATATAAGGCTGGAAATTTTAATGCCTTTACTACCAGGCTGGGGTATGTAAGACTTTATTCCCTGGTTAAAGAGAAGCCTCTGGATATTTTTGTAGAAATAGAAAGTTAAAATATGTAAAATGCACATTAGAAGATTCACTTGGTAATAGGCACAGGGCAGTGGTATACTATGATAAGTTTGGGATCATCTGAAACTGGTTTGAGCCACAGTTGGTTACCAACTGTACTGTATCGTACAGATGGTTAAATATTTTTAAATTGAGAAATGATTTTATTATATTTCATGTAAATAAGAATAGTACAGTATCTATTCCTACTTGAAATAAAGAAGATATTTTGTGAGCAATGAAGAAAATCATTCATCATATGTCAGACATATCATTTATATTATTGTGATAATACCTGGAATATAATGTGAAAATGTCTAGATTGTACTGAAATTAGAATAGTGATCAAGAAGGCTATTTTAAAAGCCTAAGCACGTGAGGAAGAGTTAAAGAATCCATTAATGGGATCTAGGAACTCTTTGTACCATTCTTGCAACTTACCTGTAATCTTGAAATTATGAACAAATTAAATTTTTAAGTTATCAAACATCTGGCCACTTTTTAATCTAATATACTGTTTTTTTCAAGGTTCATCAGTCATATAAAATATTATAGAAAAAGAAAAATATTAAGTGTGGTGCTCCATGGCCTCCATTGTACCTACATATTTCCTTCATTAATGTTAGACAAATACATAAAAGTTCAAAATGAGTAAGAATGACCAAGAAAGATGAGACATTCGATAGTTTAAAGGATAGAATCATAAAGAAAAATGAGAGAATGTAGTTATAACCTAAACGGAAGTTCTTCAAGGAAACAAATATATCTAAATAATATTAATAACTTACTTCACTGGGAGGATTTAAACAATCTTCTCGAGACAGCTGAAGGCTTGGGCTGAAGGCCATGAGGTCCGTCTTGGGCGGGCTCTCTGCAGAGCACACCCTCTGCCTCCTCTGCTGCGAGTAAGACCAACTCCCCACGGCGCTGGAGCACACCAGCGTGGGCTTGCCCGGCGCGCACCGGCTCACGGTGGGCGGCGCTGAGCAACGCAGCGCAGTGTACAGCAGCAGCGTGAGCACCAGCAGGCTGGACACCGCACAGATGGCGATGATGAGGTACACGTTAATATCCACCAGAGCCGCTTCGGGATCCACAGCGCCCACTGAGGCCCGCGACGACGTCTTTGGGGCCTGGCCGTTCTCCACCAGCGACACCAGCACCGTGGCCGTGGACGTCAGCGCGGGCTCACCGTGGTCCTTCACCAGCACCAGCAGGCGGTGGCGCGGAGCGTCCGCCTCATCCAGGATGCGTGTCGTGCTGATCTCGCCAGTGTACAGCCCCACGTGGAACGGGATGTGCGCGCCGACCGCCGCCGGTTGCAACTCGTAGGACAGCCAAGCGTTATAGCCGGAGTCAGCGTCCACCGCGCGCACTTTCGCCACCACGTGGCCCGCACCCACCGACCGCGGTACCAACTCGCTAACTGCGCCTCCTGCGCTGCCAGCCGGAGTCGCCAGCAGTGCCGGCGCGTTGTCGTTCTCGTCCAGCACGAACACCTGCAGCGTCACGTTGCTGCCCAGAGGCGGCACGCCGGCGTCGCGCGCGCTCACCTGGAACTGCAGCAGCTCCAGCTCCTCGTGGTCTAGCGGCTGCAGCGCGTACACCTTGCCGCTCTCCGCGTGCACCGACACGTAGCTCGACAGTGCGTGCTCGCCCACCCGCCGCTCCACCAGCGAGTAGGACACCAGCGCGTTCTTCTGCGCGTCCGCGTCCCATGCCGACACCGTGAAGATGTGGCAGCCCGGCGGGTTGTTCTCCTTCACGAACACTGTGTACTCGGGCTGCGCGAACGCAGGCGCATTGTCGTTCACGTCGGCCACCTCCACGGACACTCTAGCCGTGGCCCACAGCGAAGGCGAGCCCCCATCCCGCGCAGTCACCACCAGCTCATAGGCCGACACGCTCTCGCGGTCCAGGGCGCTGTCCAGCACCAACGAGTAGTAATTCTTGTAGGTGGACACCAGCTTGAAGGGAACATGAGGTGTCAGTGAGCAGATGACCTGTCCATTGGCTCCAGAGTCACGATCCGACACGCTAATCAGGGCAATGACGGTACCCACCTGAGCATCCTCTTGCACAGGGAGCGACAGTGAAGTAACCATTACTTCAGGGACATTGTCATTCACGTCCAGAACTTCCACCAGGACCATGCTGTGACCTGCCATGGAAGGAATCCCTTTATCAATGGCGTTAACCTGAATTTCATAGGCATTATTCTCTTCAAAATCCAGTTCACCATAAATTCTAATTTCACCTGTGTCTGGATTTATTGAAAACATACATTTCTCACTCACTGGCAAAATCATTTTGATCCCATAGGAAATTTCTCCATTAAGTCCTTCGTCTGGATCGGAAGCATTTAGTTGGATCACTCTTGTGTCGTTTTGGACATTTTCAGACAACACTACTTTATAGCTGGGCTTATCAAACGCCGGACCATTGTCATTCACATCCAGGACGGTTATTTGAATCTGGACAGACCCTGTTAGTTCTGGTTTACCGCCATCGATTACCATCAGCAATAAATTGAGTTTTGGCGTTTGCTCTCTGTCCAATAACTTCCGAAGAACTAATTCAGGCAATATACTTTTATCTTTTTTTGTTTTTATTTTAAGCTCAAAATTCTCATTTAGACTTAACGCATAGGTCAAAAGAGAGTTTACGCCGATATCCGCATCAGAAGCGCCCTCTAGAGGAAAATGAGAGTCCAGAGGCGCAGATTCAGAAACAGGTACCTTTTGTTCCCTTTCTCTGAACACCGGCGGGTTGTCGTTAATGTCCTTCACCTCCACGTCCACATGGAAAACCTGCAGCGGCCTGTCCACGATCACCTCCAGGTGGATACTGCACTCCGCGCTCCGCCCGCACAGCTTCTCGCGGTCGATCCGAGAATTCACAAACAAAATGCCATTCTGCAGATTTACCTCCAGAAGGTCCCCGTGTCTTTTGGACGCCACCCGGAACAGGCGCGGCACCAGCTCCGCCAGCTCCAGCCCCAGGTCCTGAGCGATGCGGCCCACGAAGGTGCCGTGTTTGGCCTCCTCGTAGACGGAGTAGTGGAGCTGGCCGCTCCCCACCTCCCAGGCTGCAAGGAGCAGAAGCGAGAGCAGCAGACGCTGGGATCCCGGGCCTCTTGGTCCGATAATCACCATTGCAGAAAATGAGGGCCTCTGAGTTGGGACAATCAGTTTTAAGGGATCGCTTGCCTGAGGTATTTTATGAGCAGTCACCCTTTTCTGTAAGTACATATTTAGTAAATTTTTTCCAGCATCACAGTCATTATGGAGTCGATCCTATTCCGTGAATGATTGGAATGTGGGTGCGGAGAAAAAAATTTTCCTGTTTCACCTTCTGAGTGTAGAGCGACATCATGTGACTGATTATGTAAGTACAAGAAAGATCCTGAGGTTCTTTTCGGTTTAGCCACTTCCTGGGTCACTCTTAATTCTAATGTTTCGACTTTGGGTTATTTTTCACGGATCATTTATAAATGCGGGTTTAGTTAATATACATGATATTAGTAACAAAACATCAACAATTTTATTACGCTGTAGCTTAAAAATGTTTTCTGCTTCAAAGTAGAAATCTTTCAAATACAGTAGGCCAGAACCTACACTTTATCATGGAAAATGATATACAGAATAATATACAGCACCCCTCCCCTTATATAGCTTACAATTCCGCTGTTTCAATAACTTTTAACCTTCACAAGCACTCCATCGTAAGATTTTAGAGAAAGTTAGGAATTTGTATTTAACAAAGGATAAGAAACTAAAATATGTCTAATACCAAACAATATTTCATTTATATAAATTGTCTTATTCATAAATCTGATGAAAGTTAGAATTCATCATAAATATGGAGAGCGTTATTGTTTGGTTCCTTGATGCTTGAATGTGATAACTTTTCACATAACTGCTCTCATTTCCATAACATGTTAAAACAAATCTCAGGAATAGATTCTGGAAAGTTTTACTCTAGCAAAAGTAAAGCACTTTAATGTAAAATGTTTAGTTGAAGCCTCCAAATTTCACACTATCCCAAAGCAACAATGGAGCACTAAAATGCGAAAGATCTCTTAAAGGGTTTTGGAGCCTAATCTCATTGACTAAAGTCAAGAGAATGTGAACTTGATATCAACCTTTTGCTTTTTCTCTAAATCTTCCCCTACAGGTCATTTAGTAGTTAGGACATGCTTCTCTTCAGAAAATCAGAATGGTGACTGTTATGCAAGGGGGCATCAAAAGACCTTTCATGAGTTTATTCATTAATTCAAGATCAGCTTTAAGAGAAAAAAACAGATAAGATCCTACAACTCATTGTGAACAAGTACACATAGATTTTGTAAGTCTATTAATACTCAAGTCAAAATCTTTAAACCAATAATTTGTTGCCATTCATTCCTACTGCATATAATAATAAAGGCAACTGAAATATGACACCTTTACAACACCAGGAAAGAGTAACCAAGAATGGCTCTACAAGTATAAGATAACTTAAATAAACTATAAAACGTTAAGTAATTAAAAACATATTTGAATTTTGATGTCATCAGGCTAATTATTTAAATTGTCTAATATCATCACCAAGTTTCTTTCCTATTTTTCATTTTCAAAAGTGGTCAATGTACCATACATGCTAAGGAACTTTAATTTTAAAAAATAGGCTGGGCTCAGTGACTTACACCTGTAATCCCAGCACTTTGGGAGGCTGAGGCAGGCAGATCACCTGAGGTCAGGAGTTCAAGACCAGCCTGGCCAACATGGTGAAAACCCATCTCTACTAAAAATACAAAAATTAGCCAGGAGTGGTGGTGCATGCCTGTAGTCCCAGCTTCTCGGAAAGCTGAGGCAGGAGAATTGCTTGAACATGGGAGGTGGAGATTGCAGTGAGCTGAGATTGCGCCACTGCACACCAGCCTGGGTGATAGAGCAAGACTCTATCTCAAAAAGAAACAAATAATAATAGTGTGTTATGTAGTTCTCACATACTCTTTGACCTAAACAAATTGTTAAGCCAATAGGAACATCTAAGTTTAGCTTAATACTTAAACAACCAAACTAGAAAATAAATTGAAATTATAATTTTATACCATAGAATGCAATCTTGGCATTAAGTATAAAAGACACAACTTTGCAGAAATCAGTCCAAGTAATTTGAATTATCTAAAATGCAAATTTGTTATTTATGTGATATAAAATAATAATTTACAAAATTTTAACCTGTACTGAAAACATTCCCAAGTCTTTAAAAGATCTTCAGTTATTCCAAAAATTTCATCTGGAGATGAGTAATGTATGCCCTATCTAATATTCACCTTTATTATATTTATAAAGTTTCATAAGTGGTATGATGGTTTAATCACTTTTGAGTCTGAAATATTTTATATTTTTATATTGTTGCCTTCTCTTTAATACTTAAAGAATGTTTTTAGCCAATGAATATTATGATACAAAAGCTCTCGATCTAAAGTCTATGAATAGGCTTCAGCATAGACTCTTTGAATATTGTGCCAAATGGTATGTTATGCCTCTATACGGGGGGGAAATAGCTAGATATGATTCTCAAGAAAGTCTGTAATACCACCACTCTACGTGTAGTAAGAATAACTAAATATGAAGAATGACTCAGAAGTAAATGATCTTTGCTCAAATCTTCAGATGGGATGATACTACGTGGAAAGAAAATTTCAAAAACATTAGAGATAAGGCATTACAAGATAGAGCAGTTACAAAGTGAGATGAATGAAACTGATAATTGTCAGTAGGTACTCACATTAATATATTTAATTTTTTCTCTGCTAGATGAATCTGAAAAACTTATGGAAGAATGCCAACTAGCATATATTATAGATAATATAGCCCTATATGCATGTCTTTAGCAAGTTTAGATAATTTGAATAATTTTATTTACCTAGTTTCCTTTGGAATCATAAATCATGCCATTTTGTTTGAGTATCCAATAGTTGACAAATCTCTTGCCTTTTCATGGAACAAAATCAAGAACAGGCAAAAAAAATTATTTTTTCAGATGGGGGTCTCACGATGATAGGTCACTGCAGCCCTGAACCCCTGGGTTCAGGGGATCCTCTCATGTCAGCCTCCCAAGAAACTGGGACTACAGGCATGCACCACTAGGTCTGGCTAATTTTTTAATTTTTTATAGAGACAGGATCTCGCTATGTTGTCCAGGCAGGCCTCGAACTCTTGGGCTCAAGCAATTCTCCTGCCTCAGCCTCCCAAATAGCTGGGATTACAGGCCTGAACCACTTTGCCTGGCAAGAACATGTAGAATTTTAGTCATATTATTTCCATAAAGCAGCATATAAGAATGCAAGGCTTAACTTTTTTCTTCAAACAATATGAAAACAAGTATTATCACAGGAATAAAGACAAAAGTAAAGATTGTTTCATATATAATGAATTTATGATGAACGTTTAACACTGTAAAAAAAAAAAAGAAAAGTAAATCATGTCATACTAATGGAGTATTCTAGCTTTGATACAAGCCTGAAGTTAGGAAAGCCAATGGACTAAGTGCAGTGGCACTGCATTCCCAGCTACTCTGGAGGCTGAAGTGGGAGAATTCTTTGAGCTTAGCAGTTCCAGGCTACAGGTCACCTGTAAATAGCCACTGCAGTCCAACCTGGACATCATAGGAAGACCTCCTCCCTTTAGAAAAACAAAGCCAGTTGATCTAACAATGTGGAAATATCAAGGCAAAACTCTGCTAAAAGACAAAGAGGAGCAAATTTAAATAATCCATAGTTATTATGGTCATAATTGAAGTTTAGAGATGAAGGGGCATGGGTACTTTAGTGAAAATAGTAATTATTTCTACTCAAGTGACTACAGAAGAGTCACTCTTGCATCTCATTTCTTTTAGGATTTGCTAACCAAATATTAAGAGAAATAGGACATTTATTGGTTAAAGAAGCCAGATTATTCATATGATTAAAAGACTGAAGATGTGTATCATTTGGTATTTTATGAACAGACATTGTTATCTAAAACAATATTCAAAACACTGGTTATTCATAAAACTTTCCCTTAAAAAATCCGTGAAAAAAAACTGGATTTTAAATAATTTCACATACACTTCCTGATAGGTGGAATCTGTAGAAAACTCACCTGTCCGGGGTGATTTGACCCTGGCTCCTGTCTTTCCCCTTCCTCCTCTTTATTCAGACCTAGAGGAAGACTGGGGCTGAAGGCCATGAGGTCCGTCTTAGGTGGGCCCTCCTCAGAGCACACCCTCTGCCGCCTCTGCTGCGAGTATGACCAGCTCCCCACCGCGCGGGAGCACACCAGCGTGGGCTTCCCCGGCGCGCACGCGCCCTCAGTGGGCGTTGCCGACCACCACAGCGCCGTATACAGCAGCAGCGTGAGTACCAGGAGGCTGGACACCACGCAGATGGCGATGATCAGGTACACGTTGACATCCACCAGCGCAGCCTCTGGGCTCGCGGCGCCCGCCAAAGTCCGGGAAGAGGCCTTTGGCGCCTGTCCGCTCTCCACCAACGACACCAGCACGGTGGCCGTGGCCGTCAGCGCCGGCTCACCGTGATCCTTCACCAGTACTAGAAGTCGGTGGCGCGGCGAGTCTGCCTCGTCCAGGGCACGCGTTGTGCTTATCTCGCCCGTGTACAGCCCCACGCGGAACGGGATGCGCGAGCCGCCCGCCGCCGGCTGCAATTCATATGAAAGCCACGCGTTGTAGCCTGAGTCCGCATCCACTGCGCGCACCTTCGCCACCACGTGGCCCGCACCCACCGACCGCGGTACTAGCTTGTTAACTGCGCCTCCCGCGCTGCCAGCCTGAGTCGCCAGCAGTGCCGGCGCGTTGTCGTTCTCGTCCAGCACGAACACCTGCAGCGTCACGTTGCTGCTCAGAGGCGGCACGCCCGCATCGCGCGCGCTCACCTGGAACTGTAGCAGCTCCAGCTCCTCGTGGTCCAACGGCTGCAGCGCGTACACCTTGCCGCTCTCCGCGTGCACCGACACGTAGCTCGACAGCGCGCGGTCGCCCAACCGCCGCTCCACCAGCGAGTAGGACACCAGCGCGTTCTCCTGCGCGTCCGCGTCCCGCGCCGACACTGTGAAGATGTGGCAGCCTGGTGGGTTGTTCTCCTTCACGAACACGGTGTACTCGGGCTGTGCGAACGCAGGCGCATTGTCGTTCACGTCGGCCACCTCCACGGATACCCTGGCCGTGGCCCACAGAGAAGGCGAACCCCCATCCCGCGCAGTCACCACCAGTTCATAGGCCCACACGTTCTCGCGGTCCAGGGCGCTGTCCAGCACCAACGAGTAGTAATTCTTGAAGGTGGACACCAGCTTGAAGGGAACGTGGGGCGTCAGCGAGCAGGTCACCTGTCCGTTGACACCTGAGTCACGGTCAGACACGCTGATCAGGGCAATGACCGTGCTGGGCTGAGCGTCCTCTCGTACTGGGAGGGACAAGGAAGTCACGGCGACTTCAGGAGAGTTATCGTTGGTGTCCAAGATTTCCACCCAGACTGTACAGTGACCTGCCATTGGGGGAGTCCCCTTATCTGTAGCCTGTACTTCAATTTTATAAAACTTGTTTTCTTCATAATCTAAAGTTCCATTGACCCTCACTTCTCCATTATTTTGATCTAGTGTAAATAAGTGTCTTCCATTGGGCTTAATTGACATTAAGGAGTATGTTACCTCTCCATTGACTCCTTCGTCTCGGTCTGTGGCGTTTAGTTTGAGCACAAGAGTTTCTTTAGCAGCATTTTCCATAAGGCTCACCTTATATTCTGATTTATCAAACTCTGGATCATTGTCGTTGACATCCAAGACTTGGACTAACAGCCGAACGGTGCCAGTAAGCTCTGGTTTTCCCCCGTCTGTAGCTGTTAGCAGCAAATTAAGTTCCGGAGTTTTCTCTCTATCCAGAGACTTCTTTAAAATAAGTGACAGTCTTTTAATCTGCTTACCATTTGTTGGTGAATCTAAAGAAAAATACTCATTTTTACTTAGCCTGTAGGTCAATAGAGCATTCTCTTCAATGTCAGCATCAGAAGCTCCCTCTAGTGGAAAACGCGAGTCCGATTGCTTAGATTCCGCAATCAGCAGCTTTTGTTCTCTGAGCGAGAACACCGGCGGGTTGTCGTTAATGTCCTTCACCTCCACGTTCACATGGAAAACCTGCAGCGGCCTGTCCACGATCACCTCCAGGTGGATGCTGCACTCCGCGCTCTGCCCGCACAGCTCCTCGCGGTCGATCCGAGAATTCACAAACAAAATGCCATTCTGCAGATTTACCTCCAGAAGGTCCCCATGTGTTTTGGACGCCACCCGGAACAGGCGCTGCACCAGCTCCGCCAGCTCCAGCCCCAGGTCCTGCGCGATGCGGCCCACGAAGGTGCCGTGTTTGGCCTCCTCCGAGACGGAGTAGTGGAGCTGGCCGCTCCCCACCTCCCAGAATTCGAGGAGGAGAAGCCAGAGCTGTAGTCGTGGGGTGCCCAATCCCCTTCTCTGAAAACCAAACATCGCATACGAAATTGGCTTCCAAAATAAGCTTCTTTACACTTACAGTACCAGATTCTTCAGTTTCAGGTTAAAAATCTCGTTGAATTCTTAAGAAGTTTCAAAGGATCCTTAAACGGTGGCATCCGGTATGATGGAGTTCCTTTGTATGGGAGTGCCTCACTGTTCAGACCAACCTTTAAATGAACTTTCCACCAAGTAAAGAGCGACACCTTGCGCCTAAAACTGTGAGTACTGTGCACTGCATTTACCACCACAGAATTTCACGTGTTTTGGGTTTCTTCCCCCAAATATTTCCAACGTGCTTATTTATGGAATATTCAGATTATAAGTCATATTGAAACTAAATATATATGGAAATGGCATTGTATTTCTCGATTAACATCAAATTTAAATTATTGTGTCTATGTTTGACTTAACATTATAACATTGTTCTTTTACTTATCTAAAATACTTATACACAGAGTGAGAGAGAAAGAGAATTCAGTTGTTAAGGTGGCCTCATGAAAAACTAGGGTTAAACATTTCCTGAAAGTGTTGTTCCTCATATAAAAATACTATCAAATTTGAATTGTTTTACTTTCAGTCTCCCTTGTTACTTTGGCTGCTAGGGAACTCAAAGAAAAAATTGAAGTTTTATAAAAGCAGCTCTTTAGTGTTTATGTTCCACATGATCTATTCTCATCTCTGTGGGCTTGCATTTTCATATCTATTTTCTATAGTTCTCATTCTTTACTGTTATTTACATTTAATTGCTTTCTGATTATAAG
Organism: Homo sapiens; assembly: GCF_000001405.40. Taxonomy (NCBI): domain Eukaryota; kingdom Metazoa; phylum Chordata; class Mammalia; order Primates; family Hominidae; genus Homo; species Homo sapiens. The sequence goes on along the minus strand of NC_000005.10, from coordinate 140,868,336 downwards.
TGACTTTATATTCATTGCAGAACAATATGAAAAACAAATATATTCATATTCTCAAACTTGGTAGTTTTAAAAAAGAATCCACAAAGGAAAAGTCTATTGATCTAGATGAGTTTTTATTTGACATATATTATTTCTAATGTAAGCCATAGTAGCATAATATGAGATATCAAAATTTAGCACTTTATGTAACAGAATCAATGATATGACAGAAATAGGCTTTTCAACTATAAAATAAATTTTATTATCATTTTATAAAATAAATAAAATCACCCTGAACATCTTTGTGCCATATTGGTATTTCCAAGTCACCAACATTGGTTTCCTTAATCTAATTCAGTTATATTCATGAAAATAGTTTGTTTCTTGTTGAAAGAATTTTGGGTTTGGGAGCAGAAGTTCATGGAAAACAAGGGAAGTGATTTTTAATTATACCTTCTGTAAGTACCTGATATTGTGCTTAAAACATAGAAAATTAATCAAACAATTCAACTAAATGGTAAATTACCTTAGTGCTTGTGGAAATGGAATTTCATAGAAAATGCTAAGTAAAATACAGGAATTGCTTATGAGAGTTTTCTTTGCCTGAAGTTGTAACTTGCTTGAATTTTCTTTGTCTTTTCATATACCCTTAGGATTTAGGAGGAAAAAAAGAAGATGCAACAAAATTTTAGAGTAGAAAGTGATTTAGAATAAATATCACTCTAGCTTAAATATTTTGTTCTATAGTTTTGATGGTTTATCTCCAATCTAAAAATACTGCAAGGGCATATGAAAAAGTTATCATATGTGTATGCTAATATTTTATATATATATTCAACTATTAATTTGAGATTTTGTTCTACTTTTTTCATATTTACTCTTTTCCCAATGTTGTCATAACACTAGAACTCTAATTCAGGTAAATGCAAAATTCTGTATTAAAAAATTAAAGGAGACATATCAACTTTTATAACCGTTAATTCCATTACGCATCTGTAAAATAATCAATCATAGTAGCCTCTAATCAAAACATAACATTAGACCAGATGACAGTATATTCAACATGATATTTGAAGCACATCAGGTTTATTTTGAACAAAAGGAAACAACAGATCCTCAATCACCTTATTATGGGAATTGGGGATGAAGATGTTACATGGAATGTGGAGTCTTGCGAGGTAGGGAAATGAACCTTAGAAGGTTTACTCTGGAAAAATGATAATATCACATATTTGAATTAAAACAATATGTTAATTTAGGTGTTAATTTCCAACAATACAGTATTTTGTGAATATATAAAGTAGTACTGAACAAACGCCAAGTCATAAAAGAGTTTGATATAGTGTATGAATCAATGACCCATCTTTTGCATTTTGGCTGTGATATTTCAGATGTCACCATCTCAACCAGCCCCTAGTGAAGAGATTATGCGCCCTTTGAACTCATCTTTGAGGATCAGCCTAATATCTGGGTATAGGCTAATACCAAGAAGTCATTTCAATACAGTTATTGTTAACTGATTTTGTAAAATCAATTGAAGATTAAGGAACTTTGTGCCTGACTTTTACTATATCAGTCAGGACATACAATCTGCCTGTATGTCCTGTTAGTCATATAAGTATTAGAGTGCATAGTTTAATGTCTTACTAGTGCACGTCATCCACTGATATTCTAACAGACCTAGTGCTATTATTTCTTGAAAACACATAAATAAATTTTGACACCGTTGTCAGAACCCCAGGAGGTTCTCCAAAACCAACAGATTAGAATTACATTATCCAACCACTGTATTAACAAAATTATAGGATTTATTCCGTGATGCTAATTCTGCTCTATCATGGCTTAGTCAAGTAAAAACAGTTATTTGGTCACAAATCATTTGTCAGTTGTTATGAGCTTCCCAGCCAACAATAAGACTGAAGAAGACTGAAAGACCTACACACATTTGAAGATTTTCATGGGAATCTATGTCTTTAAAATTGTTATTGAAGTATGCAATATTGTAAACATTTCTTGAATCCTTTGGCCAAGTTCAGGGTCCCTGAAATAATAATATCAACATCTATACTTGTCCCAAACACTGTCTTTATTCACAGTAAAGAAAGAAGGGTGTCATTTTTGGTATATAGTATTTAGTTTAGGTGTTCCACAAGGATATTGGAAACCACAGTTTTCTGACTTTTCTTACATGTTAAACGATTCTTACTTATATCACTTCCAAACAACAGATACGTAGTTCTTATAAGGCAACTCTTAATTACTTAACAATTACATAACCAAAATACCTATCTCAGTGTGGCATTGATTAAAACAAATGATAATGATGATCACGAACTCTTACAAGAAAAAAATCACTTAACATAAAAAAACTTAGTGCCATCTCAATCACACATTGTACAAAATTAATGATGAAGACAATCATGAAGTTTCTTCTAAGCACAACAGAAAGAAAGATTTGCCTGTACACAATTTGTGCTTGATTTTCCTAGCCGAGACCATGTTTGAGCAGAGAAATGACTTACTAAAGAAAGCTCTACATTATAGTGGATAAAAGAATGAGTCTGAAGCCTGAAAGATACACATTTGAATAATATCTCCACCATGTACTGGCACTGGATAAAATAGATACACATCTCAGCTTCTCTTATTTTATCTTTCAAATTGGAACAGTCATATGTACTTTAGAAATTGTTATAAGTATTAAATGAAATAATGTATTTAAGTCCCTTCATGATGTCTAACAAATATATTAATAAACTGCTCAAACAATGGTGATTTATTATCATGAGTTACTGATCAATATTGGCTCTTGTCCTATAGCTATGGATGAAGAGAATTCCAGCACCATAAAGTAGGACAGGGTTTTCCCTTTTCTGAAGATTTCCTTAATGTTTATCTTCATAGAAATCATCTTCTCAGAAGTTATTTTTCTAGGTAGACACTACTAATTCCTTTTCAGCATTTATATTAACTTTACCCTACCTATAACATGGTTATCCTGCAATATGTAAATATACTATTTCTTTACACAGAATTAAAGGCCATCTCATTTGTAATTAGAGCCAAAAAGAGCAAAGTAATTTTACATATAATTTGATACACATCCTTACAGCTATAAATACGTGTTCTCTGGGATCCCTTTAAAGAAAGCAATTCACATTAATATGGTGTGAAGGCAAAAAATATTTTGCATCAAATATATCAAAAGTATACAATGTTAAATTCTAAGGTATAATTAACACCACAATTGTCAAGTGGAAGTGCCTTTATTAATATCCCATGGTTCTTATACTTAAGTTATTAAAAACAATGACATTTTTTGGTAGAGATGGGGGTCTCACTATGTTGCCGAGGCTGGTCTCAAACTCCTGGTCTCAAGCGATCCTCCTCCCTCGGCTTCCCAAAATGCTGGGATTACAGGCCTGAGACACCCTGCCAAGCTCAGCAATGCCATTCTGAAGACCATGCAGCTTAATGAACACAGACAATGGTATCACCCTTCATCATGTATGGGAAGACTCTCTTATACTTAAAGCCCAAATAAGTGTGAATTTTCCTACCCTAAAATATTTTCATACAGCCAGGTACCAAAAATGAAAGAAAAATGAGTATAATCGGTGCTCAAAGAAATCTTCCCAAAATAGTAGAAGAGCTCAACAACTTAAACTGGAGGACAGCAGCAATTAAGTCAACAGGTAATTAAGTAGAGCTGACATTGTTTTGTTTTGTTTTCTTTTTAAAAAAGAACAAAGTTGTTGGCTATCTGAAGTAGTTGAAGATTGTGAAGACAATGACCTAAAATGAAATTATAAGAAGATTGAAGACAAAAATTAAGAAGTAAAATCACCTTTAAAGGCAAGGCTAAAATTCCACCCACTGCAATCAACATCTCAAAAAAGATGGATATTGATCATGAAGAAACAAAATTGTTTGTGGACGAAGCTGCCTCAACCCTGCTCATCACCATTTGTGAGAGATAAACTTATCGATTATAGAAAGATAAACATTTAAACATGTTTTAAACTCAAATAATTATGATATTAAATATTGTCATGGTATTTTTGAATACATAAAAACAATAAGGAATGGAGGACACAAATCAGAATAAGAAAATGAATAGGAATAAAGAACTTGCTTCAAAATTGAGAAGATTTGACCTTCTCATAAGGATCATTATTCATCATGATCCTTCCGGTAAGATTTAACTTTCTCATTTACAGGAAACAGCCACTCAGTCTAATTCATTATTACTATTATCATTATACTTATCAACTGAAGAATATTCCTAAAGAATGTTCATGGTGACTGTAGTAAAAAGTGATTAAGATGGCTAGACTTCCAATGTACTTTTTTTTTTAAGACAGAGTTTCACCCTGTCTCCCAGGCTGTAGTGCAGTGGCCTAATCTAGGCTCACCGCAACCTCTGCCTCCTAGGTTCAAGCAATTCTTGTGCCTCAGCCTCCTGAGTAGCTGGGATTACAGGTGCGCACCACCACACCCAGCTAATTTTTTTATATCTTTAGTAGAGATGGAGTTTCACCATGTTGGCCAGGCTGGTCTCAAACTCCTGGCCTCGAGTGATCCGCCCGCCTCGGCTTCCCAAAGTGCCGGGATTACAAATAGGCATGAGCTACCGCACCCGGCCCCAGTGTACTTTAAATAAAGCATCTCAAAAGAAAAAGCAAAAGCAAAATAAATAAAGCAATCAAATTAATAACTTGGTGAACATTATCAATGTCACTATGAGGGACATTAATAGGAATGAAATACTTTCCAGGATTACAGTACTTATATTCTCAAAAATTTCCTATTGAAGTCCATCTCCAAAATCTGAACCATGGGAGAACACTAGGACTAAAAGCCGTAATGTTGACCTTGGGAGGCGACTCTCCAGAGTAAAATCTCCTTTGCTGCGAGTAAGACCAGATCCCACTACGCTGCGGTACACCAGCGTGGGCTTGCCCGGCATGCACGAGCTCTCGGTGAGCTGCGCCAAGCACCGCAGCGTCGTGTACAGCAGCAACGTGAGCACTAACAGGCTGGACACCACGCAGATGGCGATGATCAGGTACACGTTGACATCCACCAGCGCTGCCTCCCGGACCTCGACGCCCGCCAAAGCCCGCGATGGGACCTTCCTCGCTTGGCTGCTCTCCGCCAGCGACGCCACCACGGTGACGGTGGCAGTCAGCGCCAGCTCGCAGTGGTCCTTCACCAGCACCAGCAGGCGGTGGCGCGTAGCTTTCGCCTCGTCCAGGGTACTCGTCGTGCTGATCTCGCCCGTGCAGAGCCCCACGTGGAACGGGTGCTGCCAGCTGACAGATGCAGCTGTTGCGACAACCAGGCGTCATAGCTGGAGTCCACCGTGCGCACCTTCGCCACCAAGTGGCCTGCATCCACTGAATACCGCACCAGCTCACTCACAGCGCCGCCAGCCCACCCAAGGCGCCAGCAGCGCAGACAAAGTTGTCGTTCCAGCACTAATACCTGGCAGCGTCACATTGCTGCTCAGAGGCGGCATGCCCGCGTCGCGCGCTCTCACCTAGAACTGCAGCAGCTCCAGCTCCTCGTAGTCCAGTGGCTGCAACGCGTACCTCTTGCCGCTCTCCGCGTGCACCCACACATAGCTAGACAGCGCGCACTCGCCCACCCGCTGTTCCATCAACGAGTAGGACACCAGCACGTTCTCCTGCGCGTCCCGGTCCCGCGCGGACACTGTGAAGTCGTGGCAGCCCCGCGGGTTGTTACCTTTCACGAACACCATGTACTCGGGCTGCTGGAACGCCAGGGCATTGTGGTTCACTGTTCGGCCACTTCCACGGACCCGATGGCTGTGGCCAACAATGAAAGCGAGTCCCCATTCCGAGCGATTACCAACAATGGATAGATTTGCTCTCTTGGTCCAGGGCGCTGTGGAGTACCAACGAATAGTTTCTGGGCAGCGCCTTTTGAAGGTAGACACCAGCTTGAAGAGACGTGAGGAGTCAGGGTGCGGGTCGTCTGTCCCTTGGCACTGAAGTTAGGGTCAATTACACTGATTAGGGCTATGACGGTACCCAGTGGAGCGTCCTCCTGTACAGGGAATGATAGTGACTTACTGCTAACTCTGGAACACTATCATTGATGTCCAAGACTTCTATCAAGTCTGTGCAGTGATCAAACATTGGGGAATTGCCTGTGTCAACTGCCTGTATTTGAATCTTTCATTATTTAGTTTCCTCAAAACCTATCTTTACATTTATTTATCCACTGTCTGAATCTATGCGAAAAAGGGCTTCTATGTTAGGGGAGACATCAGTTGCAAAGAAACAATGTGACGGTTTGAACCCTCGTCAAAATCCAAGGGGTTAAGTCTAATAACCAGTGTACCTTCTCTTGCATTTTCCAGTAATTTCACATGATAGACTCCTTTGTCAAACACTGGGCATCATCATTTACATCCAGCGCTGTGATATATAATGCTTTGGTGCCTGTCAGCTCAGCTTCGCCCCCATCAGTTGCTTTGAGCACCAAGAGTAGCTCTGAAGTGACTTACCTATCTGAAAGAATTTTTAAAATACACCTTCAAGTGGTTTTACCTGCTCTTGGTATTTCCAGGGAAAAATAATCATTGCGGCACAGTATGTAAGTCATCAGAGCATTGGCCCCGACGTCGGCATCACAGACACCCTCTAGTGAAACACGATAATCAAGAGCTCTCGTTTCAGAAACAGATTCTTTTGTGTTGCTGAGAACACTGGCAGGTTGTCTTTATTGTTCTTCACTTTCACCTCCACATGGAAAACCTGTAGCAGCTTGTCCACGATCACTTCCAGGTGGATGCTGCACTCCGAGATCCTCCCACACAGCTCCTCGAGGTCTATCAGAGAACTCACAAAAATGCCATTCTGCAGATTTACCTCCAGAAGGTTTCTGCGGCTTTTGGAATCCAACTGAAACAGGCGCGGTATCAGCTCCACAAGCTCCAGACCCAGGTCCTGCGCAATAGGGACCGCGAAGACGCTATGTGCCGTCCTTGGCCTCTTCCAGGATGGTGTAGTGGAACTGGTCCTTTCCCGCTTCACAAAATTCAAGGAGCAGAAGCCAGTGCTGTAGGCTCCGGGATTCCTGGCCACTTTGTCTAGCAGCTAAAATTATGCCTCTCTTTTGGTTAGTAAAACAATATTTCATGACTAGAAAGACTTAGTTCCTCTGAGACCTTTTGGTCCTTGTTCCTGAGGTTCCAAGTGGTCTTAATGGGTGTTTGTAGTTTTTAAAGTACAGGAACAATGGAGCTTCTTTCTGATCTAGGAATAATCTGATTTTCTTCTGTTAAAAAAAATACCTTTCGGCCGGGTGCGGTGGCACTCGGCCAGCACTTTGGGAAGCCGAGGCCGGTGGATCACGAGGTCAGGAGATCTAGACCATCCTGGCTAACACGGTGAAACCTCGTCTCTACTAAAAATACAAAAAATTAGCCTGGCGTGTTGGCGGGCACCTGTAGTCCCAGCTACTCCGGAGGCTGAGGCAGGAGAATAGCGTGAACCTGGGAGGCGGAGCTTGCAGTGAGCCGAGATCGTGCCACTGCACTCCAGCCTGGGCAACAGAGCGAGACTCCGTCTCAAAAAAATAAAAAATAAAAAACAAAAAAACCAAAAAAACTTTTCATGGAGAACAACAATATCCTGTCGCTCAAAACATAAGTGCATTTGATTTCATATTATTTCACTTATCTTCTTCGTTCCTGATTCCTGCATATGTTTATGTTTCTCTTTGTGAGCTTCCAACTCCTTTCCTATACCTTCTTGTGTATGATCAGTACCTCTTCAAAGGTGGGTTTGTCTTACAAATCAGAATTCCATGAAGAGTTTTATCTTGTATGTAGACATCCTAAATAAAGTACTACTGCACCAACTGTATTATCACGTGAATTAATATGAAAAAGATCATATTTGCAGGATAATGGTGTTACTATTGCTTTTGCTTTTTTCAATTTTTGAAATAGGGTCTCACTTTGTCATCCAGGCTGGAGTGCAGTGGCACAATCATGGGTCACTGCAGCCTCAACTTCCCAGGCTCAAGCCGTCCTCCCACCTCACCCTCCCAAGTAGCACTACAGTAGGGACTAAAGGCATGTACCACCATGCCTGGCTTATATATACATAAGTACATATATAGATATATATGTAAGGAGAGCCCATCATATATATATACATATATATATACACATATATACATATATATACACACACACACAGTACAAGATATCCCTATGTCGCCCAGGTTGGTCTTGAACTCCTGGCCTCAAACCATCCTCCCACCTTGGCCTCTCAAAATGCTGGGATTACAGGTGTGAGCCACCATGCCTGGCCTTAAGTTAGTATTGATGGAGAGATTAATGCACTTGTATACCTGAGACTTTTACAATTGATATGAGTTTTTACTAAGTTTTTTATATTACTTATAATATAAGACATTAAGGAAGATTTTTTTTCAAAATATCAGAGGGGGAAGTATATATTTCATAAACCTATTTGATAAAATAACAAATACACTTCTAAACTCTGCATTAACTTAGCATCTATAATTTCTAAGAGCTGGAGACAGGGCATGGAGAGTATTAACACTGAAAGAATGCCATGCTTAAATTCTTGCCACAATTTTTTTTTGGTGTTCCTAAACTTGAACAATAATTTTAATTTTATTTGAAGCTATTTGTGAAGCACGTACTGAGTAACAAATTCAATCTCCATACTCAAAGAGAAAGGAAAGAAAAAAGTAATTGCTAAGAGCCATAGGCAAGATGACAAATTCATGGCATTGGTGTTTGGTAACACTAGAATTAATAAATTTTTTTTAAAAATGAAATCATGGGTATCAGGTAACAACCAATTTCAGGAAAACACAATTGATAGTGTAGTTTTGTCACTCTGCAACTAAGTTAGCTTTCATTTCTGAGTCTATATCATCTAACCCAACCCTGTTTAAGATGACTAGAGAAGCTATTAAACTATACAATATATCAGATCAGTAGAAAACATTAATTTTATTTTCTCCTCAAACTTTTAATATTAATTCATACTAAAGTATTTTCAGTCTCAAAAGTAAAAAGTGTTCAAATTCTCTTCATTATTAAACATAAGCATGACTCCTTCCTTAAAGTGAAAGAGCTAATACCTGAATATCATAAGCAATGCCTAATGCTGATAAAGGAGCAGATAATGAAGAGCTACTGGATAAAATTATGTAAATAAAAGAAACATACATTTTCTTCTGCTAAGTGAATAATACACACTGACACAGGTACCACTACAACTAAAATAAAAATGGAAAACGTTTTTAAAGTTCAAAGCATTTAACTTAATTGCTAAGATTAAGAAATTTTTACCAATGAACTGCCCACCTACTTACTGCACTATTGAGAAAAAGCTGTAATCACTGAACATTGAAATCTACTATGGCAGTATAAGCTGTGGTACGCTACACATATTCTACACATGGAGGAAAACACATTTTCACTGAAGAGATATAGATCAGTGGAATTTTTTGGTAATGCAAATACAATCAAATCAAAATTTAGATTGGAAATGAAATAACATGAAGTACTAATCTCACAAATATTTGTAACGAAAAGTGATTATGAAAGTAAATCGTCAGAACTGCAACCTATATCACATATTTGTATTGGAAAATATTAGTGTATTCAGAATAAATTGTTATTTAAAAAAATTTAAGTACCAATCAAAGGCTGACACACTGGGTAGGATAAAAAAATTTTAAAACTCCTGGAATAAATTATATTACAAAGGTATCACTAGAAATATTCAAGCATAAATGGAATGTAGACAAAAATGAAATATTCTGATACATATTTGAGAAAATGCGGTAAGAGAAAATATTATTCATAAAGCACAAAAGGAAAATGAAAACGTAATAACCCACCTTCCTAGAGTGGTCCCCTCCAATAGACTGATCTTCCCCGTCCACATCTACCATTGGGCATGGTGGAAGGCTGGGGCTGAAGGCCATGAGGTCCGCCTTGGGCAGGCCCTCCCCAGAACACACCCTCTGCCGCCTCTGCTGCGAGTAAGACCAGCTCCCCACCGCGCTAGAGCACACCAGCGTGGGCTTCACCGGCCCACATGCGCCCTCGGTGGGCGCCGCCGAGCACCTCAGTGCAGTGTACAGCAGCAGCGTGAGCACCAGCAAGCTGGACACCGCGCAGATGGCGATGATCAGGTACACGTTGACATCCACCAGGGCCACCTCGGGCGCCACGCCCACTGAAGCCCGCGACGAGGCCTTGGGTGCCTGGCTGCCCTCCACAAGCGACACAAGCACAGTGGCCGTGGCCGTCAGCGACGGCTCGCCATGGTCCTTCACCAGCACCAGTAGGCGCTGGCGTGGCGAGTCAGTCTCATCCAGAGCGCGCGTCGTACTGATCTCGCCCGTGTACAGCCCCACGCGAAACGGGATGCGTGCACCAACCGCCGCCGACTGCAATTCATACGACAGCCACGCGTTGTATCCAGAGTCAGCGTCCACTGCGCGCACCTTAGCCACCACGTGACCCGCAACCACCGACCGCAGCACCAGCTCACTGACTGCACCGCCCGCGCTGCCAGCGGGAGACGCCAGCAGCGCGGGAGCGTTGTCGTTCTCGTCCAGCACGAACACCTGCAGCGTCAAGTTGCTGCCCAGAGGCGGCACGCCCCCATCGCGCGCGCTCACCTGGAACTGTAGCAGCTCCAGCTCCTCGTGGTCCAGCGGCTGCAGCGCGTACACCTTGCCGCTCTCCGCGTGCACCGACACGTAGCTCGACAGCGAGCGCTCGCCCAACCGCCGCTCCACCAGAGAGTAGGACACCAGGGCGTTCTCCTGCGCGTCCGCGTCCCACGCAGACACCGTGAAGATGTGGCAGCCTGGCGGGTTGTTCTCCTTCACGAACACCGTGTACTCGGACTGCGCGAACGCAGGCGCGTTGTCGTTCACGTCGGCCACCTCCACAGACACGCTGGCCGTGGCCCACAGCGGAGGCGAGCCCCCGTCCCGCGCGGTCACCACCAGCTCATAGGCCGACACCCTCTCGCGGTCCAGAGCGCTGTCCAGCACCAATGAGTAGTAATTCTTGTAGGTGGACACCAGCTTGAACGGAACGTGAGGCGTCAGAGAGCAGGTGACCTGTCCGTTGGCTCCTGAATCATGGTCAGAAACGCTGATTAGGGCAATGACGGTGCCCACTTGAGCATCTTCTTTCACTGGGAGAGACAGAGAAGTGACAATCACCTCAGGTGAATTATCATTTTCATCCAGTAGTTCCACTAGGACCGTGCAGTGACCAACCATAGGTGGGTTTCCCTTATCTGTAACATCTACATGAATTTCATAAGTGTTACTGTCCTCAAAGTCAATAGCATCATTTACTTTTATTTCTCCCGTCCTTTCGTTTATCCAAAATTTCCTTCTTATCGTGGGTGGGACCAAAGAGCTAAATGAATACATCATTTCCTTGTTTATTCCTTCATCCGAATCAGAAGCGTTGAGCCGTATTACTAATGTTTGGTTCACTTGATTTTCATACATCTTAACTTCATAAACCGGTCTGTCAAAGATAGGGGCGTTATCATTGGCATCTAACACCAGGATCAGCAGAGAAACAGATCCGGTAAATTCAGGTTTGCCTCCATCAGTTGCTGTCAACAACAACTTTAGCTGAGGATTTTCTTCACGATCCAGCAGCTTCCGCAGAACAAGCACTGGGAATTTGTCTTTGTCTTTTTTGTTTATAATATCAAGAACAAAATACTCATTTGGACTGAGTTTGTAAGTAAGCAATGCGTTCTCTCCAACATCCGCATCAGATGCGCCTTCTAGTGGAAATCGAGAGTCAAGCAGTCTGGATTCAGGTATTGAGAGCTTTTGTTCTGTTACGGAGAACCTGGGCGGGTTGTCGTTAATGTCCTTCACTTCCACGTCCACATGGAAAACCTGCAGCGGCCTGTCCACGATCACCTCCAGGTGGATGCTGCACTCCACGCTCCGCCCGCACAGCTCCTCGCGGTCAATCCGAGAATTCACAAACAAAATGCCATTCTGCAGATTTACCTCCAGAAGGTCCCCGTGTCTTTTGGACGCCACCCGGAACAGGCGCTGCACCAGCTCCGCCAGCTCCAGCCCCAGGTCCTGCGCGATGCGGCCCACGAAGGTGCCGTGTCTGGCCTCCTCGTAGACTGAGTAGTGGAGCTGGCCGCTCCCCACCTCCCAGGCTGCGAGGAGAAGAAGCGAGAGCAGCAGACACTGGACCCCCAGGCAGCTACATCTGGAAACCATCTTATCCTTCTCTTGTTTTACAAATCGACGAATCAGCGGTCTAGAACGCACATACGATCTGACATTTTCTGTCCTATTTCTTATATCTATTTTTTATCGAAATGGCTGAGATCTCAGAATGACGCTACTTCCTAGTCCTTGAGAAACTGGCTGATGCCTTTGTTCTAAAAAGCTATTTTGTGGACGACAGCGACATCCGGTGGCTTTAGGTGTAAGTACGATTCCATGAGTTCACAACTTTTCTTTCATTCATATGTTAATTCTTTTTTTACGTATTTTTATGTCTATGGACTTTCAAAGCCTCACATTACGTCTCTTTATAGTTAATAACAATAAATGTTGATCCCACGTGCAATGTTTTCTTAAATGTAGACTCTCAGAGTAGTGATTTCTTCCCTAACCACATGATTATCAATAGCCGAATTTCAAAATGCCCTTAATATTTGCATACTACTGAGTATACTAATATTTTATTAAATGACAACTTTAGTTCCATTTAAGTTCTGACACTTAACTTACTTCTCTTTCTCATTATTTTGAGATTTAATAAGGTTTATTTAGACACTAATGTCAAGCATCAACTATCTGTGAGGTGTTTATAACTCCGAAGATCTAGTCATCACTAGAATTTAGAGATCATTAGCTTCAACATCAGACATTTCTCCATTTAGATTCCTATTATCCTACTCACTAGCCACATGACTTGGGAAAATCGTTTAACCTCTCCCTCCCTCATGTTCCAATTTTATAACTTTGGCCTAATAGTAATACGGTGGTTGAGTGAATTATAATATAGTAAGTGCTTGCAATAGTACCTTAAGGAGAATGAGTGCTTCATAAATGGAAACTATTCTCAGGCCTCAATTTGGCCACATTTGTTTTCATGAGGCTCAATACCAAATTTGGCTCATCAGGCAAAATTATTACCTATAGAATGCCTTAATTATTGCTACTGCACAGGCTGAGAGTGGTGGTTTCTGTATTTAAGAAAACAGAAAAGTACTATTACAGAAAAATCCTTTATACAAGAAGTTTCATTTTATAATATCTTACACGGGCAAAAAGAATCTTAATTATAATTCTGAATAAAGTAATTAAGAAATTTATTATTTCTGCTTTCAGAGGCAAATGCTTTCAACCCTGTTATATTTACGCTTTTCAAATGCCCAAAAGACACAGTTCTGAAATATATCTAGTAATTTTATCAATGTCAGTGAAGTTTTTCATCACCACTTGCAGTAAAAATATTTTTTTCTCTCTCAAAGTTCTTGAAATCAAATATTCAGGAATGAAAATGTAATATATCTGTGCTGCTGAAAAAAACTTGAGTTTTCTGTCTTTCCAAGAAAGGAAAACTTAACAACAGACATATTGGTCTTATGCAAGGGTTAATTTATTTTATTTAATGATGTTTTGACTTTTCTAAAGAATATTTTTAAATGTGTCAATTACTTTAAACTTTTTTTATTAAAATCTGAATGACAGAGCAACAATATTTATGAATAAGAAAACTGACAGAAATGGGTGTCACTTAATCCATCAGTTTATGTGTCCTACTAAATTCTGTTTCTATACTTCTCTACTCCTCTGGAATGCCTCTTGCATCAAAATTCATTCAAATTCTGATTTTAGAGATTACTTTTTTATAAACCCTGAATTAAAATGTAATGAGTTATGTATCAAAATATCAACGTTTGTTTTAGCTATCTGGAGCGTAAAATAAGTTTGCCATTGATCAATCATCTCCACGCACAAAATAATAAAAACTAAACTCAATTTCTACTAATGTACATTTTATACCAAGTGATAACATAAATATCCCAATGTAGATGTCCAATATTGAATAAAAAGTAGGGAGTAGTTAAACTACTCTTTTTTTTTTTTTTTTTGAGACAGAATCTTGCTGTCACCCGGGCTGAAATGCAGTTGTGCCATCACAGTTCACTGCAGCCTCAATGTCCCAGGCTCAAGCGATTCTCTCGCCTCAGCCTCCTGAGTAATTGGGACTAGAGATGTGTGCCACCATGCCCGGCTAATTTTTTTTTTTTGGCAGAGATGAGTCTCACTACATTGGTCTCAAACTGCTGGGCTCAAGGAAGGGACCCTCCCACCTTGGCCTCCCAAAATGTTGGGATTGCAGGTGTCAGGCCACCACATCTTTTTAAATTACAGAAACTTGCACTGTCAAGTATCAAATAGGGCTATGGATCTAAAATTTCGGTTGTATGAGAATCATCTCAGGTGTGCTTTAAAATGAAAATTTGCTCTTACTACCCATTTCAGAATTTCTGAGGTGGAGCCTTGAACCAGAACATTCAATGAGGACTTAGGTGCTGCTAATGCTAATGCGTTAGCAGGTCTAAGGATAGGTTGACCATAGGCCCCAATTTGTCTGGAACAGGCTCAATTTAGGTCTGTGATCTTGTATACTTATTTACAGCACCCCCTTTGCTCTCAAAGTGTCTAAGATATTGGGTGACAACTTAGTTTTTCCTATATAGTAATTACAACTTGAAAAGAGACATAGGAGGAGCTTCATTATTGTTTCATGATTCTAACTTGAATTGAGGAATGTTAACTACAGATGCATATAAGGAGACCTATTAGGCAAAATAGGAAAGTGTCTCTTCTGCTTTCACCTCTCTGTTTTGAACTTGACAGGCTGTTTTGAATTTTACCATCTCTGGATCCCTGTGAGTTCATGTTTGCTAATGACCTCAAAAGATAAATTTATTACTAAGGTGTTCACAGCCCTTCTGAGAATTTGCATATGATGAGAGCTTGTACTCTGAGAGAGAATAGAGATTAATATGAAGGACTAAATTACCAATCCCATCAATACAGCCGTCAATAATAAAGAACACATTTTAGGCCAGGCGCGGTGGCTCACGCCTGTAATCCCAGCATTTTGGGAGGCTGAGGCGGGAGGATCATGAGGTCAGGAGATCGAGACCATCCTGACTAACACGGTGAAACCCCATCTCTACTAAAAATACAAAAAAATTAGGCGGGCATGGTGGCAGGCGCCTGTAGTCCCAGCTACTCGGGAGGCTGAGGCAGGAGAATGGCGTGAACACGGGAGGGGGAGCTTGGAGTGAGCCAAGATGGCACCACTGCACTCCAGCCTGGGCAACAGAGCGAGACTCTGACTCAAAAAAAAAAATACGTTTTATGATTATTGATGACATAGTAAATGCTTAGTAAGTACTAGCTCTAAGGAGACTGGAGGACTTAGGGCGGGAGACAAATGACATCTGTAGCATCCCTCTATTCACATCAAATAATCAGATACCTGGGTCCAAGTTTAAATGGCACATGAAACTTGAAAAACGTGCAAAGACAAAGATACTTGAAAGTATAAGACTATATTCAAGGTGAGTTGTGCTGATAGACAGATATAGATAGGTTTAATGACAGGAGCTCAGAGACCACTCAAGTTTTGAAAGAAAATGACAAAAAAAAAAAATAAAAAAGCCTTGGCACAGTGGCTCACAGCTTTAATCCCAGCACTTTGGGAGGCCGAGGTGGGAGCATCACAAGGTCAGGAGTTCGAGACCAACCTGGCCAACATGATGAAACCCCATCTCTACTAAAAATACAAAAATTAGCTGGGCGCGGTGGCATGTGCCTATAATCCCAGCTACTCAGGAGGCTGAGGCAGGAGAATTGCTTGAACCCAGGAGGCAGACGTTGCAGTGAGCCAAGATCATGCCACTGTACTCCAGCCTGGGTGGCAGAAAACGACTCCGTCTCAGAAAAATAAAAAGACAAAAAACATGTAATATTGTAGCATATTCCAAAAGTGTGTTTTAAGGGAAAATTTAAAAATTAAAATATTTTGTTTTAAATAAACGTTACTGGCATTTTCATAGTTATTTTTGTGGCTCTATTCTCAAGGCCATTCTGATCTTTCTCTACTGAGTTTTTAATTAGGTCATACCTTGTAAAATATCTGACACAATATTAAATAAAATAGCTGAAAGAGAAAGAAAAATATAAACCACATAACAAAAACTCAATAAGCGAAGTTTTTAAAACTATAAATTAGAAAACAAACAAATAGCTTGCACTAAAGGTAGAGTGTGGAAAACCACCATTTTGAAAGTCACATACTACAATTCAGGAAACATAACATGTAGTGACATTAAAGAGGCAAATCTCATATCCAGATTTCTGCCTTGTGTTATGTATGAGCTGAGAGGAGAAAAAGATATTTTTAAAAAAACAGATTTCTGTCTTATGGATTACTGACAGAACAAGTGAATTCTCATCTAAATTCATAAGGGTAATGTTTTAAGTTACAGACTCTGAATTTCAAAAGAACTCGAAGTTTCGAATCTTCACATGGCTGATCATTTTATCACTGAATGGAGAAAATTTCAATTAAAAGGAGAATGTCTTCTTGAAGAAAGGAAACACTTGTTTAAAAAGCATTTTCTCCAATTTCTGTAAACTGAATTTCAAAAAATGTTCTAAGTGTAGACAAAATTTCAGTCAACATTTCTTGAATTATCTACATTGTCAGGCATTTTAAAACATATTTTATATAAGTTGAAATGAAGGCTGTGTTTATAACATTTATTGACATAATTTGATTCCTAAAGTGGAGCAACTGTTTTCTAAAGTTTAGGGGAAGTTTCTTTCTTATTAAAATAATAGATACTGAAGGTTGCTGAACAATCAGATGTTCACAGTCTCCATCCAGAGAAATGTAGAGAACTACAAACTTAACAAGGTAACAATTGCTATATATTTTTGCTTGGGTTTCTTATAAACAATACAAGTAGACTAAAATACTATGCATCATTTAGCAATAAATAAATGATAGTGATGTTAATGTTTAATGAATGACTAACAACTAAATTGGTTTTCAAGTGTTATGGCAGCATAGCATCAGAAATTCAATGTCACTTTAATCACAAATTTAAATAAAATTGATTCAGCACCCAAAAAATATCTATTTAATATACAGTTTATAATTCTCACTAGAAGTCAAGACAAAGTCGGCTCCAATGTTAAGGGGTTTACTTTATCAGAAAAAAAATCTGCTGGATTTCTAGAAAAATGAATAAAACTATTTGAACGGCCCCTGGGAGTAATCGATAATATCTTTCAAGAAAAAAAATTATATAAATAAATAAAATGCTAGAAAAACCCACCTTCCCAGTTGAATCTGAGGAAGCAGAGGGTTCTCCCGTTCGCTCTGTAGATCCAGCACAAGGAGAAAGGCCCGGGCTGAAGGCCATGAGGTCGGTCTTCTGCTTACCCTCGCCAGAGCACACCCTCTGCCTCCTCTGCTGCGAGTACGACCAACTCCCCACCGCGCTAGAACACACCAGCGTCGGCTTGCCAGGCGCGCACTCGCCCTCGGTGGGCATCGCCGAGCACCGCAGCACAGTGTACAGCAGCAGCGTGAGAACCAACAGGCTAGACACCGCGCAGATGGCGATGATCAGGTACACGTTGACATCCACCAGCGTCACCTCGGGGCCCGTGGCACCCACTGACGCCCGCGACGATGACTTTGGCGCCTGGCCGCTCTCCACCAGCGACACCAGCACAGTGGCCGTGGCCGTCAGCGCTGGCTCCCCGTGGTCTTTCACCAGCACCAGTAGGCGCTGGCGCGGTGCGTCCGTTTCGTCCAGGGCACGCGTTGTGCTGATCTCGCCCGTGTACAGCCCCACGCGGAACGGGATGCTCGCGCTGGCCGTTTCTGGCTGCAGCTCGTATGAAAGCCACGCGTTGTAGCCCGAGTCGGCGTCCACTGCGCGCACCTTCCCCACCACTACGCCGGCGCCCACCGACCGCAGCACCATCTCGCTCACTGCGCCGTCAGTGCCCCTCATCCGAGGTGTCAGCAGCGCCGGCGCATTGTCGTTCTCGTCCAGCACGAACACCTGCAGCGTCACGTTGCTGCCCAGAGGCGGCACGCCCGCGTCGCGCGCGCTCACCTGGAACTGTAGCAGCTCCAGCTCCTCGTGGTCCAACGGCTGCAGCGCGTACACCTTGCCGCTCTCCGCGTGCACTGACACGTAGCTCGACAGCGAGCGCTCGCCCAACCGCCGCTCCACCAGCGAGTAGGACACCAGGGCGTTCTCCTGCGCGTCAGCGTCCCGCGCAGACACCGTGAAGATGTGGCAGCCCGGCGGGTTGTTCTCCTTCACGAACACCGTGTACTCGGACTGCGCGAACGCTGGTGCGTTGTCGTTCACGTCGGCCACCTCCACAGACACCCTGGCCGTGGCCCACAGTGAAGGCGAGCCCCCGTCCCGCGCGGTAACCACCAGCTCGTAGGCGGACACACTCTCGCGGTCCAGAGCTCTGTCCAGCACCAACGAGTAGTAATTCTTGTAGGTGGACACCAGCTTGAAGGGGACGTGGGGCGTCAGGGAGCAGGTAACCTGCCCGTTGGCATCTGCGTCTAGGTCGATCACACTAATCAGGGCAATAACTGTCCCCAGTTGTGCGTCCTCTTTTACAGGAACCGAGAGCGTTTTGATAGTCAACTGTGGAGCATTGTCATTTACATCCACAACTTCCACAAGAAGTGTACAATGACCAGCCAGGGGTGGGAAGCCTTTATCGACAGCCTCGACTGGGATCTTGTGTGCTCTACTTTCTTCAAAATCCATATGTCCTATCACTGTGATTGCCCCACTTAAGGGGTCCATGTGGAACTTGGATTTTATATCTGGAGAAACATCACTGGAGAAGGAGTAAATAATATCCCCATTCAAGCCTTCGTCTAAATCTGAGGCATTGGGGTGAATCACCAGCGTTCCGATAGAAACGTTTTCTGGTAATTTCACCGTATACAGGGTTCTGTCGAACACTGGGGCATTGTCATTGTTGTCCAGTACCGTGATGAGTAATTGAACGGTGCCAGTCAGCTCGGGTTTGCCTCCATCGGTGGCCGTGAGCAATAAATGAAGCTCCGGAGTTTCTTCTCTGTCTAAAAGTTTCCGTAATACAAGTCCAAGAGGTTTTACCTGCTGGTTGCTGGTTGGCACGTCCAGGAAGAAATACTCATTGGGGCTCAGTCTGTAAGTGAGCAGGGCGTTCTCCCCGATATCTGCATCGGACGCGCCCTCTAGTGGAAACCGAGAGTCAAGCGGCCTGGATTCCGCGATGAACAGATTCTTTTGTGTCGCTGGGAACACTGGAGGGTTGTCGTTAATGTCCTTCACCTCCACGTCCACATGGAAAACCTGCAGCGGCCTGTCTACGATCACCTCCAGGTGGATGCTGCACTCCGCGCTCCGCCCGCACAGCTCCTCGCGGTCGATCCGAGAATTCACAAACAAAATGCCATTCTGCAGATTTACCTCCAGAAGGTCCCCGCGGCCTTTGGAATCCAACTGGAACAGGCGCGGCACCAGCTCCGCCAGCTCCAGCCCCAGGTCCTGCGCGATGCGGCCCACGAAGGTGCCGTGTTCGGCTTCCTCCGGGACGGAGTAGTGGAGCTGGCCGCTCCCCACCACCCACATTGCGAGGATCAGAAGCGAGAGCAGTAGAGGCTGACCCTCTGGATCTCCTCGACTTGAGTATAACATTTCAAATACTCAGTCTTCTTCTAATTAGTGAAAATTGCCTCCAAATTAGAAGAAATCATCTGATTTCGTCAGTCCCATTCTGCTGTGTTCGCCATCGTTCAGCACAGAGAGAGTGAAAAAGAATTGAGCCTCTTTCCCATGGGAAAAGGGCTGTATTTGTCTGGATTCAGAGAGAACATCGCGGCAAAGAGTGACATCACGTGGCCCAAAGTGTAAGTACATATTTCATGAATAAAAATTTCACAGTTATTCTGCAAAACTTATTTCATTTTCTTAATTTTTTCTTAAGTAATGATTGTTGAAACAGAAGATCCCGTTTCTCTTGCTGGAGCCTTCTTAGCAGACTGACTGCCTCTAAAAGTTTTGTATGACCTTGATTGTGGTTTTCTTATCCCTGAGAAAACTCTCCACTTAAGTTTTAAATAACGACAGAAATGAAGTAACAATTAAAATGATTCCATTGAGCAATCACGAATTTTAAATTACAAAATTCTTTTGTTCTGGAATTCAGAATCTCCCATATGGCTCGAAATAGGATTCTAGTGTAAGAGAAATCCAGGAGTTGCAATCTCTAGTGAATATAGGAGCCCAGAAATCTACTGATGAAAAAGAAACTTAGTCATGTCTGGTAAAAGGAATCAACAAAAAGTAGCAACCAACTGAGGTAGTTTTCTTGAGTAATTCTATGAATTGAAAAGGTATAAAATATTGCAAGAAAAGCGAGAATTGACTTTAAGGTCTTGTGTTGCGTGGGGAGAAAATATATTTTTCTCTTTTGTAGCATTTATACAATCTGTTTCCAGAAATGTGTTGTTTTGATTCTTTCCAAGCTTTATAATCTATGAATAATCTCTTCTTTGTAGTCTCCAATATAGTTTGTGTAATGTTATTACAATATGTTTTAATTTCATTATTGCTCATCCTTAGTACTCGGGGCAATTTCTGTTTTTAAAGCTATGCTTGAGATTCTTTTCCTGACTAAGTTCTACAAAGTTTTGTTGTGAGTTTTACTATCTTATTCCAACGTCCAAGTCGATTAATTAAATCTAGATTTTAGTGTATCTCAAGTCTAAAGGCAAAACCGTGAGTGTTTATTGTGCCATTAATGTTTTTGCATATTTATCTTTTATTTCGTATTTCTACTGATAACAGCCTAAGAGGTGCATTTAACAATTGCTTCTGTCCTTGATTACTGCAGGAGCTTCTGAGTTTGTCTTCCCGTTCAACCTTCTTTCAAAAGTCGTGATTTATTTTGCTCAAGGTAGTTAAATAGCTCCCAATTAATTCTAAAGAGTGGCCAAATTCCTTAATCACTCATGGCCCTTTAGTTTATTACTCAGAAATCAAGAGATCTTCTTACATTGGTTTTCCTGCTTTCATTCTCTGCAGACTGTGTGTTTTAACCAAAGTGGACTTTTCTACTTGTCATATTGATGCTTTCTGTGTCTTCAACTTTCCTTATGTTTTCTCTTTCCAAGAAATGTCTATCATTCTCAATATTCTCCCGGGGGGAACTTACTTATTTTAAAACCACTGAAACACACCATGCCCCTTCAAGTATTTCTTCAAAAATTCAAATAGGAAATGATTGTCTTTCAACTTCAACGTCATTCTGATTTACCTCTTGTACCTGTTACATTATCTTGCCTTGCATTGTGTGACTCATATTCTTTATTTGACCTCAAATTTTAAAGCCAGGGGCTGGGGCTCAGTAATAATTCCTGACATGATGATATGCTGTTAGAGATCTGTAAGGGTCCTATTTAATGTTTAATGAAGACTGGTTATTACAATCTTCTCTACTTGCTAAGAAAGCATTTTAGGCTGGGCGCGGTGGCTCATGCCTGTAATCCCAGCACTTTAGGAGGCCGAAGTGGGCGGATCAGGAGGTCAGGAGATCGAGACCATCCTGGCTAACATGGTGAAACCCCGACTCTACTAAAAATACAAAAAATTAGCAGGGCATGGTGGCATGCACCTGTAATCCCAGCTACTTGGGAGGCTGAGGAAGGAGAATCATTTGAACCCGGGAGGCAGAGGTTGCAGTGAGCCGAGATTGCGCCACTGCATTCCAGCCTGGGAGATAGAGCGAGACTCCGTCTCAAAAAAAAAAAAAAAAAAAGAAAGAAAGAAAAGAAAAGAAAAAAGAGAAAGCACTTTAAAAGGCTATTTACAACACTCTACATAAATGGTTTACTTAATTCATAGAACTACAACATAAATTGACTTTAAATCATCATCAAAACATTATTGTATACTTCTTTTTAAGAAAAATACTATTAATGGAAAGATCTCATACATACAAAGAACTCAAACGCCTACTCAGGCCTCTGCAGGATCTCAGGCAACTTTTAAATATGGGAAACATACAACTATCAAAGTAAGATAGTCTACACATTCCTTGGAAGGACTTTAACCTTTCCAAAAAACTGTTTTCCCACATAGGTGGTGTTAACTTGACTTTCCTAAACTCGTAATAACTTTTAGATTTTTTTCATTCCACCACACAACATTCAAAATATTGAAACATCCTAGGTTAATCTAAAAAATGACTTTACAGAAGATAGTTTTACACAAAAATAAGATTAATATGGAAGGCCATAACGACTTTCTGACATTTTAGGTTGCCTTTCTGCAATCACTAACTTCTTTTCTCTTAAGAATGGTAATAACTAAATTTTATTATGTACCTATCACTTGCCAGAGTTTATTATTAATAATTTATAACTATTAACTTACTTGATACAAATAAATCTATAAAGTAGAATTCACATTTATCATGCATACATATAATGCCAAGGAACTGAATAACAAATCCTTTACCAATGGCTACACATACAAAAATTGGTAAAGGGAGGACTTGATTTAGAGAGCTTCAGAATCCACAATACTTAATAACTAACTTCTGACACATTTCAATCCCAGAAATTCTTAATAGCTAAAAGCATCACCATAATTAGAATAGTGAAAAGTATTAATGTACAAGAAATAGGTTTAGACTTTCTCACTGTGAAAGCACAACCCCAAATTCAAATATCAGAGAGTTGAAGAAAAACAGAACTAAAATGACTTAAATGATAAATTGCCAAATACAATGCTAGGTGGTGGAAAGAATCCTCCTATTTATGATATTTTGTAAAAGTCAATTAAATGTTTAGGAGAATTCAGTAATTAAAGTAATACCTGAGAACCAGGTAGACATAGACAGGATAGGAAATATTACTTTCACAAAGGAAAACACATATTATTCAAACAGGATAATAAAGATAATCATATTTTTTAAAAGGACTTAAATGAAAACAATCATATTTTTTAAAGGACTAAAATGAAAACAATTCGCTTTTACACAATGTGTTCAAATAGTCAAATAAAATGCTAAACATGGACAGGCATTAAGAGAACTGTAAAATAAACTACAAAACAATGCTGCTTTGAGGTTACCTTCAGTTGGACAAGGGGGCTAAAATATGCCCATAAATGATTACATTATTTGTTCATAAGTGATTAAAAGATTTAAAACAATACTAATAACAAACTGTAAGAATTCAGAGTCCCAGAAATCGTTCATTCCCTTCCATCAATTTCTACCATTCTCTCCAAAGCAATATGCACGAAGTCTAATGGGTATTTAATATCCAGGCAGGTCCAACAGTCACAAGAAGCAAACGTGTAAAAAGACAAGAAGAAATAAAAGAAAGAAAATGTTGAAAGATACCAAAATAAAGTATCTTGGATTTTTCAAAGATTTATCCCATAATACTAAATATTTTTACACGAACTAATGGGCCATGATAATCCCAAATATTCTGTATAATAAGGATTTATAAATTATATGTTTGGTTTGCAAGAATGAAATTATCATGTATAGTTTTTCTGATGAAAACATTTTTCTAAGTCATATATTAAATATCACTTTAATGTGGAATATTATTGAAAATATTCCAACTCATGAACAAAGGGTTGAATGATTAGAGTTTAGAAGATACTTGCAAGAATAAAGTAATCATTTCCTAAACATAGAGGCTCAAAAAATGTTAAGTTGGCGACAATACAACTGTAAAAATCATGTAGAATAAAAAACATGTCTCCAAATGGTAAAATGGTCTAAATAATGAATTAAAAGAAGGATTACAAATCTCTTCCCTCTTGATTTTACTTTTTAACTAGTTTATAATAAAATTAGGAAGAATATGAAAACTATCAAATTTTGAAAAACACTATCATTCTGTATTTTATCACTACACTGCTTAAAACGGCAATAGTGAAACACCAAAGATATTTGTGACTACCAGACACTAAAAAGTCAGATAAGATGAATAAACCGAGATCTTAAAGTGAATAAAAGTAAATATAAAGACAACATATTTAAAACATGCATTTCAAAGTACAGCATATGGAGTAAGATTAAGAGTTCAGTGCCTAAGGACAAAAGAATAAACGCTTTGGGGGAATACTTTCACCAAAGATCAAAATGCCCTGAACGTCCTTAGAGTATTGTTCAGAGAAGACGGCTGTAAGGCAGGCCAAAATAAATATTCAGTAAAAAATGGATATCATCCAACCATAACTTGAGTTTCAAGATAGACCCAACTTGTGGAGAATGATTAATACTGTATTATGCCACTGAGAAAATTCAATTAATTATAAAAGGTTTCTAAAAACTAAACAATGTTTAAATTTTCACTATAAAATACGGTGAAAAACTAAATCTGAAACACTTTTAAAGTAACTACAATTTCCACAAATAGAATTTATGAGTTCTAAATTTAAATGGACTTACTTTGAGGCCATGATCAACATTTAAATCTTGCTCTTCGCCTACATCAACTGATCCCAGATCAGGAGGAAGGCAGGGGCTGAAGGCCATGAGGTCCGTCTTCGGTGGCCCCTCACCAGAGCACACCCTCTGCGGCTGTTGTTGCGAGTATGACCAGCTCCCCACCGCACTGGAGCACACCAGAGTGGGCTTGCCCGCCCGGCACCCGCCCTCAGTGGGCAGTGCTGAGCACCGCAGCGCAGTGTACAGCAGCAGCGTGAGCACCAGCAGGCTGGATACCGCGCAGATGGCGATGATCAGGTACACGTTGACATCCACCAGCGCCGCTTCCGGACCCAAAACGCCAGCCGACTGCCTCGATGACGCTTTTGGAGCCTGGCCGCTCTCCACCAGCGACACCAGAACCGTGGCCGTGGCGGTCAGCGCAGGTTCACCATGATCCTTCACCAGGACCAGCAGACGGTGGCGCGGAGAGTCCGCTTCGTCCAGGACACGAGTGGTGCTGATCTCGCCCGTGTACAGCCCCACGCGGAACGGGATGCGAGGGCTGCTTGCAGCTGGCTGCAGCTCATACGAAAGCCACGCGTTGTAGCCCGAGTCGGCGTCCACTGCGCGCACCTTCGCTACCACGTGGCCCGCGCCCACAGACCGCGGCACCAGCTTGCTCGCTGCGCCACCAGTGCCACCCACCCGAGGCTCCAGCAGTGCCGGCGCGTTGTCATTCTCGTCCAGCACGAACACCTGCAGCGTCACGTTGCTGCCCAGAGGCGGCACGCCCGCGTCGCGCGCGCTCACCTGGAACTGCAGCAGCTCTAGCTCCTCGTGGTCCAGCGGCTGCAGCGCGTACACCTTGCCGCTCTCCGTGTGCACCGAAATGTAGCTCGACAGCGAGCGCTCGCCCACCCGCCGCTCCACAAGCGAGTAGGACACCAGCGCGTTCTCCTGCGCGTCCGCGTCTCGCGCAGACACCGTGAAGATGTGGCAGCCCGGCGGGTTGTTCTCCTTCACGAACACCGTGTACTCGGGCTGCGCGAACGCCGGAGCATTGTCGTTCACGTCGGCCACCTCCACAGACAAGCTGGCGGTGGCCCACAGCGAAGGCGAGCCCCCGTCCCGCGCGGTTACCACCAACTCATAGGCCGACACTCTCTCGCGGTCCAGGGCGCTGTCCAGCACCAACGAGTAGTAATTCTTGAAGGTGGACACCAGCTTGAAGGGGACATGGGGCATCAGGGAGCAGGTCACCTGCCCGTTGGCACCTGAATCGAGGTCGTTCACGCTAATTAGGGCGATGACAGTACCAAATTGAGCGTCTTCACGTACAGGCAAGGATAAGGAAGTCAGTGCTATCTCAGGGACGTTATCATTTTTATCCAAAATTCTCACTAAAACGGTGCAATGACCCGCCATGGGAGGATGGCCTTTGTCCGTGGCGTCAATGAGGATTTTGTATAAGTTTTCTTGTTCAAAATCCAAATTACCCCGAATCACTATTTCTCCCGTATTTCGATCTATGCTAAAGTGGTCAATAACCATAGTTTCAACAAGGCTATTAAAAGAATATGAAATTGCCCCATTGGCTCCTTCATCCGGATCAGAAGCATTCAGTTTGATAACTGTTGTTCCGTTGTCTGCGTTTTCGAATATTCTTACTTCGTATTCAGACTGTTCGAAAGTGGGAGCATTATCATTCACATCCAGCACTGTGACCAGCAGCTGAACAGTGCCTGTGAGCTCAGGTTTGCCCCCATCTGTGGCTGTCAGGAATAAGTGGTGCGCAGGAGCGTCCTCTCTGTCCAAGGATTTTCTTAATACGAGCTCAACCAGTTTATTCTCATCGTTCTTTGAATTCACATCTAGCATGAAGTAATCATGAGAGCTAAGCCTGTAGGTTAACACGGAGTTAGCTCCAACATCTGCATCGGACGCGCCCTCTAGCGGAAACCGAGAGTCTGGCATTCTGGATTCTGAAACAAACAGCTTTTGGTCTTTTACCCGGAACACTGGCGGGTTGTCATTAACATCCTTCACCTCCACGTCCACATGGAAAACCTGCAGCGGCCTGTCCACGATCACCTCCAGGTGGATGCTGCACTCCGCGCTCCGCCCGCACAGCTCCTCGCGGTCGATCCGAGAATTCACAAACAAAATGCCATTCTGCAGACTTACCTCCAGAAGGTCCCGGTGTCTTTTGGACGCCACCCGGAACAGGCGCGGCACCAGCTCCGCCAGCTCCAGCCCCAGGTCCTGCGCGATCCGGCCCACGAAGGTGCCGTGTTTGGCCTCCTCGGGGACGGAGTAGTGGAGCTGGCCGCTCCCCACCTTCCAGGCTGCGAGGAGCAGAAGCAAGAGTAGTAGTCGCCAGGATCCCAGCTCTCCTCGCCAGTGATAATCCATGTTAAATAGTCGTTTCCTATCAGAAAATATTATCTTAATATAAAGATGAACGACTGTACTTTCAGAGTCTTTTAATCCAATTCCGCTGCATCTCCCGTTGTTCGGCCTTTAGAGACAGATGCTGTCAGAGAAAAGACTTTGAACATTGACCAACCAGAACTTCTTGGTAGACAGCGACATCATGTGGCTTCAAAAGGTAATGATTACATGAATTACTTCCGCAATATCTGGGTTCTTCTATGCACTTTCTATTTCTTTATCATAATTTAATAGTAAATCCTTAACTTTATCAATTGCAGAGGCATTCATACTGTCTGGCTCCTTACATTAGTTTCAGCTAGGGATTTCTTCTTCATAAGGAAAGGAATTTCTTCCCAATATTTCAAATATCGTATCAATTAATAATAAATTTAAGTATGACCTGTATGTCATGGATATCAGAAATGTAAACTGTCCTCCATAGTTTCGTGTGGAAGAAATGCATTAATATTTATTTGGTCACCAGAAACACTGGTATATATTACTCTGAGGTGAGCATATAATTCTAACTTTTCTACATTTTATCTTCTTGTGTTCTTATTGTTAAATTTTTGCTTTTCTTTATTCAATAAATGTCAAATTGCCTGAACCGTTTTATTTACTAAAGTAATAAAAATGTATGTGCATATTCTTTACACTATTTCTCTATATCTCTATAGCTTGTTAAATTCAGCCTCTCACTTAAAACATTTTCCTTTATGATTTCTCTGACATGCCAAACTCTAGCAGTATTGCCATCATTGGCTTGTTAGTTCTTCATCTTTCTTCTGCTCCAAAAAGTGAGTATTTACCAGAATTATGCCTTTAAACTTTTTTCCCCAACTTTTTATTTAACGTTTCTATTTCCACGGCTTTAAACTAGCCTATTATTTGAAGTATTCTTAACTCCATATCTGCAACCCCCTATTTTCATTTTCTACCTGACATTTTTACCTGTATACCCTAACATTGCCTAGAAAATGAGTCGACCAAAGTTAAAAGAATATCTAATCAATAATCACCCAAAACCCAAATCATTAAAAAATCACAATTTTTATAGCATAGTGATTCTCCACATTTACTCATATGTATTTTTATGACTTCTTTTCCTTTGCCTACCATATTTAAAATTTGTATACATCCCATCTCTCCTTTCACGTGTGATAATTTCTGTCCTTATTAGTACAGCTTTCACTCGATTTCACTAAAATCTTCAACAAGTTTATCTTTCTATTGACTAATTGTCAAGACATTAGACTTCCATCTGGGAGATACGCTACGTGACCATGAGCCAATCTTCTCAGTGCTAAGGCTAACCACTTTCCAATAGGAGTCATATTTTACAGAAAATATGTTGTCTCCTTCTTGGCACACTCTTTGTTCAAGGTTTTTCTTCTATTACTTCATCTTTTTCTGTCAAAATTCTATTCATCTTTCAAAGTCCACCTCAAAAGTAAATTCTCCATGGATTCATCATGAATGCCTTCATAGTAGGCAATTAAGAGCTCCTCCAAATTTCTACAAAATTCTTACCAAAAACGTAGGTTAAATAGGAAAGGCAAATAAGGGTATTTTCTGTGAAATGATTTAAATTTGTCATCACATTATTTACCCAAAAAAATCTCTGTAGTTGACTCTAAATAGTAGCAAACAATTTGTAAAGAAAATAGTATTTCTCGATATCTCAGGAGTTTGAGACCAGCCTGGGCAACATGGTAAGACCCCATCTCTACAAAAAATACAAAAATTAGTTGGGCATGGTGGTGTGTGCCTATAGTCCCAGCAACTTGAGAGGCTGAGGTAGGAAGATCACTTGAGCCCAGGAGGCAGAGATTGCAGTAAGCCCAGATTGTGCCACTGCACTGCAGTCTGGGCTACAGAGTGAGACCCTGTCTCAAAAATAATAATCATCATCATCATCATAATAATTGATGAATACAGCTTAGGTGGCTAAGGAGGATCCCCTATCAACTTCAGGTATTTCCCAATATAAATAGGATATTTAAAACTTTAATAATATGCTAGGAAGGTTTTAAATATACATGCATGTAAGCATAAAAGCAAAGCAATAAAAACAGATTACAGTTACATCTTTGAAGGTCAAAGATATTTATAGATTTTTCCACAAAACTGAATATCTTTCAACAAGAGCAGCAAACTTGGTCTGCTTATGTGAATGACATATTATGGCTTAATGGTAAATAATTCTATTGATTATCAGACAGGTTTTTGACTTTGCATACCTCTATCCTTATTCACGTTGAAAAGAAAACAGTAACATATCCTAAAATAATTTACTAAAGTATATTAGAATATTAGGAACAGTGAAAATTGTCAGTTCTGGGTTTTTATTTTATTTTATTTTATTATTTCATTTTATTTTATTTTTGAGGCAAGGTATTGCTCTGTCACCTAGGCTGGAGTTCAGTGGCATGATAACTGCAGCTTGGACCTCCCTGGCTTAAGTGATCCTCCCACCTCAGTTTCTTGAGTAGCTGAAACTACAGACATGCATCACCATGCATAGCTAATTTTACAAAGTCTCTACAAAAGATGCACAAGCTGGTCTCAAACTACTAGACTGAAGCAATCCTCCTGCCTCGGCCTCCCGAAATGTTGGGGTTAAAGGTGTGTGCCACCATGCCCCGTTAACTATCATTTTTTTGACCAACCAAATTATTTGTAAAAAATTTTTAAAAGTCTAGACAATTCGGTTATTGTTTCATTAATGTCCCTAATACAGTACTGGATGAATAAATCATGATATATCCATAAAAGAAAATAAGATGCAAATACTTTTAAAAATAAGAAAGCAAATAATCAAAAACAAGGAATAAGCGCTAATGAAATAATATGCCACAAAACCCAATATATAATTTAGGCCGGATGCGGTGGCTCACTCCTGTAATCCCAGCACATTGGGAGGCTGAGGCAGTCAGATCACTTGAGTCCCAGATTTCGAGACCAGCCGGGGCAACATGGTGAAACTCTGTTTCTACTAAAAATACAAAAAAAAAAAAAAATTAGCATGGCTTGGTTGTTGGCGTCTTTAATCCCAGCTACTTGGGAGACTGAGGCATGAGAACTGCTTGTACCAGAGAGGCGGATTTTGCAGTGAGCTGAGATTGCACCACTGCACTCCAGAGAGGGCGACAGAGTAAAACTCTGTCAAACACACACACACACACACACACACACACACACACACACACACACACACACACACTATATATATATAACTTAAAGTGGAAAACCAAAAAGTGCAGAAAGGTAGGTTTCTACTGTAATCACTTCTTTTTTTAAAAAAAAGGAAAGATGAAAGGCAGGCTGGGTGTGGTTGTTCGTGTCTGTAATCCCAATACTTTGGGAGGCCAAGGTAGGAGGATCGCTTGAAGCCAGGAGTTCAAGACCAGCCTGGGAAACAAGACTCCACCCTGTCTCTACAAAAATAAAATAAAATTAGCCAGGCACAATGACATGCAAACTGTATTCCCAGCTACTCCAGAGGCTGAGATGGGAGGATCCTGTGAGCCCAGGACTTTCAGGTTGCAGTGGGCTATAATCCCACCACTGCATTTCAGCAGCCTGGGTGATGGAGTGAGAGCGTGTCTTGAAAGAAGAAAGAAAAAAGAAAAAGAATGAAAGAAAAAGGAAGAAAGAAAGAAAGAAAGGAAGGAAGGAAGGAAGGGGCAAATTATAAAATATATATATTGGCGATTTACAATTTGGTGATTGTAAATATATTTATATAATTTGGCAATAATAATCTTGGGAATATACAAAAAAAGTAAACTGCTTCAGAAATTCAGAAAGGTAAAGTAAATGGTTTGGGGTTTGAGGAGGCAAGGAGATTTTTTACTACGTACTAGATTTCACTCTTTGAAATTTTGAATGTGAATATATTTCTTATACAAACAAGGAACAAAATAAAAAATACTATTAAACTGCCATTTAAACTATTTTAAATTGTTCATATTAATTCTTCATGAACATGGCAAATACATCTCAACAAAGTAAGTTAAAAAGAAGTCAGTGCTACACAAATATGATAAAAAGAAGATAAATAGATGTAAAAGAAATGCTTAAAATTCAAGTTCTAGACTAAAGATAAAAAGGCAAAATTGAACAGATGATTTTGACACAGCTATATTTTATAAAATGAGGACAATACATAGAATAAAATATTAGGTAACATATATATTAAATTTGTTTACTATAACATTTATAGGTATTGATTATCAAAATATGGAAATGTAAATATTTGATTTTGTAAATACACTATAGAAGAAAGGTGAATCCATTGCTCCAGTTAGCAAAGTCCTCCTCCAAAAATGGAGAGTAGCCAACATAAACCATAGATTTTGATCTATAGTATTACGCATCCCAAAACAAAAGTGTATATTAAACGTACTTCCAAATAATTAGTGCAAATACAGCATAACATTAAAAAATAATAATTATACATAAAGCTATCAACTAAAAAAGAAATTATGAAAGAAAATTTAAGGAGACCAATTGAACTAATTGTTTTAAAATTGTTGGAAACAAGATTATTTATGACTCACATTGTCTGTAGAGGATGGACCCTGAGGAAGGCTGGGACTGAAGGCCATGAGGTCTGTCTTGGGTGGGCCCTCCCCAGAGCACACCCTCTGCCGCCTCTGCTGGGAGAATGACCAGCTCCCCACCGCGCTGGAGCACACCAGAGTGGGCTTTACCAAACTACATGCGCCCTCAGAGGACGGCGCTGAGCACCGCAACGCCGTGTACAGCAGCAGGGTAAGCACCAACAGACTGGACACCGCGCAGATGGCGATGATCAGGTACACGTTGACATCCACCAGCTCGGTCTCTGGGCCTGCAATGCCCAACGATGCCCGCGACGACGCCTTTGGTGCCTGGCCGCTTTCCACCAGCGACACCAGCACGGTGGCTGTGGCTGTCAGCGAGGGCTCCCCGTGGTCCTTCACAAGCACCAGAAGGCGGTGGCGCGGTGCGTCCGTCTCATCTAGGGCTCGTGTCGTGCTGATCTCACCAGTGTACAGCCCCACGCGGAACGGGATGCTCGCACCGGCCGCCACCGGTTGCAACTCATACGAAAGCCACGCGTTGTAGCCTGAGTCAGCGTCAACTGCACGTACCTTCGCCACCACATGGCCCGCGCCCACAGACCGCGGCACAAGCTCTCTCACTGCGCCACCAGTGCCACCCACCCGAGGCGCCAGCAGTGCCGGCGCGTTGTCGTTCTCGTCCAGCACGAACACCTGCAGCGTCACGTTGCTGCCCAGAGGCGGCACGCCCGCATCGCGCGCGCTCACCTGGAACTGCAACAGCTCCAGCTCCTCGTGGTCCAACGGCTGCAGCGCGTACACCTTGCCGCTCTCCGCGTGCACTGACACGTAGCTCGACAGCGCGCGCTCGCCCACCCGCAGCTCCACCAGCGAGTAGGACACCAGCGCGTTCTTCTGCGCGTCCGCGTCCCCCGCCGACACAGTGAAGATGTGGCAGCCCGGCGGGTTGTTCTCCTTCACGAACACCGTATACTCGGGCTGCGCGAACGCCGGGGCGTTGTCGTTCACGTCGGCCACCTCCACGGACACGCTAGCAGTGGCCCACAGAGAAGGCGAGCCCCCGTCCCGCGCGGTAACCACCAGCTCATAGGCGGACACACTCTCGCGGTCCAGAGCGCTGTCCAGCACCAATGAATAGTAATTCTTGAAGGTGGACACCAACTTGAAGGGAACGCGGGGCGTCAGGGAGCAGGTAACCTGTCCGTTGACTCCAAAATCTCGGTCAAACACGCTAATCAATGTGATGACGGTACCTGGTTGGGCGTCCTCTGGAATAGGGAGAGACAGGGAAGTGAGAGTCAACTGTGGAGCATTGTCATTTACATCCACAACTTCCACAAGAACTGTACAATGACCAGCCAGGGGTGGGAAGCCTTTATCGACAGCCTCGACTGGGATCTTGTGTGCTCTACTTTCTTCAAAATCCATATGTCCTATCACTGTGATTGCCCCACTTAAGGGGTCCATGTGGAACTTGGATTTTATATCTGGAGAAACATCACTGGAGAAGGAGTAAATAATATCCCCATTCAAGCCTTCGTCTAAATCTGAGGCATTGGGGTGAATCACCAGCGTTCCGATAGAAACGTTTTCTGGTAATTTCACCGTATACAGGGTTCTGTCGAACACTGGGGCATTGTCATTGTTGTCCAGTACCGTGATGAGTAATTGAACGGTGCCAGTCAGCTCGGGTTTGCCTCCATCGGTGGCCGTGAGCAATAAATGAAGCTCCGGAGTTTCTTCTCTGTCTAAAAGTTTCCGTAATACAAGTCCAAGAGGTTTTACCTGCTGGTTGCTGGTTGGCACGTCCAGGAAGAAATACTCATTGGGGCTCAGTCTGTAAGTGAGCAGGGCGTTCTCCCCGATATCTGCATCGGACGCGCCCTCTAGTGGAAACCGAGAGTCAAGCGGCCTGGATTCCGCGATGAACAGATTCCTTTGTGTCGCTGGGAACACCGGAGGGTTGTCGTTAATGTCCTTCACCTCCACGTCCACATGGAAAACCTGCAGCGGCCTTTCCACGATCACCTCCAGGTGGATGCTGCACTCCGCGCTCCGCCCGCACAGCTCCTCGCGGTCGATCCGAGAATTCACAAACAAAATGCCATTCTGCAGATTTACCTCCAGAAGATCCCCACGGAATTTGCACACCGCCCGGAACAGGCGCGGCACCAGCTCCGCCAGCTCCAGCCCCAGGTCCTGCGCGATGCGGCCCACGAAGTTGCCATGTTTAGCCTCCTCGGGGACCGAGTAGTGGAGCTGGCCTCTCCCTGCCTCCCAAGCTGCTAGAATTATAATAAACAGCAGTAGATGTCGGCCCCCTGGGTCGTATCCATTCGGGCACACCATTTCAAATTATTGGCTTGTTTTTCTAGTCAGCAAAACTTGCCTTCGAATTTATAGGAATGTTTTTATCCCTTCATTTCAATCTCGATGTGTGGCCATTGTTGTGCATCCAAAGAGTGAAAGAGAGTGGAGCGTCTTTCCAGTGCGAAAAGGAATGACTTCCTTTTGCTGATTACGAAAGAATTTGCGGTAAAGAGCGACATCATGTGGCCATCATGTAAGTAAGAATTACAAACCATTACAAACTATTAATCAGATGAAAAGTTTTATTTCAAACTCTGAATTTTTTTCTTCATTGTTGTTAAAGGTTAAAATAGCATTTCTCATGATTGTTAGAAGCATTCTTAGGCGACTGATGGCTTTTGAATACTCAGTGTTACCAGAACTGTAGCTTCCTCATGCCTTAGAAAAACTTTTTTTTCACACAGTTTTAAATAAAGATAGAAACCTAAGTGACAACATGAATTTAAACAACTGCAAGTTTAAATTCCTTTGATCTAGATCCCAGGAAACTTCATATTCTTGATTCAGTATCGCTTGTTAAGAAAAATCCTGTACTCTTTTAGGGACCCAGGATCTCAAGAATCTACTGATTGATGAAAGAGAAACTTAGAAAGCGGTGTGTGTGTGTGTGTTTTCTTTTTAGGAGGCAAGAAACATTAGCAACTATCCAGACACTTCTCTTGGGAAAACAAAATAAGAGAAGGTTTGGGGAATCTTTGAAGGGGAAGAATTTGTATCATGTGAACTTTTTGAGGAGGAAGTATTCTGAATTTTTTGCTTTAGCAGAATCTATATATACTGTTTCAGGAGTTCATCATTTTATATTTGTTTCCTCATTCTATCCTTTCGAACACTTGTGTGTTATGAATATATGCCTATTTTTACAATCTCAAATATGATTTGTATTATTTCTTTTAAAATGTAAGTTTATTTTATTAGATAAATTTCAGTGCTCAGCCATCTCACATACAGCAGCCCTTTGATCAAGTCTTGAGGTATTTCATCCTTTTTGGATCTACCTTACTGTGTTCGTTTTCTGGAATGTTTCACTCCAATGTTCCCAATGGCATGTAAAATAATTATGTCTGTATTCAGATGCTTTCCTAAATAAGTTTTTATAATTGCTGCTCTCCTGGTGTATTGCAGTAGCTTCTTATTGTGTAACCTGTCCATTCCTATTTCATTCTCCTTCATTTAATCCTTGCAGTCATCTTCCGTTAATACTTTTTATTCGTATTGCTTCACACTTTTTGACAGCTTTCAAATGACTTTGAAGAGTGTCAAAATTACTCGTCTAGTACTCAAAGTTATACAAAAGGTTTTTCTCATATTACTTTTCTTGCTTTATATCACACTCTCTCTTATGGGAACCATGTGCTTTACCCAAAGTGGACTATTCCTCATTTCTAGGTACATTTGGAATTTTCTGTATACTCACTTAAGTTACTCTCTTCTCATGAATACCTGTTAGTCTCCATATTCTCCCAGGGAAAACTCTTTCCATTTTATAACCAGTAAAACATCATGACTCTTCACGGTCTCCTTCAACAAGGGAAAAAGGCAAAGATTTTTTTCCAATTCCAATAACACTATGATGTACCTTTCTAGCACCTCTTACAATATTCTTGCTTTTACTATCATCGTATTTATGTAGGATACTTACCTTTATTTATCTATTAAATTTGAAGCCAGGTCTTGTTAATTCGATGATTCTCAGCAGGCACAGTGTGATACTCTTAAAGACCCTCCTAGGAACTTTTTAAAAAACATTTACTCACTAGCAACGCTATAGTTCTCTACTTCCTAAGAAAGTATGCTGTTTTGAGGCTGTTAGATATCATTAGCTACACAAATGGTGATCTTCAGTATAATCAGAGACAATTCTGCCACTCTTAAGTATGTAGAGTTAGTTTTTTTAAATTTTAGTGCAATATTAATTACACGCTTAAAAATTATCATGTACTTCTTTTAGAAAACAGAAAATACCACTACCAGTTTCTGCCATTTCAAGAATGGAAAATGCTCACATTAGGAAACACAAACCACAACTCAGTCCTCTAATGGCCCTTAAGCAACTTTTAAATGTGGGCAAATACACCATTCATGCTTAATGTAGTCTAATATTTCCTGGGAACATGGACAACACAAAAAGTCAAAACCAACTCCAGGAAATCACTGAGGACTCAGCAGGTTAAATGTCTTTTGAATTCATAAAACTTTTCCACTGTCCAAGTCTTAATTCAATTTTCAACTTTGAAACACACATTTTAAATTGCTTTTAATGTAGAACATGGCATTTAAAATGTTAGAGACATCTCAGATTAAATTGGTAATTATGGCCTCACTATGAATAACAAAAATTCAATCTTTACGTAAAATGAAAACAATATGGAATCCGTAATGAGAGTTTCCTAGCATAAAATGACATAAAGTTTTTCTTTTCCTCTTCGGAAAACTAGTAGCAAATTTTTTAAGCACTTGCTATTTGGCAAACACAGTTATAAGCGCCTTACAATATCAACTTACTAAAGCTTTATGACAATTCTATCATTGAAACTAGTGTTTATCATTCCAACTTTACAGAAGAAACTGAAATAGAGGTGAAACAATCCATCCACAAAACAAAATTGGTAGCGATGAAATTTAGGCAAGGGAGGATAACACCAAAACTCACACTTAATCACTACTTTTTGCTGCTTTTCATTCAAAGAAATAATGACTAGCCAAGCATAGTGGCTCACACCTATAATCTTAGTACTTTGGGAGGCCAAGGTGGGCAGATCACTTGCACCCAGTAGTTTGAGACCAGCCTGGGCAACATGGAGAAACCCCATCTCTTAAAAAAAAAAAAAAAAAAAAAAAAGGTGGGGGGCATGGTGGTGCTCGTGTGTAGTAACTCCAGAGGCTGAGGTGAGAGAATCACTTGAGCCCAGGCATTCGAGGGTGCAGTGAGCCATTATTGCACCACTGTACTCCAGCATGGGTGACAGAGCAAGACCCTGTCACACACACACACACACATACAAAATAGTGAATAGTTTAAATTACTGTGTAGAAACAATGAAAACACTAATACAAAGAAATAGATTTAGACTCCATGAAGAGAAGACCATCAAGTGAAATTCAAACAGAAATAAGAGAGCCGCAATGCCAGAGGAATGCAGTTTTCATATAAATTTACTTGATCACAAGGTCTAAATTCTGTTGAATCACTATTTTTCCATTATTTAGATCGGTAGTAAATAAATCAATAACCATAACAACCAGAAGTATTCAGGCTGATAACTATTGTTTTTGTCCTTTATTCCTCAATGGTTTAAAAGGGGGACAATAAATGAACACTATTGCCTCCCGGAATCACAAGTCTGAAAAGGGAACCACAGATAAAAACTATGATGATCAGAGTTCTTACACAAAATGGATAAAATCAAAGCGTTAGCTTAATAAAAGTGTCGACAGAAAAACATTGAAATGGAAAGTGTAAAAACATAAGTGATACACTGGTGCTCAAATTTCAATATATGATCAAAAAAGAGTATATGTAAAAAAATTATCCTAAAGCTCAAAGGCAAACAAATGAAAATCCCATATAATTAATCAGAAAAAAATGCTACTATGATTCTGAATTAAAATGCAACAGAAAACGACATATCCAAGAATATTTTGGTTTGAAGACAAAAATTCTGAGGTGCAGATTGTGGACAGTGATTTCTAATTTCACTTAAATTATGAATATTAAAGAAGCAAAGAGATTAAAATAAGAAACACAATAAAATGAAAATATGTAATTTTGTAAAATTAATTAAAAATTAAAAACAGAAATATAGAAGACAAATATGAGGAAAACAATTATAAATTTAAAATAAAAATTAACTGTTAATTATGAAAATTCACTTACTTTGGCATCATGATCTTCATTTAAATCCTGATTCTCCGCCTTACCCATCATAATAGGACAAGGTGAAAGGCTGGGGCTAAAGGCCATGAGATCCATCTTGGGTGGGCCCTCCCCGGAGCACACCCTCTGCCGCCTCTGCTGCGAGTACGACCAGCTCCCCACTGCGCTGGAGCACACCAGCGTGGGCTTGTCCGCCGTGCACGCGCCCTCGGTGGGTGGCGCCGAGCACCGCAGCGCTGTGTACAGCAGTAGCGTGAGGACCAGCAGGCTGGATACCGCGCAGATGGCGATGATCAGGTACACGTTGACATCCACCAGCGCCGCCTCTGGGCCCGCGGCGCCCACCGACGCCCGTGATGACGCCTTTGGAGCCTGGCCACTCTCCACCAGCGACACCAGAACCGTGGCCGTCGCTGTCAGCGCCGGCTCACCGTGGTCTTTCACCAGCACCAGCAGCCGGTGGCGCGGAGAGTCCGCTTCGTCCAGGACACGAGTGGTGCTGATCTCGCCCGTGTACAGCCCCACGCGAAACGGGAAGCGAGCGCTGCTTGCCGGGGGCTGCAGCTCATACGAAAGCCACGCGTTGTAGCCTGAGTCGGCGTCAACTGCGCGCACCTTCGCCACCACTTGGCCTGCACCCAGTGACCGCGGCACCAGCTCGCTCACTGCACCACCAGTACCACCCACCCGAGGCGCCAGCAGCGCCGGCGCGTTGTCGTTCTCGTCCAGCACGAACACCTGCAGCGTCACGTTGCTGCCCAGAGGCGGCACGCCCGCGTCGCGCGCGCTCACCTGAAACTGCAGCAGCTCTAGCTCCTCGTGGTCCAGCGGCTGCAGCGCGTACACCTTGCCGCTCTCCGCGTGCACCGAAATGTAGCTCGACAACGCGCGCTCGCCCACCCGCCGCTCCACCAGCGAGTAGGACACCAGCGCGTTCTCCTGCGCGTCCGCGTCTCGCGCAGACACCGTGAAGATGTGGCAGCCCGGCGGGTTGTTCTCCTTCACGAACACTGTGTACTCGGGCTGCGCGAACGCCGGAGCATTGTCATTCATGTCGGCCACCTCCACAGACAAGCTGGCGGTGGCCCACAGCGAAGGCGAGCCCCCGTCCCGCGCGGTTACCACCAACTCATAGGCCGACACGCTCTCGCGGTCCAGGGCACTGTCCAGCACCAACGAGTAGTAATTCTTGAAGGTGGACACCAGCTTGAAAGGGACGTGAGGCGTCAGCGAGCAGTTCACCTGCCCGTTGGCACCTGAATCGAGGTCGTTCACGCTAATTAGGGCGATGACAGTACCAAATTGAGCGTCTTCACGTACAGGCAAGGATAAGGAAGTCAGTGCTATCTCAGGGACGTTATCATTTTTATCCAAAATTCTCACTAAAACGGTGCAATGACCCGCCATGGGAGGATGGCCTTTGTCCGTGGCGTCAATGAGGATTTTGTATAAGTTTTCTTGTTCAAAATCCAAATTACCCCGAATCACTATTTCTCCCGTATTTCGATCTATGCTAAAGTGGTCAATAACCATGGCTGCAACAAGGCTATTAAAAGAATATGAAATTGCCCCATTCGCTCCTTCATCCCGATCAGAAGCATTCAGTCTGATAACTGTTGTTCCGTTGTCTGCATTTTCGAATATTCTTACTTCGTATTCAGACTGTTCGAAAGTGGGAGCATTATCATTCACATCCAGCACTGTGACCAGCAGCTGAACAGTGCCTGTGAGCTCAGGTTTGCCCCCATCTGTGGCTGTCAGGAATAAGTTGTGTGCAGGAGCTTCCTCTCTGTCCAAGGATTTCTTTAATAAGAGCCCAATTTGTTTATTGTCATCACTGTTTATTTTCACATCTAGCCCGAAGTATTCGCTAGAACTGAGTTTATAGGTTAAGATGGAATTTGAGCCAACATCTGCATCGGACGCGCCCTCCAGTGGAAACACAGAATCTGGCAGCCTAGATTCGTAAATCAGCACTCTTTGTTCCTCTACCGGGAACAAGGGCGGGTTGTCGTTAATGTCCCTCACCTCCACGTCCACATGGAAAACCTGCAGCGGCCTGTCCACGATCACCTCCAGGTGGATGCTGCACTCCGCGCTCCGCCCGCACAGCTCCTCGCGGTCGATCCGAGAATTCACAAACAAAATGCCATTCTGCAGATTTACCTCCAGAAGGTCCTCGCGGTCTTTGGAGGCCATCCTGAACAGGCGCGGCACCAGCTCCGCCAGCTCCAGCCCCAGGTCCTGCGCGATCCGGCCCACGAAGGTGCCGTGTTTGGCCTCCTCGGGTACGGAGTAGTGGAGCTGGCCGCTCCCCACCTTCCAGGCTGCGAGGAGCAGAAGCGGGAGGAGCAGACATTGCTTTCCCAATCTATCCTCCGGGGTAAACACCATGTCAAATACCTCTGGTTTTATTTCCATTAGAAGATCTTCCGCATAAAGATAAAATACTGTATGTTCCGGAATTTATTAATCCATTTCTTCTGCGTCCGCCATCATTCAACAGTCAGGGAATGATGCAGTAATAGAAGAAATTTGAATGTTGGCTAGCTATAACTTCATGGTAGACAGCGACATCATG
The DNA here is from genome assembly GCF_000001405.40 of Homo sapiens. Classification (NCBI taxonomy): domain Eukaryota; kingdom Metazoa; phylum Chordata; class Mammalia; order Primates; family Hominidae; genus Homo; species Homo sapiens. The sequence goes on along the minus strand of NC_000005.10, from coordinate 140,827,904 downwards.
CGGCTCCAAAAGGTAAGAAATCAATTCACGTAACAGTGCTATACCATATATTTTTAAAACAGTATCTTCTTTTCTCTACTTTTATAGTAAACCCTCCTCACGTTTGTAATTTGCACGGTCAGTGTTATCCCGACTTCTTTTATTAATTTAAAGTAAGGGATCTAATTATTCACAGCTAAACAACTTTTCTACCAATATTTGCAACATTAATATCAACCAGTTCAGCAAATTTAAGTGTTAACGGAACTGCTTTTTAAATCAGAAATGTAAACTATTCTACACTCTTGGTAGAAAAGAAACTTGCCCACATCTGTCTTTCCTAGGACATGCTATTATATAGTGCTCTAGGGAAAAAATGTAACTTAAAATTATCAAATTTTGGTTGAATTTTTAAAGCCTTATAGATTATTGAAGTCCATGCTTTCTTTGTTCAATAAATATCAGATGCTCTTAAGGTTCTTCTGTGTAATGATGGAAGATAAAATTCTAGAGCATATTCTTTATCACATTTAATTTATCTGCAGCTTATATTAGGATTCTTGCTTAAAATATTTTCTTTTCATATACTTCACCACTTCAAATTCTAGTGGAATTTCTACCCATTGTGCTTTGCTGTTTTTGATTCTTCAGCTGTTCCTAAATGATCTCGTTTTTCTCTCTCAACTTCAACCCTGTCCCATATCCTTTCCTTTAATTGTTCTCACTCACTTCCAAGTTTTGAATAAGACTTTTATTGAGGTATTTACAAATCCATATCTGCATCCCTTCTTTCTATGTTTCTAATTGTCACTTTCACCTATACATGCTGACTCCTAGAAAATAGTTTGTTAAATAGCAAGGCATGAGCAATTATTAATAATCCCCAAATTCAAATTTTTAAATTCATATTTTTAATGACATGAGCATTTCCCATGTCACCTATATTACTTTTTAAATTACTCCTTTTCCCTGGCTTGCCTTATTCCACATCCACCTAAGTCCATCTGTCTTTCACATGCTATCATATTTATCTTTATGAGTACAGCTTTCATTGAATTTTACTAAACCTAGAAATTGCAAGACACTTGAGAAACTTCTAGTAACCTAATATGTAATCACATGTTAGGTAATCAACTTTTTGCAGGTTATTTTCAATTACTCTCCAATATGAATCTTATTTTTCTGACAATATAGACCACTTGCTCTTCCTCTTTCTCAATACCACCTTTGTTTTAGCTGGGTTTTTTTAATTACGTCTACAATTTACTTGCAAAAATGTTACCTTCATATAAAAGTCAGGGCCAAATATCAACTTCGCCCTTAATTTAACCTTAATGTTATCCATTTGAAGTGATTAAACCCCTCCTTCAAAGGAGAAAAATAGAGTCACCAATAAGACTTTTCAAATGACATGATCATCTTCACCTTACTCCAAAATTCTGATATACAGTAAAATGCCTCACAGATGATTGTGACACAAAGCCTTTTCTTCCATGTGAAATTCTATCTTAAAATAATTAACCTGGATCTATTTAGTAGTTCTTATCACTGACTTTCTATTGCAGTTATTTTGGGCAAACAAAGGGTTCAATTTCTTAACCAAAAACAATCCCCAAAACAAGAGGTTCCTATAAAAAAGACAAGCTGCACAAAATATACATAAAGACTTGATATATAAAGAGATATATAAATAGTTTATATCACAAAACTTGATTTTTTAAAATGTGACCATTGTTAACTTTAGATTTATAGAATGACAAAAACTATTTCTCAATTTCTAGGACTTCCTCAAAGTAGCTCAGGATATTAGGAATATATAAATAGCATGATAGAAGGGTACTTATAAAATTGAATGCATATGAGAATAAAAGAAACAGGCAAAGCAACAGAAATAGGGAATTCACATTTTATCATGTAAAGTGTGGACTATTTACTACCTATAAATCCATACTTTTCCCCTCAAAAGAGTAGACAAATGGTTCTCATTATTTCAGATGGAGAGGACACCTGTCTAGCGTAGTCTCAAACATACAGCTTTAATAAACAACTCTTTGTAAACAACTCAAGAGGGGAGTTTGTATCATGGTATATTTATTTTTTTAATCTAAAAGTAACAACAAGCAGTAAAATTTCCCAACCAAAATATAGTAGAATTTGCACAACTGAGGAGATTCACAGTTACTCCTCATCAATATAATAATTTAGGCCAGGCGCGATGGCTCATGCCTGCAATCCCAGCACTTTGGGAGGCCGAGGCGGGTAAATCACCTGAGATTAGGAGTTCGAGACCACCATGACCAACATGGTGAAACCCCGTCTCTAGTAAATACAAAAAATTAGCCAGGTGTGGGCACATGCCTGTAATCCCAGCTACTTGGGAAGATAAGGCAGGAGAATCGCTTGAACCTGGGAGGCCAAGATTGTACCATTGCACTCGTTTGGGCAACAAGAGCAAAATTCTGTATCAAAATATCTGATATATATTATTATTATATATTTATTATATATATTATATAAAATATATAATATATTAGATATATATTAGATATTTTAGATATTTATATATCTAATATATATTAGATATATTGAAAAATATGCAAATTTCCAGAAAATTAAATCATTGTTCCACTAAATGTTAATGTTAAGGGAAAAATAACCAATCACATACCTACACAATGGAACACCATAGATCCAGATAAAAGAAAAACAAATCTACTTCAGTAATGATAATTCATGATCATCAAGATACATTAGTAAATGAAAAAAGCAAGATTAAAATCAATACTCATATGTTTTTTAAGGGGGTAGGGAAGTTTATTTGTATATGAAAAAAATCTCTAGAAGGATACCAGAGAATGTTTTGGCTTCATGAAGGAGGTGAAAGGGAAAATTTAACTGTATTCTTTTGCACCTTTAGAACAGTAAACCATGTATATGTGTTTCCTATTCAAAAAATCAATAAAATGAAAAATATAATTTTTAAATTACAATTATCAAATTCATCATGGGTATACAGGTGAACTGCTTAGGCAAAGTTGAAATAAACCATATGCTGCAAAAATACAATTGAAAACAAACTAAATTAGTGTAATAAAATAATAATTAATTTAAATTCAATAGAAACAAAAAGGCAAAATTGGAAGGGTGGTGTTAAAACATTTTTATAGGCCAGGCACTCTTGCTCAATCCTGTAATCTTAGTACTTCGGGAGGCTGAGACGGGAGCATGGCTTCAAACCAGGAGTTCAAGACCAGCCTGGGCAAAGTAGCAAGACCCCTATCTCTACAGAAAATAAAAAAAAAAAAAAAAAAAAAACTTTAATTAGCATGTGCATGTAGTCCAGCTACTTGGGCGGCTGAGATAGGAGGATCACTTGAGCCCAGGAGTTTCAGGCTTCGGTGAGCTATGATCAGATCACTGCAGACTAAGCAACAAAGGGTCTCTAAAAAATAACAATAAAATAAAATAAATTTTCATGTAGTCATAAACTGAAACTTTGAGAATGACTCCAAACTATGTCTTACAATTATTATCCTACATTTTTAGAGATGCAAAATTCAAATGCTAATATAAAATATTATTTTAAAAACACTTAATATCACAGAAAGCTGATGAATCTATTACCCCAGCAGAAAAGCCTCATAAAAAGCATATAATACATGAATTAGTGCAATAATTGTGTACCACAATATTTGTGTACTAAGACATAATTTTTAAATACAAAAAAAGTGGGTGAATGTGACATTTAATATTTGAAAATTGGGAGGGAAAGATGGATGTTAATATTAGAAAACTCACGTTGTCTGTAGAGGTGGGACCCTGAGGAAGGCTTGGACTGAAGGCCATGAGGTCTGTTTTGGGTGGAGCTTCCCCAGAGCACACCCTCTGTCTCCTCTGCTGCGAGTACGACCAGCTCCCCACCGCGCTGGAGCACAACAGAGTGGGCTTGCCCCGTGTGCACACGGCCTCGGTGGGCTGCGCCGAGCACCGCAGCGCGGTGTACAGCAGCAGCGTGAGCACCAGCAGGCTGGACACCGCACAGATGGCGATGATCAGGTACACGTTGACATCCACCAGGGCAGCCTCGGGACCCACAGCGCCCGCCGACGCCCGCGATGAGGCCTTCGGCGCCTGGCCACTTTCCACCAGCGACACCAGCACTGTGGCTGTGGCTGTCAGCGGGGGCTCTCCATGGTCCTTCACCAGCACCAGAAGGCGGTGGCGCGGTGCTTCGGTCTCATCCAGAGAGCGTGTTGTGCTGATCTCGCCTGTGTACAGCCCCACGCGGAACGGGATGCGCGCACTGCCAGGCGCTGGCTGCAGCTCATACGAAAGCCAAGCGTTGTAGCCCGAATCAGGGTCCACTGCGCGCACCTTCGCCACCACGTGGCCCGCACCCACTGACCTCGGCACCAGCTCGCTCACTGCGCCGCCGGTGCCACCCACTCGAGGCACCAGCAGCGCCGGCGCGTTGTCGTTCTCGTCCAGCACGAACACCTGCAGCGTCACGTTGCTGCCCAGAGGCGGCACGCCCGCGTCGCGCGCGCTCACCTGGAACTGCAGCAGCTCCACTTCCTCGTGGTCCAGCGGCTGCAGCGCGTACACCTTGCCGCTCTCCGCGTGCACCGAAACGTAACTCGACAGCGGGCGCTCGCCCACCCGCCGCTCCACCAGCGAGTAGGACACCAGGGCGTTCTCCTGCGCGTCCGCGTCCCGTGCAGACACCGTGAAGATGTGGCAGCCTGGCGGGTTGTTCTCCTTCACGAACACGGTATACTGGGGCTGCGCGAACGCCGGAGCGTTGTCGTTCACGTCGGCCACTTCCACAGACACGCTGGCGGTGGCCCACAGCGAAGGCGAGCCCCCGTCCCGCGCGGTCACCACCAGCTCATAGACCGACACGCTCTCGCGGTCCAGGGCGCTGTCCAGCACCAACGAGTAGTAATTCTTGAAGGTGGACACCAGCTTGAAGGGAACGTGGGGCATTAGGGAGCAGGTCACCTGCCCGTTGGCACCTGAGTCACGGTCAGACACGCTGATCAGAGCAATGACCGTGCTGAGTGGAGCGTCCTCTTTGACAGGCAGGAAAAGGGTGGTTATGGCCATCTCTGGGGTATTATCATTCACATCCAGGAGTTTCACTACTACTTTACAGTGTCCTGATAATGGGAATGTACTTTTATCCATGGCATCAATATTAATTTCATATGAGTTATAGTCTTCATAATCCAGTTCCCCGTTAACTTTTATTTCACCAGTATTAGAATTAATTATAAATTTGGACTTTACATCGTCAAGAACAAGATTACTAAAGAAATACACTATTTCCTTATTGATGCCCTCATCTGCATCTGAGGCGTTCAGTTTAATAACTAATGTCCCACTTGGTGCATTTTCCAACAATCTGACATTATAAATGGATTTATCAAATTCTGGGGCGTTATCATTAGCATCCAATACATTGATCAACAACTGAACTGTACCTGTTAGTTCGGGTTTTCCTCCATCAGTTGCAATCACTAATAAACGGTGTTCTTGTGTTTCTTCTCTATCTAAGGATTTCCTCAAAACCAGCTCTAAAAAGTTCGTTTCTTCTTCATTTGTTTTAACATCTAAGTCAAAATATTCGTTTGGATTTAACCTGTATCTCAATTGTGCATTTGCTCCAATATCCAAATCCGACGCGCCCTCTAGCGGAAACCGCGAATCTGGCATTCTTGACTCTAAAATGAATAATCTTTGTTCTTGTCTGGAGAACCTGGGCGGATTGTCATTGATGTCCTTCACTGCCACCTCCACATGGAAAACCTGCAGCGGCCTGTCCACGATCACCTCCAGGTGGATGCTGCACTCCGCCCTCCGCCGGCACAGCTCCTCCCGGTCGATCCGAGAATTCACAAACAAAATGCCATTCTGCAGATTTACCTCCAGAAGGTCCCCGCGGCCCTTGGACGCCACCCGGAACAGGCGCGGCACCAGCTCCGCCAGCTCCAGCCCTAGGTCCTGCGCGATGCGGCCAACGAAGGTTCCGTGTTTGGCTTCCTCCGGGATCGAGTAGTGGAGCTGGCCGCTCCCTGCCTTCCAGTAGGCAAGGAGAAGCCAGAGCAGCAGGAGCCGGGATCCCAGACTTCCTCTCCGGGAATATACCATCTCAATCTCGTTCCAATTATGAGCTTTCTATTGCATCACCACACAATGTATTTTGTAAATTCAATTCCCAATTAACTATATATTTTTTATATTATCGCCTTTCTGAGCTTCTTGGCACAGCCAAAAATGGAAGGTTCTTTTCCTTTCTGTCTAAGGAAAATCTACTCACTGTATTCCTTTGAGGCTGGGAAGGGAGAAAAACCTTCCGGTGTCCAGCGACATCATGTGGATGAAAGGGTAAGTGTTTTATTTTGTTTTGCTTTATTTAGCTTATATTCGTCAATATTTCTCAAGTATTCTCACTTTCAATGACATGATTCTTATTCTTTAAATCACTTATCTCTAGTCAAAATATATCATTAAACTCTATCTTAAAATGCGTCAATATAAGTGCGTCATTAAAATATTACAGAAAAATACATCTAAAGTCATGAAACCCCAATCCTTACTAGAGAAATTTGTGCTGGTGTATTTTATATAGGGAGGAGTTTATATATTTCCAAACTGATAAAAATAACTTTTAAGAGTTAAAGTTTTGACTTTTCTCATCTCTATTTAAACATATCTAATTAAAACTTTTGAGTTTTTTCTGTATTAGTCAATGGAATGTTTGTATGCTATCTCCGTGTTACTCATAAAACAAATTTTTATTCCAATTTCACTGTTTAATAGTGACATTTTGTTGATGTTATTTTCAAAAACAACTAAAACTATTTTAATGGCATTCTTACCTGAGTTTCTTCTCGGAGTTCTAATTTTCAAATCGATGAAAACCTATTTCTTTATCTATAACACCTATCTACTTTTTGTATTGACTCAAAAACTGTAATGGGGATATTTCAGCTTTCTAGAAATCAAAAGCATAATAGAACGACTTTGGTAAATCGTCTTTGCACTATTTTCAAATTAGAAGCATCTAGATAGCATTTCTTCAAGTTGCTATTACTGATAAAGCAATTATTAAAAATTGTAAAATACATACCTTTGTACTTACATAACAAGTCAAAATCCTAATATTGTCTATATGACATACTATTTCACAAAATGTTTAGGTTCCAGTAAATATAATCATGTTGAAAAGAATATCATTTTATTAACCAGGCTATCTTTATATTAGTTTAATTACTTTTTAATCTCCCAACTGTTTACTGGATGGTATGATTTGAACACGACCTAGAAAATTTAGTAAACTTCACTTAATAAATATGGGCAAAAGAAAATATCACCAAGTTTTCTATTGAAGAAATAGCTAACATTCTGCTTGTATATATACTCCATAAAATTCCTTAAATATTACAAAATATCCCTTACCTGTGAAGACAAGAGGGACCAAGAGATTAGCAATTCTATTGTTGGATACTTTTACATTTAAAATATAGCTTGATAAGAAAAAAGAAATTACCAGAAAATGCAAAGTCAGAGGAAATTCACTTGATTTCTGGAATTCAAACTTGTAAAGAAACAAGATATTGTCATAGAATTGTTTCTGATACAATCTTTAAAGATATATTTACCAGTTCCCTTATAAGATTTTTACTATCTCTATTATCATGACTTTTCACTAATATTTGGATCGTTGAAACACAAATCAATTTCCCAGACTATTTGCCTAATAGTTTTCATACTGATAATTTTGAAATATTTTAATACACAATGGTTAAAAACATAAGAAAATGATAATAAATATTTAGAAAACAGCATTAGCTGATGTTAGCCACTTTCTATTATATAACAGTAAATAATGTAAAACTACAAAGCTATGGAATAAATTATAGTAGAATTTTATACAAAATACACAAAGATAACCTTTGAAAAAAGTAAATATTAAGTATTTAAAAGGCAAATTAACAATGTAGTATTAACAATGTGTACATTGTAATCTGCAGAGTATTATGATAAATACTGAGTATTTTAAAAGATATACTCAATGGAGAAAAAGTCATCAACAATATCAGTTCACATGCTCCTCTCAGTCTGGAAAAAATATCTCATGTACTTATATAGATATTTCAGGAGGAAACAAGACTCTTGACTTTTGATTCACTTTCATATCTGTTAAATTATATTTACTTTTTAAATTATCACTTGCATTTGTGCTACAGTGATCAACTCTTATTTTGAATATTCCTTTCTCAGTAACTATAGATTATCCAATCTGAATTTCATGGGAGACTCCACAGGAAAAGAACATTTTAAAAAATCTTCTTCTAAGCTATTTTCTTCAATCAAATGTTACAGATTATTTTCTTGACTGATCCAGTTAACCTCTCCTTTAGATATTTCAGTCATGTTTAAGCATCATTGTGTAAACAGAAGTTCTTCCTTGAGAAAAAAATTTAGATTTAAAACTGTGTAGTATATTAAAGTGTCTCCATTTAATTCACTAAAAGCCTTTAGAAATATACTAACACAAGAAAATTTAATCTTCATAAGGGTACAAATGTCCTTTATTCCTTACAAAACCCAGAATAAAATTTTAATAAGCTATATTTTTCTTCTCTTATCTATAGAAATTATATAGATATACCAGATTGCAGAGAAGAGGAAATGTTGAAGCAATTGTATAAAAATGTATAAATAATTTATGCACATATGTCATTTGATTCTTCAAAAATTAATTCTGTATAAAAATTAATTTATTCTATTATAAGGATAGTAAGAAAGGATACCATGAGCATATAATACACATCTTAGCGCTGCCTGTATAATGAGTCACAGAGGAAGGTATAACTGCCCTATAAGGGAATGTGCTAAAATATCCATATTATATATCCTCTGTGGATAGAAAATATGAGAATAGTTCTAACATATCCCTGAGATAGTGAATATCAATGTTCATGTCAAATAATCTCACTTAATAGAAAGGGACAATGAAGCTAAATTCAAGAGATGCAATCTCAGGCATCTTTTTTATGCCTCTACCTATAGTTGATTCTATACAACTGGGTGACAAAGAGTCTCACTCTGACCGAGGCTGGAGTGCAGTGGTACAGTCAAAGTTCATTGCAGCCTCAGGCTCAAGCCATCCTCCAACTTCAGCCTCCCAAGTAGCTGGGACCACAGGTGTGCACCACCACATCTAGCTAATTTTTTTCATTTTTTGTAAAGATGGAGTCTCCCTATATTGCTCAGGCTCATCTTGAACTCCTGGGCTCAAGCAATCCTCCTGTCATGGCCCACACAGGTGTTGGGATTATAGGCATGAGCCACCATGCCTGGCCTGATTCATTATTAAATGGAGAAAAATGATAATCTCTCAGGTTATATCTGATTTTAAAATCCAAGATCAAGTGAGTGAAAACTTTGTGGGAGGAAAGTTTCTTTTGACATTAGCCAGTACCCAAGTTAGAAATATATTTTTAAAAAGGAAAATAAAATTCTAAAATGGAAAAATGCCACGATTCAAGTTAAGAATTCAATCAATGACTTTGACAGTGGCCTAGAATAACAAGATAAAATTCCTAAAGTAAAAGATGGGTCAGAATAAAACATGGATTATGAAACAAAGAGAAAAAGTGATTTAAAAACAGAAATGGCACATAAAAGACAAGGAATATGGTGAAAAGATTTAACATACATGTACTTATAGTCACAGAAGAATATAAGAGAAAATATGAAGTAGAAGCCGTATTTGAAGGCATACTGCTAAATCTTCTCTTAAACTGATAAAATATTATCAACCCACAGATATAAGAAGCTTTGAAAACTGCAAGCGAGATTAAAAACAAAGCAAATTAACACTGGGCACATGATAGTAAAGCTGTTAAAAGTGAAAAACAGAGTAAGTATACAAAGTAGCTAGACAGAAAAAAAGACACACTAATTGAACAATAAACTTGACAGCCATCATCTCAAAAGAAGACCATGGAATGTCATCTTAAAAGTGCTGGCAAAAATAACTTTCATTCAATACCCAAAACTGTTTCTCAAAAGTGATAGTAAAATTAAGACATTTCCAGATATATAAAAACGTAAAGGTTTCTTTACCAGCAGGCCACACTAAAGGAAATGTTAATTTCTTCAGAAGGAAAATGATCCCAGAAAGAAACATATATAGGTGTTAACAAAACAATGATAATAATGTACTGTGTGTCTAGAACATATAAATAATTGAAAGGCATATCAGTAACAAAAAGTAGGGTACAAGTAAATGGTATAATGATTCAAGGTCTTAGCGTTGCCTGGAATTATTAAAATTATTGATTTAATTGAGGTAATAAGTCAAGGATGTGTGTTATAATCAACAAAAGAGGAAATCAATAAAATAATTTGTAAAAGCATATATAGCTTAAAAAGATAACAGAGGTAGTGACATCAGCAAGATGCTGTTATAGGAATCCCCAGACCCTCCACAGGTATACCAACTCAACAACAATACAAGGACCAATTCCCATGGTGATAAGTGCCGAAACCAGTTAAGAGGGTCCTGGGCTCCAAGCAAGTGTAAAACTAGCTGGGCACTTTTCTGGGGCACTTTCCCTATAGTCCCATCCAGCAGCACAGTTCCATTCAAACAGGGGGAAATTCCCAGCTCCTGTCTTCTCCCTGAGAAGGGAAAGAGAAAGTAAAGCATGCATTCAGTGTTCTGACTTTTCAGGGGAGCTGTCTTGCATATCTCAGAGCACTGATGGAACCTGGCATATTCTAAAATCCTGAGGGCAGCTCAGAATAATAAAGAGCTGGGTGGCGGGCTGATGCTCCTCAGGACCTGTGATACAGCACACAGAGAGAAACTCAGCTCAGCACTCTCTCTCTCATGAGGGAAAGAGAGAGTAAAATGCATCCAAAGTTCCTGAATTTTAGTGGGCAGTCCAAGTTTCTGTCTCACTTGACTCCAGGCACTGATAGGATTCAGCAGAATCTATAACTGAGGGCTTCTCAGAACCTAAAAGAGCTGAGTGAATACTGCTGCTCCAGAGGGCCCACAGTACAGCACACAGACACCACAGAGGGAAAAAGATTAGAGCATCTTAAAAAAAAAAGCTGGCAGATCCCTCTAATTAGGAATTATACACACAAGTCCATAGAAGATGCATCCACAGAAAAGGTTTGAGAGGTCCCTAGAATCTCTAGCCAGCCTGATTAGTAAAGATCTTTCCATGTACAAATCCAGTCCATAAAGACTGGAAGAGGTAGCTGGTGTGTTGTTGTTTTTTGTTTTTTTGAAATGTATAGATATCAACACAAAGTAATAAGGAATATGAGAAAACAGGAAACATGGCCCAATCAAATAGTGCGTGCCCACACACACACACACACACACACACAAACACACCTCCAGAAACCAAACCTAAAGAAATAGAGCTATGTGAATTACTTGACAAAGTATTCAAAATAATTGTCATAAAGATGTTCAGTGAGCTCAGGAAAATAATGCATAAGCAGAATCAGAATTTCAGCAGATAGAAAATATTCAAAAGAACTAAAAAGAAATTTTGGAACTGAAGAATACAATAATTGAACTGAAAATTTTACAGACATGTTCAACAGCAGACTTAATCAAGTAGAAGAATGAGTCAGTGAACTCAAGGACACATCATTTGAAATTATCCAGACAGAGTAGCAAAAAGAGCAAGAAATGAAAGAGAGTAAAGAAAGCCTAAGAAATTGATAGGACATCCTCGAGCAGGCTGCTCTACTCATTATGACAGTTTCAAAAGAAGAAGCCATAAGAGAAAAGGACAGACAGCTTATTTTTTAAAATTACATCTGAAAACTTCCCAAATATGAGGAAGGAAATGGACATCAAGATCCAAGAAATGTTAAGAATTTAGAAAGCAGCAAAAGAAAAATGCCTCATCACGTACAAAAGAACACCCCTAACTCTACCAGTAGATTTCTCAGTAGAAACCTTGCCATCCAGAAAGGGGTGAGATGTTATACTGAAAGTGCTGAAAAGAAAAAGAACTGCCAGCCAAGAATACCAAATCCACCAAAGTTTGTCTTCAAAAATGAAAAAGAGATAAAGACCTTCCCAGTTAAACAAAAGCTGAAGGTGATCACAATTAGACTTGCCTTACAAGAAATGTTAAGAGGGGGCCTTTTGAGTTAAAATTAGGGGATGCTAAACAGAAATACATAGGTATTTTATTAAAGTATAAAGCTCACTAGTAAAGATAAATATATAGATAAAAACAGAATACTATAATACTGTAATGGTGGTACAAAAGTCACTTTAAAATCTGATATTTTAAAATCTGATTAAAAGACAAAAGTACAGAAAAACTAACTATAAAATAATGTATACACAATATAAAAAGATGTATTTATGACATCAATAACATAAAATTTGGGTAGGGGAGAAGTAAACATAATGAGTTTTGTTTTGTGATTGTAGTAAAGATGCTATCAGTTTAAAATACATTTTTATAAGAGTTTTAAAATGTAAGCCCCATGGTAACCACAAAGAAAATACCTATGGAAGATATACAAAAGAAAACAGGAAAGGAACAAAAACATAGCATTACAATTCTCAATAAAACACAAAGGAAGACAGTAAGAGGAGGAAAGAGGAGCAAAAAGTCTACAAGCTGCAAACAACAATTAACAAAGAGGCAACAGTAAGTTATGCCCTATCAATAATTACTTTAAATAAAAATGGGATAAACTCCCCCAATCAAAAGATACAAAGTGGTTGAATTGATTTTTTTTAAAGACCCAATTATATGCTAACTACAAGAGATTTGCTTTAGATTTAAAGACCTGGATAGCCTGAAAGTTAAAGGATATTAAAAAAATTTCATGCAAATTGTAACCAAAAGAGTGCAAATGTGGAAACAGCTACATCACACAAAATAGTCTTTAAGTCAAAAAGTGTCATAAGAGACAAAGAAGGACATTATATAATGATAAAAGGTCAATTCACCAGAAGGACATAGCAATTATAAATACATATGCACCCAACATTAAAACACCTAAATATATGAGGCAAACATTCACAGAAATGGAGAAATAGATAGCAATACAATAAAGTCAAGTGTTGTATAACAACGTTTCAACCAATAACAGACCACATGTACAAGAGTAGTCCCATAAGATTATAATGGAGCTGAAAAATTCCTATCACCTAGTGATGATGTAGCAGTCATAATGTTGTAGCACATTACTCACATGTTTGTGGTGATGTTGGTGTAAACAAACCTATTGCACTACCAGTTATATAAAAGTACAAGATAGCACATACAATTATGTACAGTAATTTACAGTACATAATACTTGATACAGATAGTAAATGTTACTGCTTTATGTATTTACTATACTTTTTAGTGGTATTTTACAGTGTACTCTTTCTACTTATAAAAAATACATTAACTCAAAAAAAAAAAAGAAAAAAGGTCACCACAAAACAGCCTCAGGAAAGTCTTTTGGGAAGTATTCCACTAGAAGATATTGTTATCATAGGAGATGATAGCATCGCATGTGTAACTGCCCCAGAAGACCTTCCAGTGGGACAAGATATGGAGGTGGAAGACAATGATATTGATGATCCTGACCCAATACAGTCCTAGGCTAGTATGGGTGTTTATATCTTCATTTTTAACAACAACAACAAAAAAAAACACTAAGTAAAAGTGAAAAAAATAAAAAAATTAAAAGTCAAAAAAACTTGTAAAATAAGGATATAAAGAGAAAATATTTTTGTACAGCTGTACAATGTGTTTGTGTTTTAAGCTAAGCGTTATTACAAAAGAGTCAAAAGGTTAAAAAATTTAAGTTTACAAAGTTGAAAAGTTACAGTAAGCTAAGGTTAATTTATTACTGAAGAAAGAAAAAAAATTGAGACAGAGTCTCACTCTGTTGCTCAGGCTGGAGTGCAGTGGCACGACCATAGCTCACTGTAGCCTTGACCTCCTCAAGTCAAGGATCCTCCCACTTCAGCCTCCTGAGTAGCTGGAACTACAAGTGTGTGTCACCACACCTAGCTAATTTTTAAAAATTATTTTCTAGAGACAGGGTCTCACTATATTGCCCAGGCTGGTCTTGAACTCCTGGGCTTAAGTGATCCTCCTTCCTCAGCCTCCCAAAGTGCTGGGATTACAGGCATGAGCCACCATGACCAGCCTGTAAAAAGAAAATTTTTTGATAAATTGAGTGTAGCCTAAATGTATAGTGCTTTAAAGTCTACATTAGTGCACAGTAATGTCCTGGGCCTTCACATTCACTCACCATTCACTCATTGACTCATGCAGATAAATTTCCAGCCCCGCAGTCTCCATTCATAGGGTAAGTACCCTATTCAGGTGTACCATTTTAAAAATCTGTACAATGTTTTTACTGTACCTTTTAGATGTTTAGATATATTTAGGTATACAAATACTTACCATTGTGTTACAATTCCCTATAGTATTCAGTACAGTTAACATATGTACAGGTTTGTAGCCTAGAAGCAATAGATCATGTAACCTAGGTCTGTAGTAGGCTATACTATCTAGGTTTGTGTAAATATGTAAGTACACTCTCATGTTTGCACAGTGATGAAATCTCAGAATGATACAATTCTCAGAATGTATCTCCAATGACTGTAGTAGGAGATTTTGGTATCCTACTTTCAATAAGGAATAGAACATTCAGACAGAAAATCAGCAAGGAAGCAGAGGACTTGAACAACACTATAGCTGAAATGGAACTAACAGACATATACAGAAAATTCCACCCAACAGCAGCAAATATACAGTCTTCTCAAGCACACTCAGAGCATTTTCCAGGATAAATCACACGTCAGGTCACAAAACAAGTCTTAACAAATTCAAGAAGGTTGAAATCCTACTAAATATCTTTTCTGACCACAGTGGAATAAAACTAGAAATCAATACTGGAATTAAAACTGGAAAATCTGCAAATATGTAGAAATTAAACAACAGAATTTTGAACGAAATTCTGTTCAAAATTTCATTTGAATGAAAGGGGAAATCAAAAGATGAATTAGAAAATATGTTAAGATAAACAAAAATGAAAACACAACACAATAAAAACTTACAGGATACAACAAAAGCAGTACTAAGAAGGAATATTAAGCTGGGCAAGCTCAGTGGCTCACGCCTGTAATCCCAGTGCTTTGGGAATCCAAGGCACAAGGATCACTTGCAGGGAGCTATGATCGTGCCTCTGTACATCATAGTGAGATCTTGTCTCTTAAACATGAAAACAAAAACAAAGAAGGGAGTTGTAAATGCCTACACTAAAAATGAAGAAAGAAGAAAGATCTCAAATAAAAAACTTAACAACTCAAGGAACTAGAAAAAAAGGACAAATGAGGAAGCCCAAAGCAAAGGGAGGAAATACTATAATAAAGATTAGAGCAAAAATAAATGAAAAAAAGTTTAAATTAAGTTTTTAAACTTAGTTGATTTTTTGAAAAAACAACAAAACTGACAAGCCCCTTAGCTAGACTAAGAAAAAAACAAAAAGACTGGAAGTCAGAAACAAAAGAGGTGGCATTACACCTGATGCCACAATTATAAGAGGCTTTTAAAATCATATACCAAAAAATTCAATAACCTAGAAGAAATTGATTAATTCCTAGAAACATACAAACTACCAAGACATAATCATAAAAAATCTAAACAAAGCTGTAACTAGTAAGGAGATTGAATCAGTAATCCAAACCTCCTAACAACAACAACAACAAAAGCCCAAAACCAGATATCTTTCCTGGAGAATTCTACCAAACTTTTAAAGAAGAATCAATGATAATTGTTTTCAAACTCTTCCAAAAAAAAAAAATTGAAGGAGAGGGAACACTTCCAAACTCATTTTAAAAGTCCAACAAAAAAATGGTAGTAAAAAATAAATCTTCAAAAGAAACTACAATCAGAGTGAACAGGCAACCTACAGAATGGGAGAAAATTTTTGCAATCTACCCATCTGACAAAGGGCTAATATCCAGAATCTACAAAGAACCTAAACACATTTACAAGAAAAAAACAAAAAACCCTATCAAAAAGTGGGCAAAGGATATGAACAGACACTTCTCAAAAGAAGACATTTATGCAGCCAACAGACACATGAAAAAATGCCCATCATCACTGGTCATCAGAGAAATGCAAATCAAAACCACAATGAGATACCATCTCACACCAGTTAGAATGGCAATCATTAAAAAGTCAGGAAACAACACATGCTGGAGAGGATGTGGAGAAATAGTAACGCTTTTACACCGTTGGTGGGAGTGTAAACTAGTTCAACCATTGTGGAAGACAGTGTGGCGATTCCTCAAGGATCTGGAACTAGAAATACCATTTGACCCATTACTGGGTATATATCTAAAGGATTATAAATCATGCTACTATAAAGACACATGCACATGTATGTTTATTGCGACACTATTCACAATAGCAAAGACTTGGAACCAACCCAAATGTCCATCAATGATAGACCGGATTAAGAAAATGTGACACATATACACCATGGAAGACTATGCAGCCGTAAAAAAGGGTGAGTTCATGTCCTTTGTAGAGACATGGATGAAGCTGGAAACCGTCATTCTGAGCAAACTATCACAAGCACAGAAAACCAAACACTGCATGTTCTCACTCATAGGTGGGAATTGAACAACGAGAGCACTTGGACACAGGGTGGGGAACATCACACACTGGGGCCTGTTGAGGTGTGGGGGACTGGGGGAGGGATAGCATTAGGAGAAATACCTAATGTAAATGATGAGTTGATGGGTGCAGCAAACGAACATGGCACACATGTATACCTATGTAACAAACCTGCACGTTGTGCACATGTATCCTAGAACTTAAAGTATAATAAAAATAATAAGAAGAAATAAAAATAAATCTTGACCCCTACCTCACAACAATGATAAAAATATGTATATTCCAAATGGATTGTAGATGTAATGTAAACAATGAAATAAAAGATACCACAGAAAATTATCTTTGTGAAATAGGATCAGAAGCAAAAATTGATAAATTGAGTTTAATCAAAATTATGACTTTCTATTCACCAAAAGACAAAAAAGAATTAAAAACTAGCCATGAGGTTGAAAACTACTAAAAAAAGGAGTTATGTTCAGAATACAAGATTTGTTTAAGTAATAAGAAAAACAAGATAAGGAAATAAATAAAGTTCTATGGAAGCAAAAAGAAGAGAAAAAAGAAAAGAAAAACAACAGACTAGAGAAATAGGAGATTTGAGCAGCTATTGCACAAAATAAGGTATAAAAATTGCCAAAATAAAATAGAAAGGTACTCAACTTCATTTAAATATAAAATAATTTCAAAATGAGATTACAAAAGTCACCCAGTAAAATGGCTAACATGAAAATAACCTGACAAATGTAGAGATGATGTGGCCCAGCAGAAAGCCTTATGCACTACTAGGAATGTAAACAGGTAAAAACATCTTGGAAAATTGGTTGGTGTTAGCTACAAAAGACAAAGATACACACATATTCTGTGACCCACAAACACAACTCTTAGGCAAAAACCTGAGAGAAATCTGTGTACATGGGCATCAAAGAAATGTACAATATATTTATGATGGCATTATTTGAAATAGACATTGAGGCACAATGCAAATTCCTGAACAGTAGAATAAATAAGGTATAGTATATTTATGAAATAGTACTAGAAACAGAAATAAATAAACTACAACTACATATAACAACATGGATAATTTCATAAACAATGAGTGATAAATACAAATAACACACAAATGCACAGACAATACATGTTGTGCAAGTCCAATTAGATAACGTTCCCAAAACAGGCCCCGAACAAACAGTTATAAAAGGCAAATGTGCGGTTACACTGGAGGAAAAATAAGGGAAGTGATTTGGCAGGTGCATGCGAGGGGCTTCAGCGATGGAGGCAACGGAGCTTTTCACTTTCATACAATTTATGGAGCTTTATTATTTCAGCCTGTGCACATTTGTTTATATGTAATAGGTTAAATAATAGTAAAATGTTTTCTAAAATGTTGATTATTACCAAAAACAAAGAGGGTGAATATAGTGAAAATTTACTAGAAATTACAGTTCTGTTAATATGCATTGAATAATGCAGCATAAAATGAAGGAAGGCAATATATATTGCTCTGATGTCCTATAATTCCAAAAGACTTTAGTTAAAATGGATATGTAAAAAGAGGTAAAATTTTAACCCAGGGAAATTTGACTCTTAGAAATAAATTTACGAAGAAGTTGATAGAGAAAAACAATACGAAAATTAAACAAAAGGATGTTATACACTAACCTTTGCAAAGGATTCCTCAGTTGTCTGCAGCTGATCTTCTCTGTCCCTAGAGTCAGGTAAACTGGGGCTGAAGGCCATGAGGTCGGTCTTGGGTGGGCCCTCACCAGAGCACACCCTCGGCCTCCTCTGCTGCGAGTATGACCAGCTCCCCACCGCACTGGAGCACACCAGCGTGGGCTTGCCCGGAGCGCACGCGCCCTCGGTGGGCAGCGCAGAGCACCGCAGCGCGGTGTACAGCAGCAGCGTGAGCACCAAAAGGCTGGACACCGCGCAGATGGCAATGATCAGGTATACGTTGACATCCACCAGCGCAGCATCGGGACCCACAGCGCCCACCAACGCCCGTGAGGAGGCCTTTGGCGCCTGTCCACTCTCCACAAGTGACACCAGCACAGTGGCCGTGGCCGTCAGCGCGGGCTCGCCGTGGTCCTTCACCAGTACCAGTAGGCGGTGGCGCGGAGCGTCCGTTTCGTCCAGGGCACGCGTTGTGCTGATCTCGCCAGTGTACAGCCCCACGCGGAACGGGATGCGCGCGCCACCAGTCCCCGGCTGCAGCTCGTACGAAAGCCACGCGTTGTAGCCCGAGTCAGCATCCACCGCGCGCACCTTTGCCACCACGTGGCCCACACCCACCGACCATGGCACCAGCTCGCTCACTGCGCCACCAGTGCCACCCGCCCGAGGCGCTAGCAGTGCTGGCGCGTTGTCGTTTTCGTCCAGCACGAACACCTGCAGCGTCACGTTGCTGCCCAGAGGTGGCACGCCGGCATCGCGAGCGGTCACCTGAAACTGCAGCAGCTCTAGCTCCTCGTGGTCCAGCGGCTGCAGCGCGTACACCTTGCCGCTCTCCGCATGCACCGAAACGTAGCTCGACAGCGCGCGCTCCCCTACCCGCCGCTCTACCAGCGAGTAGGACACCAGCGCGTTCTCCTGCGCGTCCGCGTCCCACGCAGACACAGTGAAGATGTGGCAGCCCGGCGGGTTGTTCTCCTTCACGAACACTGTGTACTCGGGCTGCGCGAACGCCGGAGCGTTGTCGTTCACATCAGCCACCTCCACAGAAACACTGGCCGTGGCCCACAGCGAAGGCGAGCCCCCGTCTCGCGCGGTCACCACCAGCTCATAGGCTGACACGCTCTCGCGGTCCAGGGCACTGTCCAGCACCAACGAGTAGTAATTCTTGAAGGTGGACACCAGCTTGAAGGGGACGTGGGACGTCAAGGAGCAGGTGACCAGCCCATTGACACCCATGTCTTTGTCGGACACGCTGATCAGGGCGATGACTGTACCCAGTGGAGCGTCCTCTCTAATTGGAAGTGATAAAGACTTGAATTCCAAATCTGGGACATTATCGTTGTTGTCTTCTACTTCCACAATAACTCTACAATGGCCAGAAAGTGGGAGCTGTCCCTTATCAATGCCCTCTACAATAATTTCATAGGATTTGCTTTCTTCAAAGTCAATATATCCCTTTACAATAATTTGTCCAGTAATTGGATCTATGTGAAACTTGGATTTCACATTTGGCGAAATATCATTTGAGAATGAATAAACAATGTCCCCATTCAATCCTTCGTCTAAATCTGAGGCGTTAAGTTTAATTACCAATGTTCCATTAGGAACATTTTCTAGTAATCTCACCTTATAAATGGTTCTGTCAAAAGCTGGGGCATTGTCATTGGCATCCAGTACTGTGATGAGTAACTGAACGGTGCCAGTCAACTCGGGTTTGCCTCCATCAGTGGCTGTGAGCACTAAAAAAATCTCCGGAGCTTCTTCTCTGTCTAAAGATTTCCGTAATATAAGCCCAAGACCTTTTACCAGCTCGTCATCAGGTGGTTTTTCCAGAGAAAAGTATTCATTTGGGCTCAGTCTGTAAGTGAGCAGGGCGTTCTCCCCGATATCTGCATCCGAGGCGCCCTCTAGTGGAAACCGAGAGTCAAGCGGCCTGGATTCCGCGATGGACAGGTTCTTTTGTGTTGCTGGGAACACCGGCGGGTTATCGTTAATGTCCCTCACCTCCACGTCCACATGGAAAACCTGCAGCGGCCTGTCTACGATCACCTCCAGGTGGATGCTGCACTCCGCGCTCCGCCGGCACAGCTCCTCCCGGTCGATCCGAGAATTCACAAACAAAATGCCATTCTGCAGATTTACCTCCAGAAGGCCTCCGCGGCCCTTGGACGCCACCCGGAACAGGCGCGGCACCAGCTCCGCCAGCTCCAGTCCCAGGTCCTGCGCGATGCGGCCCACGAAGGTGCCGTGTTTGGCCTCCTCGGAGACCGAGTAGTGGAGCTGACCGTTCCCTGCCTCCCAGGCTGCGAGGAGAAGAAGTAAGAGCAGCAGACGCCGGGATTCCTGGCCGCTTCCCCAGGAAAACTCCATCTTTAGTGCACAGTATTTTGTTCTGATTAAATATCGTTTCTCAAAGTCAAGGGAAATCTTTTAATCGGTCAGTCAAGTGCAGCTGCATCCTCCATATTTCAGACTCCAAAGAGTGTATATGGTTCCTTCCAGTAAGAATAGAAGGAATTTTCCCTTCTTCCTCCTTCTCTCATGTATTTTGTGGTAAAGAGCGACATCATGTGGCTCCAAACCGTAAGTAGCAATTGTGGAAACCCCCACACACTCTACTGTAAACTACTTGGTTTTATTTATTATTTCAGTCGTTTCGGAGAATAGGAATACATTTTGTACTACTGTGGTACACATTGTACCACTGATTGATTGAGTGTGGTCCTTAGTTTCGCCATAGGGGCAACTTTTACTTCAGTAGAAATAATTTTTTCAACACAGGTTTTAAGTATTACAGAGACCTAACTATACACTTTGTAAACATGTAACTGTAAACTGTTGATTAGAAAAATTCATTACAGATTCCTGTGTTCCCAAGAATTCCAGGGTTTTTTTTTATTAATGATAACACCCTCTTCACCCTAGTATTTCTGGTGTTGTTGACTTGAGGGGACTGGTCTCTAGGGAACTTCTGGTGCCAAGAACAAGCTATTGACAGGGAAATTTGCAGATGTTTTATAAAAGGATCAAAGACCATCAGCATTTAATTAGATGTCTTCCTTGAGTCATGTCAGGGCTGAAAGTGCAAGGAAGCAGGAAGTTATAGCAAATAGCTTGCATGGAAAAGCATTCCAAATAATTTTATTCATTGGAACTCATTTGCTCCCATGAGAAACGCTGGTATTCTCATTTTGACTCTTACAGTTTATAAGTACTTGCTTGTTCTCCAGTATGTAATGTGCCTAAGCTTCTATTTTCTCCTATAGTGCTTATATATTTTAGCCAAACTGAATATTTCCTGCTTCCAATAGCTTTTTTTAATAAACAAGCATGTTCATTTTGTCCTGTCTATAAGTAATCCACATCATTTCTAAACTCTTCTAAAGCCAATTTACCCCATTTTATAACCACTTAAAACTTCCCTGACCCATGAAGAATGTCATGATCAAACCAATTGAACAGGTATTTTTTCTTCTTTTACAAACTGCAGCACCAGGGTGGAATCGCGTGGGCCATTTATTACATTAATTTATCTCTTATAAGCATTTGAGTATGTGTGTCCTTTTTTGGAATATATATTTTAAAGGGAATAGTTGTATCTTAATTGTTTAATAGCTCAGAGGGACTTACCTAATATTTCCTAAATATTTACCCTGCAGAAAATGTTTGCTTCCTTCCATTGCCTAATAAAATGCATTAATTTAAGGTGATCGCATATCTAGTTGGGAAAATGTGGTGTTTCAATAGCCTCTATGATTTTCTAAAGATACAAAAAAAGTCTCTAGACATTTCCCCAATTAAGATGTATTTCAAGTTCAATGTTGAAAACTTGGGTTTTAGCTTAATTTTTATTCTAATTCTTGGTAATCATGATCTTTGAATCATCCTGGGTATTAATGGGGAATGAAGACTTCCCAATAAATAAACCACAATACATTTTCTTACATAAAGAAATTTAATATATAAAGACATAATGGTAGCCATTTAAAAACTTTCCTTGCCTCCTATATCCATAAAGTTATTTTCATCCTGTTTGTCTAAACAAAAAATCAATCTAGTGAAAATAGCTTTACGCTCCCTCTCTATTGAAGAACTACACTCACACAAACACACACACACAAAAACCAAAACAACAACAAAAAACCCACCAAATTTCTGAATCAAACAGAAACCAGAGTACTTTCACTATGTGGGGACCCAAACTATATTTTTACAAAATGATCATTGACATCAAGCACATTGGAAAAAAGGAGGAAGAATTCCATTTTCACCCATTTCATTTGTAATATTTTCATTTACCAGGTATTTTAATGTACAGATGGGGAATGCAGCAGAATAGAAAACAATGTTTATTTGGTAGCTATTCAATATTTATTTGGCATAGCATCAGTACATCTGTGAAGTGAAAATTCCAAAGTCTTCAAAATGTCTTTGCCAAGAGTCTTGTTAGACAATAGTTTCAAGAGGCAAGCTGGATTTGAAGATTGAAGTTCCATATCTGGGAAGACAAGTACTTTGGCTGACTCTATTATATTCAAGAAGCTGATAACAGAACTAAATTTTTAAAATACTGACCTGAGATGGACACACTATGGCTACTACTTCATGGACAAGGGAGCAACAAAGGATAGTGCCAAAAAAGGAAATAAAGAAAATGGAAGTGAGGGGAAGGAGAGGAGTCAAGAAAAATATCTATTTTACGTGTTAGACCTCCCACACTGTCAATGAGTATTAACCAGGTTTCAGTTGGTTACTATTTCTCTCCAGTGGTAGGGAAACTTAAATGGGAGTCCAACTAATTGCTAGAGGAGATAACCAAATATGTAGGGGTAGTGATTAGAAAAAAGTCTACCTTCAATTTCATTTGGTTCTGGTTATTTGGAGTTTTCTACTTATTGCATGGCACACATTAATAGGCAGGATGCTATTCAGAGAAGTTAACCAGTAATAACATTATAACATTGGCTTATCAAACTTATTTCATATTAGCATCCTTAGTATGGTATGCAAAAGACACTAATGAATAAAAAGTTTTGCTAGTAGGGATAGTTTTAAAATTAGATACCATAATTATTTTCAAGATATTGTTCAGATTGAAAATTATTTTTAACAAGATTTAAAACATTCTTTTAAAATGAATATATAAATATACTATACAACTATTAAATTTTCACTTCATATTGATATTTTAGTTATTAGTAATAAATTTTAACATATAATACAGTAGTATTATTAAAGTAGTATTAAATAAAGTAGTGATAAACTAAAGATGAACAAAGATGCAATTCTAAATGCAATTGTTATTCTCGATTTTTTTCCCAACTGGGAAATCAAGAAACAATAAACGGTATTGCCAAATTAGAGCACAAGGCCTAAAATGAATCATATTCAAGTAAAAAATAAGGATTGAGACTCCAAACAAGTGAATAAGAGAATAAAAGAGGTTCCATAAAAGACAACAGGTGTAATGATCTAATTTTTGAAACTGAAGGTGGAAAAGCATAATCAATAGGGAGTTATAAGCATTAGGTGAACTCATAAAATGAGCAAGTAACATTTGTACTAACAGGTAGTAGGAAGTCCAAATGAAAAGTGGCAAAAGATATTGAAGAAGCATTGTATAGGGATAAGTATAAAACAAGTCGAAGTCAGATTCTCTAAATAATGCAATTCATCTAAGAAAAAATATTTGTCTTATACCCAGGCATTTAGCAATAAAATAATTCTACTACTGCACCTAATAACAAAACAAAATTACAAGTGTGGATATCATAACTTACTGCTGATTTGGTTCAAAAATTAGCAACAAAAATCTTACCGTTTTAACCACAAAACCACAAAACTGGAAAAGTCTAATTATGAATCACATAATTCATACTTAACTATTAATGTATTTCCAGAGGAGTGGAAACATTGAGGAATGAAAAACAAAGACATTTTGGAAAGAATAAATAAAAATTACTCACTTTGGCTGAGAGATCAACGTCCACATCCTGTTTCTCCTCTCTATCCCGGCTAATTGGACAAGGAGGAAGGCTAGGGCTAAAAGCCATGAGGTCGGTCTTGGGCAACCCCTCTCCAGAGCACACCCTCTGCTGCCTCTGCTGCGAGTATGACCAGCTCCCCACCGCGCTGGAGCACACCAGCGTGGGCTTGCCCGGCCCACAGTCGCCTTCGGTTGGCGGCGCGGAGCACCGCAGAGCAGTATATAGCAGCAGTGTGAGCACCAACAGACTGGACACCGCGCAGATGGCGACGATCAAGTACACGTTGACATCCACCAGTGCAGCTTCCGGGCCCGTGGCGCCAGCGGACGCCTGGGACGAGGCCTTGGGTGCCTGGCCACTCTCCACCAGCGACACCAGCACAGTGGCCGTGGCGGTCAATGAGGGTTCACCGTGGTCCTTCACCAGCACCAGTAGGCGATGGCGCGGGGCGTCCACCTCGTCCAGGGCACGGGTCGTGCTGATCTCTCCCGTGTACAGCCCCACGCGAAACGGGATGCGCGCACCGCCGGTCCCAGGCTGCAGCTCATACGAAAGCCACGCGTTGTAGCCTGAGTCTGCATCCACTGCGCGCACCTTCGCTACCACGTGGCCCGCACCCACTGACCGCGGCACCAGCTCGCTCACTGCGCCACCGATGCCACCCACCCGAGGCATCAGCAGTGCCGGCGCGTTGTCGTTCTCGTCCAGCACGAACACCTGCAGCGTCACGTTGCTGCCCAGAGGCGGCACGCCCGCATCGCGCGCACTCACCTGGAACTGCAGCAGCTCTAGCTCCTCGTGGTCCAGCGGCTGCAGCGCGTACACCTTGCCGCTCTCCGCGTGTACCGACACGTAGCTCGACAGCGCGCGCTCCCCCACCCGCCGTTCCACCAGCGAGTAGGACACCAGGGCGTTCTCCTGCGCGTCCGCGTCCCGCGCAGACACCGTGAAGATGTGGCAGCCCGGCGGGTTGTTCTCCTTCACGAACACCGTGTACTCGGACTGCGAGAATGCCGGCGCATTGTCGTTCACGTCGGCCACCTCCACGGACACGCTGGCCGTGGCCCACAGTGAAGGCGAGCCCCCGTCCCGAGCAGTCACCACCAGCTCATAGGCCGACACGCTCTCGCGGTCCAGAGGGCTGTCCAGCACCAATGAGTAGTAATTCTTGAAGGTGGACACCAGCTTGAAGGGGACGTGGGGCGTCAGCGAGCAGGTGACCTGTCCATTGACTCCTGAGTCGCGGTCGGACACGCTGATCAGAGCGATGACTGTGCTAAGTGGAGAGTCTTCTAATACAGGTAAAGATAGTGATTGAATAACTAACTCAGGTACATTATCATTGATGTCCACAATTTCGAGTAGAACTGTGCAGTGATCTGACATTGGGGGATTTCCTTTATCCGTGGCTTCTACCTGGATTTCATATGACTTACTTTCCTCGAAATCTATGTTACCCTTTACACTGATTTGTCCATTGACTGGATCTAAATGGAATTTTGACAGAATATCTGCTGACATGTCCGTATTGAAAGAATACGCGATATCCTTATTTACTCCTTCATCCAAATCGGTGGCGTTAACGGTCACCACTAGGGTACCATTTGGTGCATTTTCGAGTAATCTGACTTTATAGATCGTCCTCTCAAACGCTGGGGCGTTGTCGTTTACATCTAAAACAGTGATCTTTAGTTGAGTCGTGCCAGTGAGCTCTGGTTTCCCACCATCAATTGCTGTTATTAGTAAATAATGCTTAGGAGTGTCCTCTCGATTTAAATTTTTTTTCAACACGAGTCCAAGGGATTTAATTTCCTCATCATTTCTTTTAACGTCCAAGGTAAAATATTCAGTGGAATCAAGACTGTAAGTCAACAACGAATTTGTTCCGATATCTGCATCTGATGCGCCCTCTAGCGAAAACCGAGAGCCAGGCTGTCGGGATTCGGAAATAAACAGATTCTTTACAGCCATTGGAAAAACTGGCGCGTTGTCATTAATGTCCTTCACTTCCACCTCCACATGGAAAACCTGCAGCGGCCTGTCCACGATCACCTCCAGGTGGATGCTGCACTCCGCGCTCCGCCCGCACAGTTCCTCGCGGTCTATCCGAGAATTCACAAACAAAATGCCATTCTGCAGATTTACCTCCAGAAGGTCCCCGTGTCTTTTGGACGCCACCCGGAACAGGCGCGGCACCAGCTCCGCCAGCTCCAGCCCCAGGTCCTGCGCGATGCGGCCCACGAAGGTGCCATGCTTGGCCTCCTCAGAGACGGAGTAGTGGAGCTGGCCGCTCCCCACCTCCGAGGCTGCGAGGAGCAGAAGAGAAAGCAGCAGGCACTGGGCTCCAGGATCTTCTCGCCAGGAGAACAACATTGCAAGTATTTTCCAAATATTAGATTGCCTTTACATTGATCCAAAGTTTAAAAATAATTCGAGTTCCTTATCTTCATTTCTTAAACTCCTCGGTGTTAAATTTTAGAGAGGATGAAGCAAAGCAGTATCTGAATACGTAATGCACGCTGTTATTTCTTTTGTGGAGAAAGACCTTGTGGTGGACAGCGACATCATGTGGCTAAACGTGTAAGTATTAAATATGTAAACGTATCTTCTTTTCCTTGTATGTCGTTTGAACTTTCCCAAAATTTCTAGTTTCAATTGTAATATCCTTCGGTCACTCCTCAAAGTCCTTATATTTTATCTAAATATTTCCTTAGAACTTTTATACTAATTCACTATCAATTGTGCTAATTCATGACATACACTAAAATATTGTGATTCCTGTTTTAACAGTGGACATCTATTGGAAATATTTCCCATGTGACAGCCACTTTTCTATTTGTCTTAATGGAATTATCCCGTTAAATTATCACAATCCTCTGAAATAAGTTTTAATATTATTCGCTTTTTATAAACACATAGAGGTTAAGTAAAACGATATTATCTCTTGGTACGATGGGATTTCAATCTGATTCAAGACAACTTACCATTAACCTCTTTACCACCCAAGTTACATTTTATAGAAAAATCAGATCCTTTCAGATTTATGATCATCAAAACATTGAGATGTTGAAGTATTTAAAAGTGTGTGTGTGCTGTATATATTAAAACATACATATATCTACTTTTATGTTATTACAGCAACTGTTAATTTCTTAAAATATGTACATTTATGGTTTTTTAAATTTGTAGAATGTCTGTAATTCCCTCCCATGCCCCTTTTTCAAGAACTATAGCCTCATCAACTGTCTTGACTGTAACTTACATAAAGATTTCAGAAGTCGGTCCTTTACAGAGAAATTCAAACAGGAAATTTGTTTCCTATTGTGGGAATGTGATTTGTATATTTGTTACACTCACATCACATCAATTAAGAATATATTAGGTTTAATTTTTCCACACTCTTTATGTATTTGAATTTACCTGTATATACTAAAATGTTAACAATATAAAGTAATTACGTTTTTGATGATCTCCACTCCTGATGAATTTCTAGATTCCAGTTTTTTTAAAAGTTGTTACTTGAAAGAATTGATTATTTAACTAAACAGTGAAGGGAGAAAAGTAACCTAGGAACATAAGCCAGTATTTACTCAACATATTTAACACTAAGCAATAAAACATTCTAAAGATATCTGTGAATTCAATGAGAAGCATGAATTCTCGCCGCATTTGGAAGTGGGGCAAAGAAAATTTATGGAAAGAGGTCAAATTTAGAGAAATAAAATAATGTACAAATTTTTGCTTATACCCAGACCATTTAAAAATGAAATCAAACATGTGATTTAAATATTTAGGGGAAAAGTTTTCATTTCAGCTTTTGTTTCCTGTGTATTCATGAAATGGAAGCCAGGACTGCAACTTACTCAGATTTTATCATTCATATTTAGAATAGGATAAATTATCAATTGTTGTTTTCATGAATAAATAAATTAATATTTTGAATTAACTTTTTCAAGCAAGATAAATAAAAATGTAAGTTAATGATATTTGTTAATATCAAACTTACATAATTTCTAAATGATTATATTGTGCTATATTATGAAGAAGTAAGTAAACATTTAAGCATTATTTCTGAAAAGCATGGACCTAAGAAATAATTATAGCTATTAATATTCCAGTTACCACTTTGCTGAATTTTTAAAGATGGTAGCTAGTTTGAAAATAAGAGATAAATTTAAAATTTTTAAACTTCATGGACTTCATAGTAATGAGATGCCTTTGACAACTTATTGTAATACTGCACTTTTCAGTACCTTTAAGAGTTATACTAATTGCAAAATGGAATGTCACATGAGAATTTATAGCAGAGTAGACTCCATACTGATTATTAAGAGATAAAGGTAATATTAAAGGAACTATGAGTTTAGAAGATTGAGCCATTTTGTAGATAAAGTATCAGTGAATAATTTCTACTACCACCTAGATGTCACTTAGACAACCAAGAAAAAATGTAAATAAGAATGTTTTGAAAAAACTTATAGAGCAACAGATTGTGACTCCTGGAGATTTGGATATATGTGAATATAATTTTAGAAGCTTATCATTTACCTATGGTAGAAACATAGTGGTCAAGTATTACTTGGAAATGGATATTCTGACCTAACTATGAAATGGCTAAAGGTAAGATCACTAGTGGAAGTTATTTCTATGATTTATCAATATGCACATATATTTAGAATAAACAGCAAATAACTAAGAACTAAATAGTAGAGGACCGTTTAAGACAGTTATTTTATTGCAATACATCTGCCTTTGGTTGGAAAAGCTAAAAAAGTTCTTTCCAAGTGTAACATTTACTTGTCGAGTTCAGTGTTATAATTACCCAAAATAAATGTTTCAAGTGAAAATGTAGTCATCCAAGACCAGGCCTCATCTTTTGGAAAAATTCCAATTTCATTAGGAATATGGATGCTTCCAGGTAAAATTGAGTGAGCTCACATTAATGGAAAATGTATTCCCACGCATAGAATTAGATGCCAGAAAAAAGTAGTCAATCTCTGCAGTGGGAGGCCTGCACACATTGGCCTAATGATAATGATACTGAAAGGATGATTTATCAACCATTAACATAAAGACTGGGTAGTCTCCACTTAAATGAAGAAAAAGTCCCACCACCTGAAAAACCCCAGTGTGATTTTTAAATGTTAATATTTTCAAATTAAACAAAATTGAGAGGGTCTCTTTTCTCAATACTCTCTATTTTTGCCTGATAACTCAAAAATGTTATCAGTGTGAAATCTTTATACCAAATAATGGGTTATTTTACTTATAAAAAACATACTTAAGATTAGCAGTTATTCCTAAGTGCTGTCATTTTGTTGTAACAACCTGTGCTACATACTTTTGGAAATTCTGGTGTTAAAATATCCACTCAGGCTGCTTTCAAATACAAATAAAAAGACCAGGTGCAGTGGCTCACTCCTGTAATCCCAGCACTTTGGGAGGCCTAGGAGGGTGGATCACTTGAGGCCAGGAGTTTGAGACCAGCCTGGCCAACATTTAGTTGAGACCAACCCCGTCTCTACTAAAAATAAAAAATTTAAAAAAGAAAATAGCCGGGCGTGGTGGTGGGCGCCTGTAATCCCAGTTACTAAGGAGGCTGAGGCAAGACAATCACTTGAACCCGGGTGGCAGAGGTTATAGTGAGCTGAGATCACACCACTGCACTCCAGCCTAGGTGACAGAGCAAGACTGTCTCAACAAAAACAAACAAACAAAAAAAAAATGTAGCTTATTAACTATTGCATAGACAAGGGCATTGTTGATCCAAAGAACAATCTAAGAAATGTCCAGGATATAGGTTATTCCAAACACTATCCGACAGATTGGATAGACAGTGTCAGTTGAAAATACGTATTATATAATCAAATTCTTTAATTTCTTCCGATTGTGATTTTCAATTTTTAAGAGAGAAAATATTTATGGGAAATGTTTAATTTACAAATTTTGCTGAGGTGTTTTTCAGTGTTTCATGGTCTATTACTTATGACTTAATGATGGAAGTGCCAAAATGTAAAAATAAGAAAACAGTTATGTAGATTGTTTAAATAAATTGTTCAGTAAATGCAATAAATTGATCTCTAATTCATATTCAAAATCGCACGGTAGGATGATATAAAATAAATGAAGAACTATGAATCTAAATAACTAGTAGAAATCATATAGAATTTTTTAAAAAGAACAATTTTAGAATTGGCAAGAAAAAGTAAAAGACTCACCTTTCCTACGTATTCTGATTCTGAGAGCTGTTTCTCTTCTGCGGAGTCTGGACCTTGAGATAAGCTAGGGCTGAAGGCCATGAGGTCCGTCTTGGGGGGGTCCTCCCCAGAGCACACCCTCTGCCGCCTCTGCTGCGAGTAAGACCAGCTCCCCACGGCGCTGGAGCACACCAGCGTGGGCTTTCCTGGCGCGCGCGCACCCTCGGTGGGTGGCACCGAGCACCGCAGCGCAGTGTACAGCAGCACCGTGAGCACCAACAGGCTGGATACCGCGCAGATGGCGATGATCAGGTACACGTTGACATCCACCAGCGTAGCCTCTGAGCCCGCGGCGCCCACCCACGCCCGCGACGAGGCCTTGGGTGCCTGGCCACTTTCCACCAACGACACTAACACGGTGGCCGTGGCTGTCAACGCTGGTTCGCCGTGGTCCTTCACCAGCACGAGTAGGCGGTGTCGAGGGGAGTCAGCCTCGTCTAGGGCACGTGTCGTGCTGATCTCACCCGTGTATAGCCCCACGCGGAACGGGATGCGAGCGCTGCCAGTACCCAGCTGAAGCTCGTACGAAAGCCACGCGTTGTAGCCTGAGTCAGCGTCCACTGCGCGCACCTTCGCCACCACGTGCCCTGCACCCACCGACCACGGCACCAGCTCACTCACTGCGCCAGCAGCGGTGCCAGCCCTAGGCGCCAACAGTGCCGGCGCGTTGTCGTTCTCGTCCAGCACGAACACCTGCAGCGTCACGTTGCTGCCCAGAGGCGGCACGCCCGCATCCCGCGCGCTCACCTGGAACTGCAGCAGCTCCACTTCCTCGTGGTCCAGCGGCTGCAGCGCGTACACCTTGCCGCTCTCCGCGTGCACCGAAACGTAGCTCGACAACGCGCGCTCGCCCACCCGCCGCTCCACCAGCGAGTAGGACACCAGCGCGTTCTCCTGCGCGTCCGCATCCCACGCTGACAC
Organism: Homo sapiens; assembly: GCF_000001405.40. NCBI lineage: Eukaryota > Metazoa > Chordata > Mammalia > Primates > Hominidae > Homo > Homo sapiens. The sequence goes on along the minus strand of NC_000005.10, from coordinate 140,796,392 downwards.
CGTGAAGATGTGGCAGCCCGGCGGGTTGTTCTCCTTCACGAATACTGTGTACTCAGGCTGTGCGAACGCCGGCGCGTTGTCGTTCACGTCGGCCACCTCGATGGACACGCTGGTGGTGGCCCACAGTGAAGGCGAGCCCCCGTCCCGTGCGGTCACCACCAGCTCATAGGCTGACACGCTCTCGCGGTCCAGGGCGCTGTCCAGCACCAACGAGTAGTAATTCTTGAAGGTGGACACCAGCTTGAAAGGGACGTGGGGCGTCAGGGAGCAGGTGACATGTCCATTCGTACCAGAGTCGCGATCCGACACCGTGATGAGAGCAATGACAGTGCCCAGGGAAGCGTTCTCTGAGATGGGAAGTGAGAGAGACGTTATTGAGACTTCTGGTGTGTTATCATTGATGTCCACAAGTTTTAATGAAATTTTACAATGTCCTGACATTGAAGGGGTTCCTTTGTCAGTTGCAGTGACCTGAATCTCGTAGGACTTTGCTTCTTCATAATCTAATTTTCCCTTAGTTCTGATTTCCCCTGAGATGGGATCTATGGTAAACTTAGTCTGTATAGTGGAGGACACATCACTACCGAGTGAATACACAATCTCGCTGTTCGGTCCTTCATCTGCATCAGAAGCGTTTAACTTAACCACTAAGGTCCCATTTGCCGTATTCTCTAACAATTTTACTTTGTAAACTGATTGGGCAAAAGTTGGTTCATTGTCATTTACATCTAATACCTTAATAAGTATTTGAACGGTGCCCGTGAGCTCAGGTTTGCCCCCATCAGTAGCCACCAGTAACAAATTAACCTCAGCAGTTTCCTCTCTGTCCAGCGATTTCCCCAGCACGAGAGACAAAGATTCGCTTAGTTCATCATTTGCCTGTATATCTAGGAAGAAAAACTCACTGGAGCTGAGCTTGTAGGAGAGAAGAGCATTTACTCCTATATCTGCATCAGATGCTCCCTCTAGAGGAAACCGAGAATCAAGCAGCCTTGATTCGGGAAACCGGATAGTCTTTACTGTCATTGGAAATATTGGCGGGTTGTCGTTAATGTCCTTCACCTCCACTTCCACATGGAAAACCTGCAGCGGCCTGTCCACGATCACCTCCACGTGGATGCTACATTCCGCGCTCCGCCCGCACAGCTCCTCCCGGTCGATCCGAGAATTCACAAACAAAATGCCATTCTGCAGATTTACCTCCAGAAGGTCCCCGTGTCTTTTGGACGCCACCCGGAACAGGCGCGGCACCAGCTCCTCCAGCTCCAGCCCCAGGTCCTGCGCGATGCGGCCCACGAAGGTGCCGTGTTTGGCCTCCTCGGGGACGGAGTAGCGGAGCTGGCCGCTCCCCACCTCCCAGGCTGCGAGGAGCAGAAGCGAGAGCAGCCGTGTCCAGGCCCCTCGGCCCCTTCTGATAGAAGACGCCATTACCAATCCTCAATGTTTTGATCAAATTAGAAGAGCATGTTTTGCAAAAATTTAAATATTCTAGTCTCTGTTAAAGTCCTGCTGCTTCTCTTATTCCTCCGCTTCTCTGAAGTAACAAAGGGGCTCTGGGTATTTTCCTTCCTAGAGAACACTCTATGGTGGACAGCGACATCATGTGGCTAAAAGGAAGGCTCTACTGTTTATTCTGTAGATTTAAAACTAGTCGATTTTCTGGTTTAAGTTTACTCATAGCTTTCATCTTGGAAAAAAATAACTATTTTAAGCCCTAAAATATATTACCTTTTTACCCTTTTTTACTCTGGTTAAAAAACACACAACATAATATTTAAAATTACCATATTAACTATGATTAAATGTACATTTCAGTAATGTTAAGTATATTCACATTGTTACAAATTTTTCATCTTGGAAAACAGAAACTCTATACCCATTAGACAACAACTCCGCTTTTCACCGTCACTCCAGTCTCTGGTAACCACAGTCCTATTTTCTATTTCTATGAATTTCACTACTTTAGATATTTCGTGTAAGTGGACTCGTAAAGTATTTGTCTTTTTGTGACTGGCCTATTTCACTTAGCACAATGTCCTCAAGGTTCATCCATGTTGTAGCATGTGACAAGATTTATTTCCTTTTTAAGGCTGAATACTAGTCCATCGTATGTATACACCACGTTTTGTTTATTCATTCAAGCATCCGTGGATGGTTCCTCAAGGTTCATCCATATTGTAACATGTGACAGGACTTCTTTCCTTTTTAAGGCTGAATAATAGTCCAACATATGTATACACCACGTTTTGTTTATTCATTCAAGTATTCGTGGACATTTGAGTTGCTTCCATTTCTTGACTGTTGTGAACAGTGCTGCCATGAACATGGGTGTGCATATATTTCTTTGAGACCCTGCTTTCAATTCTTTTGGATATATTAGCATTTTTCACTATTTCTTCAAATGAAGAACATAGTAATCAAAGGTATTTTAGTCCATTGAAAATATATGTGTATATATACTGTTGTTTTGTGATTTAATTTTGATTTTTGAATTGTTTGCAAATGTTTTGAAATTAATAATTTATTTGTTTCTCATTTGGATAATGTACTATTACTTTAGAATATTCCTTTTCCATTACATTTAGACTTTTATGCAAGAACAATACAATCGATCTCTTTTTTTGTGTTAATTACTTGAGAATATCTTCTTTTGTTAATTTTTAGCTGATCCCTTCACAGTAAAAAAATGAAAATAGAATAAAGATAAGATGAGGATGAAATAAAATGAATCAAGGAGTGGGATAGCATACAAAATCCATAATAAAGGGTCACCTTCAGTTACTCTAACCATGTCACCAATTTTGTTTTCAGCTTCCTAGAGCAAAGAGAGAAGTAAAATTAATTGCAAAATTTGCAATGTCCGTAAGAGAAAAGCAAAGCTCTTGTTAAGAAAAGCTAGCTTTTTTTCCAATAACAATTTTTTTCCCTCATGTACAGTATCTTAAGATACTCATTTGTACCATCTATGGAAATGTGTATTTATGTTAATCATACTCTAACAGTAAATCCCAAGTTAACCGATTTAAGCAAAAATAAACCAGAGAATCCTGTACTGACTCATACATGGAAATGGGTAATTAATTACTGGTTTCAGACAGAGCTGGGTCTACACCCTTCCATAATTCCATAAGGAAAATAATCTCCACATTTATAATTCCTTTTCCCCTGCTGAACTTCTTCTCAGATAGACTTTTCCCATCTGCTGGCAAAATGGCCAAAGTAGCTTTCTAGACTAAAAATTACCAGTTTGATGACTCTTACCAGAAAGTGCTCTTTTCTAATAGTCCAGCAAAAATCCTGGATATTACTTCCTACAGCCCAGTTTGGATGATGTAAATTTCCTTTAGTCAATAATTGTGATTTTTCTCACATTGGCTAGACATGGGTCCACTTGCTCATTCTTGAAGCCAGGAAATGAAATCAGCTCCACCTAAATTATGTGAACTGAAAAGTGGGAGGTTGGTTTTTATGTGAACTGAAAAGTGGAGGTCATGGCATGTACCCAAATTCTCCTGGAGCTTAAACAGATGGCAGATAGCTTCAGAACTGCTCGTTACAGCATTATGTAGTTGCAAAGCAATTGCATATGTATGATACCCAGTAATTATTATTTAATCTATAGCCAACATTGACCACTGTTGACACATAGAAGGAATTATACCTAGAATCCAGATGCTAGCTTCAGGAAACATGGCTTGCTTGAGACAATTTCTGCAATCATATAAGGTAATTAATTATACCGGATATTCAGAATGACATATGTGGGGGTATAAGAGGCATTTTGTGCTGTTATTTAGGATTTCTGAGAATATGGAATATTTCCCCCTTCCCCCGGAGATAGAATACTATTGCCAGATATGCAAGTACATTTCCCCCACAACGGGGAAAAGAGATTAAGAAGCCATGCTCAGCAAATATCCTTCCTCCCACTGCACTTGATATCTCTTGGTACCTGTTTTGGGTCAAAGATACCCCAAAAGACATCACTTTTCTGAGGTTTAAATAAGTGACCTTATTTGGAATAAAGGTCTTTGCAGATGTAACAAAGATGAGGATCTTGATATGAGATCATCCTAGATTACAGAAGGCCATAAATCCAATGATGGTTGCCCCTTATAAAAGACAGAAAAAGAGAAGGCATATAGTAACACAGGAAAGAAGGAAATGTGAAGACAGAGGCAGGAACTGGAGTTATGCTGCCACAAGCCAAGCAATGCCAAGAGCTACCAGAAGCTGGAAGATCCAAGAAAAAAATTTCCCCTAAAGTCTTCAGAAGAAATGCGGCCCAGGAAACACGCTGATTTTGGACTTCTGGCCTCCATAAGAGAGAAGAAATTTATTCTTACAGAGACTCTGTAAGAAAATAAATTTCTGTTATTTCAAGCCACCAAGTCTGTGGTAATTTGTTGCATCAGCCCAAGGAAATTAATATAGTACCCATTGCTAAAATTATACCCTTTGCACCTATCTATGGAACTGTATATCCCTTAACGTTTACATGTCCAAGCACTCATTCTTGCAAAACCTTCAACCTAGTCTTTCACAAAACTACTAGAAGACCCCAGAAGAAAAAAACAACAAGGGGAGTGGATGCTAAGCAAGAAAAAAGAAGGAATATCTATGACATTTTAAATTTCAGTTTATTATTTTTCTTCTGCTACCTTTTATATTTAAGAAAAAGAAATCAAAACACAGTAGATTTTTTCCATGGAATTCAAGTTATCTAATCTGCTTAACGGTCAGATGTCTTAGTAAAAAGTGTCAACAATAATGTTCTCCTACAGTTGTATTTCCTGTTGTAAAAAAAATGCCCCCCTCTTAAAATTTATCTGGTTCATATTAGCTTAATGGCAGTGGGACCTCAATACATATGCTGTTGTGAGTTAACATTCAGTTTTTCCTCTAAAATAAACATAATTTTATTTCTTGCTGCTGCAGAGTCCTTTGTAGTTATTGGGGACTTCCTATGACAGCTTTTCTCCACATGTTGGCTCAGCATCCTGGATTGCTTTGACTTTATGGTGTCTCAGTATCAACCAGTGCTTATGTAATTGCTGTAACAGGAAAAGATAGCAGAAGAGTCTTTCACTGGCAGTTACATAATTCTGCTTGGAAGTGACACACCATTCACATTTCATTGGCCAAAGGAAATTACACAATCGTGCTACCTCAAAATAACAGAAAAGTGAAATCCTCCAGCATTCTCAGAGGAATATCGGTAGTGGCTAGCAATATAAACTATTTCTCATTTTCATCTATTTGCATCCTTCACTGACCACAAGTCTCTAAGGTCCCTCAAATGATACCTTACTAGTTTGTGGATGAAATCTTGTGAAGAAAGATAAACCTGTTGAAAGTTGTGTTAACTATATGAAGATTTGGAATGGAGCAAGAACTTTAACTACCAATGGGAAATCCATTCATATTTACATTAAAATAAACACTAAGTGACAATACCACTCCACAATCATTTTTTCCTCCATTCTAGAATTACCTTTTCATAAAAATTACTTTTCAAATTTTGTACTCCTACGCCCATTTATTTTTGGTTTAATAGTAATTCACTATTATTTGTGATTCACCTTCAGGTTAATACACTCAACTAACCTAGAAAACTAAATAAAGAAATATTGAATGTATGTAAAGGCAATCCTAAGCCTGGCCATTAATACTGTTAGCAAATGAAGCTTTGGGGACACAGTAATGTGAATTGGAAAGAGAAATTATTTTGTGATTTTCTGATCTATTTTTTCCAATTTTATAATCCTGCAAAGTTTGTCTCATATTTTGAGGAACTGGGACATTTTCTTGGCAACGTGATGCTAAGATTATTTTTTTCTGATTCTTGCCAAAAGGCTGAGTACGATAATATATTAAAAGTTACAGAACATGTTTACAGCCTATTTTTTACAATACTCTAAGCAACAACTCTGTATCAACTCAAATCTCTGGAAACTTAACTAGCAAATTATATTAATTTCTCATAGAATGTCTTCACAAGGGGACATTCATGTATGTTTGAAAGTTTGACAAACAAAAATATATTCATTTAATATTTAAGTAACTTCAGAAGCAAACATAGGAAATAAAATTTAACATTATGCCCTTGACTGAATGACTACCAAATACAATGATGTCTACATCAAGGATATTTCCGTGGGTTTTGCAAAACTGCTATAAAACGTGCTGCCCAGTATATTTCTCAACCTTTACACAATCATCAGTAATCAAATCTTCCTTGATTTTGTAGCAGGAAGAGGCTATTTTTTCTCTCTTGAAGAAATGGTATAGAGAATTTCCTTTTATTGTTATTTTTTCATACTTCTATATTGACTTACAGGAAGGTAAGTATTGGGATTTTCACTCAGCCTAGGCTTGATTTTTGAAATAATGACTCCCACCTTTCTCTTGATCTTTTACTTTGACCTTAAGCAGATTTTTTAATAATTTGCTTTCACAAATTTCTTCCACTGTAAGCCACCTTAAACATTTTAGGAAAGGTAAAGAACTGTATTAACAGCAAGCAAGTTTTTGGATATCCTCGGGAAATTTGAAGAAAACTTAGTAATAATACTGAACTTAGGTTTTGCGAGCCTCAGCACCTTTATCCACAAAATGTGACGAAAGTCTTCACTTCATAAAATCGTTGGAAGGATCGAATGAGCTAAAAAAGTAAAGGGTTTTAGAACATTTGTGAGTGAATGGGAGGAATGGGAGGTGCTTAATAAGTGTTTCCTAACTGGATCCCCGAAATAGCAAATACATGCAATGCTAAGCCTTCTAGACCCAGGGGAATTCAAGGTTAATGGCATCAGGAAATTGTTCACAATGACAATGAAGTCGTGGTTGTATGTTTTCATAAAGAAATTAAACAAATCGCCCAATAAATGGTGTTTTTTGTTTGTTTGGTTGGTCGGTTTTGGTTTGTTTTTGTTTTTGTTTTGACAGAGTCTCACTCTGTCGCCCAGGTTAGAGTGCAATGGTGCGACTTCGGTTCACTACAACCTCTGCCTCCCGGGTTCAAGCGATTCTCCTGCCTCAGCCTCCCCATTAGCTGGGATTACAGGCGCCCACCACCAGGCCTGGCCAATGTTTTTGTATTTTTAGTTGAGACGGGGTTTCACCATGTTGTCCAGGCTAGTCTCAAACTCCTGATCTCAGGTGATACGCCCTCCTCGGCCTCCCAAAGTTTTGGGATTACAGGCATAAGCCACCGCCCCCAGCCAATAAATGTATTTTAAATTACGTTTGCTTAAAACTTCAGTTTATTGTTCACTTTGAAACTTAGCCACGTAAAGGGAAGGCAGATGATTTCTGTAACTTTGTCAAGAATTGTTTGTCCGGGGCTTGACATTTCACCAGAAAAGATAACATAATAAGTTACCCCGAATATGTCACTGTTATTTTACTACATTGAGATATTGTGTTAAATATGACCAACATTACCTTTTATTGTACCTTGTATTGTAGCTTTTTTAACCTGCCATTTAAATCAAGAAATACGACAATTTGTCCCTACATTTTTCTTTGCTTTCTAGTTCCATTCAAGACAAAACTGCCATTAATAGGATATCTACATTCAATGGTATGATTTATTTCAACGTTAGTGAACACCTTGAAGACATTTTTTAAAGTGATATTTGAAAAGATGATTAGACAAGTTAAATATGAAAAATATTTAAAGCCAAAACTCGAAAGTTGGACTTACATTACCAGAAAGATCCAAATTTGCTTCTGGTTGTTCATTTCTTTCTGACGTGTTAAGACTTGGAGATAGGCCTGGGCTGAAGGCCATGAGGTCGGTCTTGGGTGGGCCCTCGCTAGAGCACACCCTCTGCCGCCTCTGCTGTGAGTTCGACCAGCTCCCCAACGCGCTGGAGCACACCAGAGTGGGCTTGCCCGGCACATACGCACCCTCAGTGGGCGGCACTGAGCACCGCAGCGCCGTGTACAGCAGCAGTGTGAGCACCAGCAGGCTGGACACCGCGCAGATGGCGATGATCAGGTACACGTTGACATCCACCAGCGCCGCCTCTGGGCCCGCGACACCCACCGACGCCCGCGAAGACGCCTTTGGCGCCTGGCCGCTCTCCACCAGAGATACAAGCACAGTGGCCGTGGCTGTCAGCGCCGGCTCACCGTGATCCTTCACTAGCACCAGAAGGCGGTAGCGCGACAAGTCAGCCTCGTCCAGGACACGAGTCGTGCTGATCTCGCCCGTGTACAGCCCCACGCGGAACGGGATGCGCGCGCCGCCTGCTGCCGGCTGCAGTTCATAGGACAGCCACGCGTTGTAGCCCGAGTCGGCGTCCACTGCGCGCACCTTCGCCACCACATGACCCGCACCCACCAATCGCGGCACCAGCTCACTGACTGCACCAATAGTGCCACCCACTCGAGGCGCCAGCAGCGCCGGCGCGTTGTCGTTCTCGTCCAGCACGAACACCTGCAGCGTCACGTTGCTGCCCAGAGGCGGCACGCCCGCATCCCGCGCGCTCACCTGGAACTGCAGCAGCTCCAGCTCCTCGTGGTCCAGGGGCTGCAGTGCGTACACCTTGCCGCTCTCCGCGTGCACTGACACGTAGTTCGACAGCGCGCGCTCGCCCACCCGCCGTTCCACCAGCGAATAGGACACCAGCGCGTTCTCCTGCGCGTCCGCGTCCCGCGCAGACACCGTGAAGATGTGGCAGCCCGGCGGGTTGTTCTCCTTCACGAATACTGTGTACTCGGGCTGCGCGAACGCAGGCGCGTTGTCATTCACGTCGGCCACCTCCACGGACACCCTGGCCGTGGCCCACAGCGAAGGCGAGCCCCCGTCCCGCGCGGTCACCACCAGCTCATAGACCGACAGGCTCTCGCGATCCAGGGCGCTGTCCAACACCAACGAGTAGTAATTCTTGAAGGTGGACACCAGCTTGAAGGGGACGTGGGGCATTAAGGAGCAAGTCACCTGCCCGTTGGCACCTGAGTCACGGTCAGACACGGTGATGAGGGCGATGACGGTGCTGAGTGGAGCGTCCTCTCTGATAGGCAAATACAATGAAGTGACCGCCAGTTCTGGAGCATTATCATTTACATCCAGCACTTTCACCAAAACCTTACAGTGATTTGACATCGGAGGACTTCCTTTATCAACTGCCTTTACTTGAATTTCGTAGGATTTTGTTTCTTCATAATCCAGTTTATCAATTAACCTAATTTCTCCTGAGCTGGAATCAACTTTGAATTTTTCTTGAATGTCACGAGAAATACCACTGTCAAAGGAAAAGACGACTTCACCATTTACACCTTCGTCAGCATCAGAGGCATTTAATGTGGTCACTAATGTTCCATTTGCTGTAGTCTCTAACAAGTGGACTCTGTATACGGCCTGGTCAAACAGTGGGGCGTTATCATTAACGTCGAGGACGGTGATCAGCAGCTCAACTGTACCTTGCAGCTCCGGTTTGCCCCCATCAGTGGCAGTCAGTAATAAGTGAAGTTCTGGTGTTTCTTCTCTATCCAAATATTTTCTCAATTCAAGCCAAAGAGATTTACTCAGTTCATCACTTGCCTCTACATCCAAAGAGAAATAATCACTCGGGCTGAGCGTGTACGTTAGAAGAGCGTTAGCACCAATGTCTGCATCAGCAGCTCCTTCTATCGGAAAACGCGAATTCAGGAGTCTAGATTCAGGAATAAATATTATTTGTTCTCTGCCCCTGAAGACGGGTGGATTATCGTTAATGTCTTTCACCTTCACCTCCACATGGAAAACCTGCAGCGGCCTGTCGGCGATCAACTCCAGGTGGATGCTGCACTCCGCGCTCCACTGGCACAGCTCCTCGCGATCGATCCGAGAATTCACAAACAAAATGCCATTCTGCAGATTTACCTCCAGAAGGTCCCTGTGTGTTTTGGACGCCACCCGGAACAGGCGAGGCACCAGCTCCGCCAGCTCCAGTCCCAGGTCCTGAGCAACGCGGCCAACGAAGGTGCCGTGTTTGGCTTCCTCCGGGATCGAGTAGTGGAGCTGGCCGCTCCCCACCTCCCAGGCTGCGAGGAGCAGAAGCCAAAGAAGCAGATCCCGGGCTCCCAGGCCCCCTCTCCTAGAAAACACCATTGCAAAAGGACTACACCTTTCTTATGCTCTCCTCTTACTTCAAAATCATGCCATTTTATCTAATATTTCCAATCATTTATCTCTTTACCGTTTCTGTCTTCTCTCAGGCGGTGACAAAATGGAGCTTCCTCCTTCACTTTTAGTGATCAGTAGCTCCCTTCTATTGACAAGACTTTGTGGTGTACAGCGACATCATGTGGCCAATGTAAATTTTAGATCCATTCGTTGATTTTCAAAATGCAATCTATATCCGTCTGCAATTTGTTAAATGCAATCATTTTCAATTTTATGTCCTTTTAAGACCCAGAACATTTCAAATCTCATTGGAGAGTGTGTAATCCAGTATTTTCTTTTAGTAATGATTACAAACATATTACAATTGAATTAGAAACTTTAAGATCTACTTAACCTCTCCTTACATCATTTTATTTAAAACGATTTATCAGCTTATATATTTTTATTATTAAATATTTGCAACTGAATGTCAAAGTTTTAAAATAAGGTAGTTTGACTGATATGATTCACCTTATTCTAGGATAGCTTGGGTGTTTTTTTTTAAATGATATTATACACACACACGTACATATGCACATGTATATATAGTTATCAGGTACTTACAGATGACATTTTTGGAAAATTTCTGAACACATGTAAAATTCCTTTAATGTGGTATGAACAACTTCATCATTTTCTGATACTTTAACTGTTAGAATAAAGATATTTGTGACATTTTCCCTTGTTGTTATATAACATAATGACCTAAGTATTGAACTTATAACTCTGACTTCCAAAACTCAGTATTCCTAATTGAATCGGTGTCCACTAGATCTTTTATTCCTATGTTAAATTTTCATCCATGCTTTTTTCTTATCAAGACCAAACATTGTCATATTACAACAAAAATCATATGGATATTGAATCGCAATATCAGAGACACGTACTGAGAATCTTTATATAATCCATAGTCAAAAGAAAAATGTAAATCTTATGCAAAGATATATTTAAAAAATAATTTGAGAATAACCTACCTATTAATAAACCTCTCTTTCAATTTCAGTCCAATTCATAATCAGAATCCCATAGCTACATCTTAGTTTGACTAAGAAATGTGATCAGAATAAGCTATCACTAGTTTTTTTTTAAAGGAATGGCCATAATGTTTATATTTTAAGTACTAAGAATAGTTAAGGACATTAATGTGAATAAGGATTATTTAATCCAGTATGTCTTCATAATCAGAAAGCCTAAATCCTTGTTTACTTGATAATTAAGATATAGACAAAACATGGAGCTATTTTATTTTTAACAAGCAGTTTATATATTTTAACAGTTCAATGTAGTAATTACTTTATTACAAAAGATAGAGCAACATAAGATACATGAATATTCTCTTAGTCTAAAAGTGAAGCAAACTTTAAACTTGGAAACATTCTAAAGGTTAGCAGATTTAGAGAACATTGTCAACATTTGGAAGTGCAAAATACTTTAAAGTGTTATAAATTTTGAAGACTGACACAGTGGTGAAATCTCTGGGTTTTTGCCTTATCTATTCCAGACTTGGACCAGAAGAAGCCAACAACCAGAAACATTATTGGGTACTGATGCAAAAAGCTCAAAAAAAAAAGCATGCTTTCTCTAGACAAAGGACCAGGAAATAGGCAGCCTAGCAAGACAAAAAGCTCCTAGATAATCATTTACTCCAGGTAATCACCACAGAAAAAAACTGTGGCCCCACACCAGCAAAAGTTGAGTGGGGAATCTAGATTAACGCTCTTGCAAAGCTGTTAATGAGGAATCCCAATACTTCTGGTGGTATCAGATCAGGCCAAAAAATGAAACTGAGACTTTCATTCCCCCAACTGCTAGCAAGCTCCACAGTTGTGGTATCAGAGGAGACCATGTGGACAGCCTGGACTGTGCAGAAAATAACACGGTGCCACCTCCCCCTCTCTGCTGGGGTGGTGCATTAGTCCATTTTGCATTGCTATAAAGGAATACCTGAGGCGGGTAATCTATAAAGAAAAGAGGTTTATTTGGCTCACGGTTCTCCAGGCTACGTAAGAAGCATAGTGCCAGCATCTGCCTTTGGTGAGGGCCTCTGGAAGCTTCCAATCACAACTGATAGCAAAGGGGGAGCCAGCATAGCTCATGGTAAGAGAGAGAGAAAACAAGAGAGAGAGGGAGGAGGTGCCACACTCTTAAAAAATATATATCATGTGAACTCATAGAGTGGTAACTCACTCATTACCAAGCACCAAGCCATTCATGAGGAATCCGCCCCCATGACACAAACACCCACAACTAGGTTCACCTCCAACATTGGAGATCACTTTTCAACAAGAGATTCGGAGGAGCCAAATATCCAAACCATATCATTCCACCCCAGCCCTCCAAATCTCATGTCCTTCTCACATTGCATAATCCAATCATTCCTTACCAATAGTTCTCCCAAAGTCTTAACTTGTTCCAGCACCAACTCAATCAAAAGTCCCAAGTCCCATCTGAGACTCAAGGCAAGTTCCTTCTACCTAAGAGCCTGTAAGATTTAAAAAAAAAAAAAAGATACAATGGTGGTACAGGCATTGCATTGGGTAAACATTTCCATTCTAAAAGGGAGAAAACAGCCAAAAGAAAGGAACAGGCCCCACACAAATCTGAAACCACACAGGGCAGACATTAAATCTTAAAGCTCCAAAATAATTATTGACCCCATGTCCTGCATCCAGGGCATACTGGTGCACAGAGCAGACTCCTAAGGCATTGAGCAGCCCCACCTCCATGCCTTTGTAGGGTGCAACACCCATGGCTGATATCATGGCTTGGAATTGAATGCCTGCAGCTTCTCCAGGCTCAGGGTGCAAGCTGCTGGTGGCATTCTCATATTATTCTCGGATCTAGAGGATAGCGGCCCCCTTCCCACAGCTCCATTAGAAAGTATGCTGGTGAAAACTCGGTGGGAGAGCTCCAGCTCCACATTTCTCCTGGGAATTGCTCTAGTAGAAGTTCTTTACAGGAGCTCCACCCTATGGCAGGCTTCTGCCTAGGCATCCAGGCTTTCTGATACATCCTCTGAAATCTAGGTGGAAGCTGCCAAGCCTCCTTCACACTTGCATTCTGTGCGCCTACAGGCTTAACACCATGTGGAAACCATCAAGGTTTATGGTGGCCTGCACTCTCCAGCGCAGTGGCCAGAGCTGTACCTGTGGCCTGTACCTGTACCAGCTGGAGCCAAGGCAGTCAGGATCCTGGGAGCAGTGTCCCAAGGCTTCACATGCCAGCAGGGCCTTGGGCCTGGTCCTCAAACTCATTCTCTCCTCCTAGGTCTCTGGATCTGTGATGGGAGGGACTACCTGGAAGATTTCTGAAATGGCTTAGAGGCCTTTTCCCCATTATCTTAGGTATTAGCACTTGCCTCCCTTTTAGTCATGCTAATCTCCATGGCAAGTGGTTTCTCTGTAGCCCTCTTGAATCTATTTCCTGAAAATGCTTTTTCCTTCTGTTACTACGTGGCCAGGTTGTGACTTGTCCAAATTTTTACACTCCACTTCACTTTTAAATATAAGTTCCAACTTTAAGTCATTTATTTGCTCCCATATCTAATCATAGGTTGTTAGAAGCAGCCATGACACATCTTGAATGCTTCACTGCTTAGAAATTTCTTCCACCTGGCTGGGCGCAGTGGCTTATGCCTGTAATCCCAGCACTTTGGGAAGCCGAGGTGGGTGGATCACGAGGTCAGGAGATCGAGACCATCCTGGCTAACACGGTGAAACTCTGTCTCTACTAAAAAAATACAAAAAAAAAAAATTAGCCAGCCGTGGTGGCAGGCACCTGTAGTCCCAGCTACTCGGGAGGCTGAGACAGAAGAATGTCATGAACCCGGGAGATGGAGCTTGCAGTGAGCCGAGATTGTGCCACTGCACTCCAGCCTGCTAGAGAGCGAGACTCCGCCTTAAAAAAAAAAAAAAAAAAAAAGAAGAAAGAAATTTCTTCCACTGGATATCCTAGGTAATCATACTTAAGTTCAACCCTCCATAAATCCCCAGGACATTGACACAATGCAGCCAAGTTCTTTGCTAAGGCATAACAAGAGTGACCTTTGCTCCAGTTCCCAATAAATTCCTAATTTCCATCTGAGAACTCATCAGCTTGGCCTTTGCTATCCATAGTTCTATCAGCATTTTTGTCACAACCACTTAACAAGTCTCTAAGAAGTTCCAAACTTTCCCTCATCTTCCTGTCTTTTCTGAGACCTCCAGATTCTTCCAATCTCAGCCCGTTACCCAGCTCCAAAGCTGCTTCCACATCTTCAGATATCTTTATAGGAACACCCCAGTCTTTGGTACCAATTTTCTGTATTAGTTCATTTTGTGTTGCTATGAAGTAATATCTGAGACTGGGTAATCTATAAAGAAAGGAGGTTTATTTGCCTCATGGTCCTGCATGCTGTACAGGAAGCAGGGTGTTGGCATCTGCTTCTGGTGAAGGCCTCAGGAAGCTGCCAATCATGGCTGAACACGAAGGGAAAACCAGCATATCACATGATTAGAGAGAGAGCAAGAGGAAAAGGAAGGAGATACCACACTCTTTTAAGCAACTAGATCTTGTGTGAACTCACAGAGTGGGAGCTCACTCACTACCCCAAGAATAGCACCAAGTCATTCATGAGGGATGCACTCTTATGACCCAAACACCTCCTGATAGCCTCAACTCCAACATTAGGCATCACAATTCAACATGAGATTTGAAGAGGACAAATATCCAAACCATATCAGGTGATGTCAGAGGAGGTTTTAGTGGAGAGCCAAGACCTTTCACCATGTGATAACAAGGGCATCTCTACCTTAGTGTCTATGGAGAACACATGGTGGGGCCAAAACTTCCACCCCACCTAGAAGTATAGAGGACATGTCCATGCATTTGTCAATGTAGGCCTATGGGAAACTTGGGCTTTATCTTCAAGTGACAGTAATGAGGTAGTGCCAATGCTCTCTCTGACAGAACAGTGTCAGGAGAAACTAGCTAAAATAGAATAAGTAAGCTCTAGAGTCTCAAAACATGATATAAAAATGTTCAAGTTTCAATATGAAGAAATTACTCATTATTCCAATAACCAAGAAGATAAATTAAATTTAAAAAATAACATACCAATGCCAACAATGAGATGAAAGAGCTGTTAGAATTCTGTGATAAAAATTTTAAAGCAGTCACCATGAAAATGCTTCAATGAGCAATTGCAAATATGCTTGAAACGAATAAAAAAATAGAAACCCTCAGCAATGAAACAGAAAGTCTCAGCAAATAAATAGATGATGAAAAGAACCAAATGAAAATTTTGGAAAAAAGTACAATAACCAAAATAAAAACCCAAATAGAAGAATGGAGTGGTCAAAAAAGAGAATAAGGAAACTAAAAGAAAAATAGAAAATACTGAATCTGGGCAGGGCACAGTGGCTCACACCTGTAATCACAGCACTTTGGGAGGTGAAGGTGGGAGGATTGCTTAAGCCCAGGAGTTTGAGGTTATGGTGCAGTATGATCATGCCACTGCACTCCAGCCAGGGCAACAGAGCATGACCCCATCTCTAAAAACATAACAAATAAGTAAATAAATAAAAATTACGCAATTTGAAAAACAGCAACAAAATAGACTAAAAGAATAAAAAAGAACAGTACCTTGGGGACATGTGGGAACTTAACAAAAGCTCCAACATTCATGTCAGTGGAGTACTGAAAGAAAAGGCAAAGGAGACAAGGCTAAAAATAACTCAAAAAATGGCTAAAAAGTTCCCAAATTTGATAAACAATATAGAGAGGTGAGTGAACTCCAAAGACTCCACACCAAGGCATATAACAGGCAAACTTTTGAAAATAAATGAAAAAGAAAAAATCTTAGGCTAGGTGTAGAGGCTTGTGCCTGTAATTCCAACATTTTGGAAGGCCAAAGTGGGAGGATTTCTTGAGCCCAGGGGTTCAAGACCAACCTAGGCAACATAGTAAGACCTTGTCTCTACAAAAAATAAACAAAATTAGCTGGACATGGTGGCATGCACCTGTACTCTCAGTTACTTAGGAGGGTGAGGTGGGAGGATCACTTGAGCCTGAGAGATCAAGGCTGCAGTGAGCCAACACCATATCACTGCACTCTAGCCTGAGTGACAGAGCAAAACCCTGTCTCAAAAAAAAAAAAGAAAGAAAGAAAAGAAAAGAAAAAGAAAGAGAAAAAAAAACTGACTAAGTGAATCAAAAAAAGACCCAATTACATGCTGCCTATGAGTATCTCACTTGAAATATAAAAATACAGGGAGATTAAAATTAAAAATGTAAAAGCTATATCAACAAGCAAAATGTCTTGAGCATCCCCAAAACCTGTTGCCATGACCTTTGCTTTTTGTGTGTGTTGGGACCTTTGCTTTTGACCAGCCTGCTTTTACTTTGACTAGGCCATTTGCACCTCTTGGTAGCATTGCTTTGATTGTGCTTTGTCTTCAAGATCATACTGCTAAAGCCATGTGTCATCTCCTGTTACAGTTCTCCAAAGAAAGTATTCAGAATCTTGATCCCATTGTTTAAAATTTCCATGGAAACTCAGTTCTCATCTGCAGCTGATCTAGGTGCAATGGTTTTGGACCCATTGAGGAGAAATTTGCTCAACTTTAATTTTTTAGTCAGAAGTGATCAAAGGAAAGCAGAAGCATCTATCAAATAGAGTTCAAGACAAAGATAACTACCGGTATATAGAGGAAAATCAGGCCAGGAGCGGTGGCTCATGCATGTAATCCCAGCAACTTGGGAGGCCAAGGCGGGTGGATCATTTGTGGTCAGGAGTTCAAGACCAGCCCGGCCAACGTGATGAAATCCCCTCTCTACTAAAAATACAAAAATGAGCCTGGCGGTAGTGGTGCGCGCTTGTAATCCTAGCTACTTGGGAGGCTGAGGCAGGAAAATCACTTGATCCTGAGAGGTGGAGGTTGCAGTGAGCCGAGATCACACCACTGCACTCCAGTCCGGATGACAGAGTGAGACCCTGTCTCAAAAAAAAAGAGAGAGAGAGAGAGAGGAAAATTATAAATGATAAGGAGTCAATCCACCAAAAAGACATGGCAACCCTAAATGTGTATGCACCAAACAACAGAGCTGTGAAACAAAATCTCATAGAACTAAAAGGAGAAACAGATAAATCCACAATTATAATTGGAGACTTCAACAATTCTCTCTCAACAAATAACAGAACAACTAAAAAGAAAATCAGCAAGAATATAGAAGAACTCAGTAACATCACTAACCAATGGAAACTAATTGACATTTATAGAACACACTATTCAACAATCACGGGCTGAGCACAGTGGCTCACACCTGTAATCCCAGCACTTTGAGACACTGAGGCAAGCAGATCACTTGAGGTCAGGAGTTCGAGATCAGCCTGGCCAACATGGTGAAACCCTGTCTCTACTAAAAATACAAAAATTAGCCAGGTGTGGTGGTGCATGCCTGTAGTCCCAGCTGCTTGGGAGGCTGAGGCAGGAGAATCACTTGAGCCCGGGAGGTGGAGGTTGCAGTGAGCCAAGAGCCAAGATCATGCCACTGCACTCCAGCCTGGGCAACAGAGTGAGACTCTGTCTCAAAAAAAAAAAAGAGAGAGAGAGAGAGAGACTCCATCATCTCAAAAAAAAAAAATTTCAAAATACACTCTTCCAAGTGCCAGTGAAACATATCTCAAAACACATCTTGCCCTGAGTCATAAAACAAGCCTCAGTAAATGTAAAAGACATGAAATCATACAGAGTGTGTTCTGTGACCACAATGGAATCAAAGGAGAAATCAATAACATAAAGATAAAAGAAAAATATTCTAACACTTGGATGTTAACGTATCTCTAAATAATCCATGGGCCAAAGACGATGTCTCAAAGGAATAAAAAAAAATACATGGTATGAGGTAAAAAAAATTTAATTTAAAAAATAACACCAATACTAATCTCTCCCAGAAAATACAAGAGGTCTTCAAAAAGTTCATGAAAAATGCGTACTATGAAAAAATATGCATGAATTTAAATAAAGTTTGCATCATAATAAACTTGTATTAACTTGTTATAACATGTCTGAGCAGGATCTAGTTTAAGCCACAAAGAAGGATAGGACTTCCGTTTGAAAAGACTCCCGATTAGAGCAACATGAATTCACTAAAATTGAAGCAAGAACAAACATCAGATTTATGGTGAAGCTTGGGTGGAAGAATAATGAAATCATTGACACTTTATGAAAAGTTTATGAGGACAATGCCTCAAAGAAATAAGTAGTGTACAAATGAATAACTTGTTTTAAGAAGGGATAAGATGATGTTGGAGATAAAGCCTGTAGTGACAGGCTATCCATATCATTTTATAAGAAACAAATTAGTCCTGTTCATACCGTAATTGAACAGGGCCAATGATTAACAGCAGATACACTAGGAAATACCATAGACATCCCAGATGGTTCAGCTTACACAATTCTGACTAAAAAATTAAAGTTGAGCAAATTTCTGCTCAATGGGTGCCAAATTGCACCCAGATCAGCTGCAGATAAGAGCTGAGTTTCCATGGAAATTTTAAACAATGGGATCAAGATTCTGAATACTTTCTTTGGAGAATTGTAACGGGAGATGAAACATGGCTTTAGCAGTATGATCTTGAAGACAAAGCACAATCAAAGCAATGCTATCAAGAGGTGTAAATTGTCTAGTCAAAGTAAAAGCTGGCTGGTCAAAAGCAAAGGTCCCAACACACACAAAAAGCAAAGGTCATGACAACAGGTTTTGCAGATCTTAAAGGTATTTTGCTTGTTGACTTTCTGGAGGGCCAGAGAACGTTTTAAGAAAGCCAAGCTTTAGCAGAAAAATAACCAGGAAAGCTTTACTATAGAGTTCTTCTCCACCACAACAACGCTCATGTTCATTCCTCTCAACAAGGGCAATTTCACAAGAATTCTGACATGTAAAATCACTGGGCATCCACCATACAGTCCCAGTTTGGTTATTTCTTTTTTTTCTTTTTCTTTTTTTTCGAGACAGGGTCTCACTCTGTCGCCCAGGCTGGAGTGCAGTGGCACGATCTTGGCTCACCGCAACCTCCACCTCCCAGGTTCATGTGATTCTCCTGCTTCAGCCTCCTGAGTAGCTGGGATTACAGGTGTGTGCCATCTTGCCCAGGTAATTTTTATATTTTAATAGAGATGGGTTTTCACCACGTTGGCCAGGCTGGTCTCAAACTCCTGACCTCAAGTGATCCACCTGCCTCTGCTTCCCACAGTTCTGGGATTACAAGTGTGGGCCACCATGCCCTGCCCCAGTGTGATTATTTCTGACTTTTCTTTATTTCCCAATCTTAAAAAATCTTTAAAGAGCATCCATTTTCCTTCAGTTAATAATGTAAACAATTCTTCATTGACATGGTTAAATTCTTAGGACCATCAGCTCTTTAGAGACGGACTAAATGGCTGGTATCATCCCTTATAAAAATGTCTTGAGCTTGGCGGGACCAAGATGGCTAACTAGAAGCAGCAGCAGTTAGAGGCTCCAATTGAGAAGAAACAAAACAGCATGTCAATCCTGCACTGGCAATCGAGGTATCCAGGTTTTATCATCAGGACTGACTAGGCAGTTGGTGTGACCCATAAAGAGCAAGAAAAAGCAGGGTGCTGCGTCGGCCCACATGGAGAAAGGGCAAACCCCACCCCCAACCAAGGAAGGTGGTGAATGAGTATGCTATCTTGCCTGGGAAACCGTGCTTTTTCCACAGATCTGCGCAACCCACAGATCGGAAGATTCCACTCGTGAGCCCATACTACCAGGGCCTTGGGTCCCAACCACAGAGCTGCACAGACTCTCAACAGCCACTCTTGCTGGAATCTGCCTAAAGGTAATGAGTTCCCGGAGGAGAAGCCGCCATCATCACTGCAGCTGCCTGCTGTCTAAGCCATCTGAGCTTCCAGGGGGAGAGATGGCAGCCATCACTGCGGCTGTCAGCTGCCTAAGACAACTGAGCTCCCTGAGGTGGGGGCGGCCCTCATCACTGTGGTTGCTAGCTGCCTAAGAAAACTGAGCTCCCTGCGGGAGGGAAGGCAAACATTACTCCAGCTGCTAGCTAAGTACACTGCTACCTGACACTGAACTGGGGGTAGCGGGGAGGGTGGCAGCCATCACTATAGCTCTAGACCACATTTTTCCCCTCCTGGAGCCGGAGAGACAGGACAGCTTGGTTCCAAGAGGTAATCCCCACAGTGCAGTATACAGGCTGTGGCTGAAAAATGCTGAAAACTCAAAAGGCCAGAGTGCCTCTTCTCCAAATGATCACAACACTTCTCCAGCAAGTGCACAGAACTGGACAGAGGTACCATCCTGATACCAAAACCTGGCAGAGATACAACAAAAAAGGAAAACTTCAGGCCAGTATCCCTGATGAACACTGATGCAAAAATCCTCAATAAAATACTGTCAAACTGAATCCAGCAGCACATCAAAAAGTTTATCCACCATGATCAAGTCTGCTTCATCCCTGGGATGCAAGGCTGGTTCAACATACGCAAATTAATAAACATAATTCATCACATAAACGGAACTAATGACAAAAACCACAAGATTATCTCAAAAGATGCCGAAAAAGCCTTTGATAAAATTCAACATCCTTTCATGTTAAAAACAATCAATAAACTAGGTATTGATGGAACATATCTCAAAATAGTAAGAGCCATTTACGACAAACCCATAGCCAATATCATACAGAATGGGCAAAACCCAGAAGCACTTCCCTTGAAAAGCAGCACAAGACAAAGATGCCCTCTCTCACCACTCCTATTCAACATAGTATTGGAAGTTCTGGCCAGGGCAATCAGGCAAGAGAAAGAAATAACGGGTATTCAAATAGGAAAAGAGGAAGTCAAATTGCCTCTGTTTGCAGACAACATGATCCTATATCTAGAAAAACCCATTGTCTCAGCCCAAAAGCTCCTTAAGCTGATAAGCAACTTCAGCAAAGTCTCAGGACACAAAATCAATGTGCAAAAATCACAAGCATTCCTGTACACCAACAATAGACAAGCAGAGAGCCAAATCATGAATGAACTCCCATTCACAATTGCTACAAAGAGAATAAAATACCTAGGAATACAGCTAACAAAAGATGTGAAGGACCTCGTCAAGGAGAACTACAAACCACTGCTCAAGGAAATAAGATAGGACACAACAAATGGAAAAACATTCCATCCTCATGAATAGGAATAATCAATATCATGAAAATGGCCACACCGCCCAAAGTAATTTATAGAGTCAATGTTATTTCCATCAAACTACCATTGACATTCTTCACAGAATTAGAAAAAATGACTTTAAAATTCGTATGGAACAAAAAAAGAGCCCATATAGCCAAGACAATTCTAAGCAAAAAGAACAAAGCTGGAGGCATCACGCTACCTGACTTCAAACTATACTACAAGGCTACAGTAACCAAAACAGCATGGTACTGGTACCAAAACAGACACATAGACCAATGGAACAGAATAGAGATCTCAGAAATAAGACCACACATTTACAACCATCTGACCTTTAACAAACTTGACAAAAACAAGCAATTGGAAAAGAATTCCCTACTTAATTAATAGTGCTGGGAAAACTGGCTGGTCATATGCAGAAAATTGAAACTGGACCCCTTCCTTACACCTTATATAAAAATTAACTCAATATGGATTAAAGACTTAAATATAAAACCCAAAACCATAAAAACCCTAGAAGAAAATATAAGCAACACCATTCAGGACATAGGCATGAGCAAAGATTTTATGATGAAATCACCAAAAGCAATTGCAACAGAAGCAAAAATTGATAAATGAGGTCTAGTTAAACTAAATACCTTCTGCACAGCAAAAGAAACTATCATCAGAGTGAACAGGCAACCTATAAAATGGGAGAAAATTTTTGCAATCTACCCATCTGACAAAGGTCTAATATCCAGAATTTACAAGGAACTTAAACAAATTTACAAGGAAAAAATACAAACAACCCCATCAAAAAGTGGGCAAAGGACATGAACAGACACTTCTCAAAAGAAGACATTTATGCAGCCAACAAACATGTGAAAAAAAGCTCAACATCACTGATCACTAGAGAAATGCAAATCAAAACCACAGTGATATACCATCTCACACCAGTCAGAATGGTGATTATTAAAAAGTCAAGAAACAATAGATGCTGGTGAGGTTGTGGAGAAATAGGAATGTTTTTATGTTGTTGGTGAGAATGTAAATTAATTCAACCATTTTGGAAAACAGTGTGGCAATTCCTCAAAGATCTAGAACCAGAAATACCATTTGACCCAGCAATCCCATTACTGAGTATATACTCAAAGGAATGTAAATCATTCTATTATAAGGATACAAGCACACGTATGTTTATTGCAGCACTATTCACAATAGCAAAGACATGGAATCAACCCAAATGCCCATCAATGATAGACTGGATAAAGGAAATGTAGTACATATACACCATGGAATACTATGCAGCCATAAAAAAGACTGAGGTCATGTCCCTTGCAGGGACATGGATGAAGCTGGAGGCCATCATCCTCAGCAAACTAACACAGGAACAGAAAACCAAACACCACTTGTTCTCACTCATAAGTGGGAGCTGAACAATGAGAACACATGGGCACAGGGAGGGGAACAACACATACCTGGGCCTGTCATGGGAGTGGGGGAGGAAGAGCATCAGGAAAAATAGCTAATGCATGTGGGGCTTAATACCTAGGTGATAGGTGCAGCAAACCACCATGGCACACATTTTCCTATATAACAAACCTGCACATTCTGCACATGTATCGTGGAGCTTAAAATAAAACAAAATAAAATAAATTTTAAAAGTGTCTTGAACTTGATGGAGATTTTGTTGAGAAATAAAATTGATAATTTTTATTTTGATCTTTTAATTCTATTTTCCATGAACTTTTGGAAGTCCCCACATAGGAAAGTAATCCATCTAAGTAGAAGGAATATTTCTCAATGTATGCTATGAAGACAGTATCACCCTGATGCCAAAACCAAAGACAATACAAAAATAAAAAGAAAACACAGAGTGATAACTTTTATAAATTTAGATTTCAACAATTTTTAAAATACTAGCAAATAAAATTTTACAATGAGTAAAAAGAATTATACACCATGATCAAGTGGGCTTTTTTCATATATTCAATATTTGAAAATCTGTCATTATAATCTACCATATTAAAGGGCTAAAGAAGAAAAGACATATGTTCATAATGATTATGTCAATAAATGCAGAAAGACATTCAACCAAACTTCAATATCAATTCACGGTTTTTAAAATTCTCAGAAAAATAGAAATAGAGGAGAACTTTCTCAACCCAGTAAGAAGCATCTATAAAAAATCTATAGACAGATTTATATTTAATTGTGAAGAACTGAATGCTTTTATCCCAAGATCAAGAAAAAAGCAAAAATATCTATTCTCACCACTCGTATTCAACATAGCACTGGAAGTTCTACACAATGCAATAAGGCAAGAAAAGTAAATAAGAGGAATACAAACGAGAAAGAAATAAAATTGTTTTTATTCATGTTTGACACAACTGTGTACTTTAAAATCCCAAGGAATGGACAAAAAATAAACCACTTCTAGAATAAATGAATTCAGCAAAGTCACTAAAAAAAAGATGAACATAGAAAAGTAAATTGTATACCCATATACTAACAATGAACAAATGGATACCAAAATTTAAAATATAATACCATTTCCATTAACTCAAAAAGGATACTTAGGTGTAAATGTAAAAAAACCATGTACAGGACTTGTGTTCTAAAAACTACAATAACTACACAACACTGATGAAAGATTTTTAAAATCTAAATAAATGGAGAGACATACACTGTGCTCATGTGTTGGAAGACTCAAAAAGTCATGGAGATACATCGATTTTTCCTGAATTGATATATAATTTTACACAGTTTCTACCAAAATGCCAGCAAGATTTTCTGTGGCTATAGATGAGATTACTGTAAAATTTATATGGAATACCAAAGGAACTAGAATAATTAAAACAATTTTGAGAAACAAGAAAAAAGTAGGAAAAATCAATGTACTCTATTTTAAGATTTTTACTAAATAGCTACAGTAATCAAGACTGTGTATAATAATAAGTAGATGAATAGACATGTAAATCAATGGAACAAGATAAAATAAATAATCCAAAAGTAGACCCATGCAAATATGCCCATCTGAATTTTGACAAAGGTGCAAATGCAACTAACTGAAGGAAAGATAGGCTTCCAAAAAATGGCATTGGAGCAATTGGACATCCATGGGCAAAAAAAATAAGCTTCAGCCTAAGTCTCACATCTTATACTAAAATTAATTCAAAATTTATCACAAACTTAAAAGTAACATAACATTCTAAGATTTTTAGAAAACAACATAAAGGAAAATATTCAGGATCTAGGGCTAGGCAAAAGGCTCTTAGACTTGACATCAAAAGCATAATCTGTAAAATGAAAAACTAATAAGTTGAATTTCTTAAACATTTTTAAACTTTTACCCTTTTAAAAAAAACATATTAAAAGCATAAAAGATAAAGCTAAAATTTTGGAGAAAATGTTTGCAAGCACATATCTGACAACACACTTATATCTAGTACATATAAAAGAACAGTCAAAACTCAACAGTAAAAAAGCAAACAGCCCAATTAGAACCTGGATATGAAAAGACATTTTACCAAAGAAAATATCCAAGAAGGCAAAGAAACACATGAACATATTTTCAATGCCAGTAGCTATTAGGGAGGAGCAATAAAACTACAATTGGGTATTATTAGATACCTATCAGAATGACTCAGATAAAATGTTGAAAACACCAAATGTTAGAAAAAAATTCAGAGAAACTAGATTACTCATACATTCTGGTGATAATGCAAACTGCTATAGCCACTCTGATAAAGAGTAAGGCAGTTTCTTTAAAAACAAAACAAAGCAACCAACTACCCATGGACCTCTCATATAGAACAATAATTGCATTCTTTGGCATTTATTTAATAGAAGTAAAAACTTGTGTTCACACAAAAACCTTTACACAAATGGTAATACAAATTTCATTCATAATATTCCTGAACTTAAAACATCCCAGATGTCCTTCAACAGATGAATAATAAACAGGGGAACATCTATGTAATGGAATTCTATTCCATTATATTAATACATTCAATAACCTGGATGAATTTCCAGAGAATTATGCTGAGTGAAAATGACTAATCACAAAATGTTTTATACTGTATGATTTTATTTATATATCATTCTGGAAATAACAACATTTTAAAAGTGGAAAACAGATTAGTCGTTGCAAGGGTTAAGAAAGAGGTGGGCCAGGGGTGAAAGGTAGTATGGGCATAAAAGGGCAATATAAGGAATCTCTGTAGTAATGGAAATGTTCTGGATCTTAACTGCATCAATATCAATATTTTGGATGTAATATTGATAGTCTTGGAAGATGTTACCATTGTGGAAAAGTGGGTAAAGAGTACAGAGGATTATTATTTCTTATAATTGCATGTGAGCCTACAATTATCTTAAATAATAAGTGTGTTCATCTGATTTGCTTTGCTATAAAGGACTACCTGAGGTCAGTACTATATAAAGAAAATAGGTTTATTTGGCCAATGGTTTGGCAGACTGTACAAGAAGCATGGTGGCAACATCTATTTCTGATAGCCTCTTATTCCTGAGGCCTCAGGAGCTTTTATTCATAATAGAAGGTGAAGGAGGAGGCCAGGCATGGTGGCTCATGCCTGTAACCCCAGCACTTTGGGAGGCCAAGGCGGGCAGGTCATGAGGTCAGGAGTTCGAGACCAGCCTGGCCAACATAGTGAAACCCCATCTCTACTTAAAAAAATACAAAGATTAGCCCGGTGTGGTAGCACGCGCCTGTAGTCCCCACTACTCTGGAGGCTGAGGCAGGAGAATTGCTTGAACGAGGGAAGTGGAGGTTGCAATGAGCTGACATCGCTCCACTGCACTCCAGCCTGGGCGACAGAGTGAGACTCTGTCTCAAAAAAAAAAAAAAAAGGGAGAGAGAAGGTGAAAGGGGAGCAGGCATATCACATGGCAAGAGAGGTGCCAGGCTCCTGTAAATAAGTAGCTATCATGTGAACTAATAAAGTGAGAATTCATTTATTACCACAGGGAGGGCACCAAGCCATTCATGAGGGATCCACCTCCATGACCAAAATACCTCCCACTAGGCTCACCTCCAAAATTGGAGATCACATTTTAACATCAGATTTGGAGGATACAAATATCCAAACCATATCAACAAGTTTAATTATAAAATCAGAAGCGAAGACAGCAAAATCATGAACAAGGAGGCTCCGAACTTTTGTCCCCCAACAGAAACATCAACAAAACAAAAAACAGTCAAAGGTCTACAACAACCAAGTAAACGCCCAATCAAGAAAAAAAAATCTATGAACATATTTAGACTGTAAGAAAAAAAAAATCTAGCCAGGAGCTGTGGCCCATGCCTGTAATCCCAGCAATTTGGGAGGCCAAGGTAGGAGGTTTGCTTGGGCCAGGAGTTTGAGACTAGCCTGGGTAGTCAGACTCCATCTCTACCAAAAAATAAAAATGAAAACAGCCTGGAAAACAGAGAAAGACCCTGTCTCAGAAAGAAACATTTGGTGATGATTTTACTCTTCCTTGCCTGACCTTCTTCCTGGCACAATATCAAACATGGTCTTGAATTGGTGACAGCACAGTTCCCAGTTCCTTCCCTAGAACCAAAGGGTGAAGAGCAGACTTCATTTACAATTTTTTTTGTTTGTCTCTTCTAATCTGTCTAGGGAAACAACTGAAGGACTGAAGCAAAGTGTTTGATTGTTTGAAGGTTAAAGAATTTGCAGGTGGCTATAATTTTAATGTTTGTCCCCTCCAGGCTTCATGTTGAAATTTGATCCCCATTGTGGCAATGTTAGGAGGTAGGACCTAGTGGGAAGCATTTGGTTCATGAAGGTGGATACCTCATGAATAGATTAATACCTTCCCTGCTGGGTTAGTGAGTTTATGCTCTAAATAGTTCCTACGAGAGCTGGTAGTTAAAAAGAACCTGGCATGCACACATAAACATCTGCCTCCTCTCTTATCATTTGATCTCTTTGCACACTGCCTAACCTTCCACATTCCACCATGATATGTGGCAGCCTGAGACCCTCAGATGGAAATATGCAATCTTGAACTTTCCAGTCACCAGAACCATGAGACTAATCATTTCTTTATAAACTATGTGGTCCCACTAGACTGTTACAGCATTACTAAACAGACTAAGACACAGGCACTGCTCCTAAAAGCTACAAGGTGACTACAAACCCACAGACATCTGGAGGAAGATATTATGCTTGGGGACATGTAATATATCATCTAAGACCTGGAAGATAAGCTGGGGTGACACTCTGTGGGAAATTAAGACATTCAAATTCAGCCACATGTATAAGGAAATTTAAAAAGCCATGTGCATGTCCAGGCAAGACATATGCTTAGAAAAATTTCCACCTTGAGATAATCCCTAAGCTTACAACAAGCCTATGTATGGTGAAGAAGTGCTCCAGTACACAGGCAATCTGAAAAGACTGGGAGAAATGGCTTCTCTCTTTCTCTGATTTTGATTTGTTTGTTTAGGTTCATGACACTCAAGGGAATCCATCAAATAACTAGACGAACACAAGCTAGAGGATCAGAAACTTCAGTGATCACATTTGACAAGGAATAGTCTTTGCAAAACATGCTTGGAAAAGTCTCAAAAGAAAGAACTACTACAGCCTTCAACAATTTAAAACATTAAACTCTGGGAAAGTGAGATAATCTTATTTTCAAAGTTTTCACAAAATATCAAAATGTCTAATTTTCAAGAAAAAATCACATCATACAAAGAAACAGGAAAACATGTCTTATTCAGAGAAACATAATACATGGACAGTAATCATCCCTAAGATTTCCCTGACCTTGGACTTAATGGGCAAAGAATTTAAAATAATTGTCTTAAATATGCTCAAATAGCTAAGAAAAAATATGAACAAAGAAGTAAAAAAAATCAAGAGATAACATATGAACCAAATGAGAACATTGACAAAGATATAAAAATTATGAAAAGAAACCCAACAAATTCTGAAGCTGAAAAATACAATCACTAAATGAAAAGTTCACTAGAGGGGTTCAACCCACAGATTTAAGTAGACAGAAGAAGCTGAGTATAGTGGCTCATGCCTGTAGTCCTAGTACTTTGGGATGCCGAGGTGGGAGGATTGCTTGAGCCCAGGAGTTCAAGACCAGCCTAGCCAACACAGTGAGATGAGACCTCATCTCTGAAAAAAGTGAATTAATTAGACAGAATAAATAATCAGCAACTTGAAAATAAGATAATTGACATTATCATTGGAAAAGCACGAAGGAAAAACGAATAAAGAAAAGTGAGGAGAGCCTAAAGGACTTGTGGGATATCATCAAGCATACAAATATATACATATGAGAGTCCCATAAGGAGAAGAGAGAAAGAGAGACAGAGATAAAAATGGTTGAAATGAATATTTTTAAACAATAGTGTTTGAAAACTTTCCACATTTAATGACAGACATCAATCTACAAATTCAAGAAGCTCAACAAAGTCCGAGTGGGAAACCGCAAAGAAACCCACACTAAGACACATTATAATCAAACTATGAAAATCCAAAGACAAAGATAGAATCTTGAAAGCAAGAGAAAAGCAACTCAATATGTATAGGAAATGCTCAATAAAATTATCAACCAACTTCTCATCAGAAACCTTGCAGACCAAAAAGCAATGGAATTATAAATTTAACGCATTGAAAGAAAAAAACTGTATATCAATAATTTCATATCCACCAAAACTGTCATTCAAATATGAGGAAAAAATTAAGATATTCCCAGATAGGGCCAGGCGTGGTGGCTCACGCCTGTAATCCCAGCACTTTGGGAGGCTGAGGAGGGCAGATCATGAGGTCAGGAGATCGAGAACATCCTGGCTAACAAAGTGAAACCCCATCTCTACTAAAAATACAAAAAAAAAAAATTAGCCAGGCATGGTGGCAGGTGCCTGTAGTCCCAGCTACTCGGGAGGCTGAGGCAGGAGAATGGCGTGAACCCAGGAGTGGAGGTTGCAGTGAGCCAAGATCGCACCACTGCACTCCAGCCTGGGGTGAAAGAGCAAGACTCCGTCTCAAAAAAAAAAAAGATATTCCCAGATAAATGAAAGATGAGTTCATCGTCACTAAACTTCTCTACAAGAAATTCTAATGGGGAATCCTTCAGTTTGAAATGAAAAAATGCTAGACAGTAACTCAAATCTGAATGGAGATATACAAATCACCAGTTAAGGTAAATATATGGGCATATGCAAAAGCCAATATTGTGGTAATTTTGGTTTCTAAGTGGTATAGTTTGGCTCCATGTTCCCACCCAAATCTCATGATGAATTGTAATTCTCGAAGTTGGGGGAGGGATCTGGTGGGGGGTGATTAAATCATGAAGGCAAATTTCCCCCTTGCTGTTCTCACGAAAATGAGTGAGTTCTCATGAGATCTGGTTGTTTGAAAGTGTCCCCCTTTGCTCTCTTTCTCCTGCCACCATGTGAAGATGTGTTTGCCTCTCCTTCACCCTTATGCCATGATTATAAATTTCATAAGGCCTCCCCAACCATACTTCCTGTACAGCCTGCAGAACTGTGAGTCAATTAAACCTCTTTTCTTCATAAATTACCCAGTCTCGGGTAATTCTTCATGGCAGTGTGTGAATGAACTAATACAGTAACTCTACTTTTTGCTGTCTACAGAATTTAAAAGACAAATGCATAAAAATATTATAAAACTATGTTATTTGGCATACAGTGCCTAAAGATGCAATGTGTAACAACTATTACACAAAGTGAGAAATGGAGCAGTAGAGAAGCAGAGTTTTTATTTGTGATTGAAGTTAAGTTTGTATCAACCCAAATTAGATTTTTATAACTTTTTTTTAGACAAGGTCTCACTCTGTTGCCCAGGCTGGAGTGCAGTGGTGCAATCTCAATTCACTACAACCTCAACCTCTCAGGCTTGAGTGATTCTTATGCCTCAGCCTCCCCAGTAGCTGCCATTACAGGTATGTGTCACCAGGCCCAGGTAATTTTTGTATTTTTAGTAGAGACAGGGTTTTGCCATATTGGCCAAGCTGGTCTTGAACTCCTGACCTCAAGTAATCTACCCACCTCAGTCTCCCAAAGTGCTAGGATTACAGGCATGATCCACCATGCCTGGCCAGATTGTTATAACTTTAGGATGTCATGTGTAATCGCCATGGTGATCACAAAGATAGTATCTATAGGATATAAACAAAAGGAAATGAGAAGATAATCAAAGTATATGACTTTAAAGAATCAACTAAACACAAATGAAGGTAGTACTGTAGTAAATTAAGACAAAGATATGACATATGTAAAACAAATAATGAAATGATGAGAGTAAGTCCTTTCTCATCAATAATTACTCTAAATATAAATCAGTTAAACTCTCCATTCAAAAGGCAAAGTTTGGCAGAATAAATTTTAAAAAATACAAACCTACTATTTGCCATGTACAGGAGACACATTTTAGACTCAAAGAGAGAAGTGAATTAAAAGTAAAGGGTTGGCAAAAGATAAATTATGAAAACTGGAATCATACAAAAGCAAGGGTGGCTATACTTAGACACAATATAGTTGAAAATAAAAATGTCATTAGAATAAATATTGATATTTTATATTGATAAAATGGTCAGCCCATCTTGAAATTATGAAATTTATATATATATATATATATATATCTCCACTGAAACATCAGAGCCCCAAAATACATGAACCAAAAGCTGAAAGAATTGAGGGGAGAACTAGATAACTGAACGATAATAGTTGGAGACTTCAACATTCCATTGTCAATACTGAAAACAGCAACTATGCAATGATCAGCAATGAAATCAGAGACTTCAACAATAGTATATGCAAGTTACACCTAACAGATATCTATAGAGAACTCCATCCAACAACAGCAGAATACACATTCTACTCACTTACATATGGCACAGTTTCCACGTTTGACTATATGCTAGGCCATAAAGCAAGCCTCAACAAATGTAAAAGCATTGAACTCATAAAAGAATAAACAATCACAATGAAAACTGGAAATTAATAACAGAAAGAAATGTGGGAAATGCATCCAGAACATATATCCAGAACATATCTATATATACATATATTCTGATATATATATCTGATATATATATCTGTAAAGGCTTTATTGTACTTCTTATATCCATAAAGATTCTTACCAGTATGAATTCTCTAATATGTAGTAAGGCAGAATTAACTTTATATATTTTCCTACATTTCTTACATTCATCAAGTTTCTCATCAGTTTGAATTCTCTGATATTGAGCAATGTGTCCAGACACAATAAAGGCTTTACTACATTCTTTACATTCATAAAGTTTGTCACCAGTATGAATTATCTGTTTCTCAGAAGAACTCAAATCAGATTAAAGACCTTATGTTCCTTACATTCATGAAATTTGGCACTTATATGAATACTCTGATATTGAGTACATTGTCCGAATACAAGGAAGGCTTTATTGCATCCCTTATATTCATAGTTTCTCACCATATGAATTCTCTGATACATAATAAGGATTAAAATTTAAATGTCCTTCCACAGTTCTTACATTTTTTCAGGTTTTTCAACAGTATGAATTCTCTTATAGTGAGTGACTTGCCGGCACACAAGAAAGGATTTCCAACATTCCTAATACTTATAAAGTGTAGAATCAGCATGAATTCTAATTTACAGAATAAACTCAATTCATTCTAAAGAGCTTCCCACATTCCTTATATTCATAGAACCTCTTACTAGTATGAATTCTCTGGTGTTGGCTAAATAGTCCACACAAATAATAGCTTTCACATATTCTTAACATTCATAAAGTTTTTCATCAGTATGAATTCACTATGTCTGTGATAAGGACTAAATTGAATTGTAATATCTTCTCACATTTTTTTACATCTATTGTGTTTTTCACAGTATGAGTTCTCTGATGTTGTGTAAATTGATATCCACTACTGGTCATCTCAAATTGTTTGTGATCACACCATTTCTAAACAGAACAAATGTATAAGTAATATAATATTACTTCTGTTTATAATACAATAATAGTTTCTGGCTCTTATAAATTACGTGATATAAAATTTGAAATTTCTATTTACTATTACTATTACTGTTACTGTTGTAGATAGTAATTTAAGTAAAATCCGCCTTCTTAAGCATGCGCTCACAATTTCAGTTATTTCTAAAAACAGAGGCTTCAAGGTCAATTGTATTACTTCTTAGCCTGATTCCTTAATTCCTGGATTACATTTTTAGTGTCTACTCTCCAGAATTCTGGGTCCAAAGGCTGTTGTGGTGATAGAAGATTATCCAGAAATAGACTGGCATATCTATAATGACAGTTCCATTTTTAAAAAGTTTTGCTAGTAAGCTAGGTTTTTTTTGTTTTGTTTTGTTTTGAGATGGAGTCTCACTCTGTCGGCCAGGCTGGAGTGCAGTGGCATGATCACAGCTCACTGCAGCCTTGACCTCTTGGGCTCAAGTGATCTTCTCACCTCAGTTTCTGAGTAGCTAGGACTATAGGCACATGCCATAGGCATCCAGCTAATTTTTTTATTTGTGGAGATGGGGTCTTGCTATATTTTACAGGCTGGTCTTAAACTCCTGGGCTCAAGCAATCCTCTTGCCTTGGCCTTCTAAAGTGCTGGGATTACACGTGTGAGCTGCCACACCCAGCTGGTAAACCAGTTTTGTTCAGCTTACTACTTAAACCCTTCCAAAAATTTTGTTAGCACACAATTTTCTGTGTGAATCTCCTCCCAATTAAAAGTACCTGCAATTGTTTGATATTGGCACTGAACACTAGTCAGAAATTGACTGTGTAACAAACTAAAAGATAAAAATCAAATAATAAAGAAAAGCATTTGTATTAATTTCACAAGGCTGCTGTAACAAATTACCACAAATATGGTGGCTTAAAACAAATTTATTCTCTCACAGCTGTAGAGGCCATATGTCCAAGATCAGGATATTAGCAGAGTTATCCTTCTGCCAAAAGGCTCTAGGGGAGAATGATCCTTCTTTGTTCCAGCTTCTGGTGGCTGTTGACATTCCTTCTAGGTGTATCAGCCCAATATGTTCCTCTATATTAATTTGCTTCTCTTCTCTGTGTCTTTTTCTGTATCTTATATGGACACTTATCACTGAATTTAGTGCCAACCTTGATAACCCAGAATGATCTCATTTTAAGATGATTAACTTAATTACATCTGCAAAGACCCCTTTTCCAAACAAGGTCACATTTCCAATAAGGTCCATATACTAGGAAACGGACATATCTTCTTGGGGGCCAACATTCAAACAACTAGAGCATTTAATAAGGTTCAATACATAATTCTGATTTAAAATAACTTTTAGGAAAATTCCTCTACTTGGTAGAACTACACATTAGAAACCTATAGTAGACATTAACTTTATATAGAAAGTTTAAATACATTACCTTTAAAACTGAAAATAAAATATGGATGCTTGCCATTATCTCTACTGTTTAATATGGTACTGTAGGTCCTGGTCCCAATACTATAAGACAAGAAAAAAATAAGCCAAGTGTGGTGGCAGAAGCCTATAATCTAAGCACTATGGGAGGCCAAGGCAGGAGGATTGCTTGAGCCCAGGACTTTGAGACCAGCCTGAGCAACATAGGGAAACCACATCTCCACACACAAAAAAATCTTAAGTTAGCCAGGTGTGTATGCACACACCTGTGGTCCCAGCTATTTGGGAGGCTGAGGTGGGAGAACTGCCTAAGCCCAGAAAGTCAAGGCTGCAGTGAACCGTGATTGCACTACTGCACTCCAGCCTGGGTGACAGAGTAAGACCCTGTCTCAAAAAAAAAGTTGAAAAAGGAAGAGATAAAACTCATTCATTATTTATTATTGATGCAATAATCTCCCTAGAAAAACAAAAATAAGTCATAAATTCAGAACTGATCAGAAATATCAGCAAAGATGATAGAATCAAGAGAAATTTTAACTTATTAATAATATTTCACTATATTATCAATAATCTAACAGAAAATATAAATAAAAGCTAACATACCATGCACAACATTAAGAAAGCTATAAAAATGGCTGGGCATGGTGGCTAATGTCTGTAATGTCAGCACTTTGGGAAACCCAGAAAGGAGGATTGCTTGAGCCCAGCAGTTTAAGACCAGCCTGAGTGGGGCATGGTGGCTAATATCTGTAATGTCAGCACTTTGGGAAACCCAGAAAGGAGGATTGCTTGAGCCCAGCAGTTTAAGACCAGCCTGAGTGGGGCATGGTGGCTCATGCCTGTAATCCCAGGACTTTGGGAGGCTGAGGCAGGTGGGTCACAAGTCAGGAGATCGAGATCATCCTGACTAACATGGTGAAACCCCATCTCTACTGAAAATACAAAAAATTGGCCAGGCGTGGTGGCACGTGCCTTTGGTCCCAGCTACTCAGGAGGCTGAGGCAGAAGAATCGCTTGAACCCAGGAGGTGGAGGTTGCAGTGAGCCGAGATTGGGCCAGTGCACTCCAGCCTGGGTGACAGGGCAAGACCCTGTCTCAAAAAAAAAAAAAAGACCAGCCTGGTCAACATAGTGAGACCCCATCTCTACTAAAAATTTAAAAACTTAGCCAGGCATGGTGGCACATGCCTGTTGTCCTAGCTACTTGGGAGGCTGAGGCAGGAAGATCACTTAAGCCCAGAAGTTCAAGGTTACAGTAAGCTATGATTATGCCACCTCACTCCAACCTGAACAACAGAGCAAGACCCCAACTCCAAACAAAAGCTATAAAGCATCTAGGAATTAACTAAGAGTACACAAGATCTCAATGAAGAAAGATACAATATAATTTTACAGTATAGAGAAGATTCTAAATAAATAGAGACACATTCTATGTGCCATTCTAATAGCATCAGTTGGATGCCATTAATTAATATGAAATACAATCACCCCAAATTAGTCCATAAATTAAAAATCATTGACATCGAAATTCCAGTAGTATTGTTTTCATTTTTGTTTTTGTTTTGTTTTGTTTTGTTTTTGAGACAGAGTTTCGTTCTTGTTGCCCAGGCTGGAGTGCAATGCACGATCTTGGCTCACTGCAGTCTCCACTTCCCGGTTTCAAGCAATTCTCCTGCCTCAGCCACCCCAGTAGCTGGGATCACATGTACCCACCACCACGCCTGGCTAATTTTTGTATTTTTAGTGGAGACGGGGTTTCACCATGTTGGCCAGGCTGGTCTCAAACTCCTGACCTCAGGTGATCCACCCACCTCAGCCTCCTAAAGTGCTGGGATTACAGGCAATAGCCACTGCCCCCAGCCTCTGGTGGTATTTTTAAGGTGATAGATAATCTTAATCTAAAACTTTAAAAGAAGCATAAAGATCGTAGGTATTTTAATCTCTTTGAAGCAATTGTGAATGGGAGTTCACTCATGATTTGGCTCTCTATTTGTCTGTTATTGGTGTATAGGAATGCTTGTGATTTTTGCACATTGATTTTGTGTCCTGAGACTTCGCTGAAGTTGCTTATCAGCTTAAGGAGATTTTGGGCTGAAATGATGGGGTTTTCTAAATATACAATCATGTCATCTGCAAACAGGGACAATTTGACTCCTCTTTTCCTAATTCAATACATTTTATTTCTTTCTCCTGCCTGATTGCCCTGGCCAGAACTTCCAACACTATGTTGAATATGATTGGTGAGAGAGGGCATCCCTGTCTTGTGCCAGTTTTCAAAGGGAACGCTTCCAGTTTTTGCCCATTCAGTATGATATTGGCTGTGGGTTTCTCATAAATAGCTCTTATTA
Organism: Homo sapiens; assembly: GCF_000001405.40. Classification (NCBI taxonomy): domain Eukaryota; kingdom Metazoa; phylum Chordata; class Mammalia; order Primates; family Hominidae; genus Homo; species Homo sapiens. The sequence goes on along the minus strand of NC_000005.10, from coordinate 140,760,302 downwards.
TTTTGAGATACGTCCCAACAAGACCTAGTTTATTGAGAGTTTTTAACTTGCAAGAGATGTGAAGGACTTCTTCAAGGAGAACTACAAACCACTGCTCAACGAAATAAAAGAGGACACAACCAAATGGAAGAACATTCGATGCTCATGGATAGGAAGAATTAATATCGTGAACATGGCCACACTGCCCAAGGTAATTTATAGATTCAATGCCATCCCCAACAAGCTACCAATGACTTTCTTCACAGAATTGGAAAAAACTACTTTTAAGTTCATATGGAACCAAGAAAGAGCTCGCATTGCCAAGACAATCCTAAGCCAAAAGAATAAAGCTGGAGGCATTATGCTACCTGACTTCAAACTATACTACAAGGCTACAGTAACCAAAACAGTATGGTACTGGTACAAAAACAGAGATATAGACCAATGGAACAGAACAGAGCCCTCAGAAATAATACCATGCATCTACAACCATCTGATCTTTGACAAACCTGACAAAAACAAGAAACGGGGAAAGGATTCCCTATTTAATACATGGTGCTGGGAAAACTGGCTAGCCATATGTAGAAAGCTGAAACTGGATTCCTTCCTTACACCTTATACAAAAATTAATTCAAGATGGATTAAAGACTTAAATGTTAGACCTAAAACCATAAAAACCCTAGAAGAAAACCTAGGCACTACCATTCAGGACATAGGCATGGGCAAGGACTTCATGTCTAAAACACCAAAAGCAATGGCAACAAAAGCCAAAATTGACAAATGGGATCTAATTAAACTAAAGAGCTTCTGCACAGCAAAAGAAACTACCATCAGAGGGAACAGCCAACCTACAGAATGGGAGAAAATTTTTGCAATCTACTCATCTGACAAAGGGCTAATATCCAGAATCTACAAAGAACTCAAACAAATTTACAAGAAAAAAACAAACAACCCCATCAAAAAGTGGGCAAAGGATATGAACAGACACTTCTCAAGAGAAGACATTTATGCAGCCAACAGACACATGAAAAAATGCTCATCATCACTGGCCATCAGAGAAATGCAAATCAAAACCACAATGAGATACCATCTCACACCAGTTAGAATGGCGATCATTAAAAAGTCAGGAAACAACAGGTGCTGGAGAGGATGTGGAGAAATAGGAACACTTTTACACTGTTGGTGGGACTCTAAACTAGTTCAACCATGGTGGAAGACAGTGTGGCGATTCCTCAAGGATCTAGAACTAGGAATACCATTTGACCCAGCCATCCCATTACTGGGTATATACCCAAAGGATTATAAATCATGCTGCTGTAAAGACACATGAACACGTATGTTTATTGCGGCACTATTCACAATAGCAAAGACTTGGAACCAACCCAAATGCCCATCAGTGATAGACTGGACTAAGAAAATGTGGCACATATACACCATGGAAGACTATGCAGCCATAAAAAAGGATGAGTTCGTGTCCTTTGTAGGGACATGGATGAAGCTGGAAACCATCATTCTGAGCAAACTATCACAAGGACAGAAAACCAACACCGCATGTTCTCACTCATAGGTGGGAATTGAACAATGAGAACACTTGGACACAGGAAGGGGAACATCACACACTGGGGCCTGTTGTGGGGTGGGGGGAGGCGGGAGGGATAGCATTAGGAGATACACCTAATGTAAATGACGAGTTAACGGATGCAGCACACCAACATGGCACATGTGTACATATGTAACAAACCTGCACGTTGTGCACATGTACCCTAGAACGTAAAGTATAATAAAAAAAAGAAGCATAAAGATCAATAAATTTTATGTCAGCATTACAAATGAAGTGGAAAGATGGAAGATTCGGCCAATTAGGTATTACCATAAAATATATATATGGGGTGTGTGTGTGTGTGTGTGTGTGTGTGGTATGTGTGTGTATACACCATAATAATCAAAGGTGGACTCCAAGTAGATTAAACACAATATGGAGGTAAAGCAATAATGTTGATAGAAGGAAATATAGGGTGATACCTTTAAAACATAGGGGCAAGAAAGGACTTTTAAAATGAAACTTCAAACATAAGGCAAAAACAAATACATAAATCTCATTATAATTGTGTATTCAAGAGTATGTATTAAGCACTTCTTATGTGCTAGGCACTAAGGCTGTATATTAATAGTACATATAGATTATAAATACCACTCGTCACTAAAAGGAAACAGGGCTTTTGGGAGAAATTACTCACCTCAGGATAGTGGTGACAAAAGTGCAAGAAGAAACGAATATCTGTTTTTTCTTCAGAAAGTAAGAAACTGCTCAAAAATTATGGGAATACTTGTAAAAACACCACAGGAAACATGTGAAGGGTCTCCCACTGGAAAAATATGATACAGTTTGAATACCACAGTGAATAATGACAGTAATGCATTATAACAAAATGCATAAAACAGAATCCATATAATAATGACTAATAATGGATACTAATGAATACATTAATATGAACAGATGTAAATATGGCTTAAACAGGGGTAGGGGAAATGGGAACATTTTTTACAGAAGAATGCCAATTAATACATGTAGAATAAATGACCATTTGAAAGTTACTATTTTTTAATCATCATAGGAATAATTGATTCAGACAAGAATCTTCAACAAATACTAAAACATTGGGGTAAAAGCTTATTGGTGATTAGTTTCAATGTATCTCCCTACAAATTAGTTATTAATTACAAGGAAAAAATGGTATATTTGCAGTTGAGAAACTTGGTGAACATAACACTAATCAAGTTACATCACCAATAATGAGACAAACTGACATTATGTATCTTCCAATGTGCTATACTGAGAAGTCATAATATTAATTTCTGCTGCGATTATAAGGAAATAATCAGACAAGCTAAAACTCAGGATCGTTCTATAAAACTATTGGTTTTTGTACCCTTTAAAATTTGTTAATATCTTCAAAAATAAAGAAAAGCTAAGAACCATTTCAGATTAAATAGGGCTAAACAGACCTAGGAACTAAGTGCAATGTGTGATTCTAAGTCAGAGAAAAAAATTCCATCAAATATATTATTTGGAAAATCTGTGAAACTTTAATATGGGCAGCATATTAGATAGTCAAATTATAATAAGATTAAATATTCTAATTTAATCATCATGCTGCCATTTTGAGGTGTATATTCTTGTTCTTGAGAGTTACATGCTGAAGTGTTTCAATATGAGGTAAAAGGATTTAATAGCTGTAAAATTCTTTTAACATTGTAAAAAGCATTTAACAATTAACATTTTACCATACACAGTCTTTCTCTGTGTGTGAGTGTGTGTGTGTATCTATAGATAGATATAAATAGATACAGATCTATTCCATATATCTCCAAATGAATATACATAGTGAGAGAGAGAAAGAATGTGGCAAATGGTAGCTTAGATTCACCAACTATATAAACGTTCATTGTCCTGTTTTTGTAAGTTTTCCATGGGTTTGATATTTTTCAACATTTGAAAAAATATTCATAATCTGATTATTTTATTTTCCCCACCGCTGCCACCCTGGTCAAAATTATTATAACCTTTCATTGAGGTCACTGAAATAGCTCTTATTGTATCCTCCTGCTTTTACCCTTTCCTCCTACATCATATTTCTAATATGGCAGCCAGAGTAATCCTTTAGCCACATCACTCCTGTGCCAAAAAGAGTAGCTCTAGCTTCCTATTTCCCTCAGGAAAGCAAAGACTTACAGTGACAAAGAAAACCCAAGTTATCTGTTTCTTTTATTACCACCTTGGCCTCATTTCCTCCTAATAATTATTATCTCTCTGATCCAAGCACACAGACGTCTCTGCTACTCCTTGAACACAATAAGCATTCTTCTTCCTTAGGGCATTTGCTGTAGTTTTTCCCTCTGCCTTAAATGTTTTACCCCAAGAAAACAGCTTGGCTAACTCCCTCACATCCTTCAAGTTAGATATAATTTCTTAATGAAGTCTATCCTGATTATTCTATATAGCTCTTTAATATTGTGACATTCATCCCATCTCTCACAGATTTCTGATTCTCTTAATCTGTTCTACTCTTTCATTATGCCAAAGCACATTTTATCTTCACCTTAATGAATATAATTTCATGCCACTGCACTTCAGCCTGGGCGACAGAGCAAGACTCTGTCTCAAAAAAAAAAAAAAAAAAGAATTTCCATGCAAATGGAGACTGTAAGAGAGCAAGAATAGCTGTACTTACATCAGATAAAATAAACTTTAAGTCAAAAACTCTAAAAAGAGACAATGAAAGTCATTATATAATAATAAAAGTTCAATTCAGCAAGAGGATATAACAATTGTAAATACAAAAGCATCCAATATTGGAACACCTAAATATATAAAGCGAATATTAATAGATCTAAAGGGAGAACAAGACTGCAATACAATGATATTAGGGGGATTTGCTATCCATTTTCAGCAATGGACAGGTCATCCAGACAGAAAATCAACAAAGAAACTTCAGATTTAAACTGCACTGTAGACCAAATGGACCTAGCAGACATTTACAGAACATTCCATCCAACAGCTGCAGAATACACATTCTTCTCAACTGTACATAAAATATTTAACAGAATAGATAATATGTTAGGCCACAAAACAAGCCTTGACAAATTTTAGATTGAAATCATATCAATTGTCTCTTCTGACCACAATGATATAAAACTAAAAATCAATAACAGAAGGAACTTCAGAAACTTTATACATTCATAGAGAGTAAATATGCTCCTGAAAAACCAATGAGTCAATGAAGAAATTAAAAGACATTTAAATATCCCTTTTGGACAAATAGAAATGGAAACACAATGCACCAAAACTTATGGGATACAGCAAAAGCAGTTCTCAGAGAAAAGTTTATAGCTATAAACACCTACATTCAAAAAGAAGAAAGGTTTCAAATAAAGAATCCAACATTATACCTCAAGGAACTGGAAATACAAGAACAAACTAAATCTAAAATTAGGAGAAGGAAGTAATAAAGGTCATAATTTAGGTGAGATGAGGTGGCTCACGCCTGTAATCCCAGCACTTTGGGAGGCTGAGGTATATGGATGACTTGAGCACAGGAGTTCAAGACCAGCCTGGGCAACATGGTGAAACACCATCTCTTCCAAAAATGAAAAAAAAAAATAGCCAGGCGTGGTGGCAGGTGCCTGTGGTTTCAGCTGCTCAAGAGGCTGAGGTGGGAGGAACTCTTGAGCCTGGGTAGTAGACGTTGCAGTGAGCCAACATCACACCACTGCATTCCAGCCTGGGTGACAGAGTGAGGCCTCGTCTAAAAAATATCAGCATATAAATAAATGAAATAGAGGCTTGAAAAAAATACAAAAGAGCAACAAAATTAAGAGTTGGTGTTTTGAGAAAAAATAAAACCAGCCAACAGTTAGCTAAACTACCTAAGGAAAATAGAGAGAAGACAAACAAAACAATAATGAAAAAGGAGACATTATAACTGATACCACAGAAATAAAAAGGATCATAAGACATTATTATACAATTTTACACCAACAAATGGAATAACCTAGAAGAAACAGATAAATTCCTGGACACATACAACCTACTAAGATTGAATTATGAAGTTATAAAAAAATTTCAAGAGACCAATAATGAGTAAGGACATCGAATCAGTAATAAAAAGTCTCCCATCAAAGAAAAGCCCAATACCTGGTAGTTTCACTACTGAATTCTACCAACATTTAAAGAAGAATAAAAACCGGGCGCGGCGGCTCATGCCTGTAATCCCAGCACTTTGGGAGTCCAAGGCGGGTGGATCACGAGGTCAGGAAATCGAGACCATCCTGGCTAACACGGTGAGATCCCGTCTCTACTAAAAATACAAAAAATTAGCCGGGCGTGATGGCGGGCGCCTGTAGTCCCCGCTACTCGGGAGGCTGAGGCAGGAGAACGGCGTGAACCTGGGAGGCTGAGCTTGCAGTGAGCCGAGATCGCACCACTGCACTCCAGCCTGGGAGATAGTGCAAGACTCTGTCCCAAAAAAAAAAAAAAAAAAAAAGAAGAAGAATACCAATTATTCTCAAAATATTTCAAAATACTAAAGAGGAGAGAATACATTCAAACTCATTCTGCGAGGCCAGCATTACTCCGATATCAAACCTGAAAAAAAGCCCCCAATTACTCCAGGGGAAGGAGCAAGTTGAACTGGAAAGGAGCAACCTGCCCTCACCACATGCCTCTGGAATCTGGGCAGGAGGAGACCCCTCAACCACCATGGACACTTGAGTTGGCAGGGAGAGCTGCTTAGAGAAGTGGTAGGGGAAGCACTCCAGCTGGTGCAGAGCCCAGAGGGTTTGTTGTGGTAATGTCTGTAGTGAAGCATAATCAGGGATGCCCATCCCCCTAGGCTTGATTTGCTCCCATAAGAGACTTTAGCCCTAGGGGAACTGTTGGACATGAGCTCTCAGGGCAGTCTTGCCCACCAAATGAGGCCAGTCTGACGTGAGCACCCCTTTGCCTGCTGACCTCTCGCAGGGCCCCAGCCTGGCTGCACCTGCTTGCAATGCAGCCTCGAGTGCCCTCGGGGGGCTGCATCATAGCTCCTGCGCTGGCAGACTGCACCAGCCCACCCACTCCCTCCCCTCACTCCAGGCCCACAACCACCCCTATATTGCTGGAGTATATGTGCATGGGTGGATTTTACCTTCCCTGTCCTACCAGCATGTGTGTGCCCATGAACCCTCTGCTGCCACTGCTGCTGGGGTAAGTGCAGTCCACTCCACCACCTCCCCCATCATACTTCCACTGTAGTCAGAGTGCAGCCCAGCCACCACCAGCACCCTGCCCCAGCACCAACATTGTCACCAGAGTGAAACTAGGCAGAGAAGAGTGGACCCTCCACTGCCCTAAGTGACCACCTCCACCTACATGAAAACACACAGAAGGTGCACACAGTCCTGCACCTGCCAGCACCTTGCCCCCATGCTAACACCACCACCAGCAAACCACACACGCAGTCAGTCACCAGCAGGGACCCCAACCCCTGAGCCATGCTGTCTCTGCCACTGTTATGAATGCCCGAACACCCATGAGCACCAGGCTACAGCCAATAAGCATGTACCCTGCCATGCTGCTTCTGGCACATGCAAATGAGGATGGACCCCGCTGCCACTGCCTTATGAAATGCTTTGACTGTCACCACCTGTAGGAATGCTGAAACCAAAGATGCAGGAGCACCTCAGTCTACCCAGTGCAGTGAGTTCCTAACCTCAAGGAGCCAGAAAACAAAGTTGGGGTCCAGTATTGGTCCCCTAGAGTTAGAGCACGTAGTCCAGGAGTTGTGAGCTGAGCCTTGGCCCCCTGAAATCTTCCAGAGACAAAGCCGGTCAACTGAACCCACCTTATACCACAATCAAACCCTTGAGGTCATCAAATGGGATAAAAGAAAAAACCCATCAAAGGACAGCAACTTCAAAGATTGAAGAAACATCAGCCCACAAAGATGAGAAAGAACCAGCACAAGATCTGACAACTCAACAAGTGAGAATGCCTTTATTCCTCCAAACGACTGCACTAACTCTCCAGCAAGAGTTCTGAAAGAGGCTGAAATGACTGAAATGATGGAAACAGAATTCAGAATACGGATAGGAATGAAGATAATCAAGATGCAGGACTACATTGAAACACAATCCACAGAAGCTAAGAATCACAATAAAACAATGCAGAAGCTGCCAGACAAAATAGCCAGTATAGAAAAGAACATAACCAACATGACAGCTAAAAAAACACACTATAAGAATTTAAAAAAAAAAAGAATTTCATAGTGCAATTGCAAGTATTAATAGCAGAACAGGCCAAGCTGAGGAAAGAATGTCAGAGCTTAAAGACTAGCTTTCTGAAATAAGACAGTCAGACAGTAATCAATAAAAAAAGAATGAAAAGGAAGACGAAGACCTCTAAGAAATATGGGGTTATGTAAAGAAACCAAAGCTATGATGTATTGGTGTCCCTGAAAGAGATGGGAAGAATGGAACCAACTTGGAAAACATATTTCAGGATATCATCCATGAGAACTTCCCCAACCTAACTAGAGAGGCCAACATTCAAATTCAGGAAATGAGAGAACCCCAATAAAGATAGTTCATAAGAAGATAATCCCCAAAACACATAATCATCATATTCCCCAAGGTTGAAGTGAAAGAAAAGATGTTAAAAGCAGTTAGAGAAAAAGGTCAGGTCACCTACAAAGGGAAGCCCATAAGACTAACAGTGGACCTCTTAGCAGAAACCCTACAAGCCAGAAGAGATTGGGAGCCAATATTCAACATCCTTAAAGAAAAGAAATTCCAACCAAGAATATCATATCCACCTAAACTAAGCTTCATAAGCGAAACATAAGTAAGATCCTTTACATACAAGCAAATGCTAAGGGAATTCGTTACCACCAGACCTGCCTTACAAGAGCTCCTGAAGGAAGCACTAAATATGGAAAAGAAAGACCATTACCAACCACTACAAAAACACACTCATGTACACAGGCCAGTAACATTGTAAAGCAACCACACAAACAAGTATCTATAATAACCAGCTAACATGATGACAGGATCAAATCCACACATATCAATACTAACCTTGAATATAAATGGGCTAAATGCCCCAATTGAAGGAACAGAGTGGCAAGCTGGATAAAAAAGCAATACCTAAAGGTATGCTGTCTTCATCTGACCATCTCACACACAATAACATCCGTAGGCTCAAAATAAAGAGATGGAGGAAAATCTACCAAGCAAATGGAATCAGATAAAAGCAGGGGTTACAGTCCTAATCTCATACAAAACAGACTTTAAACCAACAAAGATCAAAAAAGACAAAGAAAGGCGTTATATTTTGGTAAAAGATTCAATAAGAAGATCTACCCAAATATGTATGCACACAACACAGGAGCATCCAGATTCATAAAGCAAGTTCTTAGGGACCTTCAAAGAGACTCAGACTCCCACACAATAATAGTGAGAGACTTCAACACCCCGCTGACAGTACTAGACTAAGCATCAAGTCAGAAAATTAACAAAGCTATTCAGGACCTGAACTCAGCACTGGATCAAATGGACCTGATAGACATCTAAGGAACTCTCCATCCAAAAACAACAGAATATACATTCTTCTCATTGTCACATGGCACGTACTCTAAAATCAACCATACAATTAGATGTAAACCAATCCTCAGCAAATGCAAAAGAACTGACATTATACCAACTACTCTTATACCAACCACAATGCAATAAAATTAGAAATGAAGACTAAGAAACTAGCTCAAAACCATACAATTTCATGAAAATTAAACAAACTGCTCATAAATGACTTTTGGTTAAATAATGAAATTAAGGCAGAAATCAAGATGTTCTTTGAAACCAAAGAGAACAAAGTTACAGCATACCAGAATCTCTGGGACACAGCTAGGCAGTGTTAAGAGGAAAATTTATAGCACTAAATGCCCACATCAAAAAGTTAGACAGGTCTTGGCTGGGCACAGTGGTCCATGCCTGCAACTCCAGCACTTTGGGAGGCTGAGGCGGGTGGATTACTTGAGGTCAGGTATTTGAGACCAGCCTGGCTAACATGACAAAACCCTATCCCTACTAAAAATACAAAAATTAGCCGGGCATGGTGGTGTGAGCCTGTAATCCCAGCTACTCAGGAAGCTGAGGCATGAGAATCACACGAACTCGGGAGGTGGAGGTTGCAGTGAGCCAAGACTGCCATTGCACTCCAGCCTGGGTGACAGAGTGAGACTCCAACTCAAAAAAAAAAAAAAAAAAAAGAACTACAGTACTAGGAGCAAACCAACCCCAAAACTAGCAGAAAACAAGAAGTAACCAAAATCAGAGTTGAACTGAAGGATATTGAGACACAAAAAACCATTCAAAAGATCATTGAATAAACAACAAGAAAAGAACAATGAATCCAGAAGTTGGCTTTTTTGAAAAAATTAATAAGACAGGCCACTAGCTTGACTAATAAAGAAGAAAAGAGAGAAGATCCAAATAAACACAATTAGAAAGGACAAAGCGGGTATTACCACTGACCCCCCAGAAATACAAATAACCATCAGAGAATATTATGAATGCCTCTATGCACACAAACTAGAAAATCTAGAAGAAATGGATATATTCCTGGATATATACACCCTCCCAAGAATGAACCAGGAAGAAACTGAATCCCTGAACAGACTAATTATGAGCTCTGAAATTGAATCAGTAATAAGTACCCTATCCAAAAACAATCCCAAGACCAGATGGATTCACAGCTGAACTCTACCAGAAGTACAAACAAGAGCTGGTACTATTCCTACTGAAACTATTCCAAAAAATTGAGGAGGAGGGATTTCTCCCTAACTCATTCTAAGAGGCCAGCATCATTCTGATACCAAAACCTGGCAGAGACACACACACACAAAAAGAAAACTTCAGCACAATATCTGTGATGAGCATCAGTGCAAAACTCCTCAACAAAATACTGGCAAACTGAATCCAGTAGCATATCAGAAAGTTTATCCACCATGACCAAATAGGCTTTATTCCTAGGATGCAAGGTTGGTTCAACACATGAAAATCAATAAATGTGATTCATCACATAAACAGAACTAAAGACAAAAACCACATGATTATTTCAATAGATGCAAAAAAGGTGATAAATTTCAACTCAACTGTATGCTAAAAGCTCTCAGTAAACTAGGTAGTGAAGAAACATATCTCAAATAATAAGAGCCATCTATGACAAACCCACAGCCAACATCATACTGAATGGGCAAAATCTGGAAGCATTCCTCTTGAGAACTGGCACAAGACAAGGATGTCCTCTCTCCCCACTTCTTTTCAAAATAGTATTGGAAGTCCTGGCCAGGGCAATCAGGCAAGAGAAAGAAATAAAAGGCATCCAAATAGGAAGAGAAGAAGTCAAAACTATCCCTGTTGCAGATGACATGATCCAGTATCTAGAAAACCCCATAGTCTAGGCACAAAAGCTCCTTCAGCTGATAACTTCAGCAAAGTTTCAGGATACAAAATCAATGTACAAGAATCACTAGCATTCCTATACACCAACAACAGCCAAGCAAAGAGCCAAATCAGGAATGCAGTCCCATTCACAATTGCCACAAAAAGAATAAAATACCCAGAAATGCAGCTAACCAGTGAGGTGAAAGATCTCTACAAGGAGAACTATAAAACACTGCTCAAAGAAATCAGAGATGACACAAACAAATGGAAAAACATACCATGGTCATGCTCATGGATAGGAAGAATCAATATCATTAAAATGGCCACACTGCCCAAAGCATTTTATAGACTGAATGCTATTTCTATCAACTACCAATGACATTGTTCACAGAACTAGAAAAAAAACTATTTTAAAATTCATATGGAACCAAAAAAGAGGCTGAATAGCCAAGGCAATCCCAAGCAAAAAGAACAAAGCAGGAAGCATCACACTTCTTGACTTCAGACTATACTACAGGGCTATAGTAACCAAAACAGCATGGAACTGGTACAAAAACAGACACATAGACCGATGGAACATAACAGAGAGCACAGAAATAAGGCCACACACCTACAACCATCTGATCTTCGACAAAGCTGACAAAAGCAAGCAATGGGAAAAGCTGAGAAAAACAAGCAATTCAACAAATGATGCTGGGATAACTGGCTAGCCATATGCAAAAGATTGAAACTGGACCCCTTCCTTACACCATATACAAAAATCAACTCAAGATGGATTAAAGACTTAAATGTAAAACCCAAAACTATAAACTAGAAGATAACCTAGGCAAAACTATTCTGGATGGAGGAACTGGCAAAGATTTCATGACAAAGATGCCAAAAACATTCACAAAAAAAGCAAAACTTGGCCAATGGGATCTAATTAAAGAACCTCTGCACAGCAAAAGAAACTATTAACAGAGTAAACAGACAACATACAGGATGGCAGAAAATTTTTGCAAACTATACATCTGATAAAGGTCTAATATCCATCATCTATAAGGAACTTAAATTTACAAGAGAAAAAAACACCATTAAAAAGTGGACAAAGGACATGAATGGACACCTTTTAAAGGAAGATATACATATGGCCAGCAAGCATATGAAAAAAAGCTCAACATCACTGATCATTAGAGAAATGCAAATTAAAGCCACAATGAGATACCATCTCACACAAGTCAGAATGGTTATTACTAAAAAGTCAAACAATAGGCCAGACGCAGTGGCTCATGCCTGTAATCCCAGCACTTTGGGAGGCCCCAAGGAGGGAGGATCACTTGAGCCCAGGAGTTTGAGACCAGCCTGGACAACATGGCAAGACCCCATCTGTATAAAAAAAATACAAAAATTAGCCAGTGTGGTGGCACCCGCCTACAGTCCCAGCTACTCAGAAGGCTGAGGCAGGAGGATCACTTGAGTCTGGGAGGTCAAGGCTGCAGTGAGCTGTGATCATGCCACTGCACTCCAGCCTGGAAACAGAATGAGACCCTGTCTTAAAAAAAAAAAAAAGTGAAAAAATAACAAATGCTGGTGAGATTGCAGAGAAGACAGAACACTTACACACTGTTGGTAGAAGTGTAAATTAGTTCAATCATTGTGGAAAACAGTGTAGTAATTCCTCAAAGAGCTAAAAACAGAACTACCATTTGACCCAGCAATCCCTTTACTGGGTATATACCCAAAGGAATATAAATTGTTCTATCATAAAGACACATGCATATTTACTGCAGAACTACTCACAATAGCAAAGACATGGAATCAACCTAAATGCTCATCAATGGTAGACTGGATAAAGAAAATGTAGTACATATACACACCATGGAATACTATGCAGCCATAAAAAACAATGAAATCATATTTTTGCAGGAACATGGATGGAGCTGGAGCCCATTATCCTTAGCAAACTTATGCAGGAATGGAGAATCAAATACTGCATGTTCCTACTTCTAAGTGGGAGCTAAATGATGAGAACATATGGGCACATAGAGGTGAACAAAAGACACCGGGATTTACAGGAGGAGGGAGAGGATCAGGAAAATTAACTAATGAGTTCTAGGCTTAATATCTGGGTGACGAAATAATCTGTACAATAAACCCCTGTGACAAAAGTTTGCCTACATAACAAACCTGCATTGTATCCCTGGACTTAAAATATAAGCTAAAAAAAGATGTTGTAAATTTATAGTATTGATAAATACAGTACAGTACTGTAAATGTATAAAACAAAAACAAAAAAGAAGAGCTTTAAACATATTATAACTTGCTTAATTTCATCCATAACAAGAATACAAATTAAAACCACATTGAGACATCATTTTTCATCAATCCGATGAACAAACATTTAGAAAAATTGACAATAGGCTCTATTAATAAGGTTGTGGAAAAGTAGGCATTCTCATGTATTGTTTGTAGGAGTGAAAAACATGGTAGAACCACAATGGAGGTAATTTGGCAATATCTTCAAAGAATGATGAATGCATTTGTCTTTTGAACTAGCAATTCCATCTTTAAAAATTTAAATATACACCTTCACAAATATTAAACATTATATACACCAAGTTATTTATTGTGACATCATTTATAATAAAATAACTGGAAAACAACCCAATGGTAATCAGCTGAGACTGAATGAAATATGATGAATCTACTGAACAGTGTCAATGGTGTACAATATAATTGTTAAAAAAAAATGAGAGGCCGGGCGCGGTGGCTCACTCCTGTAAACCCAGCACTTTGGGAGGCCGAGGAAAGCAATCACGAGCTCAGGAGTTCAAGACCACACCAGCCTGACCAAGATGGTGAACCCCGTCTCTACTAAAAATACAAAAATTAGCCGGGCATGGTGGTGCGCATCTGTAGTCCCAGCTACTTGGGAGGCTGAGGCAGAAGAATTGCTTGAACCCGGGAGGCAGAGGTTGCAGTGAGCCGAGATCACACCACTGCACTCCAGCCAGGGTGACAGAGAGAAACTCCCTCTCAACAACAACAACAACAAAAAGTCTTAGCCGGGCGCGGTGGCTCACACCAGTAATCCCAGCACTTTGGGAGGCCAAGGCAGGTGGATCACAACGTCAGGAGCTCGAGACAAGCCTGACCAACATGGTGATACCCTGTCTCTACTAAAAATACAAAAATTAGCCAGGCATGGTGGTGGGCGCCTGTAATCCCAGCTACTCAGGAGGCTGAGGCAGGAGAATTGCTTGAACCCAGGAGGCGGAGGTTGCAGTGAGCCAAGATGGTGCCACTGCACTCCAGCCTGGGCGACAGAGCGAGACTCCATCTAAAAAAAAAAAAATACTTAGGCCAGGCACGGTGGCTCATGCCTATAATCCCAGCACTTTGGGAGGCCGAGGCAGGCAGATCACGAGGTCAGGAGTTCAAGACCAGCCTGGCCAACATGGTGAAACCTTGTCTCTACTAAAGATACAAAAAATTAGCCAGGCATGGTGACGTGCACCTGTAATCCCAGCTACTCAGGAGGCTGAGGCAGGAGAGTTGCTTGATCCCGGGAGGTGGAGGTTGCAATGAGCCAAGGTCGCACCATTCCACTCCAGCGTGGGTGACAGGGCGAGATTCCATCTCAAAAAAAAAAAAAAAGTCTTATCTGAGATTCTTTATGGAACAGAGTTCCATCAAAACCAATTAAAAGAAGCCTATGTGGCAAATAATTATTCTTGCTGCACTTTAAACAAATAATTAGGCCAAGTATATTAAAGCAAATTGGTCTTACCATGATTTGTCTTTAGTAAAAATGGGAGACTGGAGAGAGAAAAAATATGTTTCAGGAACTATGGTACACCTTTTGTCAGATTTTAGTCTCATCAGTTGTTTTTGAGTTTTTTGTCTGCAATTTAGACTGCTTATTCCTGTAAACCAACCAGTGGTGTCTGGCTGATAGAAGAAACAAGAAGGATAGGTGATATAAAAATGTGGATCAATATTCTAATTCTGGGCATGTATTGAAATCAGCTAGTGACTCCATATTAGCTCAGTTCCAACAGTTGCCTAGCTTATGGAAAGCCTTCTTATTTAGTTTACTTGAGATAACTTTACTTATTTTGCTTTACTTTTGTGGAATATATTGGTGTTGTGCTCTTTGCATAGGAATGCAGAACAAGCTTACTCAATGTTTTCCCAAATTAAACACTTATTAATCTTCCAGATGTCACCTTTTATCAGTACTCAGGGTTATGAATGGTGCTTGACATACTGATGCTTTCTGATTGAGCTACTCTCTACCCTGAATACAAGAGACCCTAATAATTAGGCAGGAATATCATTGCCCCTATTCAGCCTGAAAAAGTTACAAAACATGGATCTTCATCCTGCTACAACCCTTAGGATTAAGAGTTTTCTTATAAAAGGGAGGGAGGGGCCAGGTGCAGTGGCTCACACCTATAATCCCAACACTTTGGGAGACTGAGGCCAGTGGATCACTTGCGGTCAGGAGTTCGAGACCAGCCTGACCAACGTGGTGAAACCCCGTCTCTACTAAAAATACAAAATTAGCTGGACATGGTGGCACACACCTGTAATTTCAGCTACTTGGGAGGCTGAGGCAGGAGAATCACTTGAACCTGAGAGGCAGAGGTTTCAGTGAGCTGAGATCATGCCATTGCACTCCAGCCTGGGCAAAAAGAGCAAAACTCTGTCTCCAAATTAAATAAATAAGTAAATAAATAAATGGGAGGGAGGAAGTCTGTCAGAGGCCTTTGAATCAGAGCAACTCCATCTTGAATGGAGGCTGGGTAAAATAGGGCTGAGACCTACTGGGTTGCATTCCCAGTCACATTCTAAGTCACAGGATGAGATAGGAGGTCGGCACAAGATACAGGTCACAAAGACCATGTTAATAAAGCAGCGTGTGGTAAAGAAGCCAGCCAAATCCCACCAAAACCAAGATGGCGAAGAACGTGACCTTTGGTCATCCTCACTGCTCATTATATACTAATTATAATGCATTAGCATGCTAAAAGACACTCCCACTAGTGCCATGACAGTTTACAAACGCCATGGTAACATCAGGAAGTTACTCTATATGGTCTAAAACTAGGAGAAACCCTCAGTTCTGGGAATTGCCCACCCCTTTTCCAGAAAACTCATGAATAATCCACCCCTTGTTTAGCATACAATCAAGAAATAGCCATAAAAATAGGCAACCAGCAGCCTTCGGGGCTGCTCAGCCTGGGGGATAGCCATTCTTTATTCCTTTACTTTCTTAGTAAACTTGCTTTCACCTAAAAAAAATACCCAACATCAATTATCATTAGAAAAATGCAAATTAAAACCATATAAATATCATCTCACACCAGAAAGAGAGGGAAAATAAGTGTTGGAAGGGGTGTGCAGAAATTGGAACCTTTGTGCACTATTAATGGGAATGTAAAATGGTGCAGCCTTTTTAGAAAACAGTAAGGCAGTTTCTCAGAAAATTAAAAATAGAATTACCGGCAGGGCACGGTGGCTCACGCTTGTAATCCCAGCACTTTGGGAGGCTGAGGCCAGTGGATCATGAGGTCAGGAGCTCGAGACCAGCCTGACTAACATGGTAAAATGCCATCTCTACTAAAAATACAAAAATTAGCTGGGCATGGTGGTGTGCGCCTGTAATACCAGCTACTAGGGAGGCTGAGGCAGGAGAATCGCTTGAACCCGGGAGGCGGAGGTCGCAGTGAGCGGAGATCATCCCATCACACTACAAAATGACAAATACTATATGATTCCACTGATATGAGGTCCCTAGAGTAGTCAGATTCACAGAGACAGAAAACAGAATGGTGGTTGTCAGGAGCTGGAGGATGGAAAATGGGAAGTTGTTGTTTAATGGGCATAGAGTTTCAGTTTTGCAAGAAGACAGCCCTGAAGATTGACTGCCCAACAATGTGAATGTGCCTAACATTACTGAACTGTACACTTAAAAATGGTTAAGATGGTAAATTTTATATTATGGATTTTACCACAGCTTTTTAAAATTATTTTAAAACTGGCTGTCACAAAAAGGAAAAGAATATCAGGTGAGATTGGTCTAGATTAAAGAGACTGGAGAGATGTCATGACAACTAAAAGCAATGCATGATCTATAATTGGTTCCTGACTTTAAAAAATATTATATATATATATATTATATATGTATATATGTATGAGTCCAATTGTCCAACCAAGTACCAAATGTCATTCTTCATTTCTTGCAGGCACTCACATTCTCCACAGAGGCCTACTGAATTCTTTCTCATCACATGGCTCCCTAGATGAAAGGAAAGGTCTCACACTGTGACAACCTTCCCCCAACCCACTATCAAGGATTCTGACAACTATCCCTTTCCCTAGTACCGTCTTTATACAAACTGGGGATTGGGGAAAGGTAAGGGGGTGATATCGTGATTGGTTATCAGAAAGCTGGCTTGGCCACTAACTCTTGGCAATCAGGTGGAAGCTACTCTTAGAATTACTTCTTTCTGTTTTCAGCATAGCTCAAATTCCTGGGCAAAAGAAAAACTCTTAACCAGATGGGGCAGCTCATGCCTGCAATCCCAACATTTTGGAAGGCCAAGGCGAGAGGATTGCTTGAGCTCAGGAGTTTGAGACTAACCTGGGCAACAGAGTGAGATGCCCTCTGTACAAAAACTTCTTAAAAATTAGCCAGGTATGGTGGCATGTGCCTGTAGTCCCAGCTACTCGGGAGGCTGAGGTGGGAGGATGGTTTGGGCCTGGGAAGTTGAGGCTGCAGTGAGCTGTGATTGTGTCATTGCACTCAGATCTGGGCAACAGAGTAAGATGCTATCTCAGAAAAAGAGGGGAAATCCCTTGCATATTATCCTTTTACTTATTATGACAATTATTATTCTCTTTTCCCTTGTTTTGCTTTTTCAGGCTGGTCAACTATCTGTTCATTTGCTCTCTTCTGTATATGGGTGTAGGGGCATGGCTCTGCCACGTTGACCTGCCAACCTTATATGTACTCACATAGGCCATACAGGCAAGGCTTAACCATAATTAATCAAAGTCTTGGCGGACATTCTGTGATCCTTGGGGAACAGGCTTATGAGGAACTACCACAAGGCCACTTTCAACTCATCTTTTTATCTTCTTGGGAGGCTGTCATGAGGCAGTTCTTATCACTTCCCAGGTTCTGATAAGGTATGAGGCATTCTGCCTCATCTTTCTTAGGGCAGAACTGCAAGCCATAAACTTCTTAGTTGCAAATGGACTCAGCTCCTCAGCAACAGGGTGTCTCATTACTCAGGTTGCCATCCCCTTTTGTATTGGTGCTGTCCTGTGGGAGAGCTGGAAATTCTGCTTATTTCCTTTTGTGTCTATGTAAGTAATAAACTGTCTGAATCAAACAAGGACTGCTGTTTCTTTACTAATCAAAGCTGCTAGGATTTGCCTGAGAATGGGTTCTTATTTTTCCTTGAAGTTCTGTTTCAAAATAGTTTCTTTTTCAAACCTTGTCAACTTGTCTTGGCAACCAGGGATTTGGTTCATATCTGGGAGAGATGACAGTAGTGAGAAGCTGCTCAGAGGAACTGTGGGGATCTGGAAATTTGGTGAAGAGCAGATTTACTCATGGAGTAGGTCTCAAAAGACTCTTACCAAGGCTAACCTCCAGAGTTTCTGTCCCAACCTTAAACCTCTTCAGCTCCTGACCCAGCCTAGTCTTCTCAGGAATCCATGCCGTTTTAGACCCCTCCTTGAAAAAGGGCTCTCTCCCATCTCCAAGAAAATGATAAGCTTGGTGGGGACATACATAGAGGACTAAAGAGGGTCCATGGACATCAAACCTGCCCCCAAAACACAGACAGGAAGAAGCATGCAAATATATCACTGAGATAATGCAGAAAGTAGATTGAATTTGGAGTTCCTTGACAGATAAGTGTCATGAGTTGGTATACCCTGGGCAGTAGGGTCAGCCTAGGCCTGAATGGTTCAAGAACGATGCTGAGTTTTAAGTTTCCTTCTACCCACCACAACTTCCAGACCAGGACACACAAACTTGGGAAGCCCCCATTTGAGGATGCACACCACTGAGAGAAACCCATGTCTTCCTTTCCCTAAAAACTGTTCCCCCAGCTGTGTCTAGGCTCACTCTCCCTCCTCCCACTCAGTGGCTACCTGCCACAAGTCTTGGACCAGCCTCAGTGCTTCCCAGATGACCAAACCGGGGTCATTTTAGCTCAAATCAACTTTCACAGCCAGTACATGAGTCAGACCCATGAAATCCTCCCAAACTGCCAAATGCCAGCCTTGGGTCTTTAAAGCTACCAGAGCTTCATTGTTACCTGGTTACTAGGTAATAACCCACAACAATTACTCCTCTCTGGATCTGGGCCTAAACATTCTGGTATCTTATAGCTCTTTTGTATTAATACTTTCTCTGATTACCTGAAATGATATACCACATAGAAAACTGTACTAAGAGTTATTGAAGAATGTGCAAAAAATTAACAAGAGGTCCAAGGAAAACTAAGCACATGAAGAAAAGTCAAGCATTAACTTCAGGAAAAGTAGAAAGAAGAAAAGGAGACAATCATGGTATATGACCATGTTCTGCTGGGAATTATATTTTGCAAAGGCATAAAAATGTTAACATGAATATTCATCTAACAAAGAATTGTTAGGGCCAGGCACAGTGGCTCACACCTATAATCCCAACACTTTGGGAGGCCGAGGTAGGAGGATGGCTTGAGCCCAGGAGTTCGAGATCATCCCATGCAACACAGTGAGACCTCATCGCGACTAAAAATAAAAAATTAGCTGGGCGTGTGGTATGTGCCTGTGGTCCCAGATTCTTGAGAGGTTGAGGCAGGAGGATCGCTTGAGCCCAGGAGGTGGAAGCTGCAGTGAGCCATGATCGCACCACTGCATTCCAGCCTGGGTGAGAGAGCAAGAGCCTGTCTCAATAAAAGAAAAAGAAAGAAAAGAAAAATTAAGTCATTTCAATCATATACAAACTATCCTAATTAATAAGAAGGAACACTTCCTAAATGATTTTCTAATGCTAAAATAACCTGATAGTGAATCCTATTGTAAAAAATACACACAAAAAAGGAAAAGCCCAGTCTAATGTCATTAATGTAAATAAATGAAAAAAAACCCATACTAATTATTAGAAAATTAAATCCAGTAGTACATAAAAAAGAATAATACAGCATAAGTAGAATTTCTCCAAGATATGAGGTTGACTTAACATTATAAAAGTAATTAGTATATATGCAAAGTTAATGAACTAAAGGGAAAATCATGATTATCTATGTACATGCAGAAAAATTACTTAATAAAATTCAACAACCTTTCATGATTTTAAAATAATCTTAATTAATCTTAAGATTTTTAGCAGATATTAGTTGTATCCTTAGGCATATAAGAGAATATTTGTAACTTGGTAAGGGTGTCCAGGGGAAAAAAAAAAAGCTAAAGCAAACATCATACTTAATGGTGAAATGATTAAAGCTTTCCCTTTGAAATCCAGAACAAGACAGGGATGTCTGCTATCATCACTTTAATCATCCTGTCGTCATTGTTCCAAAGGGCCTAACCAGTGTATACAACAAGAGAAAAATATAAAGGTCTGAGGTGTTCATATGGCATTCTCCATGGTTAGAAAAAGAAGGGGAAAAGTATAAGGAGGTTATTCCGTAGGATTTTGGGGAACAGGTGGTATTTGGTTACGTGAGTAAGTTCTTTAGTGGTGATTTGTGAGATATTGGTGTACCCGTCACCAGAGCAGTATACATTGAACTCAATTTGTAGTCTTTTATCCCTCACCCACTTCCCACCCTACACCCCTGAGTCCCCAAAGTGCACTGTATCATTCTTATGCCTTTGCAGCCTCATAGCTTAGCTCCCACTTATGAGTGAGAAGATACACCTTCTTATATGAAACTTTTTTATTTAGAGTTAAAACTCTGTATGTTTAGAGTTAATACGAGTATAAAACTCTCCTTATTTAGAGTTAATATGATTATAAACATTATAATATCCAGCAAATTTACAGAAAAACTAGTAGGTAATAAGAATAGCAAATTTTCTGAACATGGAAGTAAATATTCATGAAAGGTCATTTATAAGAAAAACAAACCTGACGCTTCATTATAAAAACAAATATTAATTACATCTCATGGGTCAGAAGTAAAATTTTTAAAAATAAAATAGGTTTTAAAATTTAAAAATATTAAATTGGCAGTGAGGGAGCAACTCACAAATTATTTTATAACGACAAATGTTATCATAAAGGCCCATGCTTAAGAATCAGGCTGAAAGTTGCTTGTTCTGGGCCAGGGGTGGTGGCTCACGCCTGTAATCCCAGCACTTTTGGAGGCCTAGGTGGGTGGATCACTTGAGGTCAGGCGTTCCAGACCAGCCTGGCCAACATGGTGAAACCCATTTCTACTAAAAATATAAAAATTAGCCAGGTGTGGTGGCCCACACCTGTAAGCCCAGCTACCAGGGAGGCTGAGGCAGGAGAATTGCTTGAACCCTCCAGGCGGAGGTTTCAGTGAACCAAGATCACACCACTGCACTCCAGCCTGGGCAACAGAGTAAGACTTTGTCTCAAAAAAGAAAAAAAAAAGTTAATTATTCTGCAGAACTTGGAGGTGATCCCAATGGTACCTCTGAGAAGCCACCCTGTCATTCTAAAAAGGATGAATACGATTAAGAAACATGTTCACCAGCCTGGGCAACATGGTGAAACTTTGTCTCTACTGATACAAAAATTAGCCGGGAGTGGTGGTGTGCACCTGTAATCCCACGAAACTGAGGCATGAGAATCACTTGAACCTGGGAGACAGAGGTTGCAGTGAGCTGAGATCGCACCACTGTACTCCAGCCTGGGCAGCAGAGTGAGACTCTGTCTCAAAAAAAAAAAAAAAGAGAGAGAGAGAGAAAGAAAGAAATATATTCAGAGGAATCCTATGAAGAAATAGAAAGTAAAACATCTAGTATTTCATCATTAATAGGTAATCATAGAGAAGAATAAAAAGAAGAATAAGGAAGGATATGAGGAGAATTGTTACTAAAGGAAATCTATGTTGTATTTTACTAATTGTTCATTTTGGGGCTTTTTTATTTTTATTTTTTTGTAGAGACGAGGTCTCACTATGTCACCCAAGATGGTCTCAAACTTCTGGCCTCAAGTGATCCTCCTACCTCGGCCTCCCAAAATGCTGGGATTATAGGTGTGAGCCACTGCACCTGGCCTCCTGTTCATTTGGATTTTCACTTCTCTGTTTTATTCTTCGTGCCTTCATCTTACTTTAATATTTTCTAAAATTCTATTTTGAGTTAATACTATGTTTTTTAGTGCATCTCTTTGTATAACATGTTAGCGGTTGCTCTGTCCACAACTTATCAAAGTCTATTCATTTTTTTCCGTCTAATTTCTCTCTGTTGTTTAGGTTGGATAATTTTTATTATTCTATCTTCTAGTTCACTTGTTATTTTTTCTGCCTCCTCCATTATGCTGCTGAACCCACCCACCCCATCCACTGAGGTTTTTATTTCAGTTATTATATTTTTCAGTTCTAAAATTTCCATTTAGTTCTTCTTTTATCATCTATTTCTTTGCTTATGCATTCTATTTTTCATTTATTCCAAGAATGTTTATAATTGCTTATTGAAGCATTTTTACAATGGCTAATTTAAAATTTCTGTCAGATAATTCTAATATCTCTGTCATCACAATGTTGGCATCTGTTGATTGTCATTTTTTCATTCTGTTTGAGATCTTCTGGTATGATAAGTAACTTTTCATTAAAACCTGGATATGTTCATATTATATTCCGCTACTCTGGATCCTATTTAAACCTTCTGTTTTAGTGGGATTTCTCTGATACCATTTAGGCAGAAGGGGGAACAGAGAAAGAAGGAGATGTCACCTAATTACTGCCAGGTGCAGGCAGAAGTCCAGGTTCCCCACAGAGCCTCCATTGCCACCTGAAGAAGGGAGCTCATTGTTACTGCTGGGTAAGCATGGAAGTTCTGGCTCCCCTGACACCACAGTGAGGATGGCCACATTACCACTGGGTAGAGGTCTAAGTCCAGTCTTCTCATATAATCCCCCCTGCTGGGAAGGGAAGTATTAACAAAAGATCATGAGATTTGAGGAAGAAGAAAAAAGAGAGTTTTATTTCCTATAAATGGTTACAATCTGCAGGTTGGGAAATGAAACATCCAGCCAAAATGAAAAGCATCTGCTTCAGAGACAAAAGGGAGAAGCTGGGACTTATGCCCAACAAGATGAGCTATATGTACATATTCAGTAGCTTATAGGAGAATCTATGAATATTTGAGAAAACCCTAATGCATGCAAAGAGAATAAACATATATGTTACATATGTTCCATGTTCATTTTGGGGTGGGGATTTAATAGTAAAGTGAAGTGGCACGTGGCTGTTTATATATAACAAGGTGAAACAGAACACAAAGGCATCTTGTGCACAGCCTCTGTGGACTAGGTGCAATCAGTCTGTGGTCGGTGGTCAGTATAACAATGGAATGTTTAATAAGGCTGGTCAGTAGTCATGGTGAAACCACGATAAAAGAGGGGAGGTCAGCCATGACATCAAGAGGTCTCTTGAGGTTGAGGGAGAAATCTTCCAGACAGTTTTTTAGGAACTCGTTTCTGTTTAATTGTAGGAAGGAAAGTTTTGAGGCAGTTAACAAGGTAGGGGAGTGTTGAGGTGTGACTGACCTCTTGCCTTGCCAAAGCCATAGAATGCAGTTTTCAAAGTTTCTGGGGTCTCTTTTGCAACAAGAAGTCCATTCTGTTTCACCTAGGGGCTTAGGGACTTTAGTTTTATTTCACACTTTCCAGCTTTAGGCTGAAATCTGCCATAGGCAGCATTGATGGCTAAATTTTCTAACATGTCCCATGTCGTTCCCAGGATGGTGTGGATACCTGCCCCAGGTCTATCTAGTCTGTCAGTGGGACTCATGTGGCTAGGAGACTTACAACCAGTTGAATATTTTAGGCCAGGCAAGAAGGAGGCAGACAGCTATTAAGACCCTTTGAACCTTTGAGACTAGAAAAACAGTAACAACAGAAAAGTTGAGAAGGTAAGTTTATGTTTATGTTGTCTGTCATTTCTATGCATTGTGCTACCATAACTTTGGTTTTAGTGACAGACTTGAAGTAGTTGGTTATAGATCTTATAAGTACTTTGACTATCAAAAATAGGAACAAGATAGTGATATGATAATGACAAGGGTTTGTAAGATGGATTGGAAGTAATTTCTAATACTGCAATGAGTCAGCTAAAAACGTTATTAAGGGGATCTGTGGTTTGTACCTCCTGTAACCAGGCAGCCTGTTGGGTGATCTTACCTACATGGGTTGTTAAATCTCCTATAATGTTGATATAAGTGCAACAAGTGGTGTGGGCTATCATGCAAATTCCCCCTTGTTTAGCAATGAGAAAACCTGGTGCAATTTGATTGTCTAAAACCACTTGAGCGAGAGAATTTAAGGACTTCTACTGTGTCATAATACTTATTGCAGCATTTTCAGCAATTTGTCCTATGGTGGCCGGCATTTTTTTTTATCGTATCTCTGTTAGTGTATACTCCGTAGCTGAGAAAAATTACACCCCAAAAACTATGCTACCACATATCCTGATATCCACTTGGTAGCTCTCTTTTAGCTTACCGGAAAGCAAGATTTTCTTTATGATTGAGATGGATGGAAAAGAGGGCAACGTAATGACCTAGAAGGCAAAGTCCTTCAACTTGCCAGCTGTTTATGCATCTGTGTGCCTCTTCTTGAACTGGGGGATCTGACTCAATTCTATATAGGAAAGTGTGTCCTCAAGGGGCACAAGTTATACCTCCAAGGGTATGCCAATTTATACGTTCATTTATGAACAAGATATCTATTATGTGAGTGAACCACGAACTGGTTTTGTTGCAAGCCTTCTAGAAGCCTGCAGAGGCATGATATCTAACAAAGAGGAGCTGTTGTCAGTGTTTGATATTTTTTCTTTGGGCATTCAGTGGTTATGTACAGTAGCAAGGGTGGGAGTCCCAGAATCTAAGGAGAAAGCTACATAGACATAAAAATCTTAATCTTTTTAAAACTCAGTTTTCTGGTTTGGTGCAGTGGCTCATACCTGTAATTCCAGCACTTTGGGAGGCTGAGGTGGGAGAATTGCTTGAGCCCAAGAGTTTGAGACCAGCCTGGGCAATATACTGAGACCTAATCTCTACAAAAACCTTTTCAAAAGAATAGTAAAATTACCTTTTACTCAAAAGGGTAAGGGTTAAGGTGTGGGTTTGGTAACAGAAGTGGTCAATAAAACTAAAATTGTGAGGAGTGAAACAGAGGAGTCCATTTTAGTTATAAAAAAATTAAACCAAGAGAGAAATCATAAATTCCATACAAATTGCTGAGGGTCACTATCTAGAGTCTGGGGGTATTCTTTAAGGTAATGGAGTATTTGATTAACAAGGAGCATGGTAACTATGTTTTCTAAAGTGAGGATTATAGGCTCTGGGAAAGGGATTTTGGACTTGGAGGTGGATGAGAAATTTTAGAAGTATCTAAAAATGGAATACAAGGGTAAGCATTGTAGCACAACATAGGATCTCCAGAATACATAATATTCCCAACGTCAGGGTAATCAGTCAATAACGCAGGTACTTGAGGCAATGGCAATGGTAATTTGTCTTAAGTCAAAAGTGGGCGAGTTAAAATACAGCCCTGGTCCAGCATCTTGGACAGGCAGTCCACCTCAGCTGTCATCTTCTTCTCAGCCATGAGGTGGAACCCTAGTCTAAGTCTGGTGTCAGATACTGGTGTTGAGGTCCAGTCTTCCGCGGAGGGAAGAACTTCGTTATTCCAAGTGAGAAATTGGTATTCAAATATGTTAAAGTCTTTTCGATAGAAAGCAATTTGGATTATAGCTTATTGCAAATGTTTTTAGAGAAGAATTAAAAACAGTAACTGTAGATGACAAAAACTTAGAATGGCTATGGTTAAAATCTAATGAAAGTTCTCAATTGACAAGAACATTTAGTTATTTACATTATATGTAGTATTTTAAGATAACAACCAAAATTATGACTGATAACACATTAGATCTTTCTGAATTTATATAAATTTTGAACCATTTATATCAACAACATATCATAGTGTAATTAAAAGAAGATCTAGTATTGCTTATTATTTGACAATGTTTTTATATAATTTACCAAATAAGCCTAATCATTTAAAATATCTCTATAAAATGAGAGATATATCTGTTGAAGCTTTTTAGGGGCCCAATTAGAAAATCTTAAAGTTAATTCTAAGTAAAAAGACTTAATTTAGGATTGATTTTGAGGATGTTTGTCAAAGATGTTAAAAGGCCCAAAATATTTGATCAAAACAGGATCACGGGTCATTGTAAAATAATATTCATTTAACCGAAGTGACAATCAAAAGACTTTAAAAGTAATACAGAAAGCTACATAAACATAAAAATATTAATCTTCTTAAAACTCAGTTTTCTGACTTGGTGCAGTGGCTCACGCCTGTAATTCCAGCACTCTGGGAGGCCGAGATGGAGAATTGCTTAAGCCCAAGAGTTTGAGACCAGCCTGGGCAATATACTGAGACCTCATCTCTACAAAAACCTTTAAAAAAAAATTAGCCTAGGATGGTGGCACATGACTGTAGTCCCAGGCGTTTAACTGTAGGAAAGAAAGTCTTGAAGCAGTTAATGAGGTAGGGGAGTTTTGAGGTGTGACCGAACTCTTACCTTGCCAAAGCCATAGAATCCAGCTTTTAAAGTTTTCTGGGGTCTCTTTTGCAACAAGGAGTCCATTTCATCTTGCCTGGGGACCTACGGGCTTTATTTTTATTTCACAGAGGGAAAAAGGGAACCTCATAACTGGTCAGCATGGATAAAAATTTTGTCCCCTATTTGGCCTTCTTTAACACCACGTTGGTGGGGTCTTGGGGTAACTTCTTATAGCCGCTCAGTGGTGGAAGTTTAGGCTCCTACTCAGCCTTTGCTGAAGTGGGTGGGGCCATAGTTGTTGGAGTGTGTGTGTGTGTGTGTGTGTGTGTGTGTTTGGTGTTTGGCTGGGGTAGAACAGTTATTGTCTAAGAATTTTATGTCTTTCTAAGCTGTCCTCTTCCTGATCCTGGTCCTATGAATAGAGAAAGCAGACTTTTGCTGGGGCTTTTAAAATCTGCGTCCATTGGCATTTCCAGATTGCCAGCTTCTTCAGTTCCAAGTCTGGAATACAAAAGGAAAAAAAAACTTACGACTGTGTTGTACCTTGAGTCTTGAGATCCCTAGCTGGTCTGCCTTTTGTCTGCCTTTCATTGTATTACATTTGTTTTATGTACAATGCTTTGGGGTTTTAGCAGGATGAATGGGGAATATTACATTTACTCCACCTTCCTGGAAGCAGAAGTATGTGTAATATTTTGAATAAATACCATAAACTATTCCATGCATTCATGAAATATGCAATTTCTCATTCACCAATGTAAATGGCTTGATTCACCATTATAGAACCATGCATAAGTACAACAAGGAAGTTTTATTTAGGGAAACTCAAGCAAAAATAAAAAGGCAATTTGTCAAATGTAAAAAGGTATTTGCCTGCAAATATAAGAAGTATAGACCAAGCGCAGTGGCTCACGCCTGTAATCCCTGCATTTTGGGAGGCCAAGGTGGATGGATCACCTGAGGTCAGAGTTCGAGACCAGCCTGGCTAACATGATGAAATCCCGTCTCTACTAAAAATACAAAAAATTAGCTGAGCGTGGTGGCACGCACCTGTAATCCCAGCTACTCACTCAGGAGGCTGAGGCAGGAGAATCACTTGAACCCAGGAGGCAGAGGTTGCAGTGAGCCGAGATCCTGCCACTGCACTCCAGCCTGGGCAACAACAGCAAAACTCCGTCTCAAAAAAAAAAAAAAAAAAAAAGAAGTATAATAAACACTTTCTATGTTCCAAACCTCTTGCTAAGCACTGTTGTAGCTCTCATAACCTATACTATATTGAGGAGCCCAAATTGCTTTCGAAAGTATTTCTACTTTCAAAAGTATTAAGTCTTTTGACTTACTTTCCATACAGCAATGCAAATAAGCAACTGCTACGCACAACAAAATAGATGAATCTAGAAACATAATGAGGGTCTTTGGCCATACCATCTTGAACGTGCCCGGTCTCCTCTGATCTTGGAAGCTAAGTAGGGTCAGGCCTGGTTAGTACCTGGATGGGAACATAAGGAGGAATGAGAAAATCAGTCACGTATTATTCCATTAATACAAAGTTGAAAAAACAAAACAATCGTAATATTAGAAATCACCTCAAGGCTTTCTTCTGAGGACAAGTGTGAGAGAAGTGACTACAGGAGGCTCTAGAAGGGCTTTATGGAACAGTCCTATTTATAGACATGTGGTGATTTCATGGTTTTCTTTACTTTGTATTAATTCATAGAGCTGTAAATTTATGATTTGGGTACTTTTTTGAAAATATACTATTTTATCTAAAGATGTATTTTTAAAAAAAGACGCACACTATTCAGCATTCAAGGTTAAATAAGAAAATACATTACGTGGGCCGGGTACAGTGGCTCACGCCTTTAATCCCAGCACTTTGGGAGGCCGAGGTGGGCAGATCACGAGGTCAGGAGATCAAGACCATCCTGGCTAACACGGTGAAACCCCGTCTCTACTAAAAATACAAAAATTAGCCGGGCGTGGCGGTGTGCACCTGTAGTCCCAGCTGCTGGGGAGGCTGAGGCAGGAGAATGGCTTGAACCCGGGAGGCAGAGCTTGAAGTGAGCCGAGATCGCGCCACTGCACTCCAGCCTGGGCGACAGAGCAAGACTCCGTCCCAAAAAAAAAAAAAAAGAAAAAGAAAAAGAAAATACATTATGTGAATTTATTCTATATACTTAAAATGAAGATTTTGTCTTTTTTCATGAAAATACAATGAGGTACCAAATTACAGCCATAAAATTGACAAAAATTTTTAAAGTTGTACAATGCCAAATATTGGGGACATGATACACTGCTGGTAGATGTGTAAGCTGGTAGAAATACTTTGGAAAACCACTGGGCAAAACTATAGAACTGAAGACATGAATCCACTAAATACTTAGCAGTTTGACTCCTAGGTATGTACCCTGGAGAAATATATGCTGAAGTGCCGCAGGACATATGTATAAGATGGGAATATCTGTTTTTTCTGGGTTTCAGTTATTATGAACAATGAACCAAAACTAGAAATGCTACAAATATCCATCAATATTAAAATGAATAAGTAAATCATCTTATATTCATTAAATGGAATAGTAACCCACAACATAAACAAAATGGATAAATCTTACAAATGTATTATTGAACAAAAGAAGCAAAACAAAACAAACACTTCAATATAACTATATTTATGAAAGTAATCAAAATAGGAAAACTAAATTATAGCACCCAGGCATTCATACATAAGTGGTAAAGATATAAAGAAGAGTGAGAAAATTATTATTATAAAAATCAGGTAAATGGAGGGGGCGGGCACAGTGGCTCACGCCTGTAATTCCAGCACTTTGGGAAGCCGAGGTGGGCGGATCACTTGAGGTCAGGAGTTCGAGACAAGCCTGGCCAAAATATTGAAACGCTGTCTCTACTAAAAACACAAAAATTAGCTGGGCATGGTGGCACATGCCTGTAATCCTAGCTACTCAGGAGGCTGAGAGAGGAGAATCACTTGAGCCCAGGAGGCAGAGCTTGCAGTGAGCTGAGATACCCCCACTGCACTCTTGCCTGGGTGAAAGAGCAAGACTCTGTCTCAAAAATAATAATAATAGTAATAGAAATATTAATAAATAAATAAAAATCAGGTAAACAGGGCTGGGCACAATGGTGCATGCCTACAGTCTCAGCACTGGAGAGGTTGAAGCAAAAGGATCACTTGAGCCCAGGAATTCAAGGCTGTTGCCACTATGATTATACCTGTGAATGGCTACTATACTGCAGCCTGGGCAACATAGCAAGACCATCTTCTCTAAATACAATAAAAATAAATAAGATAAACAATCAGGTGAATGGTTAATTCCAAAAGAAAGTGAAGGGATTGTAAAAATCAAAAGAGAGAGAGGGTTTCTGGGATGTTGGCAATGTTTTCTTACCTTAGTAGTGATTATATGGATTCATTTTATAAGCATTTATTTAAATCTATGTATTTACCTCATGAATTTTCTGCATGTATGTTATATCTCACAGTTTAAAAATGTTTAATTAGTGAACAGTAGAAAATTGATACAGTCATCATAAGCATACATGCATCTACAATACAGTCTTGAACTACATCAAATAGGAAAAAATACATAAATCACCAATTGTAGTTGGAAATGTTTTAATATGCATCTCTAAGGACTGTAGATCACATAGACCTGAAAATAGTATGGATATGAATGAGCTGAAAAGAAAAACAATTTTAAAAATATGTAGACCCAAAATAAACAGGCATTATTTTTGAATATATATATAACACTTACAACAATAGACCATGTGTTAGGCTATAAATTCCACAGATCTGATCCCATTCAGACAATGTTCTCCTATTACAATGCATCCTGGAATTAACATTTGTAAAAACAATAGCTAAAATAAAATCCCATGTGTTTGGAAACTAAATAACATATTACTAAATAAGATTCTGCTTAAAAAATACTTAGAAGTGAATGAAACACTACATGAAGAATTTGTGTACTACAACTAAAGCAGTACTTAAAGGTAAACTTGCAGTTTTAAATACACTAATGATTAAGAAAGATTAAAATCAAATGAGCTGCCACAGGAGATACAACCTCACACCCTTCAGGATAGCTGCTATCAATCACACACACACACACACACACACACACAGAGAGAGAGAGAATAAGTGTTAGTGAAGACATGGAGAAATTGAAGCATTTCTGCACTATTGGTGGGAATGTAAAGTGATACAGCTGCTATGGAAAACAGTACAGCAGTCACTTAAATAATTAAAAGTACAATTACCATATAACCCAGCAATTCCACTTCTGGGTATATACCCAAAGGAATTGAAAGCAGAAACACAAACAGATATTTGTACACTCATGTTCATAGCAGCATTGTTCATAATAGGCAAGAGGTCAAAACAACCCAAATGTCCATTGATGGACAATGACTAAACAAAACATTCCATTTTAATAGTATTCCATTGTAGTATTCACATACAATAAAATATTATTTATCCTTTTTCAAAAGGAATGAAATTGTAGTACATGATACAACGTGGATGAACCTTAAGAACATTGTGCTGGCTGGGTGCGGTGGCTCATGCCTGTAATCCCAGGAGAATCATGGGGTCAGGAGATCGACACCATCCTGGCTAACAGAGTGAAACCCAGTCTCTAGTAAAGTTACAAAAAATTAGCAGGACATGGTGGCAGGAGGCTGAAGTCCCAGCTACTTGGGAGGCTCAGGCAGGAGAATCGCTTGAACCCAGGAGGTGGAGGTTGCAGTAAGCCGAGATTGTGCCACTGCACTCCAGCCTGGGTGACTGAGCCAGACTCCATCTCAAAACAAAACAAAACAAAACAAAATAAAACATAGTGCTAAGTGAAATAAACGAGTCACAAAAAGACAACTACTGTATGATTCCACTTCTATGAGATACCTAGAGTAGTCAAATTTATAGAGACGGAAAGCAGAATGGCAGTTGCCAGGGATTAGGGATAGAGGGAGGTGGAGAGTTATTAGTTAATGGGTATAGAGTTTCAGTTTTGAAAGATGAAGAGTTCTGGAGATGGATAGTGGTGATGGTTGCAAAACGGTGTGAATGTACCTACCACCACTGAGCTGAACATTTTAAAATGGTTCATATGCCAAATTTTATATTCTGTGTAGTTTACCACAATTAAAATTTTTTATGGAAAACAAAAACAAATGTTCTGGCTTCCAGATTCCTATAGAACAACACCAGTTACCTAAATTTGAATCTCTCCACACATCCTATAAACAAACAAAACTAAGGAGAACGAATAAAACCATCCATGGCTACAATATAATTTACAGACAGAGAAAATTATAAACCCCATTTTATATAAAAGCAGGTATATACATCCAAAACCAGCAGATCCAGTTACAGAGCCATGCTCTAGAAGAGAAGCCAAGATGGCACAGAAAGGCTAAACCACCACCAGAAAAAGAGAGTCCCATCTTGAGTGGAGAAATACTGACAATACGTCCGAGATCTGGTAGATGAAAGAACTGAGACAGATTTTAAAAGGGGGTGAAATTGTTTGAGACTGGCAATGGCAATGTTGCAAAGGCAAGAGGAAAGGCAGGAAGAAAGAGGCGACTTGAAGGGGAGGTACCCCTTCAGGGCTTGATGGTGAAGAAAAACGAAGCAAGCAATGAGTAAGAGTCCCAGGCTGGGCGCAGTCGCTGACTCCTATAAACCCAACACTATGGGAGGCCGAGGTGGGCAGATCTCTTGAGCTCAGGAACTCGAGACCAGCCTGGGCAACATGGTGAGACCCCCATCTCTACAAAAATAAAATAAAATAAAATACTAAATTTAGCCAGGCGAGGTAGTGCGCACCTGTGGTCCCAGCTACTCGGGAGGAGGCTGAGGCAGGAGGATCGCTTGAGCCCAGGAGGCAGAGGTTGCTGTGAGCAGAGATGGAGCCGCTGCACTCCAGCCTGGGAGACAGAGACAGGCTGTGTCTCGAAAAGAAAAAGAAAAAGAAAGTTAAGAGTCCCACAGAAATGAAACAGAATCACAAAATCAGAAGACATCAGCCAGTGCGCCACTCTAAAAAAAGAGGGCACTCTTGAACTAAGAAAGCTGGTAAGGCACCCAACCTCCTGCCTCATTTGCAGTTGCTGAAACTGGAAAATAAAATATTACAAAATGCACAGAAAATTGCAGACATATTATATAGAAAAAATTTAAGTGAAAATCTATATTTTCTAAAAAAAAAAAACTCAACATGATACCAGAAACCTGAAACATAATATTCCAGCCAAAATTAAATAACCTTAAACAATAATTTGGTAACATGAAAAAAAATGCCATGAATCAGAAAAATAACTCAGAACAGAAATGGACAAAGAACGAAATAACTAAGAAAACAGTTTGTTAAAAAAAAAAAAGCAGGAGAAATAGAAGAATAAAAAAATCAGAAAAAAAAACTAAATTATAAGATGTTCGAAGAGGAAGAGCTTTTACTTAAAATATAATAACTGGTATTGAGGAAAGGTATTAACACAGCCAATAAAATAAAAATAAAATCAAAAGAAAGCAATTCAGCCGGGTGCAGTGGCTCACGCCTGTAATCCCAGCACTTCGGGAGGCCGAGGCGGGTGGATCACAAGGTCAGGAGTTCGAGACCAGCTTGGCCATTATGGTGAAACCCTGTCTTTACTAAAAATACAAAAATTAGCCAGGTATGGTGGCATGTGCCTGTAGTCCCAGCTACTCAGGAGGCTGAGGCAGGAGAATCGCTTGAAAAAAGGAGATGGAAGTTGCAGTGAGCGGAGATCGCACCATTGCACTCCATCCTGGGCAACAGAGTGAGATTCCATCTGAAAAAAAAAAAAGCCATTCAAAGGATCAGACAGAAAGTGGCGTTGGTGTAGAGGCAAAGATCCAACATACATTGCAGTCCCTGAAGAAGAATAAAACAATGGAACCGATGTAATCTTCAAAACTATAATAAAAGAAACTTGGGTCTACATATCGAAAGGAAACCTAGGAAAAATTATATGGAATGATCAAGTCTGAGGTATATCTTAGAGCATCCATTAGATTTGAAAGAAAAACTCCTGTGGGCCTCAGGCAAAAAGGACAAG
Organism: Homo sapiens; assembly: GCF_000001405.40. Classification (NCBI taxonomy): domain Eukaryota; kingdom Metazoa; phylum Chordata; class Mammalia; order Primates; family Hominidae; genus Homo; species Homo sapiens. Next base: position 140,726,481 of record NC_000005.10, on the reverse strand, counting down.
AAGATACAAATATACAGGTAACTGTTAGAACAAACACGTGAACATTACTGAACACTGAAAAAACTTTAAAAGTTAAGAGTTTGGTTGTGTTTGGATTTTAAGCACTTCCTTGCTTTCTAGCACTACGAGGTGCTCCGTGTCCATTTCTATATTTCCTGCCCACTACTAAAATCAGCCATTTCTCCAAGAAACCCTGGATCCTTTTATTATGGAAAGTGAGCTGAACTTCAGCAGTAAGAGGGCTGGAGAGCGCCCGCGGGTCTCGAACAACCCAGAGAGGTGGTTTGATGACACGCGAAGTAACCGCTGAGCTAAAGCCAGCCCAGAGGTTGCTTTCGGATTGTATTTTCTTGACTGGTGAGAAAGACCTACGTCACAAAGAGTGAGTCAAAACAACGGTGCTTTAGCTTGACTCAGCGACCTGGACTGTCCAATCCGCCGCTATCTCCAGGCAATTGCAGAGTGTCCATCTGGGGACATACAGCAGTGACAAGTACTCAGCCTTCCTCTAACCCCTGGAGAGCTCTTCCGCGGTTGTGCCCCCGGTTTATTCTCTCCTCAGCAGTCACCTGGTCCACAACTCTCCACACGCCCCCACCTCCTTTGCCTCCAGCTTTTGCGCTCCCAAAACAACCACGCAGGGTCACTTTGTGATCAAATCGACTTTTACAAGTAGAGCTTGGGTCATAAGAGTGGAGTCTTTACAAGGTGTAAATTGTATTTCAGACCTTATCTTAGAACTTCGCTGCTAAACTAGATAAACCTTACATCCTCTCCCCAGGGGAAACTTCCTGCGGCGCTTTTTTTTTTTTTTTTTTTTGACAGAATACCCCTCTGTCACCCTGTCACCCAGGCTGCAGTGCAATGGCCCCATCTAGGCTCAACCCATACGCCCCTCTTAGCCTTCCCAGTAGCTAGGACTACAGGCAGTCCACCATGCCCAACTAATTTTTTTTTTCCTGAGACGGATTCTCCACGCCGTTGCCCAAGCTGGATTGCAGTGGCAACAACTCGGCTCACTGCAGCCTCCGCCTCCCAGGTTCAAGCGATTCTCATGCCTCATCCTCCCAAGTAGTTGGGACTACAGGCATGCGCCACCACACCCAGCTAATTTTTATATTTTTTAGTAGAGAGGAAGTTTCACCATGTTGGCCAGGCTGGTCTCGAACTCCTGACCTCAGGTGATCCGCTTGCCTCGGCCTCCCAAAGGGCTGAGATTACAGGCTTCAGCCACCATGCCCAGCCTTTCTTGTTTTGTTTTGTTTTGTCTTTTTGTAGAGACAGGCTCTTGCTATGTTGCCAAGGTTGACCTGGAACTGGCCTCAACAGATCCTTCCACCTTGGCCACCCAAAGCGCTAGGATTACCCGTGTGAGCCTCCATGCCTGGCCTAAAAATTATTTCCATTTTTAATACTACAGTAACATCTATTATTTTTATGTGCACTGTAAACAGCTAATCTTTCTTCCCCAAATTCCTACTTTTCTCCAATTAACCACTGTTTATATTTCAATGTGTATCCTTCCAGTCCTTTCCCTCAATCTGTATATTTAACTGTATACAAAACATAAGGTTTTTCTTGGCTTGCTGGGAATCTTGGTTGTTGGATATTGTTTACTTAACAGCATGTCTTGGAGATCCTTCCAGTCACTGCATATAAACCTAAATCACTTGTATTGTAACAGCTGCATTATATTCAAGTATAAATGTACTAGTTTTAAGTTTCACTATCATAAAGCTGCAGTGATACACATCTTGGTACATATATGTACACATACACAAGTATGTTGTTAGAATATATGCTGGATTAAAGAATCTGCACACATATTTGGAGAAAGTTATGGGAGAAATGCAAGAGGCCTTGAGGGTGCCTGAAGCCGTAGGATCATCTTTAGTAATAAGGATCATCTTTTGTTCCCCAGGTACTCTGAAGGGCAATTCCACCAGAATGTACATTCCATGACATCTGGGACTTTGATGCATTGCCCCAGACGATAATACCAGTACCTACAGCATGTTCACCTAAGCACTGGTCAAGTGGATATTCCTCAACCAGAATGCAAACATTTCCATTGGTTTTAGAAAGCCCTGAAACAAGCTTCTCTTTGAGATTTCTGAGTTATCTGGGAGATTGCTGTGGGCTCTTGAATTTCCATTCCATTTCCTTTCCTAAGACACCAACTTGAGCACCTCCAAACACCCCCATGACTTAGGTCCCTTTGAGACTCAAACCACTTACCAGTCCCAAAAGAGTTTAAAGATTCTGAAATTCAGAATTGCATTTTAGAAGTGACCAGAGATGGCCAGGCGCCGTGGCTCATGCCTGTAATCCCAGCACTTTGAGAGGCCAAGGCGGGCGGATCACGAGGTCAGGAGATCGAGAATATCCTGGCTAACACGGTGAAACCCCATCTCTACTAAAAAAAAAAAAAAAAAAAAAAAAATTAGCCGGATGTGGTGGCTGGCGCCTGTAGCCCCAGTTACTCGGGAGACTGAGGCAGGAGAATGGCATGAACCCGGGAGGCGGAGCTTACAGTGAGCCGAGATCGCGCCTGTGCACTCCAGCCTGGGCACAGAGCAAGACTCCGTCTCAAACAAAAAAAAAAAAAGAAAAAAGAAAAAAAAAAGAAGTGACCAGAGGTAAGCTCCACTGTACCAAAAAAGGAACGACATCCTTTGAAGCTAAATTAAACTAGATGGTTTCCTGAAGAATGAGACTGGGTGCGGTGGCTCAGGCATGTAATCCCAGGACTTTGGGAGGCCGAGGCAGGCAGATCATTTGAGGTCAGGAGTTCAAGACCAGCCTGGCCAACATGGTGAAACCCCATATGTACTAAAAATACAAAAAAATTAACCAGGCATAGTGGTGGGCGACTGTAATCCCAGCTACTCAGGAGGCTAAGGCGGGAGAATCCCTTGAACCCGGGAGGCGGACGTTGCAGTGAGCTGAGATACCCCCACTGCACTCCCGCCTGGGTGAAAGAGCAAGACTCTGTCTCAAAAATAATACCAGTAATAATAATAAATCAATAAAAATCAGGTAAATGGAGCTGGGCAGAATGGTGCATGCCTAGAGTCCCTGCAACTCGGGAGGCTGAGGCAGAAGGATCACTCGAGCCCAGGAGTTCAAGGCTGTTGCCTGCTATAATTATACTTGTGAATGGCTACTGTACTGCAGCCTGGGCAACATAGCAAGACCCTCTTCTCTAAATAAAATAAAATAAATAAAATTAAAAAATCAGGTGAATGGTTAATTCCAAAAGTGAAGGGGTTGTGAAAATCAAAAGAGAGATACAGGGTTTCTGGAATGTTGGCAACGTTTTCTTATCCTTAGTAGTGATTATATGGATTATATAGTAGTGATTATATGGATTCATTTTATAAGTATTTAAATTTACGTATATACCTCATAAACTTTCTGCATGTTTATCTCACAGTGTTAAAATGCTTAATTAATTAACTGTAGAAAATTGATACAATCATCATAAGCATACATGCATCCAATATACAATCTTGAACTATATCAAACAAACAGGAAAAAATACATAAATCACCAATTGTAGTTGGAAATGTTTTAACATGCATCTCTAAGAACTGTAGATCACATAGAACTGAAAATAGTATGGATATGAATGAGCTGAAATGAAAAACATTTTTAAAAATATGTAGAACCAAAATAAACAGGCACTCTTTTTGAATATACATATAACACTTACAACAATAGACCATGTATTAGGCCATAAAGGAAGCATCAATAAATTCCAAAGATCCAATCCCATTCAGACAATGTTCTCCTACTACAATGCATTCTGAAATTAACATTTGTAAAAACAATTGCTAAAATAAAATCCCACTTACTTGGAAAATAAATAACATATTACTAGATCAGACTCAGCTTATAAAACACTTAGAAGTGAATGAAACACTACATGACAGAATTTGTGTACTACAAATAAAGCAGTATTTAAAGGCAAACTTACAGTTTTAAATACACTAATAATTAAGAGAGATTAAAATCAAATGAGCTGCCACAGGAGACACAACCTCACACCCTTCAGGATAGCTACTATCAATAACACACACATACACACACACACACACACACACACTCAGAGAGAGAGAGAGAATAAGTGTTAGTGAAGATGTGGAGAAATTGAAGCATTTCTGCACTATTGGTGGGAATGTAAAATGATACAGCTGCTATGGAAAACAGTATGGCAGTCACTTAAATAGCTAAAAATAGAATTACCATATAATCCAGCAATTCCACTTCTGGTATATACCCAAAGGAATTGAAAGCAGAAACTCAAATAGAAATTCGTACACTTATGTTCATAGCAGCATCGTTCATAATAGCTAAAAGGTCAGAACAACCCAAATGTCTATCGATGGATGATGGCTAAACAAAATATTCCGTTTTAATAATATTCCATTGTAGTATTCACATACAATAGCATATTATTTATCCTTTTTAAAAAGGAATGAAATTATGGTACATGATACAACATGGATGAACCTTAAGAACATTGTGCTGGCCGGGTGCAGTGGCTCACGCCTGTAATCCCAGCACTTTGGGAGGCCGAGGTGAGTGGATCACCTGAGGTCAGGAGTTCGAAACCAGCCTGGACAACATAGCCAAACCCGTCTCTACTAAAAATACAAATATTAGCCGTGCGTGGTGGTGGGCGTCTGTAATCCCAGCTACTGGGGAGGTTGAGGCAGGAGAATCGCTTGAACCCGGGAGGCGGAGGTTACAGTGAGCTGAGATCGCACCATTGCACTCCAGCCTGGGAGAAAAAGCCAGACTCTGTCTCAAAAAAAAAAAAAATTGTGCTAAGGGAAATAAAGGAGTCACAAAAAGACAGCTACTGTGTGATTCCACTTTTATGAGATACCTAGAGTAGTCAAATTTATAGAGACGGAAAGCAGAATGGCAGTTGCCAGGGATTAGAGATAGAGGGAGGTGGAGAGTTATTAGTTAATGGGTATAGAGTTTCAGTTTTGAAAGATGAAGAGTTCCTGGAGATAGATAGTGGTGATGGTTGCATAACAGTGTGAATGTACCTACCACCACTGAGCTGAACATTTTAAAATGGTTCATATGCCAAATTTTGTTTTCTGTGTATTTTACCACAATTAAAATTTTTTATGGAAAACAAAAACAAACGTTCTGGCTTCCAGATTCCTATAGAATAACGCCAGTTACCTAAATTTGAATCTCTCCACACATCCTATAAACAAACAAAACTAAGGAGAACGAATAAAACCATCCATGGCTACAATATAATTTACAGACAGAGAAAATTATAAACCCCATTTTATATAAAAGCAGGTATATACATCCAAAACCAGCAGATCCAGTTACAGAGCCATGCTCTAGAAGAGAAGCCAAGATGGCACAGAAAGGCTAAACCACCACCAGAAAAAGAGTCCCATCTTGAGTGGAGAAATACTGACAATACGTCCGAGATCTGGTAGATGAAAGAACTGAGACAGATTTTAAAAGGGGGTGAAATTGTTTGAGACTGGCCATGGCAATGTTGCAAAGGCAAGAGGAAAGGCAGGAGGAAAGAGGCGACTTGAAGGGAAGGTACCCCTTCAGGGCTTGATGGTGAAGAAAAAGGAAGCAAGCAATGAGTAAGAGTCCCAGGCTGGGTGCGGTGGCTCACTGCTGTAAACCAACATTATGGGATGCTGAGGAGGACGGATATCTTAAGGTCAGGAACTCGAGACCAGCCTGGGCAACATGGCAAGATGCCTGTCTCTACAAAAATATTAAAATTAAATAAAATAATAAAATTAAATAAATACAAAATTTAGCCAGGCGAGGTAGCGCGCACCTGTGGTCCCAGCTACTCAGGAGGAAGCTGAGGCAGGAGGATTGCTTGAGGCAGAGGTTCCAGTGAGCTGAGACGGCGCCACTGCACTCCAGTCTCGGAGAGAGAGATAGACCCTGTCTCAAAAAGAAAAAGAAAAAGAAAAGAAAATTAAGAGTCCCACAGAAATGAAAGAGAATTACAAAATCACAAGGCATCAGTCGGTGCTCCACTCTAAAAAAGGGCTATTTCGGGGAAAAATGCATTTTGTTCTACCAACAAAAGAGGGCACTCTTGAACTAAGAAAGCTGGTAAGGCACCCAAACTTCTGCCTCATTTGCAGTTGCTGAAACTGGAAAATAAAATATTACAAAATGCACAGAAAATTGCAGACATATTATATAGAAAAATTTTAAGTGAAAATCCATACTTTTTTTTTTTTTTTTGAGACGGAGTCTCGCTCTGTCGCCCAGGCTGGAGTGCAGTTGCGCAATCTCGGCTCACTGCAAGCTCCGCCTCCCGGGTTCACGCCATTCTCCTGCTTCAGCCTCTCTGAGTAACTGGGACTACAGGCGCCCGCCACCACGCCCAGCTAATTTTTTTGTATTTTTAGTAGAGACAGGGTCGCACCGTGGTCTCGATCTCCTGACCTCGTGATCCGCCCGCCTCGGCCTCCCAAAGTGCTGGGATTACAAGCGTGAGCCACCGAGCCCAGCCAAAAGTCCGTATTTTTTTTAAACTCACCATGGAACCGGAAAACTGAAACACAGTACTCCAACCTAAATTAGATAACCTTAAACAATCATTTGGTAACATGAAAAAAATGCCATGAATCAGAAAAATAACTCAGAAGAGAAATAGACAAAGAACAAAATAACTAAGAAAACAGTTTGTAAAAAAGCAGGAGAAATAGAAGGAAAAAAAATCAGAAAAAAACTAAATTATAAGATGTCCAAAGGGAAGAGCTTTTACTTAAGATATAATAACTGGTATTGAGAAAAGGTATTAACACAGCCAATAAAAAAAAAAAGATATCTCTTAGAACATCCATTAGATTTGAAAGAAAAACTCCTCTGGGCCTCAGGCAAAAAGGATGAGAAGATACAAGTATACAATTAACTGTTACAACAAACACATGAACATTACTGAACATTGAAAAATATTTTTAAAGTTAAGAGTTTGGTTGTTTTAGGTTTTCTTTTCTTTTTTTTCTTTTTTTTTTTTTTTTTGTGATACGGAGTCTTGCTCTGTCGCCCAGGCTGGAGTGCAGTGGCGCGATCTCGGCTCACAGCAAGCTCCACCTCCCGAATGGCTCACGCCATTCTCCTGCCTCAGCCTCCCGAGTAGCTGGGGCTACAGGCGCCCGCCACCACACCCGGCTAATTTTTTTGTATTTTTAGTAGAGACGGGGTTTCACCGGGTTAGCGAGGATGGTCTTGATTTCCTGACCTCGTGATCCGCCCGCCTCGGCCTCCCAAAGTGCTGGGATTACAGGCATGAGCCACCGCGCCCGGCCTGTTTTTGGTTTTCAAGCACTTCCTTACTTTCTAGCACTGTGAGATGCACCCTGTCCATCTCTGTATTTCCTGCCCAGTGCTAAAATCAGCCATTTCTCCATGGTTCCCCATGGAAAAGGAGCTGAACTTCAGCAGTAAAAGAGCTGGAAAGCACCCGCGGGTCTCGAACCACCCAGAGAGGTGGTTACAATGTACTCGAAGTAACCGCTGAGCTAAAGCCAGCCCAGAGGCTATCTCCGGATTATATTTTCTTGACTGGTGAGAAAGACCTACGTCACAAAGTGAGTCAAAACAACAGTGTTTTAGCATGACTCAGCAACCAGGACTGTCCAACACGCCACCGCCTCCAGACAATTGGAGTGTACAGCCAGGGACACACAGCAGTGACAAGGACACAGCCTTCCCCTAACCCTGGAGAGCTCTTCCGCAGTTGTGTACCTGGCTTATTTTCTCCTTCTCAGCAGTCACCTGGTCCACAAGTCTCGACACACCCCCACCTCCTTCGCCTTCAGCCACTGCGCTCCCAAAACAACCACGCAGGGTCACTTTGTGATCAAATCGACTTTTACAACTAGTGCTTGGGCCAGGGGAGTGGCGTCTTTACAAGGTGTAAATTGTATTTCAGACCTTATCTTAGAACTTCGCTGCTAAACTAGATAAACCTTCCAACCCCGGCCCAGGTGAAACTTCCTGTTATGCTTTTTAAATTTTTTTTGTTAGAGACAGACTCTCCCTCTGTCACCCAGTCTGGAGTGCAATGGCCCCATCTAGGCTTAACCCATACGCCCCTCTTAGCCTCGCGAGTGGCTAGGACTACAGGCATAGGCCACCATGCCTAACTAATGTTTTTTCTTTTCTTTTCATTTATTTATTTATTTTATTTATTTATTTTTTTGAGATGGAGTCTCCACTCTGTTGCCCAAGCTGGACTGCAGTGGTACCACCTCAGCTCACTGCAGCCTCCGCCTCCCGGGTTGAAGTGATTCTCATGCCTCTCCCTCCCAAGTAGCTGAGACTACAGGCACGCGCCACCACACCCATCTAATTTCTGTATTTTTTAATAGAGGCGAGGTTTCACCATTTTGGACAGGCTGGTCTCGAACTCCTGACCTCAAGTGATCCACTTGACTTGGCCTTCCAAATGGCTGGGATTACAGGCTTCAGCCATCGGGCCCAGCCTTTTTTGTTGTTGTTGTCGGAGACGGAGTCTTCCTATGTGGCCAAGGTTGACCTGGAACTGGCCTCAAGAGATCCTTCCACCTCAGCCACCCAAAGTGCTAGGATTACCCGTGTGAGCCTCCATGCCTGGCCTAAAAATTATTTCCATTTTTAATACCACAGGAACATCTATTCTTTTTATGTACACTGTAAACAGCTAATGTTTCTTCCCCAAATTCCTACTTTTCTCCAATTAACCACTGTTTATATTTCAATGTGTATCCTTCCAGTCCTTTTCCTCAATCTGTATATGTAACTGTACACAGAACATAAGGTTTTTCTTGGCTTGCTGGGAATCTTGGTTGTTGGATATTGTTTACTTAACAGCATGTCTTGGAGATCCTTCCACGCACTGCATATAAACCTAAATCACTTGTATTGTAACAGCTGCATTATATTCAAGTATAAATGTACTAGTTTTAAGTTTCACTATCATAAAGCTGCAGTAATACACATCCTGGTACATATATGTACACATACACAAATATGTTGTTAGAATATATGCTGGATTAAAGAATCTGCACACATATTTGGAGAAATACAAGAGGCCTTGAGGGTGCCTGAAGCCACAGGATCATCTTTAATAATAAGGATCATCTTTTGTTCCCCAGGTACTCTGAAGGGCAATTCCACCAGAATGTACATTCCATGACATCTGGGACTTTGATGCATTGCCCCAGACGATAATACCAGTACCTACAGCATGTTCACCTAAGCACTGGTCAAGTGGATATTCCTCAACCAGAATGCAAACATTTCCATTGGTTTTAGAAAGGGTTTTAGAAACCCCTGAAAGAAGCCTCTCTTTGAGATTTCTGAGTTATCTGGGATTGCTGTGGGCTCTTGAATTTCCATTCCATTTCCTTTCCCAAGACGCCAACTTGAGCACCTCCAAACACCCCATGACTTAGGTCCCTTTGAGACTCAAACCACTTACCAGTCCCAAGAGAGTTTAAAGATTCTGAAATTCAGAATTGCTTTTTTGAAGTGACCAGAGGTAAAATCCCACTGTACCAAAAAGGGAAAGACATCCTTTGAAGCTAAATTGAAGCTAAATTGAACTAGATGTTTTCCTGAAGAATGAGACTGGGCGCAGTGGCTCACACCTATAATCCCAGCACTTTGGGAGGCCAAGGTGGGCAGATGATTTGAGGTCAGGAGTTCAAGACCAGCCTGGCCAACATGGTGAAACCCCATCTGTACTAAAAATACAAAAAAAATTAGCCGGGCCTAGTGGCGGGCAACTGTAATCCCAGCTACTCAGGAGGCTGAGGCAGGAGAATCACCTGAACCCAGGAGGCGGAGGTTGCAGTGAGCTGAGATACCTCCACTGCACTCCTGCCTGGGTGAAAGAGCAAGACTCTGTCTCAAAAATAATACCAGTAATAATAATAAATCAATAAAAATCAGGTAAATGGAGTTGGGCAGAATGGTGCATGCCTAGAGTCCCAGCAACTTGAGAGTCTGAGGCAGAAGGATCACTTGAGCCCAGGAGTTCAAGGCTGTTGCCCGCTATGATTACACCTGTGAATGGCTACTGTACTGCAGCCTGGGCAACATAGCAAGACCCTCTTCTCTAAATAAAATAAAATAAATAAAATAAAAATCAGGTGAATGGTTAATTCCAAAAGTGAAGGGGTTGTGAAAATCAAAAGAGAGATACAGGGTTTCTGGAATGTTGGCAAAGTTTTTTTGTTTTGTTTTGTTTGTTTGTTTGTTTGTTTGTTTGTTTGTTTTTGAGACTGAATTTCTCTCTTGTTGCCCAGGCTGGAGTGCAATGGCGCGATCTCGGCTCACCGCAACCTCTGCCTCCCGGGTTCAAGCGATTCTCCTGCCTCAGCCTCCCAAGTGGGATTACTGGCATGCGCCACCACCACAGCTAATTTTGTATTTTTACTAGAGAGAGTGTTTTTCCATGTTGGTCAGGCTGGTCTTGAACTCCTGACCTCAGGTGATCCGCCCGCCTCAGCCTCCCAAAGTGCTTGGATTACAGGTGTGAGCCACCGCGCCCGGTTGGCAACGTTTTCTTATCCTTAGTGGTGATTATATGGATTATATAGTAGTGAATATATGGATTCATTTTATAAGTATTTATTTAAATCTACATATATATCTTATAAACTTTCTGCATGTATGTTATGCCTCACAGTTTTAAAATGTTTAATTAGTAAACAGTAGAAAATTGATATAATCATCATAAGCATACATGCATCCACAATACAATCTCCAACTATGTCAAATAAATAGGAAAAAACATATAAATCACCAATTGTAGTTGGAAATGTTTTAACATGCATCTCTAAGAACTGTAGATCACATAGACCTGAAAATAGTATGGATATGAATGAGCTAAAAAACAATTTTAAAAATATGTAGATCTAAAATAATCAGGCATTCTTTTTTAATATACATGTAACACAACAATAGACCATGCATTAGGCCATAAAGGAAGCATCAATAAATTCCAAATATCCAATCCCATTCAGACAATGTTCTCCTACTACAATGCATCCTGGAATTAACATTTGTAAAAATGATAGCTAAAATAAAATCCCACTTGTTTGGAAACTAAATCACATATTACTAGATCAGACTCTGCTTAAAAAATACTTAGAAGTGAATGAAACACTACATGACAGAATTTGTGTACTACAACTAAGCAGTACGTAAAGGCAAACTTGGAGTTTTAAATACACTAATGATTAAGAAAGATTAAAATCAAATAAGCTGCCACGGGAGATACAACCTCACACTCTTCAGGATAGCTACTATCAATGACACACACACACCCAGAGAAAGAGAGAGGCAGAATAAATGTTAGTAAAGATGTGGAGAAATTGAAGCCCTTCTGAACTATTGGTAGAAATGTAAAATGATATAGCTGCTATGGGAAACTGTATGGCAGTTACTTAAATAACTAAAAATAGAATTACCATATAGTCCAGCAATTCCATTTCTGGTATATATCCAAAAGAATTGAAAGCAGAAACTAGGCCGGGCACGATGGCTCATGCCTGTAATTCCAGCATTTTGGGAAGCTGAGGTGGGTGGATCATGAGGTCAGAAGTTCGAGACCAGCCTGGCCAACACGGTAAAACCCCGTCTCTACTAAAAATACAAAAATTAGCTGGGCTTGGTGTCACACGCCTGTAATCCCAGCTACTCAGGAGGCTGAGGCAGGAGAATCACTTGAACCTAGAAGGTGGAGGTTGCAGTGAGCCTAGATCACACCAATGTACTCCAGCCTGGGGGAGAGAGCAAGACTCCGTTTCAAAAAAAAAAAAAAAGAAAACAGAAACTAAAACAGATATTTGTACACTTATGTTCTTAGCAGCATTGTTCATAATAGCCAAAATGTCAAAACAACCCAAATGTCCATTGACGGACAATGGCTAAACAAAATATTCCATTTTCATAATATTCCACTGTAGTATTCACATACAATAGAATATTATTTATCCTTTCTAAAAAAGAACAAAATTGTGGTACATGATACAATATGGATGAACCTTAATAACATTGTGCTGGCCGGGCGTGATGGCTCACACCTGTAATCCCAACACTTTGGGAGGTCGAGGTGAGCAGATCACCTGAGGTCAGGAGTTCGAGACCAGCCTGGTCAGCATGGTGAAACCCCATCTCTACTAAAAATACAAAAATTAGCCAGGTGTGGTGGTGGGTGCCTGTAATCCCAGCTACTTGGGAGGCTGAGGCAGGAGAATCACTTGAACCTGGGAGGCGGAGGTTGCCGTGAGCCGAGATCATGCCACTGCACTCCAGCCTGGGTGACAGAATGAGACTCCCTCTAAAAAAAAAAAAAAAAAAAAGAACATTGTGCTAAGTGAAATAAATGAGTCACAAAAAGACAAATACTGTATGATTCCACTTCTATGAGATACCTAGAGTAGTCAAATTTATAGAGACTGAGGGCAGAATGGCAGTTGCCAGGGATTAGGGATGAAGGGAGATGGAGAGTTAGTGGGTATAGAGTTTCAGTTTTGAAAGATGAAGAGTTCTGGAGATGGATAGTGGTGACGATTGCATAATAGTGTGAATGTACCTACCACCACTGAACTGAACACTTCAAAATGGTTCATATGGGCTGGGGATGGTGGCTAACACCTGTAATCCCAGCTCTTAGGGAGGCAGAGGTGGGTGGATAGTTTGAGCCCAGGAGTTTGGGATCTGCCTGGGCAATATAGTGAGACCCCATTCTCCATAAAAAGGAAAAAAAAGACCAAAAAAAGGTGTAAAATGGTTCATATGCCAAATTTTATGTTCTGTGTATTTTACCACAATTAAAAATTTTTATGGAAAACAAAAACAAATGTTCTGGCTCCCAGATTCCTATAGAATAATGCCAGTTACCTAAATTTGAATCTCTTCACACATCCTATAAACAAAAAAAAACTAAGGAGAACAAATAAAACCATCTATGGCTACAACATAATTTACAGACAGAGAAAATTATAAACCCCATTTTATATAAAAGCAGATATATACATCCAAAACCAGCAGATCCAGTTACAGAGCCATGCTCTAGAAGAGATGCCAAGATGGCACAGAAAGGCTAAACCACCACCAGAAAAAGAGAGTCCCATCTTGAGTGGAGACATGCTGACAGTATGTCTGAGATCTGGTAGATGCAAGAACTGAGACGTATTTTAAAAGGGGGTGAAATTGTTTGAGACTGGTAATGGCAGTGTTGCAAAGGCAGGAGGAAAGAGGTGACTTGAAGGGGAGGTACCCCTTCAGGGCTTCACGGTGAAGAGAAAGGAAGCAAGCAGTGAATAACAGTACCAGTCTAGGTGCGGTGGCTTACTCCTCTAAACCCAACATTATGTGAGGCCGAGGTGGGCGGATCTTGATCTCAGGAATTTGAGACCAGCCTGGGCAACATGGCGAGACCCCCATCTCTACAAAAATAAAATAAAATAAAAATAAAATAAAATACAAAGCTGGGTGAGGTAGTGCACAGCTGTGGTCCCAGCTACTCTGGAGGAGGCTGAGGCAGGAGGATCGCTTGATCCCAGGAGGGAGAGGTTGCAAAGCTAAGATGGTGCCACTGCACCCCAGACTGGGAGACAGAGACAGACCCTGTCTCAAAAAGAAAAAGAAAATTAAGAGTCTCAGAGATATAAAAGAAAATCACAAAATCACAAGATATCAGCCTGTGCTCCACTCTCCAAAAAAGGGCTTCCTATTTGGGGGAAAAATGCATTTTGTTCTACCAACAAAAGAGGGCACTCCAGCCAGGCGCAGTGGCTCATGTCTGTAATCCCAGCACTTTGGGAGGCTGAGGTGGGTGGATCACCTGAGGTCAAGAGTTCGAAACCAGCCTGGCCAACATGGTGAAACCCCGCCTCTATTAAAAATACAGAATTAGCCGGGCATGGTGGCGCATGCCTGTAATCCCAGCTATTTGGGAAGCTGAGGCAGGAGAATCGCTTGAACCGGGGATGCGGAGGTTGCACTGAGCCGAGATCGCGCCATTGCACTCCAGCCTGGGCAACAAGAGAGAAACTCTGTCTCAAAAAAAAAAAAAAAAAAAAAAACGAAAACAAAAATAAGAGGGCACTCTTCAAGTAAGAAAGCTGGTAAGGCACCCAAACTACTGCCTCATTTGTAATTGCTGAAACTGGAAAATAAAATATTTCAAAATGCACAGAAAATTGCAGACATGGTATATAGAAAAAGGTTAAGTGAAAATCAATATTTTTTTGAAAACTAACCATGAAACCAGAAAACTGAAACACAGTACTTCAACCTAAATTAGATAACCTTAAGCAATCATTTGGTAACATGAAAAAAATGCCATGAATCAGAAAAATAACTCAGAACAGAAATGGACAAAGAACAAAATAAGCAGTTTGTAAAAAAGCAGGAGATATGGAAGAAAAAAAATCTCTGAAAAGAAAACTAAATCATAAGGAAAGCTTTTCCAAAGAGGAAAAACTTTTACTTAAAATATAATAACTGGTATTGAGGAAAGGCATTAAAACAGCCAATAAAATAAAAATAAAATCAAGAAAGCAATTCAAAGGATCAGAGAGAAAGTGGTATAGAGGCAAAGATCCAACATACATTGCAGTCCCTGAAGAAGAATAAAATAATGGAACCGATGTAATCTTCAAAACTATAATAAAAAAAAATTGGGTCTACATATCGAAAGGAAACCTAGGAAAACTTATATGGAATGATCAAGTCTAAGGTATATCTTAGAACATCCATTAGATTTGAAAGAAAAAAATCCTGTGGGCCTCAGTAAAAAAGGGCGAGAAGATACAAGTATACAGGCAACTGTTAGAACAAACACATGAACATACTAAACATTGAAAAAACTTTAAAAGTTGAGTTTGGTTGTTCTTGGTTTTTAAGCATTTCCTTACTTTCTAGCTCTATGAGATGCTCCACGTCCATTTCTATATTTCCTGCCCAGTACTAAAATCAGCCATTTCTCCGAGGAGCCCTGATTCCTTTTACCATGGAAAGGGAGCTGAACTTCAGCAGTGAAAAGGACTGGAGAGCTCCCGCGGGTCTCGAACCGCCCAGAGAGGTAAAAGGACTGGAGAGCGCCCGCGGGTCTCGAACAACCCAGACAGGTTGCTTGTTTCAATTAAAGAACTGTCGAAGTAACCGCTGAGCTAAAGCCAGCCCGGAGGTTGCTTTCGGATTATATTTTATTGACTGGTGAGAAAGACCTACGTCACAAAGAGTGAGTCAAAAAGAGAGTGCTTCAGCATGACTCAGCGACCAGGACTGTCCAACACGCCCCCGACCTCCAGACAATTGAGGAGTTGTCCATCTGGGGACACACAGCAGTGACAAGGACGTAGCCTTTCCTAATCCCTGAAGAGCTCTTCCGCAGGTGTGTCCCCGGTTTACTGTCTCCTTCTCAGCAGTCACCTGGTCCACAACTCTCGAAACGCCCCCACCTCCTTCGCTTCCAGACTCTGCGCTCCCAAAACAACCACACAGGGTCACTTCGTGATCAAATCGACTTTTACAACTAGTGCTTGGGCCAGGGGAGTGGAGTCTTTACAAGGTGTAAATTGTATTTCAGACCTTATCTTAGAACTTCGCTGCTAAACTAGATAAACATTCCAACCCCCGCCCAGTGAAACTTCCTGTTACTCTTTTTAATTTTTTTAGAAACAGAATCTCCCTCTGTCACCCAGGCCGCAGTGCACTGGCTCCATCTAGGCTCAACCAATACGCCCCTCTTAGCCTCGCGAGTAGCTAGGACTACAGGCACAGGCCACTATGCCCAACTAATTTTTTTTTTGAGACGGAGTCGCTCTGTTGCCCAGGCTGGAGTGCAGTGGCACGATCTCGGCTCACTGCAACCTCCGCTTCCCGGGTTCCAGCGATTTCTGGCTAATTTTTGTATTTTTAATAGAGACAGGGTTTCACCATGCTGGCCAGGCTGGTCTCAAACTCCTGACCTCAAGTGACGCGCCCGCCTCGGCCTCCCAAAGTGCTAGGATTACAGGCGTGAGCTTTTTTTTCTGGCTTTTTTTTTCTTTTCTTTCCTCTTTTTTTTTTTGAGACGGAGTCTTGCTCTGTCGCCAGGCTGGAGAGCAGCGGCAGGATCTCGGCTCACTGCAACCTCCGCCTCCCGGGTTCAAGCGATTTTCCTGCTTCAGCCTCCCGAGTAGCTGGTACTACAGGCGCACGCCACCACGCCCAGCTAATTTTTGTATGTTTAGTAGAGATGGGGTTTCACCATGTTGGCCAGGATACTCTCGGTCTCTTGACCTCATGACCCACCTGCCTCAGTCTCCCAAAGTATTGGGATTACAGGCGTGAGCCACCGCACCTGGCCAAATTTTTTTTCCTTTTTCTTTTTCTTTTTTGAGACGGAGTCTCCACTCTGTTGCCCAGGCTGGATTGCAGTGGCACTACCTCCGCTCACTGCAGCCTCCACCTCCCGGGTTCAGGCGATTCTCGTGTCTCAGCCTCCCAAGTAGCTGGGACTACAGGCATGCGCCACCACACCCAGCTACTTTTTATATTTTTTAGTAGAGAAGAGCTTTCACCAAGTTGGCCAGGCTGGTCGCGAACTCCTGACCTCAAGTGATCCGCTGCCCTCAGCCTCTCAAAGGGCGGGGATTACAGGTGTGAGCCACCGAGCCGGGCCTTTTTTATTTTTTATTTTCTGTAGACAGGATCTTGCTATGCTGCTCAGTTGACCTGTAACTGCCCTCAAGAGATCCTTCCGCCTTGGCCACCCAAAGTGCTAGGATTACCCGTGTGAGCCTCCATGCCTGGCCTAAAAATTATTTCCATTTTTAATACTGCAGGAACATCTATTCCTTTTATGTATACTGTAAACAGCTAACCTTTCTTCCCTAAATTCCTACTTTTCTCCAATTAACCACTGTTTATATTTCAATGTGTATCCTTCCAGTCCTTTTCCTCAATCTGTTTATTTAACTGTACACAAAACGTAATTTTTCTTGGCTTGCTGGGAATCCAGTTGTTGGATATTGTTTACCTAACAGCATGTCTTGGAGATCCTTCTGATCACTGCGTATAAATCTAATTCACTTGTATTGTAACAGCTGCATTATATTCAAGTATAAATGTACTAGTTTTAAGTTTCACTAAGATAAAGCTGCAGTAATACACATCTTGGTACATATATGTACACATACACAAGTATGTTGTTAGAATATATGCTGGATTAAAGAATCTGCACACATATTTGGAGAAAGTTATGGGGGAAATGCAAGAGGCCTTGAGGGTGCCTGAAGCCACAGGATCATCTTTAATAATAAGGATCATCTTTTGTTCCCCAGGTACTCTGAAGGGCAATTCCAGCAGAATGTACATTCCATGACATCTGGGACTTTGATGCGTTGCCCCAGAAGATAATACCAGTACCTACAGCATGTTCACCTAAGCACTGGTCAAGTGGATATTACTCAACCAGAATGCAAACATTTCTATTGGTTTTAGTAAGACCTGAAAGAGGCTGGGCGCGGTGGCTAACGCCTGTAATCCCAGCAGTTTGGGAGGCTGAGGCGGGCGGATCATGAGGTCAGATGATCAAGACCATCCTGGCTAACATGTGAAACCCCCTCTCTACTAAAAATACAATAAAAAAAAAAAATAGCCGGGCGTGGTGGCAGGCGCCTGTAATCCCAGCTACTCGGGAGGCTGAGGCAGCAGAATGGCATGAACCAGGAAGGTGGAGCTTGCAGTGAGCCGAGATAGCGCCACTGCACTTCAGCCTGGGCAACAGAGCGACTGTCTCAAAAAAGACCTGAAAGCAGCTTCTCTTTGAGATTTCTGAGTTATCTGGGATTGCTGTGGGCTCTTGAATTTCCATTCCATTTACTTTTCCAAGATGCCACCCTGAGCACCTCCAGACACTCCATGACTTAGGTCCCTTTGAGACTCAAACCACTTAACCAGTCCCAAGAGTTTAAAGATTCTTAAATTCAGAATTGCTTTTTAGATGCAACCAGAGGTAAGATCCCACTGTACCAAAAAGGGAAAGACATTCTTTGAAGCTAAATTGAACTAGATGGTTTCCTGAAGAATGAAGCCAGGGGTGGTGGCTCATGCCTGTAATCCTAGCACTTGGGGAGGCCGAGGAGGGCTATCACTTGAGGTCAGGAGTTCAAGACCAGCTGGCCAACACGGTGAAACGCCATCTCTTCTAAAAATACAAAAAAATTAGCTGGGGATAGTGGCGGCCACCTGTAATCCCAGCTATTCAGGACGCTGAGGCAGGAGAATCACTTGAACCTGGGAGGTGGAGGTTGCAGTGAGCTGAGATCGTGCCACCGTACTCTAACCTGAGTGACAGTGACACTCTCAAAAAAAAAAAAAAAAAAAAAAAAAAACTGAACCATGGAAGGAACTCACAAACCTCCAGCCTGCCTTGAAAGGGGTAACAAAATACCTAGTCAACAAGAAGACTGTCACCCAAGGGACCTGAAGTGCACATAATCCTGCCAAGGAAAGCACGCACCAATCTGCCCCCAGTTGCCCAGTACTTACTGTATCTAAAACTGAGCCAGGCCTTCAGCCCATAGGTGAAGATACATTCAGTGTTCCCAGTGGCAAGATTCAGCATCAGAAATTAGACAAAGGGCATGTCTTACAGTAAGGGAATTTTGTACAAAAGTCCAAAGGGAGGTGTATGGTGCTTTGTGGTTCAGATAATACAGAAAGTTGAGGAGCTTGATGGGGCAGAGAATGAAAACCAGCTATATGGTGGCAGCCTTGTTAACCCAAACAGATTCATTTACAGGTCCATTTTTTCAGGGTATAGAACCAGCAAGTTACAGGCTTCATCTGCTTGAAGTTAATGTGACTGTAGTTCTTCGTGTATGTATGGCTATTTTTTTCTTCTGCATCCCCTTGACTTGGCATAGTACTTGATCCAGTGGATATCAAAGTTTTGTGAGTTTCTGTTTTGAGTTTGCCAGTCTGTGCCATCTAATTCTCAAATCAGACCAAGGTAGGGAAGACAGCTAGCTTCTTCTTAGTGGTCTTCAATGTGGGTAGGGAGGGATTTTGCCTTTCTCAGAGGCATAGACATTTTTAGTTGTCACAATTGTGGAAGAGGGTGCTACTGGCATCTAGCAGGTAGAGTCCAGGGATGAAGTTAATCCTAAATCAAAATCAAAATAATAAACATCCTACAATGCCAGCATTGGTTTCTACAACAAATGATAATCTGGCCCAAAATCTCAACAGTGCCAAAATTAAGTAATTCTGTGTCTAGCAGACAGTAAGAAAAACACTAAGGGCCAGGTGCAGTGGCTCACGCCTGTAATCCCAGCACTTTGGGAGGCCGAGGCAGGTGGATCACCTGAGGTCAGGGGTTTGAGACCAGCCTAGCCAACATGGTGAAACCCCATCTCTACTAAAAATACAATATTAGCCACTTGAAGCCAGGAGGCGGAGGTTGCAGTGAGCCAAGATTACGCCACTGCACTCCAGACTGGGCGATAGAGCAAGACTGTCTCAAAAAAAAGAAAAAAAAAAAAGAAAAAACATTATGTTCAATCCTGAGCTCTGCTGTTCCAAAAACAAAAGATCAAAGGAGTCTGAAATGATAGGAATCGTTTTGGTTCAGACTTCTCTGGACATAGATCCCTTATCAGACGAAAACATAACTCATGCTAAAAAAAAACCTAGGCAAAAATAAGATTTAAAATGGAAGAATAAAATACTCTATATGGAAATCCTCAGCATGAGAAGGAAAAACAAATATTCACAGGGAAGATTATGGAATGTTCTCACCAAATGTAAAACAGGCCCAGTCAATGCCATTTATTATACATGTCAAACAGCTTCTAAGACCGACGGGCTCCCATAATAAGGTTTTGGGGATTTTTTGTTTTGTTTTTCATTTTCTTTTTTGCATCAAACAGGTTCTTCCAAAAGCCTGCTCACAAGGTAGACAAAAACATAAATCTTCAGGAAAATGAAACATGAGAAGCTGAAACAATCTACACCTGAATGTTAAAAAACTCATCAGACACAAACCACACCAAACACTCATCCCATTTAATTTCCTGTTACATGCTCTGAGGAAGCCAAGAACATCAGGCCCCAGGGCAGCAATGCTCTAGGATTCCAGCTCGGACCCCCTCTATATGACAGATTCATGCACACACATCCACACACCATAGAACCAGGCAGAAATACACATGCATGCACAGGTGGCTAGAGAACCATAGGGCAGGATGGGAAAAAGGGCTGATCAAGGATATGCAATCAACTGGAAACTGGGACCTAGAGAATGCTTCTGTTGCAGGATGAACATGAGTTAAAATTAAAACAAAGGCAGAACACAGGATAAAGGTGGGATGTTCAGACAAGAGGTGGGATAGATGAAGAGATAAAGATGCAGGGGGAGTTTTGGGAAAGCAGCCTCAGAAGGGGAGGTTTTTCTTTATTGGGAACTCAGGTGGGCAGGGTCCTGTGACTCCAGTGATACACTGAGGCAGAAGCAATATGCCACAGCATTACCTCTGCAATCTGTGCCCTCTCCCAAAGTAGAGGGAAACCATGAGCCCCCACCCTCTATCCCTCCCCATTGACACTCTTAAGAACTTTCCCATTACCCAAAAAGAAATGACCCCCTACTACACACACACACACGCAAAGTTAGGTCCAGCATAGGCCAAAGTCAGGCCAAGCACAGAAAGCCTCAGTAACTCTTCTTGGTGGAACCAAAGCCAGAGAAGCCCATCACAGCTGCCATCTCATCGTCCTCCTCAAATGTCAAGTCCTCCTCAGCCCTCCTTTTCTTCTCCTTCTGTTTCTCTTTCTTGTACGCTTTGGCCTTTTCCTCCTGGAGGGAAAAATCACTCAGAATCAGTTTAGACTCCTCAGCCAAATGTTGTTTGTAACAACAACTAACATTCTGGGGCATGCAGTACATGCCAGAAATTGCTCTGAGTACTTCATGTATATTAAGATCTCTAATATGGGGATATTGAGGCACAAAGAGGTTATATAACTTGCCCAAGATTCACAGCCAGTAAGTGGAAGAAACAGAATTTTGACCCAGTCAGCCTGATTTCATGGGTCTCTTTAGGACTAGGTACATTTAGTTAATTCCTCTTGCAGTTAAAAAAAAAAAAAAATTATGGGGGAGGCTATGCATGTTGTGGGGGACAGTGGGTATATGGGAAATCTTTATAACTCCCTCTCAATTTTGTTGCAAACCTAAACTCCTCTAAAAAAAGTTTAGTCTTTTAAAAAAATTAAATCAAAGAATACAGATGAGACAGTCCTCAACTTATGATGCTGACAAGATTTTTCAATTTTATAATGGTGAAAAACTGACATGCATTTGAAACTGTACTTCAAGTATCCATACAACCATTGTTTTTCACATTCAGTACAGTATTCAATAAATTAATGAGATGAATACTTTATTATAGAATAGGCTTTGTGTTAGATAATTTGGGTCAATTGTAGGCTAATGTGTTCTGAGCACATTAAGGTAGGCTAGGCTAAACTACAGTAGGTTAGGTGTATTATGTATTTTTGACTTATGATATTTTTAACTTGATGATAGGTTTATCAGTAGGTAACCCCATCAGAAGTTGAGAAATATCTGTATGACCAAAAAAAAAAAAAATTTTTTTTTAAATTACAAAAAAAAAAATAAGGCCCAGAGAGTCTAGGAGAAAAAAGTAGTTTCAGAGCCATTTCCTTCAGATCATGAGAATCCTAAACAAAGGCAACAAATGTTTCCGCTAATATACAGAACTCAGGAGATACAACTCTGGGGGTGGGAGTAGGAGTGGGATGAGGACAGGGTCTCCCATGATTCATAACATAAAACTCAAATCTGGGGGAGAGGGGAAGGATAGGAGACCCTTACCTCTTCTCTGAGCTCCTTCATCCTTTCCTCAAAATCATAATCCTTCTGCTTCTCTTCCATCTTCTTCTTGTTGACCTCAAAACGTTTCTTCACCTGATCCAGGGTGGAACGTTCCACACGCATAGACATGCCCAGGTTTCTCTGATCTGCATAGGGTCAACAGTGAAGAAGGCAAGTTCATTACAACATCCTCAGCCCCTCAAAAATTATTTTCCTGACTTCTCTGACATCTCATAAAACACACAGCAAAAATAATTATGGCTAAAAGAAACTCCCTTGGCCAGCTGGGTCCAGGAGCAGCACATGGTTTGGGTGCTGTTGAAAGCCTCATGGCCTCCAGAATGAGGCCTCTTACCTCACGGCCTCCAGAAATATTACATAATGAAGTAAAAGACGGCCTGTGCTGAAACAACTGGAGAGTTCTAATAGGGGCATCAAAAAAGAGCCCAGTAGAAACTACCCTTCTTACTCCAGCCATCTTTTGATGAGTAAAAAGAAGAAAAAAAAAGCTACCCTTCCATTCCACCCCACCTCCAAAACCCAATTCCAGCCCTAGTCACAAGCTACCTCCAAGCCTTACGTTTCTTTCCATTAATGTGATCCAGAAAGTTGATGGAGTCCTTCACCACACAGTCACAGACATTGCAGTAATATCTAACAGGAAGAAACAGCACCTGAGTCAAATATGGTTTTAAGGATCTTATCATTTTCAACCAAGAAACTCAAATTTTTAGGTAAACTTCTTTTTAGAAGTGTTAAGCCTTCATTTCTATAAAGCCTTAGCTTTCGAGAGAGTATAGCAGTCATCTTCCAAGACAGCCCCAGGATGAGCCCCACCCTCTTGGTATTCCTACTCTGTGTAGTCTCTTCCCAATTTGTACCAGAGTTGGTCTGTTTGGCCAATAGAATATG